>NC_000018.10:25911206-26536206 GCF_000001405.40 Homo sapiens
GCTGATTGCCTTATTGTTTTCAGCAATGCTCTGGGCCATAAATTGCTCCACAGCCTAATCCAATTAAATTTGAACCCCTTTGCAAAGACAGTCTTTGAGGCTTGTTTCAATCCCAGGAAAGGCTTTTGTTAGCTATCTCTTTCCCTAATTCTTTCTGTTCTGTGGTTTAGCTTATTGCTATCATGAAGCTACCAGCCTCCTCATAATTGCTTACTACCAAAATCTCCATTGATTTTGATAGCAGCCTTGGACTTCAACTTTACCACACTTTGTTCCAAATAAAATCAGTGCCCTTAGGGAGACCTATGGAGTTCTCTATTCTCACAGCCTGCCTGTCCCCCTGGGAAAAACCTCTGTTTCACTGCTCTAGAGCTGAGGGAAGGAAGAAAGGCCTGCTTCTGTTGGAGTGATATCCCTGTTTTATGTGTGGGGCATTGGGAGGAGGTGGTAGCCCTGATCTTTTTTTGTCTTCTCTTCTGGCATGGAAACAAGACTATAAAAGTGAGTTAAAGTGAAAACCACTGGGCCCAATATTCTTGGTCTGCCCATAATAGAGCTTCTGCAACATGGAGCTGGGGAGTGAGGAATAAGAAATTCTAGCAGCTTGCTTCTCCAGGAAGAAACTGTAGCCCTAGACTGGAGCTTGGGAGAGTAGAAGCTCTTTGTTCTTGCCCACTCCCACCTACAGCAGAGCTTCCATCACACTGAGATGGAGTTTGTTGTAAGTAGGTGGTGGAATTCTGCATAAATGTCACAGACTCTTACTATTCTTATAGAGACTTAGTAAATTTTCTTTCTTTATTATTATTATTATTATTTTGAGATGGAGTCTCGCTCTGTCCTCCATGCTGGAATGCAGTGGTGCAGTCTCGGCTCATTGCAACCTCTGCCTCCTGGGTTCAAGCAATTCTCCTGCCTCAGCCTCCCTTGTAGGTGTGACTTACAGGCACCCTGTTGGCCAGGCTGGTCTCGAACTCCTGGCCTCAGGTGATCCACCCACCTCAGCCTCCCAAAGCGACTTAGTAAATTTTCTTAAATATGTTTTCGCATTTGTGTATGCCCTTAGGACAATTTCCAGAAGCCTTAAATGGTGTTTTCAAAATGTTTACCAGTTAGAATTGGTTAGCTGAGGCCAGGCATGGCAGCTCACACCTGTAATCCCAGCACTTTGGGAGGCCGAGGCGGGCAGATCACCTGAGGTCAGGAGTTCGAGGCCAGCCTCACCAACATGGAGAAACCCCGTCTCTACTAAAAATACAAAATTAGCCAGGCATGGTGGCGCATGCCTGTAATTCCAGCTGCTCTGGAGGCTGAGGCAGGAGAATCACTTGAACCCTGGAGGCAGAGGTTGTGGTGAGCCGAGATCACGCCATCACACTCCAGCCTGGGCAACAAGAGCAAAACTCCATCTCAAAAAAAAAAATATTGGTTAGCTGAGGAGAGGATCAGTGAAGCTCGTCCTACCACCATTCTAGAAGTTTCCCTTCTATATTTCTTTAAAAGATAAAATTTGCCTAAGGCTAGGAGCCAGGAAACCAGAAGACTCAAAGAGGAACCTAAGGTTGGAATCCACAAAGACTGGCCTGCAGGGCGGTGAAGACTGTGCACTCTGCTTGCCAAGCCATGTGCCCATGTAGCTGTGTTAATCTAGAAGAAATGGCACATTTTTCTAATGTGCTCAGGAAGAGGGGCACCGCTTTCTAATTCACACAAAGGCACCAATGTACTTGCACAGCCCCAGAAGCCACAGAGACTCCAGTTGATGGGTTATGTAGGATGAGTCAACCATCCAGAGCGGTGATTCCCAATTTTGGCTGCTCATTAGGATCACCTGGGGAGCTGCTGAAAAATACCAATGTGAGGGTCCCTCCTAGACCAATTAAATCACACTCTCTTGGGATGGGGCCCAGCCATCAGTATTTTTAATGGCCCCTCAGAGGATGCTAATGTACAGTCAGGATTGAGAACCACTGATCTAGAGCAGGGAGCCAGGGGAATGGGATTCTTTGAACCTAAATACCTCAAGAGGATATCAGCTGACAATGGAGTTCCCATGCTGGCAGCTGTAAAATGTTGTAAAAGTAAATAGTGACTAAAATTGGCAGAGCGAAGTAAGTCAAATTTACAGTAAGTAGTTTCTTTCCTGAAAGAAATTGCTGAAGTTGTCCCCAAGTAATAAGAAAAACAGACAATGACACTGTAAACATAGTTTCCAAACACCCCCACTGCCAGTCCTCACTGATACGGCTCACCCAAGCCTGGTCAATTGTCTCCTTGTGTCATGATGATGCTATGGTGGCAGGCCCTGCCCACTCATTTGGCCACACTCTACTCCATGCTATTCTTGGCATGGATAGGACTAGAGGCTGTCTTGACAGAGACATTAATTCCCAAAAGCCAGAGAACATAATGCCTTCAATCCCAGGGACAGGCTATTGTCCTTTAACAAGGGGACTCTACTTAGTCCTAGAATGTTCTGCCCAAAACATAGAAATAGAAGCAATATTTCTATTACATAGAAAGGAATCATTAGTCTAAAAAAAATTGGTAATGAGAGAATTTATAAAATGTTATGGAAATTCTCTGGGTCATTTGCCCACCCCTTTCTTGTCTTGGATGCTCCGGCTTGTAGGAAGTCCCCTGTGTGCTCCATAAATGCTGTTTTGTTCCCTTCCTTCCTTCTTCCAGAGACCCCCTTACTCACTCAAAAGCACCATAGCACAGTAAAATTTGAAAGGTTGGTAGAGATCTTCTAAATGAGTGAAGGCATACACATGGCTTATGTGACCCACTTCCTCATCCTTTGCTACCTACAAATATCTGTGATTGATTCACAGTACTCTTTCCTGGGAACCCAGGCAGCCTCTCTAGAATTGAAACATGAGTAGAAACTTCTTTGCCATCTCTGAATCAAACTAAAATAACTTGGTACAGTAAGATGAGTTTGACCAAGAATCAGACTTAGATTGAAAATTTAGCCTAGCTACTTTAAGCTGTTGACTTTAATAAGTTGCTCCATCTCTCTGAGTCACATCAGCTAAATGGGAGAACTAATGCCTACCTGGGTTATTGGATTAAATAATCTCAATGGTCCACCTCACACTGTATCTATCGGGTACTCATACTTCTCTTGCTCCTATAGGGGAGGAAAACAAAACTCTTCCTCTACACTCCTAGGTTCTCTGATTAGCGACCTGAAAATTTAATGGACAAAAGAGAGATAAACAAGAGGAAAACAAATAGAGAGTGTTAACATGTGCAATGCATATACATGTGGGAGAAACTCAGAGATGAGTAATTCAAATGGAGGGATAGAATTTGGGGGCTTGTATAGCATCTTCACAAAGAACAATAAATTTGTAGAGAAGGATAAAGGGTTTAGACTTTTAGGGGCAGCAAGCTGTGGGAAGGTAAATATATGGGGAAAATAAGGGTTATTTCAGTAAGTTTTGTTATGTAAATTCTTCTAAGTGCTGTCCCAGGGCTCATAAGTCTAGAGTTATCTCCAGTGCCAACGAAGAATCTAAGCCTGCTGATAGGCAAATGGGAGGAAGGCAGAGAGCTTTATTCATTCAGTCATTCATTCACTTATTTTTGGCATCTGCTGTTTCTCAGTTTTCTTCAGCTCAAAATAATCTTCATGCCAAAGTGGCATACTTTAAGGTAACATATTCTGATCCCCTACACTCAATATCCCAAAGCACACACATACACATACACAAACACACACACACACACACACACACACTTCACAAGAAAGGAAAACAAGCCTTCAGTGATAAAATGACTTGCTAGTTAGTGACACCTTAGTCAGTGGCAGAATTACAAGAACTAAATAAACCTGATTAATGAATAATAACAACCTCAACTCAGGACAAATGGCTTTTAAGTGTTACCTAGCGTATTAGTCCGTTCTCACGCTGCTGTAAGGACAGACCTGAGACTGGGTCATTTATAAAGGAAAGAGGTTTAATGATTTACAGTTCCCACAGGGCTGGGGAGGCCTCAGGAAACTTACAATCATGGCAGAAGGGGAATCAAATACATCCTTCTTAACATGGCGGCAGCAAGGAGAAGCGTAGAGTGAAGTGGGAGAAAAGCCCCTTATAAATCAGATCTCCAGACAATTCACTCACTATCACAAGAACAGCACGGAGGTAACCGTCCCCATGATTCAATTACCTCCCACTGGGTCCCTCCCACGACATGTGGGGATTATGGGAACTACAATTCCAGATGAGATTTGGATGGGGACACAGCAAACCACATCACCTAGATTGATCTAACTGAAAATATACTCTGCCAGAATTTCCTTATCATTTTAAATGCTTGATGTATCCCACACAACTTCCCACTCAGAGAAATACTAGCAGCCATTGCACAGGAAGAGTCTGGACATGCAGACTTCACTTCTGCAATACAAAAAAAAAGCACTGGATTGCTGGGCCTGGTGATGAAGCTTCTTGGGAGGAAGGTGGTGCTCTTTAAGCAATTTAAAAAGACATTTCTTTCAGTGGCTTTGGTCAAGGCTTCTCTCTTAGCTCTCAGAATGCCTGGCTCATAAAGAAGAGCCCCAGGAATTCTAAAGTCATTGGGAGCCTGTGCAGATCTGAGAACAGCCTTCCCACCCTCATCCCCTGCCTCACCCTGTGCATTTTTCCATCTCCCAAGCTCTCTTGTTTTCTGCACTTTTAAAACTTCTTTATATTTATTCTAGTAGTAGCCTGCCATGCAATAAAAGAATGAGGGAATCTCGTTAAAATTATATCAGAAGGAAAAAGATGGAGTAGAGCTTGAAATTCCTGCAATCTACACACAATAACCTAATCAACTAGAATACACAGGTTAAATGGAGTCCACCCTATGGTGAACCTAGAAGATTGAACTCCCTCCCGGGGAATTGCTACCTTCGGGGCACCTAGTGGTAGCCATATTAAAATGCAGGCATGAAAATACCTCACATTTTAGAGCACTTTTAACTTTCCTACTCACTTGCACAACTATTTAGTTTACTGACTTCGGTACAAAGGCCCAGGAAGGAGGAAAAGTTATTGCTATTATCCCATTTTGAGAGTTAAGGCAAAAGAGGCAGTGAGGTTTCTCTGAGGTCATCTCATTAGTGGTGGGATAAATCCAAGCCAAGAGTCCAGTCTTGCTTCTTCCCACATACCCACATCTTCTCTTACTTAAAATGAACCCAGGCTGAAACATAGTCAGATGACTGACCTAACAACTGTACAATCATCTTTCTCTCCCTCAGCTTCTAGTTTGAATTTGACATGAGCCTGAGTAAGCAGGAGATCGCAGTGTTTACTCAGAACTAAAAGTGACATCTTATAAATCTGCCTTAGCCTGGAACTGAAAAGGACCCAATAATCCCACAGATAGTTTTTTGGATAAACATATAAATTGACCCTGCTGGTCTTAAAGCTTGAACCTTACATTTGTTGTATCTGTTTTTTCCTCAGGAAAGGACCTTCAAGCCTGTCAAAAAAAAGTATCAAAGACCTGAAACTCACCAGATCACGGCATCCAGACAATGAGATGCTGGACCCCTCCTTCATCATCATCCTTCCTTGCCCCTCCCTAGCTCTTGTTTTCATTTCCTCCCTCCTGTATGAAACCCTACTTTTAGTCGGTCAAGGAGAGGATTTGAGACTGATCTCCCATCTCCTTGGCTGCAGCACCAAATTAAAGCCTTCATCCTTGGCAATACTGATCATCTCAGTCATTGGCTTTCTGGGTGGTGAGCAGCAGGACCTAGACTGAACCCCTGGTGTCTCAGTAACAGAACCACAGGAGTGGCAGGAGGATCAGAAGTCCATATGGACAGCAACGCTGACTGTCCGGAAGCAGGATAAACACCCTGCTAAATGTGAACCTATTCCATACATTTACATGTCCTCTATGTACAGAACAATATGTCCTGACTATAACTACATTAAGTCATAGTAGTTATAGTCAGGACATATTTTCTCAGTCAAAAGATATTAAAAGTTTAATATGTGAGGGCAGTGGGGAGATTGGCAAATTTTTTTAGCATTGAAAAAGGGCCCACAGAAGGTAAAAATCACAACTTCAGACTCTTTCTTGGCCGACTTCCACTCAAAATTCACCATTCCTGATTTCCATTCCTTCAGGGGCCTGATCTCTGCTTTAAAATGATAGTAAGCTAATATGATAATATAATATGTATTAATAATTTAATGCTTACCCTTCCTAGGTAATATATGTGCATTTTTAACTGAGCTGTTTTAGACAACACACTTTAATCCAAAGCAAACTTTCTAACCCACGTTTCTCTAGTGATGACCTGTCACCTGAGTCCCAGACCTATATATTCTCAGCTTACTAAACATTTCCATTCAAACCTGCCAGAGGAATTGAAACTCAATATGTCCAAAATTGATCCTCCACTTCTATCCTTCACCTCAGTCAGTGACATCACCAATCATTCACTTAAAGCCAGAGACCTGGGAGTTATTCTAGGTTCTTCACAACCCCACCCCA
This sequence comes from Homo sapiens, assembly GCF_000001405.40. Lineage (NCBI taxonomy): Eukaryota > Metazoa > Chordata > Mammalia > Primates > Hominidae > Homo > Homo sapiens. The sequence continues at coordinate 25,917,717 of NC_000018.10, forward strand.
GCCAAGAGCTGATCCAATCTGTCTAACTCAGCATCTCCCAAATGGTGTTTTATGAGCATCGTGTCAATAGGCAAAATACTTTCCCTGATCAAACAAGTTTGGAAAACATTGGTTAGACAAAGTTAAACCTTTTTTATAGAACTAAGGGTTTCTAATATGTTGCCCTGAATTACAAATATCCAAAAAAGAAAATATACCACCTAATGTTCCAAACTCATTTGCCCAGGGAACTCTTATTTTCTTTGCAGAGTATATTGCAGGATCTATGTATTACAGAACATACTTTGAGAAATGCCATGATCAGATATTTTTGAACCGTGTTTTATTATCACGCATTGTCTCATGCAATTTCTGTGTTGTAGATAAGTAGTGTTGTAACAGTGTACATATAAGAAACTGAAAGTCTCAGGCATTACACGACTTGAAAGCCAGAAATGTGAATGAAAATATTTTGTTACAAATATTTATTGAGAAATCCCAGTCAAAATATCACTGGGATTTGGGGGCACTTCATGAAGTGTGCTTATGCTTAAGAGTAAGAGAAAGTCCAAAAGAATCCTAAACAAACAGCTGGCAGGAGCGATGGCTGGAATGTGCTGTTAAGGGTGGGGTTTTGGGAAGGTGGTTCGAGGCTTATTTTCCACTGGTTTGTATTGTTTGAATTTGTTATAGCAAGCTTATGTTATGTTTATAATTTATTTTCTTAAAACATCAATACAGAAAAAAAAATAATAAACAAATCAAATGCCTGGCTGGTGATAGTACTGTTTTAAAAATCCATCTGAAAGAACGAAAATGAAAGAAGAGCCAGACATTCTTGGAAAGTGTAAGAACTTGTGCTACCAATTATTACAATGTACTTAGAGCTGTAGTCATTTTTTTTTTCCTGAGATGGATTCTCGTTCTGTTGCCCAGGCTGGAGTGCAATGGCGCAATCTCAGCTCACTGCACCCTCCAACTCCCAGGTTCAAGGGATTCTCCTGCCTTAGCCTCCCGAGTAGGTGGGATTAGAGGTGCCTGCCACCACACCCAGCTAATTTTTGTATTTTTTCTAGAGACAGGGTTTCGCTCTGTTGGCCAGGCTGGTCTCAAACTCCTGACCTCAGGTGATCCGCCTGCCTCAGCCTCCCAAAATCCTGGGATTACAGGCGGGAGCCACCATGCCCGGCCAAGCTGTAGTCATTCTTAAAGTGAGCTAGTGGCACAGGTATATAGACCAACAGATGAGTTAATCCAATAGAAACTCCACAAATAGAGGCAAGGAGATATTGGCACCACACTCTAACCAATTGAGCTAACAGGCCATCGTGTGAGGCAAGCAGACATAAAAATTTAGTAGACGATTAAGGTGGCATTTTAAAGCAGTGGTGAAAGGAAAACTCAATTTTACTAAATTTTACTAAAACGATAGGGTAGCTATGTCCCAAATAAATAAGCTTGAATTCCTAACTTATTTATTATACTAAAATAAATTCCACATAAATCAGACTTAAAAATTATTATGAAGCCTTGAAAATAATAAAAGAAAACATAGGTAACTATTTTTATAATTCCAGTTTTGAAGGAAGCCTCTTTAAATGTATACAAAAGCCAGAAATGATCAAATCAAAGACTGTACATTGTACAACACAAAAATTCTCTAAAACAAAAAAGATCACTGCAAGGTGATTTACAAACAACATATAGAAGAAAATGTTTGCAGCATAAATGACAAAAAGTTAGCATATTAATATATTAATATAAAGCCCCCTGGTAAATCACTAAGAAAAAGAAGACTACCAGTAAACCACAAAAAAAGTATAAGCCCAAATTTCCTTAATTTAGCCTCAATTAAAATTAAAGTGAAAATCAGAGATCATAAGGTTTTGTTTGTTTTTTTTTTTTTTTAATTTTTTTAAGCGCTGGGGTCTTGCTATGTTGCCCAGGCTGGTCTTCAACTCCTGGGCTCAAGCAATCCTCTGGCCTCCACTTCCCAAGTAGCTGAGAGTGCACACCACTGGGCCTAGCTACAGATTTTTAACAGCAGGACTATAAAGAAAATATTGAGAAAAACCACTGAACAAGTCTTTCACATTTTATTTATAAAGATAAGGAAGAAACCTCAAGATACTGAAAACTCAGATACCTCAAAGGAACCAAGAATATAAATACTACCCAGGCTGGAGTGAAGGTTTTTTCTTATAATCTTTACACTTAATCAGTATTTTGTCACGATGACATTGAGCCCTGGGTAGATCATTTGCCAGAAGCTCTCTGGTGAGGTTCTACTTTATAAATAATACTTTATAGGCACATAATCTTTAACCTTGAGATTAATAAGTATGCTTATTTGTTTGGTATGGAAAGTGTTATTCATTGTTTATTTAGCATATGAAAATGAATTTTAATTAATTCAACAAGTTAATATTTAACCCATTGATTTTTACTTTGCCGACGTTATTTTAAATAATTCAACTAGGAAAAAAGGAAGAAAGGAAGGCAGAAAGAGAGGGGAGAGAGAGACAGAAAGTGTGTTCCAGTTTTCTTGGAGTTGGAAAACCACCACTTTTTCTCCTTGCATAAATTACAATGCAAGTAAAAAAAGAAATAGTAAGTATAGCCAAAACAATGTGAATCTCAACTTTTCCTCAACATGATTTAATACTGAAAATGACAAAGAACATTGTATCAGTCAGGATTGCTTTTGGCTAAAAGCTATAGAAATGATAACATTGTCTAAGTAATAAATACATTTAATTACTTCAAATGACAAGAAGTCTGATAGGAAGTTCTAGGAATTGATTCAGCCTCTCGCAGATGTCAACTTGCGGAGTCAATATCTCTATGATTCTCTTGCAAAATTCACCTCTTAAAAAAAAAACCAAAGCAGTAGGGAAGCTTCTCCAGATGGGAAGTCCCGCAGATCCCCAAAAGCTCACTCATATGCCCCTTTTGCCCCCAGTGTACACATCACTGGCAGCACCTGTCAGACTGTACTGTGATTTTTCAGTTTTCCTGACTGTCTTCTCCATCAGCAACAGTGAGGGCACTCCCATCTGATTTCTAGCACCAAACACATGCCTGGTGTACGAGGAGGCCCTTAATAATTGCTCTTTGGATGTCAAATAATGGTAAGCAAGTGGAAAGAGTTAGGGGAGCCCAGGCACTTTGCAGCATCCTTTTGGTCCTGCTCAGAACCTTGCAACTAAGTGGTAGAAAACAAAGGGGAACAAAACGGTAAGGAAATTCTGAAACACCGCAAGACCAGGAAGAGTGCACAGAGACACGGTCATTGCCAGTCTGGGCCCAATGCAAATCCTGAAAACTTGAACCCAAAGATGCTCAAGCTGCCAGCGGAGGTCTGACCACAGACAAAACTGAATGTTGTGCCAAGGTAAGCCTCAGTGGACTTCACATCAGCGTCTGGCTTCCCTTTGACATATCCCAGGAAACATGTTAAAAATAAGGGCATCCTTCATTCTTCTCTTTCAAATCTCTCAGGACGGCCCCTCCCCAAATAAATTGGACTTTCTTTTTTTTTTTACTCTCCTTCTCCAAAACCAGCCCATGAGGATCCTTTACTGACCTTTGAAAGAAATTCTCCCCCTCTTCATCTTTGTCCTTCAGGGGTATGCTTCTATCATAAAGACTTTACTCGTGATAGCTATAGCCCAGATTTCTGCCTTGGAAACACAAAAACCAGAGACCAGAGTCTACGGCAGATGGCGAGGGCTGCCAGAGTGAGAATTATGGAGAGAGAAACAAACATCAATGCAAAATTATCTTCTACCACATTTGTTATTCTGGTAGATCTGAGCATTCCTGCAAAAGAAACTTACTCTTCCTCTACATGTCCCCAGCAAACTGGGTCTCTGCCCCAAATTCAGTTTTTTGGAACAGTAACTCTCTAGCAAAATACTCCATGGTACGGTGGGTGCTAGCTTCCCCAGGCTCAAGTAGGGAAGCCCTTTTGCAGAGCCAGTTTCTTGCCTCAGTTATCTGGGGATGGCTTATCTAGGAGCCCGTCAGCTTCTCCTTTCTGCATTTACTGCCCCATCCACCAGAGGGAGTCTGGCACCAGACTAAAGTGAATTTTGTGCGAAGGTAAAATGGACACCCCGTCAGTGCCTGGCTTCAAGATGGTAGCCATGAAGGCAGCGAGTTCCCTTGTTCAGATCTCCAGTCTGCTCTCTTCCTCCTCAGTTGAGGCTGGGTGAGCACCTTATGCAGGAGGTGGAGAATTGTCACCTGATCTTCCATTCTCAGGAATCAAGAGACCACATGCTATGATCTGTCTCTCCTTTCCCAAGACCACCCCGATTCTACCTTAGTTTGGTCAGTGCCAGTGGCGGTGCTCTAGAATATGCCATGAAAAGTTCACTTTTTTCTTCCTACAAGAAAAGCAAAAGGAAGGAAATTTGTGTTTCCCTAAACTCTTGCAACGCTCTTCAAAACATTGTCCTTCTGAGCCTGGGCAGTGTTCCGCACACTCCTGCTTCAGTGTCTGTCTCTCCGACTCCAAGGCACAGTCCCCCACCCTCAGCAAGTGCCCTAGGCCACTGCAGCAAGGTGTGTGCCTGTTTGAGTGTCAGGCCAGCTGGGGCAAGCGAGATTCCACCTGCACATCCGAAATGTCTGAGGAGAGTGAAGGAGTGAAGGACGTCCCATCCCAAAATGTGTTGAATTGGTATACTGATTATTTCAAGTTACAAACGTTGGAGAAACTGTAGTTTCAGAAAGGGCTAACTGACCTGTCTCTTCCTACAGGCAGCAAACCATAAGGATTCCTCTGGGAGGCCGGCACGGTGGCTTACACCTGTAATCCCAGCATTTTGAGAGGCCAAGGCAGGCGGATCACTTGAGGCCAGGAGTTTGAGACCAGCCTGGCCAACATGGCTAAACCCTGTCTCTCCTAAAAATACAAAAAAATTAACTGGGCATGGCGGCACGCCCCTATAGTCTCAGCAGGAGAATTGCTTGAACCCAGGAGGCAGAGGTTGCAGTGAGCCTAGATCGTGCCACTGCACTCCAGCATGAATGACAGAACAAGACTCAGTCTCAAAAAAAAAAAAAAAAGCAGGAAAAAGAAATCCTGGATCCAGCTCCACCCTGGACAAGTACAAATCGTGGTTTGTACCTCTTTATTTTCATTCATTAGCTGTTTTTACACTAATTCACTTAATGCCTGTATTAAAACCACATTATTGTAGGGTGGTAGGAGTGCAGTCCTCGTAAATTTGGAATCCCCAGGTTGGAATCCCCAGGATTATGTGTAAGTTCTGAGGGGGGCCTCACAAAGTGCTAAAATGTTTGGTCACTATAGGAGGCCATGAAGTGTTCATTCTTCATTCCTTCCTACCTCCCATCCCCCCACCCTGGGCCCACTTGTGTCTCCACAGATGCCACAGCACTTGTGGGGGCACAGGAACCCCTTGCTGTTTGGGTGCCATCTTGTTCGTGGTCTGTTCAGGCTAGCACTCTAGCCACCTCTCCTGGTACTGCCCCCGAAGTGGGGGCACAGAGCCCCCCTCCAGCACCCACCAACAGCTCTGCTCTCCTCCCTTCCCCTAGCCATCCCCTCCACTCCCTGGCCCAAGGGAGTTGTCTCTTACTCCAAGAGAAACCTCTCCTCAAATCCTATTCCACCAAATTCTTAACCTCTATCCCAAATCTCAGTTCTATCTGAGGCTTAGATTTTGCAAACCAAAGCGACTTCCTCTTTCTCTTGGACACCTTTTCACATCACTTCCTTGAGGCAATGACCTAGAGAAATTACTTTAATGGAGTGGGGCAGAAGAGGGAAAGAAGATACTAATGGTAGGAGAGAGAGAAAAAACTTCGGTTAATATTTTTAAACACCACCACGTTGCATCTGCTATTACCTGATTTAAAATTGCAATGTTCTTAAATCTCAGATGACGACAGTGATTGAAAGAAAGATGCCTTCCCTGCAGGCTATTGTCCTTTATTCTCCCATCCTTAGTACTCTTTGTTTAACCCCAGCCTGGAAGTTTGCTTTACACTTTCACCCATAAGCCTGGACCCATTTTTACGCAACCACCTCTCTGTCCATTATTCCACTTAGCCATTCTTCTGCCTACAGCTCTTCAGAGCGCTTAACATTTCATTAGGTGCTTCATCAGGAAGACAAGGAAGAAGTGAAGTATCTCAAAATGACTGGCTTCGTTTGCCAATTTCTTTGTTTTGCACTAGAAAGCATTTCTGCAACTCAGTTGGCATATTCAAGCACAGTCAAGAGAAACTCCTCTTGTCAATTCCAATTCCACTCCATTTACTGGCACACATAGTTGAATGGGCTGTTTAAGTGGGGTTGTTACCAAATGAAATGAATTTGAATTTGCATTACATATACTTTCAATTATTTATGGTTTGGGGTAACCCATATCAGTGACTTTTCCCCTCTACTCTCCTGAATCATCAAGAGAAAGCAGAAGGAAAAGTAACTCAGCACTTTTTGCAAGGTCTGATGGTGATTACTGCTTACTATGCTGAACTGATCTTCATTAAGAGCTTCGTATCAAGGCTTCTTCCCATAGACTTTCAGACCTTTGAAGATCTTTGGGTCTAGGGCCACCACTCCATGGGGCCAGAAGAGACCAAATGTGATTGGAGAGGCCCTGCTAGATCCCAACTGTTCTACCCTCCTGAAATCCCCAATACTGAAGCTGCTTTTAAGGCTGCTTTCAGAAAAAAAGTCTTAATTAGACACTATTTGAGTAATTCTTTTACGGTTTAGGACATGGCCCTTTAAAGGCCACTGTTAAAATGTATTTTCGTGGCCTGCTTGCCATGAGGAGTCTCCCCTAATTTTCTCCCATTACCAGCTTAGTTAACCATCACCCAGGAAGGCTCAAAGTATCTGGCTCTTCAAGGGAGGGTTTCTGTGTAAATAACCTCAGGACTGTGTCCTTAATGGTGAAAGGATAGAGCTTGATATTCCATTATTAAACAGCATATTAAGTTCATGCACAGACTCCGGAGAATGTGTACCATGGGACCTCAGCTTAGAACACAAACAAAAGGTCTAAGTCTTCAGTTAAACCTAGGAAGCTAAGCACAAAATAATCAAGTTAGGCATCTCTTCATTCCAGGTCTGGAGATAAACACATATTCTTAAACCAGTTCTTTTTTTATTTAATTCATTGTCATACAACTCATTTCCAAAAAAGTTTATGCAAGCATTTTGGTGATTTTCTTAAGTCTTTTCTTACATAAAGAAGAGCCATATTGGAAAATCGCGGTGGTATATCATTAAAAAACAGATAGGAAATTATGAAGAACTGATATGGTAACTAAAAGTAGATTACAGAATAAAAGCGTAAAGAAAAGGAACATAAACAAAATTAAAGGGCAGCATTTGGAGGTCCGTTAATTGCGTGGTAATTGGGAGTCAAAGCAGAATCTATTTAGAATCCACAAGGCCTATTAGGAGTCCAGAGGACCAATAGCAAGTCAACCAAAATTAGGAAAAGAAATCAGATTTTAATTGTAAACAGAAGACTAATCATTAGCTGTTCCCTTTCCCTAGAGTAAGTCATGGATAGTTGCCTGACATTTTACATTTTACTTTAAGTACAAAGAAAAAATTACACAAGTGGCCTACTCATTAGCAGGTTTTCCTGCATTAGTGGCCATCATAAATGTAGCTAAAATCCAAGGTTTAAAAACATCTTCTCAATTTCTTCCTAACAGCATACTTTCAAAATTGTCTTTTATTCACTCCAGGTCTACTATTGCAGACAGAAGACCCCACTTTTCATACATACATAAGAGCGCACCCATGGCTTCAACCAAGTCACAGACCAATCAGCCGTACATTGAAAATCCAGTTAACTCCAACTTTCAGGAGTGTAATTCACTGCTAAGAGGCAAAAAAACTGTTCAATAGCTGTCATGTTCATTTGGTCAAGGTAAATTAGGTCACCATAAGCCACGATTACACACATTATGAGACAGGATCAAATGATCCTGAAATTGGTAACATCTTTTAATAACCATGCTTATTACATAGGAGTTAAATATGACCTTTAATACTTATTCTTGCTATAATATCTTTACCTATATTAGGGCTTCAATAGCCAAATACGTTAGAGTAGCCCATTGATGAGTTAGAAATGATAAATTATTACGGACATTGTTGAAATGACAGATTATACACTAGTCCCCTTCTCACTGCAGTTTTTTGTTTTGTTTTTTGAGACAGGATCTTGCTGTGTCACCCAGGCTGGAGTGCAGTGGCGCTATCATGGTTCACTGTAGCCTCAGCCTCTTGGGCTCAAGCAATCCTCCCACCTCAGCCTCCTTTAGTAGCTGGGACTACACACGCATGCAACCATGCACAGCTAACTTTTTAATTTTTTTGTAGAGACAGTCTCCCTATATTACCCAGACTGGTCTCAAACTCCTGGGCTCAAGCAATCCTCCCACCTTGGGCTCCCAAACTACTGGGGTGAGCCACTGCTCTCGGCCTTAACCACAGTTTTAATTTTCAAGGGTTCAGTGACCCACGGTCAAATGTGGTCCAAAAATATTACATCACTACTCTTGCACTTTGGGGCCTCTGTTAAGTAACATAAGAGTTACTTGAACAGTACAATAAGATATTTTGAGAGAGAGACACTACATTCATATAACATTTATTACAGTAGACTATTATAATTGTTCTATTTTATTATTAGCTATTGCAGTTAATATCTTACTGTTCTTAATTTATAAATTAAACTTTATCATAGGTGTGTATGTGTAGGAGAAAACATAGCAAAGGTTGAATATCCCTAATCTGAAATCCAAAATGCTCTAAAATCTGAAACTGTGAACACTGATATGATGCCCAAAGGAAATGCTCATTGAAACAATTTGGACTTCAGATTTTCGGGCTGGGAATTCCAAACGTGTAAATACAATGCAAATATTCCAAAATTAAAAAATCCAAATTCAAAACACTTCTGTTCCCAAGAATTTTGGATAAGGAATACTCAACCTGTGTATATAGGGTTTGGGCATCCACTGGGGATCTTGGAACATACCCTCTTCAGTTAAGAGGGGACTACTATATTGAAAAGCAACCTTATTTGATTTTACTTTGATACCTCTATATTGTAAGATCTATATTGATCTATGCAGCTTCTAGGAACATTTCTATGGTATATAAAGGAAACAGAAATAGCTCTACTTTTTAAATTTCATTAAATATAGTATTATTAGTGTTAACTACTACTTCCTAAGTAGAGTTTTTAACTTTTTGTTTGACTTTTTTTTGTTTGGGCACAAACTTTATAACCCAAGGGCTCCATGTTACATAGTTTTTAAAAAGACTGTACTGGCTGGGCGTGGTGGCTCACACCTGTAATCCTAGCACCTTGGGAGGCCGAGGCGGGTGGATCATCTGAGGTCAAAAATTTGAGACCAGCCTGGCCAACATGGCAAAACCCCGTCTCTAGTAAAAATACAAAAATTAGCCGGGAATGGTGGCAGGTGCCTGTAATCCCAGCTACTCGGGAGGCTGAGGCAGGAGAATCGCCTGAACCTGGGAAGTGGAGGTTGCAGTTAGCTGAGATCGCGCCACTGCACTCCAGCCTGGGTGAAACAGCGAAACTCTGTCTCAAAAATAATATAAATAAATAAATAAATAAATAAATAAATATAAAAAGACCGTACTAAGTATTTCATCCACTTTAGCACCTGGTAGGTATAAGGTACTGGGATGGGCATTGGAAAGGCTATTAAAATGTATAAAGTAGCATAGGACTAATAGAATTAAAGAAGTACCACAGGAGCTCAAAGGAGGAGAGGTGGCTTCCAGGGCAAGGATCAGGAAAGAATTCATGGAAGTGATAGAATAAGAACTAGACCAAGAAGAGTGAAAAGAATTCTGGTAGGCAGCTGAGCAGATATTTCATTCAGTTACTCAGTGTATATTTGTTGAGCCATAACTGGTGCTGGAAAATGTCATGGGTGAAGGAAGGTGCAGAGGCAGATACACTCAAGAATGTTAGCATAACTGCTGGCAGACGGGCTAAATTAAATGCAGCATAGTTACAGGGCTGTGGTGAGAAATATGGCTTGGGACCGACTCATGAAGGTCCCTGAACATCAGCTGAAGGAGTTTGGACTTCACTTCTGGGTAACATGAAGCCATTAAAAGGTTATAGCCAATAGGGACCACTAGAGTGACAAGAGAATAAGATCAAAGAGACCACACCAGAGAATATCAAATTGAAGGAGGAGACAGTGGTCAGAAACGTTGAACTGGAAGAAAATGATGTCTCAGACACCAGAAAGTAAAGGTTCATGAAACAGAGAGTGAGCAACAGCACCAGATGCTACAGCGAGGTACACAGGATGGAAACTGAAAATGGGCAATTGGGAGCACTTGGTGAATCAAATGTGAGCAGTTCAGTTGTTTTGCAGGAGCAAGAGCCAGAATGCTGTCTATTTGGAAGAGCAAATGAGAGGCAGGAAGGAGACAAAAGCCAGGGCAGAAAACTCTTTCAGAAATAGGCCCATCATGGGCTATATTGAGGGACAGCTGTGTCTTGTCCAAGGACAGACTTTTTTAAGATAGCGTGGATCTGGGAGTGTGTGGGGAAGGAGCCTTAGGGAAGGAGCCAGAGGACAGGGGAAGTTTTAAGAGACAATGGGGAACAAATGAATCTGCTGATAAAGTAAGAATTTATAATCTAGGAAGTCCTTTATAAGAAGCAAGAAGAGGCCAGGCATGGTGACTCACACCTGTAATCCCAGCACTTTGGGAGGCCAAGGAGGGTGGATTGCGTGAGGTCAGGAGTTCAAGGCCAGGCTGGCCAACATGGTGAAGCCCCGTCTCTACTAAAAATACAAAAATTAGCCGGGCATGGTGGCGCGTGCCTGTAATCCCAGCTACTCAGGAGGATGAGGCATGAGAATCACTTGAACCCAGGAGGCAGAGATCATGCCACTGCACTCCAGCCTGGTCAACACAGCAAGACTCTACCTCAAAAAAAAAATTAAAAAAGAAGAAGCAAGAAGAAGAGAACAAATGCCTTGGTTTTCCAGCACTCCGAAAGCATACCACCACAGAATCAGGCAAGACATCAAGATGTTGAGGAAAAAATGACAAAGGAGACAAAAACTGGAAACTCCAATCGGGGTCAGAAATCTAAAAAGTGAAACACAGTTGTCCAGTATATAGTGATGAGAAACCTCCCCCAAAGTGACCTGAAGCACAGTCCAGGACCATATTTCTGTACACCTGATTGCCTCTGTGGCCGAATGGTTGCAAATGTTCCTGATGATAAAATGAGTTCTGGGCTGGACCCTAGCCCCTCTTGTCAAAGACTGGCACTTGTAGGTGACCCTCAGAAAGGGTAGGAGGGATTTCCCAGCTGTGGGCCTGATGGATTCAGCTAGGTCTGTGGAAGTAATAGGAAGAATGAGAAAGGATGTTTATGTACCAAAAAAGGAATAAAGCATAGGCTGTCTCTGTTCATCTATCCTTGGCCAAACTGGTATAATTCTTGACGGAATTTTAATTAGTCAAGTAGAGGAGAATTAGAATGAGTAAGCAAAATTTAGCACATTATGCAAATGGTTTCAAATAAATTCCTAAAAAAGTGACCCCAAATGTTTCACTGAAAGAGACACAAATCTCTGAAATGAAGTAAATTTGCTGTTGAATTTCTGGAGTGAACGCTTTGAGGAGAGGGCTTGTCCCTAGAAAATCTCCAGTTGCTACCACTTCCGAAAGGACACCTCCCCGTAGACCACTGAGCAAGGTTATATTGTGAAAGACTCAGACTGAGGAGAGGGCTACAAAGAGGGCTACAAGCTCTTGAAGTTATCACCAGGCCTCTCAGCTCTGCCTGTTAGAAGGTTAATCCTAATTCCTGTAAATGAACCAGATTTGAAAATAGGTGCTTATGAACGGAATCGGCCCCAATGCCACAGCTCACAAAGCAGCCAGGCGAGTAGCCTGTTCAGCTCACCATTCAATGATAATAGGTTTACCAAGTGAAATAAAGGCTAGGCTGGGGATAGGGGAGAGTATTTTACCCTGTTTGACCTCTTAGGAAAGTCACCCAGTGTGTCCTAGGGGAAAAGAGCTGATAGGAGAGAAATACAGACATGCTCTCTTATCTGGGTTAATAATCCCTTGTTACAGAACCAAAATAGAAAAAATAGATTCTGATGACTTTCGTGATTGTCTTATTTGTTTTTATTTTATGTACTGCAGTGGGGCAGTGTTAGCCTAGTTCTCCTGCTCACTCTCCACTACTGGAACACAGCGCTCTGCAACTGAACCCAACCCACAAACACTTAAAGGAGCAGCATCAATTCTTCCAAATTTCTTCCAGCTCATATCCCTGAAGGCACCCTGTGTCCCCACAGACCACATACACACACAGGCATGCCCAGAATTCTGGACAGCCCTTCTCAGTGAGAGGTTGGGTGGGACAGACTTAGGTGGACTAAACTGGGGAGATCTAAAGTACAGCATTGCATTACATTGTTTGTTTTACCAACCCCACAATTCTGCTTTTAAGAAATATTTAAGTCAATCTATCTGTGCAAAGAGAAAAATTATACGGGTTATTAATTCTGTTTATGCCTTTTTACATAAAGATCATTGGGTTTTCAGACCACTGGTTCTGCACACACATATACACATCACATTTTAGCAGCCTGCATGAGCTCCTTTGCAAATGTTAATGTCTCCTTCTTAATGGGAATTCTTGTAATGAATGTGTGTATGTATGTATGTATGTGTATATATATATACACATATATATATATATGTACTATATACAGTGGATGAGCAAAGTTTACTCTTCTGATTCCCATCACCTAATCAAAAATAGAATACAAGTACATTATTTTAAACACGTACAAAATTTTAAAAGGAAAGGAAAACACAAAAAAGAAAAAATATATATATCTTTGAGACAGAGTCTCATTCTGTCATCCAGGCTGGAATGCAGTGGCACCATCTCCACTCACTACAACCTCTGCCTCCTGGGCTCAAACTATCCTCCCACCTCTGCCTCCCAACTACCTGGGACCACAGATGTATGCCACCACGCCCAGCTAAATTTTTGTATTTTTAGTAGAGACGGGGATTCACCATGTTGCCCAGGCTGGTCTCAAACTCCTGAGCTCAAGCGATCTGCCTGCCTCAGCCTCCCAAAGTGCTGGGATTATAGGCATGAGCCACCACTCCTGGCCAAAAGAAAGAAAATTTAAATCATTCATAAGCCTCTACCCAGAGATAAATGCTGTTATCATTTTGATATTTGTATTTCTTATCTGGTTTTCTATGCATAAGTACATGTTGTTTTTTTCCTCCAAAATAGTATACTGTGTATACTTTATTTTATATAAAGATTTTTTTCATATGTCAGACATATTTTTCCATATCAATAAAGATTATTCCAAGCATGATTTTCAAAAAAAGCATAATATGCCATAGGATTGATGTACCTTGTTATTCAATCATCCCCTATTTTTGGATATTTAAGTTGTTTCCAATATTCATTATCATTAGTCAAATTGTATTGAACATCCTTTTATCTTTACTTAAATCCAGAATTATTTCCTTAGGGTAAAATCTTGTAAATCAAATTGCTGAGTCATTGGGATTAAGCAATTATTAAAACTTTCTATATTTTGCAAAATTGCCTTTCAGAAAGATTATACCAATTTAAATTCCCACCAGCAGTGTATCAAAGCGCATATTTTCCCACTTACCAACAGTGGGTTTCCTATTATTTTGACTTTCTGTCTTTTGGGAATAGGACTTGTTCTGACCATGTTCTCTAAACTAGTAAATTAACAGCATTATTAGAGTTAAACATATTCCCATGATGTCTTTCGTAAACCTGTCAGGCCAAACTAGCCATCAACATATTAAATTTGATCATTGAGCCACTGTTCTAACGTGACTCCCAGACCCTCAGTTCCTGTGGCTAGTCTGTTCCTTTTCATCCACACGAAATGTTTCTGATTGGATATCTAAATGCTCTTAAGTAAAAATAAAGATAATTTCAAACAGTTGGGGATAAAGATTCCAAATATGGTTCTATAAAACGTAATGAGGTTTTGAATTGTAAACTCTCAATTGAGGAGAGAGTGTTCTGTGATGACTGTGATGCTCGCGGGAAGATCTAAAGAGTAAACAGCTCAGATCCCTGAACGGACCTCTGCGGAATGAAAGCTGGGTAAGAGCTAGCAGGAGTGAACAGAACAATATCAGAGTAAATAGACTGTACCGATTCCAGGAGATAAGATTGATAAAATCCAGCATAGTGCTAATATATCCCACCCACATAGTCGTATGAATAGGATTAGCTTATGGAAATGTGCAACCTAATATATATATATATATGCATGCTATGTCAGGCCATGGAAGCGGGCTTTTTTAATGTAATGAACAAAATATCTCTCTAAGGAATCTTCCTAACCCTGGATCTAAGCCTGGTAGAACAACATAAAACGGGATGTACTGAAAATAATTGTTTAACTAGCACTGCTAGTACACATAAAGTTAAAACCCACACCCAATTTTCTCATCTAAAACAGCGTGAAACTCAATAATTACTATGAGAGGTAACACCTAGAAATGTTTGACAGGGAAACCCATTATTGCTGTGTAAGGCTGCCACCTGGCCTCCTCCTCGTCAGCCAAAGGAGTAAATGACTCCCCAAATGCTTAGGGAAAGCTGACACGCTGAACTAATCTTTCATTTATTGATTTGCTAGCTCACTGAAAAAAAGTAGTATATCAATAAATGGCTTTACTTAAGAAGTTAAGGTCCAAGAAGAAACAATGAAGATTTGCTGGAATATATTGAGTACAACAGAGTTTATAGAAAATGAAATCAAGGGCTTCTGGGAGAAAATTGATGTCTGGTAAGCACATAAGAGCATCAAACAACATAAACTTTAAGATCAACAAACCTTAAGATCTACTTTATAATGTCCTTCCTTTTTTCTGCCATCTTATTTGTATGAAATAAAAAACAAAAACAATAAACTGGGAATTTTCAGATAAACCAAATTAAGAGCAGTAAGCGGAATGAATAATTTAGAACGCTAGGATCCAGTAAAATATGATTTCCTAACTTAGGACTTTATGCTTAATTATAATGATCAATTAAAGAAATCTCTGTATGAAAATTAAAAATAGGGAACCCTAAAATGATAAAACTAAAAAGGAAAGTAAAAGAGAAAAGGCAATGATGTAAAATTAAAATAATCCTTAATTCTGAAGATGAAAATGGTCCCTGAACATACTTAAATTACTTCTCGGCTCTTGCAGTCTTATATTACTCTTTCATAAGAAGAAATTGTAAAATTTCCCTTTACACTAACAGAAAATGTTGCTGAAGCACATTTTTTTAGTGTCTGAAACATGACATATTACTAATTTCGGGGTTGTATAAAACTATTTCTTAATAAACATGGAAAGTTCATTTTGAATAAAATGCTAAATAAATTAAATAAGTATATGTAGTAAAATATTTTGGATGTTTTGAGTAATGAAGAGAAGACAGTCCCATGATGTTATTCCTCAAAACAGTTACTAACATTTTTGTGTATTTCTAATATTTTTAATTTGAATTAATGTTTATTATGCAGTTGTTATAGGGCACATAAAAAATTGTGTATCTTCTTTTCATTAAATAGCATATTAAAAGGCTTTTTATTGATACATAATATTATACATATATATGAGATACAAGTGATATTTTGTTACATGCATAGAATGGGCAATGATCAAGTCAGGTTATTTGGGGCATCCATCATCTTGAGTATTTATTATTTCTACATGCTGGGGACATTTCAAGTTCTCTCTCCTAGCTACTTTGAAATATACAACATGTTATTGCTAACTATAGTCACCTTACTCTGCTATCTAACTTTAGAACTTATATCTTCTATCTAATTGTGTGTTTGTACCCATTGACCAACCTCTCTTCATTTCCCCCCACCTGCCTACACAATTTTCCTAGGCTATGGTGTCTATCATTCTACTCTCTACCTGCATGAAATCAACTTTTAGCTCCCAGAAGTGAGAACATGCGACATTTGTCTTTCTGTTCCTGCTTTATTTCACTTAACATAATTACCTCCAGTTCCATCCATGTTGCTGCAAATGGCATAATTTTGTTCTTTTTTATGGCTGAATAATATTCCATGGTGTATGTATACCACATTTTCTTCTTCCATTCATCCATTGATGGACACTTAGGTTAATTCTGTATCTTTGCTATTGTGAACAGTGCTGCAATAAACATGCAAGTGCAGACATCCTTTTGATAGACTGATTTCTCTTCCTTTGGATAAATGCCCAGTAGTAGAATTGCTGGATTGTATGGTAGTTCTATTTTCAGTTTCAGTTTTTGTTTTCTGTTTTTTGAGGCCAAGCCTCACTTTGTTGCCCAGGCCGGAGTGCAGTGGGGCAATCTCAGCTCACTGCAACTTTCGCCTCCCGGGTTCAAGCAATTCTCTTGCCTCAGCCTCCCAAGTAGCTGGGATTACAGGCACCTGCCACCATGCCTGGCTAATTTTTGTGTTTTTAGTAGAGACAGGGTTTCACCATGTTGGCCAGGCTGGTCTCAAACTCCTGACCGCAGGTGATCGGCCCACCTCGGCCTCTCAAAGTGTTGGAATTACAGGCGTGAGCCACTGCACCCAGCCTATTTTTAGTTTTTTAAGAAATCTCCACACTGTTTTCCATGGTGACTGTATTAATTTACATTCCCACCAACAGTATGTAAGAGTTTGCTTTACTCCACATCCTTGCCAGCATCTGTTATTTTTTGTCTTTTTAATAACAGCCTTTCTAATTGGGATAAGGTGATATCTCACTGTGGTTTTGATTTGCATTTCCCTGATGACTGGTGATGTTGAGGATTCTTTCATATATACCTGTTGGCCATTGGTATGTCTTTTTTTCAGAAATGTCTATTCCTGTCCTTTGCCTACTTTTTAATGAGATTATTTGGTTTTTTACACTGTTGAGTTGTTTGAGTTTCTTGTATATTCTGGCTATTAGTCCTTTGTCAGATGAATAATTTGCAAATGTTTTCTCCCATTCAACATGTTTTGTGTACACTCTGTTGATTGCTTCTTTTGCTATGCAGACACTTTTATCAAAAGCATTTTATTTTATTTATTTATTTATTTATGACAGAGTCTCTTTCTGTCACCCAGGCTGGAGTGCAGTGGTGCGATCTCAGCTCACTGAAACCTCTACCTCCTGAGTCCAAGCAATTCTTGTGCCACAGCCTCCCGAGTAGCTGGGGCTACAGGCATGCACCACCACACCCGGCTAATTTTTGTATTTTTAATACAGACAGGGTTTCAGTATGTTGACCAGGCTGGTCTCAAACTCCTGGCCTCAAGTGACCCACCCACCTTGGCCTCGGCAAGTGCTGGGATTACAGGTGTGAGCCACTGCACCCAGGCATCAGAAGCATTTTAAATGTTACTGTGTGAGAGCTACCAAATGGTCTTGCCATTTCATTTTAATTTTTAGTATTTTTGTTGGACTTCTGAATTACATTTATGCATTGCTACACTATAGAAACCATCGTGATAAACATCTTAATGTATATTTTTTGTGCTAGATTGATTGCCAAAATGGCTAGCTGTGTTTCCCCTTCCTGTGCCCATGCCCTCTTGCCATGTAACTACCAGTGCCCTCCCATTCTGATTCTGAGCTCAGCCATGTGGCTTGCTTGGCAAATGAGATATTAGCGAAACTTGAGACATACAAGTGCTTTCACATTGGGGTTTATTCCCCTGCTGCTCCTGGGAACTGTCACCATATGAACAAGTGTGGACTTGCTTGCTGGTTCATGAGACACATAGCTTAGTTGCTCCCATACCTTCTGCAGACCTGCCAATCACCAGACTTGTGAGTAAAGCCATCTTAGATCATGCAGTCACCAGCCAACACACCACTGAACACAGATTTGGACAAACCTAGCTGAAACTGGCAGAGCTAGCCTTGACAAGGAGAAATACCCAGTGACCACAGAATCATAAGCCAAATAAATGTTATTGTTTCGGCCACTTGGTTTTGAAGTGGTTTTTTATATAGCAAAATTCAAGTGATACAGGCTTTGTCTATATTTCCTTATGCTACTTTCTCAGAAATATATTTACTTGACCCCGGGGGCAAGAACATTGACTATTCTTTAATTATCACCTTCAGTGATAATAAATTATAAGAAACACCTACTTTCTCAACATTCGGTAGCCCAAGAATGCATTAGCCTTTAAGTAAATATTATCTGAATGGTTTCCACAGTCTTAGAAAGTTTTTTTTCAACTTTTATTTTAAGTTCAGGGGTACATATGCAGGATTTGCAGGTTGTTACATATGTAGGTAAACGTGTGCCATGATAGTTTGCTGCACGGATTATCCCATCACCTAGGTATTAAGTCCAGCATCCATTAGTTATTCTTCCTGATGCTGTCCCTCTCCTTACCGCACCGCCGCCCCCGCAACAAACCCCAGTGTGTTGTTCCCCTCCATGTGTCCATGTGTTTTCATTATTTGATTTTCTGTTCCTGCATTAGTTTGCTGAGGATAGTGATTTCCAGCTCCATCCATGTCCCTGCAAAGGACATGATCTCATTGATTTTTATGGTTGCATAGTATTTCATGGTGTTATATGTACCACATTTTCTTTATCCAGTCTTTCATTGATGGGCATTTCGGTTGATTCCATGTCTTTGCTATTGTGAATAGTGCTGCAATGAACATACGTATGCAGGTATCTTTATAATAGAACGATTTATATTCCTTTGGGTACATACCCAGTAATAGGATTGCTGGGTCAAATAGTATTTCTGCCTCTAGGTCTTTGAGGTATCACCACACTCTCTTCCACAATAGTTGAACTAATTTACACTCCCACCAAAAAAAAAAAAAAAAAAAAAAAAAAAAAAAGCATTCCTTTTTCTCTATAACCTTGCCAGCATCTGCTGTTTTTTGACTTTTTAATAATAGCCATTCTGACTGGTGACAGATGGTATCTCATTGTGATTTTGATTTGCATTTCTCTAATGATTAGTGATGTTGATTTTTTTCATGTTTGTTGGCCACATATATGTCTTCTTTTGAGAAGTGTCTGTTCATGTCCTTTGCCCACTTTTTAATGGGGTTGTTTTTTTCTTGTAAATTTATTTAAGTTCCTCATAGATTCCAGATGCTATACCTTTGTCAGATGGATAGATTGCAAAAATTTTCTCCCATTCTGTAGGTTGTCTATTCACTCTGATGATAGTTGCTTCTGCACAGCAACTATCCCACTTGTCAATTTTTGCTTTTTTTTTGCAATTGCTTTTGGCATTTTTGTCATGTTTAATTAAATCCCACTTGTCAATTTTTGCTTTTGTTGCAATTGCTTTTGGCATTTTTGTCATGAAATCTTTGCCCATGCCTATGTCCTGAATGGTATTGCTTAGATTTTCTTCTAGGGTTTTTATAGTTTTGGGTTTTATATTTAAGTCTTTAATCCATTGAGTTAATTTTTGTATATGGTTTAACCAAGGGGTCAGATTTCCGATTTCTGCATATAGCTAGCCAGTTATCCCAGCACCATTTATTAAATAGGGAGTTCTTTCCCCATTGATTGTTTTGGTCAAGTTTGTCAAAAATCAGATGGTTGTAGGTGTGTGGTCTTATTTCTGAATTCCTTACTTTGTTCCATTGGCCTATGTGTCTGTTCTTGTATCAGTACCATGCTATTTTGGTTACTTTAGCCTTGTAGTATAGTTTGAAGTCAGGTAGCATGATGTCTCCAGCTTTCTTCTTTTTGCTTAGGATTGTCTTGACTATTTGGGCTCTTTTTTGGTTCCATATGAATTTTAAAATAGTTTCTAATTCTGTGAAGGATGTCAATGGTATTTTAATGTGAATAGCACTGGATCTATAAATTACTTTGGGCATTATGGTTATTTTCATGATATTGATTATTCCTATCCATGAGTATGGAATGTTTCTCCATTTGTTTGTGTCCTCTCTGATTTCTTTGAGCAGTGGTTTGTAGTTCTCCTTGAAGAGGTCCTTCACTTCCCTTGTTAGCTATATTCCTAGGTATCTTATTCTTTTTGTAGCAATTGTTAATGGGAGTTCATTCATGATTTGGCTCTCTGCTTGCCTGTTGTTGGTGTATAGGAATGCTAGCGATTTTTGCGCATTGATTTTGTATCCTGAGACTTTGCTGAACTTGCTTATCAGCTTAAGAAGCTTTTGCCAGACCCTATTTTGATCCTAATTTTATTTATCTTGGCTTGGGTAGTAAAGTAAAGGTGATTTAGGACACAAGTTTACATTCGTTCTATATTGAAATAATAGTATTTTGGATATTTTGAGTTAAAACATATTAAAATTAATTTCACCTATTTTTTATTTTGTTAATGTTTGTAATCAGAAAAATTTAACATATGGCTCAGGTTTGTGGCTGCTATTATATTTCCATTGAACACTGTTGCCCTAGATGTTTTCAAGGTCTGGATAAAGGATGCTGATTTAAACTGCGCAGTAAAGAAATTAACTGAATGAAGTTAATTGCAATCTGGACAGAGATGAAGACTCACATGAGATGACAGTACTGGGTCAAAGCGTGGTGTATTGGTGAAGGAACTGTTTCTTTTCCACCCTCTGAAGGTTTGCTGAAATTAATTAATAGACAGATCAACAGGAGAAAAAGCACACAAATGTGTTAATGTGCAAGTGTACATGGAATTTGTACAAAATATGAGACTCAAAGAAGGACCAGGTGGCTGAAGGGTAAACAGCACTCTCTTCATAGGGGACAGAGAAATGACAGAATGTAGACAATTTTGGAATCTGGTTTTTAGGAGAATTAAGTAGGCCCCAAAGAGCAGACAATAGTTCGTAAATGATTCTCTTTGGAAACTGAATGGGACTGAAGAATAGGGCATAGCTTGTGACAAAGTCTGCCTAGGTGGGATGACATTCCTGTCTTCCTTCCTGTGATACGAGTTTAATCCTTTCTGGGCAGTGAAATTTCAGGGAGGGGAGTGAAGACCATTGTGTTTCTCCTGGAAGAGCTTCAGATAAGGAAACTTCAGAGAGACAGAGAGTTCCACTCTGTGCTGGGGGAGAAAGAGGAGAAGGTTAGAAAGTTCTTGGTTCTGAGGCTGATTCTAAGGCTTCTTAATTTCTTTTCATTCATACTGTTCCACGTATCAAAGTGCCATGCTTTGGAGTATTGTTTTCTAAGCCTCAACATTGCCCTGTCTAAAATTTTCCTAGAAGTTTCACACATTAAAAGCTGAGTTGGTGGCCACAGAAAGAAAAATTCAGTTTGTAGTTGAGTAGCAAATTATCTCATTAAACCAGTCTCCTATTCTTAAGATAGGTCAGTCCAATTAAAAAGTTCTTTGTCATGTCAATAGGTGACATTTTAGGGCTCTATTCATGAATAGTTTCTCAATTCTGGAGATATTAGGTAGGAAAAAAGTAAATGCTTCAAATCTGTTCACAAAGATATACTTTACCAAATTGCTGAAAGCTATAGCTAGCTTAAAAGGAACAAAGTTTCCTTAAATCTGGAAAACAAAACATGAGAAGAATAACCAATGTTTTGACCAAAAAAGCCATAAAAACCATGCTCTTTTGTCAGTTTTATTCCATGTGATTAATCTTTATTCTGCTTGATGTTGAGTGAGCAGTTTTCTAAGTTCAGTTTTTAGCAGAGTTCTGTAAATTCAGTCCAGTGGTATGAACTCAAAGTCATTAGAAACCTGTGCTTATCAGAATTCTTTTCATATATCTCCTTGAATGTACAACACTTTAGGATTATAACTGCTTGCAAAGAACTTTCAGAAGAAGCATCAGAATAAAGCAATTAACTGTGGGCAATAAGACTTAGAATAACCAAGGTTAAAGATATGATTGGAGTTCATTATAATGATGCAATTAGCATGAAAATTATATTATTTTGTGGCCTATAACAATTTAATAAGATAATCATACTATATTGTGACCAATGACATATTAGATTTTCAGGAATATACGGTTTCTGAACACTCACCAATAACATACTTATAAAATTTTAAGTCAAAAAAATTAAACATCATTTCTTATTTGTTAGTCCATCCAATATAATTTTAACATTTCCAATAAGCCTAATTAGTTTAATATTTCTCTGTTGAACTTTCAGGGGCCCCATGGAATATCCAAAAGATAGTTTGTGGTCAAAAAGGCTTATGTTGATTTTTGAGAGGTTTGTCAAGTATCAAACATTTAAAACACTAGGTCAAAATAAGATCACCAATCATTGTGAAATAATAGTCATTCATTTAGCCAGAATGATAATTAAAAGTCTTGAAAAGCAAATACAGGAATTTACATAGTTGTTAAAAAACAAACAAAAACTTTACTCTTTGAGAGGATACTTGGTTTCCTTAAGTAATCAAAAGACCTAATAAAGACAGCATGAGGCACAAATAATGTTTCTCACCTCCCTCACTTCGCTTTTGCAGTTCACTTTAAAAGGTAAATAAAAATCTTTTGCTACCTCTTGGCAGTACTACATGAAAATCTTGTTTAAATGAGAAGACCAAATTTTAGTTTTGTATCGGTGTACTTTTGATATTAAGGCTCAATTTTAAAACCTGTTATAATAAATTTATGTAATCATAGTCAGTTTAACCACATAAGATTATCTTTTGCACTCTTCCCCCCATCTTTTTATATTCACTTCTTTTTGTCTATAATGTTTTATCTTCCACTTATCTATTCTGAAATAATTTTTAATACCCTCTAAACTAGATAAAATTACTTTTTTCCTGAACAATAACACATGTCCATATATCTTTTTAAATAACTTTTCTCACCCAAAACACATTTTTTCCTTGTACACTTTGTATACAAAATAGTTTCCTTTATTTTTAGTAATTTTAATTACATATAATAATTAGAATTTTTAACCCTAAGTAGCCTTAATTTTCAGTGAAAACCTAGGAAGCAAGCAATTTTGAACTGTCACGTACCAACATTTTATGAATACATATCTTATAATTTTAAGAAATATAGGCCTTTTCATAGAATAATCTTTCAATGTGAACTGGACATATTTATGTAAAGTAACCCTTGATATCCCCAAGAGCCAGAGATTAGGGAGTTTAATGCAAAAGAGAACAGAGCATCCGATCTGAGAGGAATACCACCCATGAGTTTCAGAGCTCCATGAGGGAGACAGAGGACCCCAAAAGTGGGGGGTCAGTGGTGTCTTTTGTGTGTCCTTCAAGGTGTCCCAGGGTCATCAAAAATCTCATTTAGGTTCTTCATGTGATAGAACTCTGATATTCCCCCTCAGTAATTTTTAATTTGCTGGCCGCTAAATGGAGGGGAACATATTTCAAATATAGAAGTCATTCCAATTCAAAGAATTCATCATCTGGTCATTAACAATTAGGACCTCCAACGGTGTATTTATTGCAGTAGCAGCTCAATTCGATAAGCCTCTTCATGGAAAGACCAGGAGGTAATCTTCTAGGTTTAGAATAAATTTTTAGCGTGAAAGCAAGAGGCATTCTCAAAGAGGGTGCAGAAGATGCAGCTCTTAAGATCCCCCAAAATTCACTTTCAAAAATAGATTAAGATAGTGTAAAGACCTGTATTAGCATAGGCAGTTAAGAATCACATTTGCAGTCAGGTGCGGTGTCTCACATCTGTAATCCCAGCACTTTGGGAGGCTGAGGTGGGTGGATCACGAGGTCAGGAGTTCAAGACCAGCCTGGCCAAGATGGTGAAACCCCGTCTCTACTAAAAATACAAAAATTAGGTGGGCACGGTGGCAGGCGTCTATAATCCCAGCTACTCGGGAGGCTGAGGCAGGAGAATCACTTGAACCCAGGTGGCAGAGGTTGCAATGAGCTGAGATCGTGCTACTGCACTCCAGCCTTGGCAACAGAGTGAGTCTCTGTCTCAAAAAAAAGAATAACATTTGCAAATGGTGTCTCCAGTCCACTGCAAAATGTGGAATGGCATTAGTCACAGACCTACTAATCTGTGACATCAGATAGGCACATCCGGGATTGGACTTTCCCAGCACTAACCAGACAACAGAGGTAGAGATGACAAAAGCCCCTTATGGATGGAATTTATTAAGATAAACTTCCCTGAGAGCTTGGCACATTTAGACAAAGAGAATGCTGCTTAATAGCATTTTGTGTCTTGGGTTCCTAGTCTTTTCAGACTGGCCACCTGGCACAACCTGACAACTGTACTTCCCAGCTGACAAAGAACAAGAAAGAGAGGTTCTGGCTTGTTCACAAAGCCAGGATCTCAAGACACAAAACAAGACAAGCAAGGAACCTTATTCGTTTTTTGTTTCAGGGACCCACAGCAAAGTTTCTATGCCAGGCTGGTGAGAACCACGCACTCATCAGTCTATAAGGACGGCTCAAACAATGGGCTTATAAGGGCTTTAGGCCCATGTTCTACCCAAAAAAGGTTGTCCTTTTTACAACAAACAACCCATGAGACAGAGACAAAGGAAAACAAAGACCATTTCTGGGAAAAAAGAGATCATCCAATATGAGTATTCATACCAAAAAAATATATACCAGAATTGCTATACGCAAGGACTAGTCTGTACAAATGATTTTATCCTACTCTTCTAAATTTGCAAAGAAAAAAGGAACAGGCAGTGATTTTTGCTATCCACTCAACCTCATTCCGTAAGCTGGAATCAGATCCAAGGGGCTGAGTAGTAAGAATTCCTTACCCTTTCATCAGCTTATCGGGTTCTAGGTTCTCACAACTGCAGTTTCCAGAGGAACAGAGCAGTTTTGCATATCCTGCCAACTGTGTCAAATCTAAAGGAATGAATACAAAACTTCCCCTTCGCCCTCTGAAGGTTTGCCGTGAACTGACAATAGACAGGTCAACAGAAAAAGCAAACAATTTTATTTTTTAATATTGATTATTGATTGATTGAGACAAGGTCTGGCTCTATTGCCAAGGCTGGAGTGCAGTGGTGTGATGTTGGCTCACTGCAACCTTCGCCTCCTGAGCTCAAGCGATCCTCCCACCTCAGCCTCCTAAGTAGCTGGGACTACAGGCACACACCACCAGGCCTGGCTAATTTTTGTATTTTTTGTAGAGATGGAGTTTTGCCATGTTGCTGATATAGGAGTTAACAAGGAATTATTTAGGCAAATAGTGAGGGTAAGGAAGTCCTCAGTAAGGTTTCCCTTTTCATGAAAAGCAGCCCCCAAATCACTTCTAACAAAGAGCAGCCTAGAAAATGGAGCTGCGGACACAGATAAGCAAGCTGGAAGCTTGCACAGGTAAATGCCAGCAGCTGTGCCAATAGGAAAGGGGCTACCTGGGGACTAGTTGTGTTCAACATGGTGGCTCCATCTTCCCTTTTCTTTATCAACCACGTGTACGGTAAGAAGCAGACAGCATGGCACTGACCAGGTAAAAAAACCCACTTGCATAATAAAAGATTAGGGTGGGGTGGCCAGCTTCTTTGCACACTATGTAAATGTCACACCTAATCCAACCAATCTTTGGGCCTTATGTAAATCAGAGACCACCTCCTCAAGCTGGTCTATAAAACCCCATGCACTTCACCACAAAACCGGAAGTCCCACTCAGGCACCCCTCTCTCTCCCAGGACAGAGAGCTATTCTCCTTTCTCTTTCTTTCACCTATTAAACCTCTGCTCTTAAACCCACTTCTTGTGTGTCTGCATACTCGATTTCCTTGGTGTGAGACAAGGAACCTCTGGTATTCACCCCAGAAAATGACACCAATTCATTGCCCAGACTGGTCTTATGAGCTTAAGCAATCCGCCTGCCTAAGCCTCCCAAAGTGCTGGGATTACAGGCATGTGCCACTGTGCCCAGCTGCATACAAATTTATTATTTAATAAATTTATTATTTCCATGCAAGTGTGCATGGAAGTTCATGAGACTCAAAGAAGGGCCAGATGGCTGATGCTTACATAGTAGCCTCTTCATGGGGGACAGGGTGATGGGAGAATGTAGACAATTTTGAGGTGTAGTAAATGATTTTTAGGAGAATTGAGTGGGCCCCAGTGAGCAGACTATAGTTTGTAAATAATTATCTTTGGAAACTGAATGGGACTGGAGGACAGGCCATAGCTTGTGACAAAGTCTGTCTAGGTATGGCGACATTCCTCCATCTTCCTTCCTGTGATATGAGTTTAATCTTTTCTAGTTAGTGAAATTTCAGGGAGAGGATGGAATGCAATTACATTCCTTCTGGAGGATCTTGAGATAATGAGACTTAGAGAGATAGAGAGTTCCATCCACCCTGTGCTTGCAGAAAGAAACAGAAGTTCAAGTCCTTGGTTCTGAGCCTGCTTCTAAAGCCTTTGAATTTTCTTTAGTTCAAAGTGCTTAGTATGCCAAAGTGCCATACCTCAGGGTGTTGATTTCTTCCCTTGACATAGAAATGAAAGATTACTAAGTTTTCAATTGGTGACACAGAATTATCATAGAAACATGTAGCCCTTAAACCCCATATCCAATCTAGTATCTCCAAACAACATCCTAGCCATGATTTGTCAATTTCCAATAACCAACCTCAGTTCACCCACTATAATAAATCTTCTAATGGGTAAATATATTTCCAAGATCCGGAAAAGCTAGAATAAGACATAAATATAATTAAAGAGATCAGGCCTGGCACTGTGGCTCAGCCAGGTGTGGTGGTTCACACCTGTAATACTAGCACTTTGGGAGGCAGAGGTGGGTGGATCACTTGAACCCAGGAGTTCTGGACCAGCATGGGCAAAATGGTGAAATCCCATCTCTACAAAAAAAAAAAAAAAAAAGTCAGGCATGATAGCACATGCCTGTAATCCCAGCTACTCTGGAGGCTGAGGCAAGAGGATCGCTTGAGCCCAGGAGGCAGAGGTTGCAGTGAGCTGAGATCATGCCACTGCACTGCAGCCTGGGTGACAGAGTGAGACAATGTTTCAAAGGAAAAAAAAGAAAACAAATGAAATCGAAACCCGTCATATTAACGATTTTGTATTGAATTCAGGAAACCATTTTTTTATCATTGGAAAAATCCACCTGTATCTGGTATTAAAATATTTGTAATTTTAAAAGAATTTGGCATATTCGTTATTTTTGTCCAATTAATAAGCTTTATGGTTCCAATTTAAATGTGTAATTAATTTTAGAATTGTTTTAAAAGGAATAAGATTTTTTTTCTTTTTTCTTTTTTTTTTTTTTGAGACCAAGTCTCACCATGTTACCAGACTGGAGTGCAGTGGTGTAATCTCAGCTCACTGCAACCTCTGCCTCCCAGATTCAAGAGATTCTTATGCTCCAGCCTGAACTGAGTAACTGGGACTCCAGGCGTGAGCCACCACGCCAGGCTAATTTTTGTATTTTTAGTAGAGATGAGGTTTCCCCATGTTGGCCAGGCTGGTCTCGAACGCCTGACCTCAGGTGGTCTGCCCGCCTCAGCCTCCCAAAGCGCTGGGATTACAGCATAAGCCACCATGCCTGGCCAATTTTTAAAACATGTACATAATGTTTGAAGGTTTCAAAGCATTTATTTATGTTTATTATTTGTCTTACTATGTTTGCAAATGTAATGCATATAGATTTACAAGAGTTTTGTAAGTTCTTGGAAAGTTTCTCCTTGTTAGAGTCAACAGCTTGCTCTGTTGGGCATTCAAAGTTCTATAACAGAGAATAAAATCTGTTAAATGTATTGATGCATCTTTAAATGTTTGAGGAATTAAATTTGTAAATAGAACTGGTTGTTTAAGGACTTTCAGTCTTTTTAACTTGAGTTAGTTAAGTAATTAACCCCAAAAAAAGTGAAGCTATTTATTATAATTTTAATAGAGTTTTACATAGAAAACAAGATTTGTAAGTTAAAATTTAAAACTTAATAAAATAGATTTAACATTTAAAAAAATTTTATAAACTATTAATTAAAAACTCCAGTACTGTAAGTAGTTCTTTCTATGCACAAAAGCCCCATATTCAGGACATGAAAAAATTATGCAAGGGAAGGGTACCCAAAATTCTTGGAAGAAAGCCAAGACTTGTGTAGAAATTATACTTGCTTTTTAAAGGAATGTTTCCATTAGAGAATAAAAAAGCCAGTCTTAATTTAGGAAAGAAAATTGTGATTAGATGTCATCTCAACCCCTGTATCAACCTCAGGAGGCCAGGATATCTCTGTCCTTGAAAATACTTGCCTGATCATGCCCATGAAACTGGGTTGTTGGCAAGTCATCTGTGGGCATCCCTTCAACCAAGGGGACCATGTTGGTTCAGGGGTGCTGGATTGCTCAGACAGTGAAGGATTCTACCTTGGCAGATAGTACCTCCACATTGCTTTGGGCTAAGAATAAAGAGACAATAAAAACTGGGTAGCAGTCCCGAAATTTCTGTCTTATCATTATTAAAAGAACCAAAGTTGGGCCTGTCCCAGAAAGGGGTCTCATTCCTAACTCTGGCCATCTTTAAAACATCTGTATGCCCACGTTGTCAACTCTGGTGAAATGCTGACCCAGGCTTGCCTTGTACTTCAATGTCCCATACTTTGCTTTCAGAGAGAAGCCAGGAATAAAACTGAAAACACAGTTTGGGACCAAATTGTGGAAGGCCTTAAACAAAGACCAAAGGGCATTTACTTTATTTAAAAGGCAGTGATAAATTGGCAAAGATTTTAAACACATGCATAAATTTATTCCAAAAAGTACTTTAAAAAGATTAATCCTTTCCAGTAGCATACACTCAGGGAAAGCTTTGAGATGAGAGACCAGTTAGAAGATATCACAAAATTGAACCTAGCAACTCAACATCTCACAGGACACATTGGGAGTGAAAGAGGGTACCAATTGAATGGAATTCTAGGTGGAAATCCCAGCTGCCCTTAGCAAACTAGGATGCATAGGGAAAGAAAGAAGGAAAGAGAGAAAGAGAAAGAGAGAGAGAAAGAAAGGAAGGAAGGAAGGAAGGAGAAAGAAAAGAAAAGAAAGAAAAAGAAAGGAAAGGAAAGGAAGAGGAAGGGAGGGAGGAAGGAAGGAAGGAGGAAGGAAGGAAGGAGGAAAGAAGGAAGGAGGGAGGAAGGAAGGAAGGAGGAAAGAAGGAAGGAAGGAGGAAGGAAGGAAGGAAAGAAAAAAAGCAAAAAGACTTAGTGATTTACCTGATTCAAGAGATTAAGAAGAAGGGAGAAGTCAAATATAACTTCGAGTTCTGGGTAGTTTGGAGAACACTGGTGCCACTAATAGAAACAGGACACACATTGGGTGCTGGGTTTTGGGAGGAGGTAACCAGGTGGAGATGTCAAGCAAACAACAAATGTTAAACCAAAGCCCAGCCAGGTTTAAAGATAGGGGACTCATCTCCATAAGAAGGGAGAGAAAAGCAGATAGAGAAAGACAGTCTCAGTAGTACATTTATTGTAGAGGGAGGAAAGAGGAAGGATCATTGGTAAAGGAGATAACCAACAAGCCAGAGTCATACGAGGAGGACAATCACCATAACAAAGGCCTTCAAGTGAGTTTGGAGAAAACAGGAGACCAAGGGTACCAAATGCTATAGAATTTTCCAAGTTGAGAAGAATAGAGCCAAAGCTAGTGGCTTAGCAATTAAGAAGTTACCAGTGCAGCCTGGGCAACATGGTGAGACCCCATCTCCACAAAAAATAAAAAATAAATTATCTAGGCATGGTGGCACACACCTGTGGTCCCAGCTACTCAGGAGGCTGAAGGAGGAAAATCTCTTGAGTCTGAGAGGTCAAGGCTGCAGTGAGTTGTGATTGCAATACTGCACTCCAGCCTGGGTGACAGAGCAAGACCCTGTGTTAAAAAATAAATAAATAAATAAAAGCACTGAACATCAAGAAAGCAATTTATTTAAAGGGATGGGAACTAAAGCTAGGTTGCAAGAGGGTAAGTAATGAGTGGTGACGAGAAAATAAAGACATCTTTCTCCTTCCTTTCCTTATCAAACACTTAAATGTTTGGAAGTCCAAGATCAAACATTTAAATGTTTGATGATGAAAGGAAGGAGAAAGATATAAGGGTGCTTGGGGGATAGTCTAACCCTGTATAAAAAACATATTTCCAGCAGCAAAATTCTAAAGCTAAATTCTGGTTCTCTACACAGGTAAGACATATGTGAAAACCACCTGATTCTCTTGGGCTCTGTCTATTCATTTTGGAGCAAGCCCAACAAAGCTCATATAATAACCTACAGCATGTTAACTTTTGTTTGAAGTCTCATAATGAATATAAATTCTAGATTTATTGTTTCGGTTGAATTCAAGTCAAGTGGTTCTTTGTGTTATTGGAATTTTGTCAAAAATCTCATTCCTCATTCAAATTCCCATTTAATTGTCGTTTAAAAGAGCGTGTCAATTTAGGTATATTCCATCTTGGAAATACAATTTTCATTTGTAAGTTACTCAAGAAAAAGAGAAAAGGAAAAGTGAAAAGAGCGTGGGAGGAAAATAGAGGAGAATGGCAACTCACTATAATTATATATATACTCATGAAAGTAAGTAAAAATCTAGATTTGCTCATTTGAAGACTTGGTTGTTAAGCAAAACAATATGAATAGTCAACAACTCATCATAGTTTTACTTGTGACTTTTTTTTATTTTATGAGAGTGCAAAAGCAATACACATCCATTAGAAACCATATTCAAGTACCCTTTAAAGTATTCTGTTTTTCACTTCCAGTACAGTATTCAATAAGTTGCATGAGATATTCAACACTTTATTATAAAATAGGCTTTGTGTTAGATGAGTTTGCCCAGCTGTAGGCTAATGTGTGTCTTCTGATCATGTTTAAGATATGCTAGGCTAACCTATGATGTTTGGCAGGTTAGGTATAGCAGATGCATTTTCAACTTGCAATATTTTCACCTTACAATGGGTTTATCGGGATGTAACCCCATCATAAGTTAAGAAGCATCTGTACTTCAAGGAAATAAAAATGTACTTAAATTATTTATCGTCCTGTGTGCTGTTCATCCAGTCCCAATCCGTAGCCCCCTCCCTTCACCTCTCTAGCTCATAGTCACTTTCAGATTATAGTTGAACGTCCCTTCCTCATCACTGCCCTTCAAACTGGCTTAAGATAATATGTTGTATGTGGCTTTCATAACCTTCAACATATTTTATTGTAATTACTTGTTTACTATCTTTCTTCTTCACCAACCAATAGTTTGAGAGATTAGGAGCCATGTCTGTTTTGGGTACAAATCAGCACTTTGTGTAGTGCCTAGCACAAAGTAGGTAAGTGCTGAATAACAATACTTAGTAAACAAATAAAGCTCTCAAAAACATGATCATCTGTCTTAGTCTATTTGGGTTGCTATAACAAAAATACCATAAACTTGGTGACTTATAAACAACAAACATTTATTTCTCACAGTTCTAGAGGCTGAGAAGTCCAAGATCAAGGCACTAGTAGATTCACTGTCTGATGAGGACCCATTCCTTATAGATGGTGCCTTCTTGCTGTGTCCTCATATGGCTAGCTAGCTCTCTGGGGTGTCTTTTATAAGGGCACTAATCCCATTAATTAGGGCAGAGCCATCATGAGCTAATCACCTCCCAAAAGTCCCACCTTCTAATACTATTACCTTGAGGATTAGGTTTTAATCTATAAATGATGGGAGCACACAAACCTTCAGACCACAGCATCATCTGTCAACTCTGGATCTATCTTCTATCCCTCAGCAATTACAGCATATTTTTTGAATTCATAGAACCAAAGATCATAGTACTTCAGGACCATAAAGATACTTAATGATCTGATTTAAATACTTATATTTAGCAATAGGCCCTTTTTTCCCCAAAATATAATTTTATAAATGCTCTCTAATGTCTAAGTGAGGTAAAAGAGAGCTATTGTGGATGAAGCATGGGTTGAGGGAACCAGAACCCCGTTTGTTCTGCCTTGAATTTCCAAGGAAGGGCAGCCACATGTACCTCATACAGCTCCACAGAGCCTTGGGCTCCACGGAACACCATTTGAAAACCACAGAACTGGACTTGCATCTTCACAATATATTAAAAGTTCTTAGAAATCAACAAGAAGAAAGACAAATTAACCAATAGAAAAAAATATGAAAAGTAAATTCACTGAGGAAGAAATATTGATGGCCAATAAAGACATATAAAGATGATGGGCTTTTCTGCTAATCAAGCAAGTGTAGAATAAAACATGAAGGAAAAATACTTTACCCATAATACTGGCAAAAATGCAAATATTGATATTATAAAGGTGAGAAATCATTGTTATGAAAGTGGAAATTGGGCAGCAATTCCAATTTTAAATTGTAATTGACCTTTGATCCAGAAATATGACTTCCAAGAATCTAATCTACAGAAATTCCAAACATGTGGCCGGGTGTGGTGGCTCACGCCTGTAATCCCAGCACTTTGGGAGGCCGAGGCGGGCAGATCACGAGGTCACGAGATCAAGACCATCCTGGCTAACACGGTGAAACCCCGTCTCTACTAAAAATACAGAAAAAAAAATTAGCCGGGAGCAGTGGTGGGCGCCTGTAGTCCCAGCTACTCGGGAGGCTGAGGCAGGAGAATGGTGTGAACCCGGGAGGTGGAGCTTGCAGTGAGCTGAGATTGCGCCACTGCACTTCAGCCTGGGTGACAGAGTGAGACTCCCTCTCAAAAAAAAAAAAAAAAGAAAAGAAATTCCAAACATGTGGACAAAGATCCTTGAAGATACCTGTATTAGGCCATTCTTGCATTGTGCTAAAGAAATACCTGAGATTGGGTAATTTATAAGAAAAGAGGTTTAACTGGCTCACAGTTCTGCTGGCTGTACAGGAAACACAGCACTGGTGTCTGCTTCTGGGAGGCCTCAGGGAGCTTACAATTATGGTGGAAGGCAAAGGGGCATCCCACATGGCAGGAGTGGGAACAAGAAGAAGAGAGTGGGTGGGGATAGGGAGTGCCACACACTTTTACTGAACCAGACCTCATAAGAACTCGCTCATTATCTCAAGAACAGCACCAAGCCAGGAAGGATTCACCCTCATGACACAAACACCTCTCGCCAGGCCCCATCTCCAACACTGGGGATTACATCTCAACATGAGATTTGGAGGGGACATCCAAATGATATCAATATCTCTGTCCATTATTTTTATTTAAAAAAATTAGAAACAACATCAAGACTCTCTGTGGAAGAAGATTTAAATAAATTATAACTTTAATACTATGAACACTATAAACTAATTTTTTGTAAATGATAAATAATAATAAAAATAATGATAAAAGTAATAGTTGATGTAATAGGATGTTAAAGTGGAAGTTTTAACCAAGGCACCAAAATGCAGTAAATATACCACATCAAAGTAAAATATCAATCTAATTTTCAATGAAAATAATCCAGGAACCAGTTATTGAACTCTTAAGCATCTTGTTCCATTTGAAGACAAAAAATAATCAATTCATGGGAAATTAAAAGGATTCCAGAAATACTTCTTTGCCAAAAGTTGCTGATATACTATGAGTACTATCAAGATGGAAGGGTTTGGGGTGCTCCTTGTATATCCAAGTTAAGGGAGAGGGACTCTAGTGAGACTACTCAGAGAATGAAATAAGCACCCCCTGAAGTTGGAGGAGAAGGAGGATACAATGAATTGTATCTGATCCCATCTGAGAAATCTATGAGGAGAGGTAGGCTGTGTAGCTACTGATGAATGAGTAGAAGAAATGTCTGTGTGGGGGTGGCCTGCACTCCCAGAATTTATGGAGACAAGAAGACCTGAGTAATTTCATGGGCCAGGTGTGGACCATGGGGGAGAAACAACCAGCCTGAGGTCTTCTTGGGACCTGTCCACCTGGGCCAACTGAGAGGGTGGATAGGCCTCAGCAGAGAGAAGCTGATGGTAGCAACATATTCCTAGGGACCACAGAATGGGAAGGCAGCCAGCTGGAAGCAAACTCATCATTCTTGTCAAGGGAAATATAGGTGGGAAGTCCCAAGGGGTTGGAGGATACACCGAAGAACCCATGCAAACATCCATGAGAGAAAGAGCCTCTTGTTAGAGCTGCCAGATTCAGAAAACACAAAACTGGTCAATCATGAAATAACTTTCCTACCCACTTCTGCTACTCCTTCCCTCTGTCTGAACCCTGAAAGTGTGAGAGACCATAGAAGATACCAGAAGACAGGCAGCAGGATAAGATGGAGAAATAACATGGAAAAAGAATAACTTGAACCCAATACACCTTCCCCAAGAGTGGGCTTCCCAACAACAGCAGGTTCTAGCTGAATAGAGGAGAGGTAAAAGGCTTAATTGTAAATCACGTTCAAAGTTTTGTTTCTCATCTGGTCTTGGATATTCTTGTTTTTGAATTGACACTGTGTTTGCCACTCAAGGTGACTCTGGGACTTGTTATGACCTAAGGATGTTCAGAAGATTTGTGGGACTCCCAGAGCTTCCATCCAGGAGCAGGGGAAAAGAATTCTCCACTGAATAAAGCTTAAAGGGTCAGGAGATGATAAACACTTGCCTGGTGATGCTAGCCCTGCATGCTCCATGCTCCACGTACCGATGATGCATTAACATTGCCAAGCACAGTGCTGAACACTTTATTGCATTATATCAGTTAAACTGCAGATGCTGCCATAGAAAGAAAACACCAAACAAATAAAGCACATGCAATAGACTCCAATTTGAGTGTTTATGTTTGAATGTGTATATTTGAATATGTCCAGAGAAACAATGGGAAGGTGTGTTAGTCAAGGTTCTCTAAAGAAACAGAAACAGGATGTGTATATATGTAGAGAGAGATTTATTTTAAGGATTGACTCATACGATTGTAAGGCTTGGAACATTCAAAATCTGATGAAGAGGCTGGCAGGCTGGAGACCCAGGCCAGAGCTGCAGTTCCAGACCAAAGGCCACCTGAGGACAGAATTCTAGAAGGTGGTGGAATCTTGCATGGTCAGTATTTGTTCTCTTCAGGACTTCAGTTGATTGGATGCAGCCCACTCACTTTATGAAGGGCTTTGTGTATTTATTTTTATTTTTGGAGAAAATAAGCTTTATTATAATGATTTGAGATTTTGTGCATGGTAAAGAGATACACATGAATCGTGTTTCTCCTATGTTTCATGACAGAATTAATTTAAAGTTTCACTGCAGACCAAAGCATCCAAAAAACAGTGGTACTTTTTTTTTTTTTTTTTTTTTTTTTGAGACAGAGTGTTGCCCTGGAGTGCAGAGGCACAATCTTGGCTCAATGCAACCTCTGCCTCCCCGGTTCAAGGGATTCTCCTACCTCAGCCTCCCAAGTAGCTGGACTACAGGCACGAGCCACCATGCCCAGTTAATTTTTCTATTTTTAGTAGAGATGAAGTTTCACCATGTTGGCCAGGCTGGTCGAAAACTCCTGACCTCAAGTGATCCGCCCCTCCTTGGCCTCCCAAAGTGTTGGGATTACAGGTGTGAGCCACCATGCCCAGCCCCACAGTCTCTTTTTAATGAGTTTGCAGATGCCAGACAATTCCTGCTCTGGTGTTGGCGGCATCAGGGACAGTGAGCTTGAGCTTTCCACCCCCAAGGGCAGCATGGGGAGTGGCAGGTGCAGGAATTCCAGCATGCTGCTCTGCTTGTTCCTCTTCATTCCCTTCATGTCCAGTATCTTCCGGAAGGCTTCTGTGTTGCAGTCTGTGAAGAGTTTGATGTAGTTGTCAACTAATACCACCAACAGTTCCTGAGGGGCTGTCACTACCTACCAAGGGAGGAGACAAGAGCAGGCCTGCCAAGGAAAACTCACAGTTGCAGTTCACCAATTTAAATGCTAATCTCATCCCCAAAAAACACATTTACAGAAAACATCCGTAATAGTATTTAACCAAGTATATGGGCACCATGGTCCAGTTAAGTTGACACATACAATTAACCATCCTAGAAGGATACACACTAAACTATGGACAGTAAGTGGGTATCGTCGGGGCAGGGACAGAAAGTGAAAGGATAGCTAGGCGTGGTGGTGCACCTGTGGTCCCAGCTACTTGGGAGGCTGAGGTGGGAGGATCACTTGAGCCTGGGTGGTTGAGGTCTCAGTGAGCCGTGATCGCACCACTGCACTCCAGCCTGGGTGACAGAGCAAGACCTCGTCTCAAAAAAATAAAATAAATAAATAAACAAAAATGAAAGTAAAAGTGAAAGGAAATTAGGTGTACTTTTCACTTCTTGCTCTCTCTCTCTCAGAATACATTATTCACCCTGAGACCTGAGGAGTGGGGAAGTGTACTACTCCTGCTGCATGATAGACAACCCCACCCTGACCCTTCCCCAGCTTCTCTCTGACACTTTTCTAGCCAGGCTTCTCTGCACAAGGCCAGGAGCTTTCAGTGTCAACAGTACATGCTTACCCTGAGTCCTTGGCCACAATATTAGACTGTGTTTCAGGCACCCGGGACTCCAGAATGCCCTGTCCAGGGTCCCAGAGCCTGTGCATGGTGCCTTCCCAAGTCAACCTCTCAAGGGCAGCTGCATCCCCACCAGTGTGCACACCCCCAGCCCTAAGAAGTGACAAGGGGCAGACGTTTGTGGGGCTGAAGTCCGGGGGAGTTGAGGATAGAATTGAATGTGCAGACTGGGTTGCCACACGTGTGTGCCCAAGGCCCTTGCAGTGGGAAGGGAAGATGAGGTGAGGGCATGGGCCAGGGCCAGCTCTCTCT
Organism: Homo sapiens; assembly: GCF_000001405.40. Lineage (NCBI taxonomy): Eukaryota > Metazoa > Chordata > Mammalia > Primates > Hominidae > Homo > Homo sapiens. The sequence goes on from NC_000018.10 coordinate 25,954,425, forward strand.
ACCATGCCATATTTTGATGAAGAACTCTGGAGAGTCTAAGAATTCCTCATTTAAATCCCATCTTCCAATTCTCTAGGACTGTATATTTGTCAAGGTAAAAGGATATGTTGAGAAAATATAATTCTAAACAAAATCTTCTTCCAAGCCAGAAACCCTCTCCACAAAGGTAGCAGAGAAAATAGTTTTATTACGAATAAACTATTAAACCAAAATGTGATGCACATCACAGGCAGTCCACTAAGGAATTACAAAGACAGAAAGAAATTCCAGCCTTTAATATAGCCAAGAAGATACAACCCATTATATACCTTTTCCCAAGATAAACAAAAATTAGTTCTCAAATAACACATAGTTCGTCCTAAATTCACCTGGTAATTGGCGTAACCATCTGTATTAGTTAAATGATTTTATACAAAGGAAAATAAGCTTCTCCTATCTTTATGACAGAAGGTAATTTTGCAAGTTGTGGCGGGGAGGCAATCACCAAAGTTAGGCTCCTACCGTCCCTCAGAAACTGAGAGATGGGGTGCTATCTCCCTCAATGATTATATTCTAAAGCAATGGCTGCCAGGTCCTTGAGAAAGACATTCCTGGGTCACAAAGACAGCAGAAAACTTATTTAGCTCTAAAAACATTTACGTACATGTCAAAGAGGGAAATAACTTACAAGTACACATTTTCTAAAGTAAATACTCTAAGAAAAGTGAACGAAGGTAATTTCTTCCCTTATTTTTAACAAGAATTAAGCCTCTTATTTTTAATATTTACTTGCCCTTACAGATAGGACATATTTTACTTGATAGTTTGTTACCTTATCTTGTAACATGCAGATATGTAGACACGCTATATGTGGATCTCTGTTTGTTTTCTTGACAGGACCTGCAAATGTTAGAAGCTGGCTTTTTCTTTTCTAAAAACAGTGATATATTTGACAAATTTCAAAATGATTTTTAAAATTTTATTTTAAAGGAACAGATATACATTAGCTATTTTTAAAAAACAGTCATTTGTTTTCATTGTTAATTCAGTTGGCTTTCTCCTATCACCCTATGGGTTCATATTTTAAATGTGCTTTGCATATGCACAAAGAAGATATGAATCATGTTAGTTGTAGAAACTGCTGGCCATCTTTATCTGCTTTAATGGGTCTGCCCAAGCAAATACTAGTTAATTTTCCTCTTAACGTGACATTGCAGGTGTCACTCTTTGATACTGAAAATTTTATTTTAAAATGTGTCCTTCAGGTAAAGAAGCTAGTTTGAGGATGCAGTAACCCAAAGCTAAATACTGAACATGTGGTAACAAGATTGCAAAAATGGAAACCAGGAAATCCAAATTCTAATACCAGTCTTGCCACTAATCATTAGTGTGTGACCTTCAATTATGGATTCTTTTGGAGTCTCAGTGTCTTCATCTGTAAAATCAAACAAGTGGACTAGAGGTTCCTTCAGACACAAAATTTTCTTGGCATCTTTTCAGATATCTTTTCTCCTTCTTACTCTTTCCCTGTTCTCACTTGTTTTTGTTTTTTGGTTCATTTTCACCGTCTCTATGTGGCCTATATCTGTGAGGATATAGGGTGAGTGAACAGACCTTTAGCTCCAAACAATCGGTAATTAAACTCAAACCTCTACCCGAAGAGTTCAAGACATTCTATTTCTGTGCAGAAAATAAAACAGAAAACCAGCAGTTAAGTCAAGGTCTCCTTTGTATTTCTTCGTCTTTATCAGTCCTGACAAGGTCTTGTTAGCAAACCCTCATCCTTATTTTCCACCTCCAACTCTACACCTTCAGTTAAATCCCTCCTTTCCTTTGCAGTTTCCATAGTTAACATTCTCCAGGATTTGTTTTTTTCAATGTATCCTCCTTAGATGACTCTTCTAGAAGTTTTGTTTTTTTGTTTTTTTGTTTTTTTTCAGATGGAAATGTAGTCCACAATTCTTCCCAAGGCAGTGGCTGATTCAGGCTTCAACATAAAAAATCCACTATCACTATAATCTGTTAATATAATGTATTAATTCACAGACTTGCTGTTTTACCTCTTTTCACATAACTCTTATTGCTATGTCCATCTGAACTTGGTTGCTTGTTGGCTTTCTTACAATCCATGGAAGGATGTAGGACTTAGCTATTTAATTCACAATATGCAGCTTGTCATGCACGTATGGGTGCTTCATTCATAATGATTCTTTAATTCATTGTCTCAAGTGTTTCCATATCCTTATTCTTGCTCTGATCACTGAAATATGGGTTGGGTTTCTTTTTTTTTTTTTTTTTCTTTTTCATTCTTTTCTTAACCTGTTTTTATCTAAGGAGTATGATTCTGCAGGGTGTACAGGAAGCATGGTGCTGGCATCTCTTCTGGTGAGGCTTCAGGAAGCTTCCAATAGTGGTAGAGGGCGAAGGGGGAGCAGTCGCATCAAATGGCGAGAGCAGGAGCAAGGGAGGGCAGTTAGCTATTTATTTTATAAGGGAGGAAGCTGAGGCTAGCAATCACTGAGCAACTTGCTCAGGGTCACACAGGAAGTTAGCGAGAGAATTGCAGCAAGAACCTAGTCCTCCTGATAAAGCTTGGCTCTCTTTCCATTGGTTTATGCTGCTTCCCATTCACTCGGGTTGTTTACTCTAATTTCAGGCAAGTTTGACTTATCTCAACAAGTCTTGCTATGGCCTAGGAGTTAAACAGCAACAAGGATCTCAAAGAAAACTGAATGTAGAATTTAGATACTTCAAACTTGGAAAAAAAAAACTCACGTTTTTAGTACATAATCATTGTGTAAGAAGCGAGTCTTCAATCAATATGTCAGAAGATGTCATTTTGCACTTCCAGAGTTAAAGATTTTTTACTGCCATGACCCCTCCCTCCTCCCCATGACAGCTTCCGGATTCCTATAAAGCCCTAGCACCTCACATTCCCCCAGCCACTTCTAACTCTGCCTTCCTCTTCTTCTAGCTCTCCACTTCCCTCACTCTGCACCTCCTGGGTTTTCCTCTGCTCCACACCAAGCCAAACATGAAACTCATCTTCACACTCAAAGCTGGCTTTGTGCATAGCAGACTTTACTAAGGCTGCCTTTTCCCCTGGGATCAGCTCCCCTTCCTATTTCTCTTTGCCCTGCTCTCTCTCTCTCTCTCTCACACACACACACACACACACACACACACACACACACATACACACACATACATACCTCCTCCTACCTTCCTGAGTTTCTGTTCTCTAGCCCCCTCCTCTCACACTCAATTCTTTTATTTTATTATGCAAAGCAATTTAGGTTCCACCCACAACTCAGCTGCTACCTTTGTATATCCCAGGCTTTGCAAGGCCTGCTCCGGGGCCCACACTTGAACAGCATGAAAGAAAGGGTAAAAACTTTATAATTTTCATTTTTTTCTTTCTCCCAGCAGTGAAAAGGCATAGTATAGAGATTCATTTTCACACTGTATCAATTCAGATGATTTCACCTGTAACTAATAGGAAACCAAAATCAAACTGATTTAAACAAAAAGAGGTTATGGAAGGAGTTTATTATAGAGTTTGGGAGGTTTTGGAATTGACTTCAGGACACAAGCTGTCTCTTTTTCGCTCTGTCATCCTCAGCTTACTGGCTGTCCTGAGAGCTGTCCCTTTATGGTCAGAATATAGCTTTCATCGTTCCAGAAATCAGTGTAGACACAACAATGTCAGGCAGAAAAACACAGACATGTCCTCCCTTGAGTCGCTTTTTATCTGTAAGGGAAGGCCATTCAGTATCTCACTGACTGTGACTGGGCCCCGTGTATCCCCCTAAAATAGTTTGGCAAAAGAATGGAATTATTAAGAATGGTTTACACCTATCATGACTCACTTCCAGGACTGAGAAGATGTTTTTTCCTGAGCACATTGGTTACGGTTGTCTATTATTATACAACAAAGTGTTAACCGGTAGAGGGTCTTGACCGCAAGTTGTCCAGGTTCTTGGCGTTTTAAACAAAGAATTGGACAAAACGCCCAGCAAAGCAAAGACAGAATGAAGCAACAAAAGAACGAAAGCAGGGATTTACTGAAAACAAAAGTACACTCCACAGTGTGGGAGCTGGCCCAGCAGCGGCTCAAGGACCCCTAAACAGAATCTTCTCAGGTCCAAATATCCCCTAGAGGTTTCCCATTAGCCACTTCATGCTCACCTCATGGAAATGAAGTGGTGGCCTACAATTGGTCTGATGGGTTGCCAAAAGCAACCAATCAGAGGCTGAAGTGGAGTTACAAAGGTCACACTCCTGTGCAAACATCTGATTGGTTGCAAAAAAGTAACCAATCAGAGACTAAGGTGAAGTTACAAAGTTGCGAAAAAAGACTCTACCAGCAATCAGTCTGATTGGTTGTGGATAGCCAATTTCCCATCTGGGAAAGGTGAGGGGTTTGCAAAGGGAGTAGCCTCCGGTCCTTTTGTTACTTAGTCGCGGAAAGTTAGGGTTTTCCCTTCAGTTTAGTTCCGGGAAGTCGGCATGAAACAGCCTTAGGTTCCCTACCTCCAGATCCTATTCTCCTGCCTCAAAACCACCCAAACACTTAGTGCCTTAAAGCAATTTACTATGATATCTCATAGTTTTGTGAGTTACCTGAGCTCAGCTGGGCATTGCTTGGCTTCCTTCTGTGGCTGCCATCAAATGACTGGGGCTGGAGTCTTCTGTAGGCTCGGCTGGGCTGGCTGTTCCCCAAGATGGCCTCCTTGCTCACACATCTAGTCCTTCAGTGCTTGTGCACGTGGCCTCTCTCTTAAGTGGAGTGGTCTAACCTTCTTAGCAGGTAGCTCACGGCTCCCAAAGACAGGAAGCAGAAACTCCATTCCTCTTGAATGCCAAGCCTGGAGCTGGCTATACTCTCTCATGCCATATACTTCTGCAGTATTCTATTGGTCAAACCCAGTCCAGCCCAGATTGTAGAGACTCCACTCCTCAATGGGGGAGTACAGGGAGGGAAGGAATCCATGGCAGCCATCTTTGGAGTCAGGTTACTGTAGGATTGCTGACCGACATTCAAATAAAATCAGCATCCTGTTGGACAAGGAAAGAGCAGAGAAATAGCTGTTGAGCAAACAACCACGTTAGCTTTTGTTTTGCAAATTGGGTCTGAAGAGATGACGCAGGTTTGTAATCCGGCCTAATCATGGGGCCTTCCTGTGAATCTCAACCAGAATAGCCTTCCTTGAGAGACCCCTGCAGAATCCTCTGACTTGCTCAATTGCTCACTTGGTTTTTAGCTACCATATTTTTTTTAAATCATAAAGTATTTTAGGGCCGGGTGAGGTGGCTCACGCCTGTAATCCCAGCACTTTGGGAGGCCGAGACAGTCAAATAACATGAGGTCAAGGGTTTGAGACCAGCCTGGCCAACATGATGACCCCCTGTCTCTACTAAAAATACAAAAATTAGCCAGACATGGTGGCATGTGCCTGTAATCCCAGCTACTCAGGAGGCTGAGGCAGGAGAATCACTTGAACCCAGGAGGCAGAGGTGGCAGTGAGCCAAGATCGTGTCATTGCACTCCAGTCGGGGCGATAAGAGCGAAACCCCATCTCAAACAAACAAACAAACAAACATATATAGAGAGAGAGAGAGAGAAATTCAAAGGCCATTTTATGCAGCAAACCATTTTACAGATTCAGAGATAGGGATTGAGGGAAATGGTATGCTCTGTCCAAGGTAACAATAAATGGCAGAGACAGGACAGTCTAAGCCTCCGGCATTAAGCCTCCAGCGTTTCTCAGTCTCCCATTGTACCTCCACAATATAGAGTTCAAATTCACAGCTAGGTAATAGAGCACTGGATTAGGACTAAAAGACTGTGTTCTATGTCTAGCTTTATGTGATATATACTGTTAGCATTCCCTCAATATTCGGGCTCCCCTTCTCCACAGTAAAAAGACCTCCCAATTTTATTGAGAGCATGTGCTTAACTAAATACTGCCTTTCCCAAACTTCCTTGCAGGAAGGTACAATCGTGTAACAAAGTTCTGGCCAATAAGACTTAAGCACAAGTGTGTGAATTCCAGGAAATCTCTTTACCAGCCAGCGTCCACCCTTGGCCTGTTTCTTCCCCCTCTTGCCTTTCCTCCATCCTAACTAACACCTGACTCCACTGTGAGAGACAGAGCTGGAGAAGCCATTGTGACCACACACACAATGAAAGAAACAAGGCCTGAACACTCTGCACAATTGCCCACAAATGATTTTATTTTTCCCCCCAAAGTTTCTCCCTCTCAGCTTCCACAATCCCCAGGTACAGCATTACTGCCCTGCCCAACACAAAACTACCCCTAACTTTTGCATCCTCAGCTCCCTTATTTCTGTCCTCAGTCATCAAATCCTTCACCATGTCTTTCTGCTTCTCTCATCATTGCATCCTTAGGCTCTTCCCTCCAGGACTGACTTGCCTGAGCAGCTATCTGATTAGTACTGATAGTGACAGCAGCAACTAAAGCTACTTGCCAACCTCCTAAAATGACACTTTGCTCACTGCCTTGGCTGTATTCTTTGCTTTTGTCAGTCCTTGTTCATGGTATCCTCTGGGGCAATGCATCTTACAAGGCAAGAAAGAAATGGCAAGGGTAGGACCTTCCACCAATGAATGCACAGTCCTACCAAAGAGACAGTATGTCATTCATTCATTCATTCCCTCAGCAAACTTTAGTTACGTGCTTGTATGCCAGGACCTGCGCTGATGCCAAAGATAGAAAGACATGGCCTCTGCACTCAAGGACCACCTCTTCCAGAGGAGAAGACAGACATGTATAAATAGAAACCAGAAACAAACAATTAGATGAAAATTTATTTTTAAGGAGAAAGTCCTAAAGCCAAGTTTCTGTTTGCCATTCATGGAAGAATAATGCAAACACTACCCGAGTCTCTGAGGCCCAGCCTCCACATTCTGGAGAGCATCCCATAGAGCCCATGCAATAACCTACAGCATGCTAACTTCTGTTGTAATCTCTTAGTGGTTTCAAAATGCCCATCTATCGTTTTAGCTAAATGGGATTTGGGTGATTACATTCCTTCCAGCTCTAAATTTCTGTGTTCTGTGAAATACGTAACTAATGACAATTATGGTTACCCAGACATATATACATGAGTGCTTAGAGGTGCTTAGAGTGATAGGAATGTCTGGAGATGAGCAAGTTAATCTAGGAGGGTTTAACAGAGGAACTACCCACATAGGCATTCCAGTAGGAATGAGAGTGCCTTCCTGTCAATGATAGTTCCAAGTGAGTAACAGCCAGAAGCAGAACCCCGATTTGTGCTTAATACAAGAATTTCCACGTGTATGTTTCATTAGAAAATAAGATAGCACTATTTAATAAAATGTTATAATTTCATTGAATATTTACTTTCTATGCCCCCAACTGTTTCCAAAAATGAATTTGAGGCCTCTATGCAATAGGAGGATTTTGGAAAGGATAAGAGAACAAGAGTCTTTTGCAGAAAAATAAATTAGAATGACAGAATTGATCAGAACATTTACCTCTGAGCTTTCTGGTGGCTAAGACAAAATGCAAAACATCTTGGGTTACAGAGTTTTCATTAACTGGTAAAAAGAAGCCTATCAGTTTATCAGGATCTCTTTTTACATTTTGAGGAGAATTTATTGTATAGATCTTTATGAACAGGACAATGAACAATTTTAGCAGAATATTCTTAAGAGCAGATTTACAAATATGATATACCTTACAGCAATGCTCAATAAAACACCAACACATACAATCAAAATATACTCCATTTAGAACTACTTAATAGAATGTTGCTATGAACTATAGAAACCTACTTTTAGAAGGAATGTAGGTCCTGACCTGGGACTGTTTTGGAAAATTGAATGTCCTAAGCTTAACTGCCAACCCAGCCAAGCTGTCGTTTTGCACAGATACACTTCTGTGTCACCTAGGACTCTGCAACAAGACTGAGGGTTTCTCGGGGAATTCCCAGCCAACACTTGCTGACCACCTGACCAAAGCAAGAAAAACTCAGTCTCACACAGAATTCTCCAACAACAACCTGCATTCTCAGCTGCCTCAACCTGAACTCTGAGCACCCTGTCTAACCTCTGCTAAAAGCCATCGACAACGCTGAATACCCTTCCCAAATGGATCAGGTGCTGCAATGCCAGATGGCAGACCAGGGCTGCTGATGTGTCTTTGTTCTCTCCCCAAAAGTTTGGGTGTGTGGATTTCTCTAGTCCCCTCCATGTCTGCTGGTTTGTCCCTTGGATAGCTCAGGTTCAGTGCAACCAACTCTTATCAACAAATGTCTGTCTGGGGGCTACCTGGCTTCTCACCCCTAATGAGTAGCAGTGATCAGCACCCAAAGCCATTCAAAGAGGAGGGACTTCAGAGACCAAAAGTGGACCTTCCAGAGCAAGACAGGACTCTACAATCCTTTCCAAACTTGGTTTCCCAAGAGTTTATGGAGAATCTATAACCCACTCTAAAATTACTCTAAAATCTCCAGATTTCTCTAGATCCACAAAGCAGATTCAGAGATCCCCAGAGGGCTTTAAACTTCTTTTTCCCAAGTCCCTCTTAGCCTCAAAAATCCAAAGTGTAGCCAGCAGAGGAGTGCAGGCTGGAAGGTGGACACACATCTCTATTCCTTTGCACATGCCTCTTCCACTTGCATGGACCTGCCTCTCTCTTGTTCATCTGTCAAACTTCTATTCATCCTTCAAAACCCAGGTCAGGCAGGTCTGGAAAAATTTTCTTGACAGCACTCTCTCTCCATGAGAATAAATCACCTGCAGTTCTGAACTATTTCTTTACTTCATACAGACTTTATTATTCCCAGTATCATTTCACGTATTTGTTTCTTGTGCTCGGCTTGAAACTCCATGAGGCAGAGATTTTTACTGCTGTTTGTAATCTTCAACCCTAGCAGAGGGCTTACCGTTTTCTAATGGCTTAATTAGGGTTTGTTGAACTATCTGAACAAGAGCTTTAAATGTGATTAAAAATTCCAAATATTACACTTGGGATTTGCCAGGCTCCCAGATGGCCTTGGAAGGTCTACATACTTCAAATGCTGTCTGCCATATTTCAAATTAGATTAAGAGTTGTTAGAGTTCATCTTTTAGAGTTCAAGACTTATTACTGGTGATAAGTTGAAATAGGGGGGAATTGTGTGCTCAGTGGTGTTATGAAACACATAGAAGGAAAATATTTTGAAATGTTTATTTCTGTTGTTCCTTGCTTCTCCCCATTCCCACCCCAAACCCACTGAATTCCTCCATTTACACACCGAGAGCCTCTTTTCTCCTCGGCTCATGGAAGTCTGTCACTAGGAACCGGAACAAAAAGCTTTAGGCACTTGTCTATTTGGAGTAGAGGGGAATTTACTCACCTAAACCCAAGGAGAAAGACTGAAATGCATACTTGCAAAGTGGAATTTTCTGTCCTTAGAAATAAAAAAATGTTGCCTTCCCAGCTGGGAAAGGGAGGAAAAAAACAAAAGAGGAAGAGACTGCTGGGAGTGTTTAAGAAGAAACCAGCAGAGCCAGCAGCCTGAGCCCACCCTCTGGCTCCTGTGTGCAAGGTCCCCAAGCTGACAGCAGCCAACCTATCACCTAGGCACTCCCTGAGTGGGGGTGACTCTCATATGGGCATCAGGATTATTCCACCCCCACTCTCCCTACCCATCCTCCTACACAGCCCTCATCCCGCAATGGCCCAGGACACTAGTAAGCTCCTCTCAGAATGCAGAGTGAATGACATCTCCTCCAGGGGCATGGCAGGAAGGGAAAGCTCTCTAACAAACAGAAAGCATATGGAATCATTTTGAAATCAGCCACCCATTAGCACAGCAGTGGGACATAGCATCCCCATCACAACGGCCTTGTAATTGGGCAATGTACTGAAATGTGGAAGCTTCCAGGTTAAACATCAGGCAACTCAGGTGCTGAGGTTCCACTGGTCCCCACAGGACTCTGGCGCAGTGATCTATGGTGAGGAGGGAGTGTTTTCTCTGCCTTTAGACAACACAGTTACCCTGTTTTTCTGTTTGGGAGGGGGTCTTCCATATCACACTATCCAGCTCCAGGGAATACCCACAAGTGCTAGCATTTTTAATACCGGGGGCTCCCTTAAAAAATGTGCTTAAAGTTAAAATCTAACCTCAAATATACATTTTCTTACTTGGTGACTGAGGCGTGAAATGGAATCATGTGGGATAAGGAAGTGGCAGAGTAGAACAAAGAAACAATACCAACAACACAGAAATTAGTGTTTCCTGAGCTCTGGGAAGCACATGTTTGAGAAAGTTAATTCCCTAGGAAGTGCTTGCTTCTATGCCGTAGTTTTTTCTGTTCTACTCTACCACTTCCTTATCCCATGTGATTCTGTTTCATGGCTCAGTCACTGAAAAGAAAATGTATATTTTAATTTTGAAGTGCGAATTCTGAAACATGTTTGAAGTATGCGTTGGTGCAACAAAGCTGAATCCCTAAGCCTGACAGATCAGCGACAGAGGTGAGGCATTTGAAAGGAAAGTTGAGAGCTCAAAAAGTTGATTCAGCAAGAAAATGTTGGATGACATTAGGTGATGAGAAGTAAATAAGTGGCAAACTAAACTACTGTTGTTCAAAATGAGGTAAAAACTAAGGCCACCAAAAAAATAATTCAGGCACCTCTAGAAGGCAAGTGGTAGCAATTCACAGGAGAAAAAAGGGTTTATTTTTGCACTGATTTTTCTGAAAGAGAAGCACTGCAAAGGTTGAGCTCAATTAAAAGAATTCTAATATCACTTCACTTGCAAAGAAGAATAAATCCAAAAGAAAGGTGTATACAATAGGTTATTCTTGTTTTTTTAATCAGAAGTACAGTATTTTAAGTGACCGGTCACATTTTTTAATGGCGAAGAAGGTTATAATTGTTTTACCAAGACAGTTACTCAATAATTCTTGCGCTATTTACCATTACAGAGAAAATCTTTGGAGACAGGGAATTGATGGTTGTGGAGACATAAGCCTTGCAGAAGTTCCAGCACAAAAATGCTCCTTTGTCCAGCTGACAGTTCCACCAAAGTCAATGACTATCTGGGGCTTGAATGTCACTCGCTATTTATATTTTTAAAATTTATTTATTATCTTTTTTTTCTGTTCTAGGAAAAGAAAATCAAATGATTGTATCCTGGGAGGCAAATTTTTATCTTAGGAGGAAACAGCTTTATGCTTATATGTTATCCTAACAATAACAACATTTGCATTACCCAAGCAGCCCCCTCCTTAGCTCTACAATAAAAATCTCTTCCCATGATTCCTGAGATCATCATCAGCCTTCAGTTTATTTACTGCAGGAGAGGAGAAAGAATGTTGATCTCTCAAGCCCTTACTGCACTTCTGAGAGATCTCAAGATTCCCAAACTTGATCTGATGATGAATATATATATATATATATATATGTATATCTTACAATGTTGTATATGGAAAGTCATGTTTACATAAAAGGCCTGAATATTACAGACTCAGAAAAACAAAGGCATGAGTGAAGAAGAGAAGTCTTGAAATAAAGAGACAAAGAATACCTGATAGCAATAGACCAGCTGTCCCTCAAAAAAAGACTTCAGTCAATAGCACATCTTTGAGGATTTTTTCAGAAACTAGTTCAATTAGCTATTAAACCTCTCCTGAACTTTTCAGTAGTAATTTTTCACTTCTTCCTATTACTCAAGACAAAGTGAGACAAATAGCCTAAACAGGAAAAAAAAATTCTATTAGCAACACTTACTAATAAAATCAAGAACATAGAACTTTTCTCTTAAAAATGAACTATATATTTTTCAGATCCTGACTTCAGCCATTTATTATTTTTATTTAAGAACAAAGTGTACAGAGTCTGAAGAATGCAGACATGTGTACAAATGGCTCAGGAACCACATATATAAATTCAGAGATTAAATCCCTTTAGTGTTTCATGTATTTGTGCTCACGTAAGTCAATAAATTTTGAAGTTATAGGTTTCTAGAGCAAAAAGAATTTTCTGACTCTCTCATAGTGAATATTTTATGTTTTGAAAAATATATAAGCAAACCCAAATTGAGAGAAATTCTACAAAATAACTGATTTATGCTCTTCAAAAATGTCAAGGTCATGACAAAGACAGACTGGGGACTGTTCCAGATTGAAGGAGACTAAAGCAACTTGACAGTTGAATTCAATGCATTGTCTGCGATTTTTCTCTTGATGTAAAAGGACATTATTGAGAAAATTAGCAAAATTGAATAAGGTAGATCAGACAATAGTATTATATCTGTGCTAATGTTCTGATTTTGGTTATAGCACTGTGGTTATGTAAGAGAATGTCTTCGCATTAGCAAAGGTATAGATGTATTTAAAGGTATAGCAGCATCATGTCTGCAACTTACTCTTCAGAAAGCAGTTTAGAAAAAAAAGATTAAATGGACACACACACACACACAGAGACTGGGGGGAGCAGTAAAGCAAATGTGGTATAATATAAAAATCTAGAGAATCAAAGTGAAGGATATATGGAAATTCTTTGTACTATGCTTGCAAGGTTCCTGTAACTCTGAAATTATGTCAAAATAAAGAACTGAAAAAATTTCAATAAAAATATATAGTATTAAATTTTTATTCCATGCAATCCTACATGGCCTTTAGCAATATTTACTTAAGAGGAGCACATTAAAGGGTCAAGACTTTACTGGGCTGTTTTACCCTAAAAATACATGCAAGGGAGCCCTATTTTGAGAAGGAAATATCTACAATAAGTTTTTAAAAAGAAAAACATGGATGATTACTTTCATAGTCTGATACCTGGAAAGAGAGTTAGAATGTGGATAGATTTCTTACATGTTAGCAATAAATATATTTTAAAAGCTGAGGGCTGCTTATTTCAGATAAGGGAAAAGTTAGTACCAAAGGGAAGAATTACCTCCCAAAATATCAGTACCTTTTAAAAGAGCAAGATTACCAGGACCAAAGACGTCAAGTAATGGCCCCAGATGATAGTCTGCAAAACCACTGGCACAACCTCTGTGTTATGTGTTTTTGTATTTAACATCAGTAATTTAGTCAGAAGATTTTAATTACATAAATTTTTAAATGTTCCTAGTTTTTACATTAACGTGTAAGAGAATGGGTTGGTCTCCTTGCCGCTTGAGATAAAGTTCCCCAGAGTAAAATAAGAGGAACTCATAATAAAATATGAGTAATATGACCACATTACCAATTGTTGGTTTTTTTCCAATTTCAATAAAATTTCAAAGCAAAGTGCTTTGTTTTCCAATCCAAACATTTTATTAACATGTATTTGCATTTAATTATTGAGTTAGAAAACTCCTTGGTAAAAAACAAAGTTCAAAGTTAATGCAAATGATGCTTTATTTCAATCTTACCTGAGTAGCTCTAAAAACCATGTGAATCTTCTGAATATCTGGACACAGGCTTCAATTTTTAATATTCCTATCTAAAAAATATGAAGCCATTTTTCTCCTAATTTGACTTCATTGTCCTTTCTCAATAAGAACTCTATTCCCATTCAGTTTGAAGTTTATGGCTTCTGTTCTTTAAGTTATATAAGCCCAAAAAGGTCAGAACATTTTTTAGAGAAGAGAGTGTGTTTTTTCACCTTCACATGATTCAAATACATCAAAAGTGTAGCCCAGCTGATGCTTTAAAAACACTCACCTACTAGTTGGTTTGGGAAGTTTTAACCTAAGAAAATATAGTCAGTAACATAAGATGAGACTTTTCAGTAGCAAGTTCTCAAATTACCTCTGTTGCATATTCTGTAGTAACATACATGACCTTTCTAATTTTTTTTTTCTAAGGCAGGGTCTTGCTCTTTTGCCCAGGCTAGACTGCAGGAGTACGATCATGGCTCACTGCAGCCTTGACCTCTTGGGCTCAAGAGATTCTCCTACTTCAGCCTCCTGAGTAGCTGGGACCACAGGTGCGCACCACCACAGCCAGCTAATTTTTAATTTTTTAAAATTTTTTGTAGAGAAGGGACCTCAGAATATTGCCCAGGCTGGTCTCAAACTTCTGGGCTTAAGCGATCCATGTACCTTGGCCTGCCAAAATGCTGGGATTACAGATGTGTGCCACTGCACTCAGCCACATGATGACACAATTGTTTATTTGATTTTGCAATATCGTTTCTAGACTTAAAAACGGAATCTATTAATGGGGTAATAAATTTTTTTTATTAAAACTGTTAGTTTGAAAAAACAGGTCTGGTAGTTATAAAGCAACTATATTGGTCTCCCACTGTCCTTTTACTCAGCTTCCCTACCTCCTTGAATGAAATTGGGCATGTTCCATAGCTTTTCTGGATACCCTTCAGCCACAAAAGTTTCTCTGGTGACTCTAGTCCCCCAAACAGTCTTAGTTCATTAATAAAATGGCCAGTCCCTTATACTTGTCAAATTCTCCAACTATGTTCAAAGTTAAGTTTTCTTCCATTCTGCAGCTAGGCCTGATTCGGGCTGAATACCTACAGTGGCAAAGATGCACACAGTTGGCTTCCCGACTCACTCTGCCAGCATTATCCTGCCCCTCCTCATCAGCCCCAACGCAACTCCAGCTGAGGCTTCAGACCTCAGGGTTGAAGAGGAATAGGGAAGGAGAAGGGGTAAGAGCAGCGATATGGTGTGAAACTGTCTTCTTAAAAACATTTACAGCTGATTCATTTTCCCATGGGCTCGTCAGTGGATTCTTGGGCAATAGGGGATCTTTTACCTATTAATACAATTTACCTGTCCTGGAAAAAATTATCATCTTACACTGGGAGCTTACAACTATCTCTCTCAGTCTCTGCAGTCTGGCTGTACTCCTTCAACATCTTCCTGCCAAGAGCTCCTCACCCCTACAGGTAGAATTTTATGGCAAGGTCGTGGACAAACTGTCACCACCTCTTTCTCTTTTGTGGCCCACACTGGTTACAGAGAAGCTCTCGGGCATTGTTGCAGTACAAATGCTGACTGTACAGCCTGTCCCCTACCCAGTAATCAATATCCCCCCTTCTGTCAAAGCAAGCAACCAGTCCTAGGCTACTGAAGTATCTTTTCCTATGCATAAAGTGAAAGCAAATACTCCTGGCCAGACGTGGTGGCTCATGCCTGTAATCCCAACACTTTGAGAGGCTGAAGCGGGTGGATCACGAGGTCAGGAGATCAAGACCATCCTGGCTAACACGGTGAAACCCTGTCTCTACTAAAAATACAAAAACATTAGCCGGGTGTGGTGGCAGGCACCTGTAGTCCCAGCTACTCGGGAGGCTGAGGTAGGAGAATGGCTTGAACCCAGGAGGTGGAGCTTGCAGTGAGCCGAGATCGCGCCACTGCACTCCAGCCTGGGCAACAGAGCGAGACTCTGTCTTTAAAAAAAAAAAAAAAAAAAAAAAACAGAAAGAAAGTAAATACTCCATTTTCCTCCTACTTTGGAATGGTAGAAAATTTCCCAAATGCTATGGTTTGAATTATTGTGTCCTCCAAAATTCATATGTTGAAATCCTAACCCACATGGTAACAGTATTAAAGGCAGGGCCTTTGGGAGCTGATTAGGTCATGGGAGCACAGCCCTCATGAATGGGATTAATGTTCTTATAAAAGAAGCCAGAGAGAGACCCCTCACTCTTCTGCCATATGAGGACATGCAAGAAGGTGCCATCTATGAACCAGAGAGCAGTTTCTGAGCAGACACAGAATCTGTGGGTGCCTTGATCTTGGACTTCCCAGCCTTCAGAGCTGTGAGAAATAAATGTCTGTTGCTTATAAGCCACCCTGTTTCTATAATAGTGGTTGTTATATGAAGCAAGACAGACTAAGACACCAAGTTGGCTCCAAAATTATTTTTCTTATTTTCAACTCTCCTTTTAGGTCTCCCCCTCAGGTCTGATAGGCAGCTAAGGGTTACAAACCTAGTTCTCAGACAACCCTTTTACAATCCCCACCTTGGTGGTCCAGAACTTGGGAGTAGGTGGCACCTATTGTTTTGTAATCAGTGCCAGAACTGATCACATTTTTTAACATCCTGTTCTTAATACTCTTGCAATACCTGTTGAGATAATTAAAAGCACATTGGAATGTAACAAAGTCTGTGTCAGAAAATGTGGTAAAACTCTCTTTATACTGGTTCTAATACAATATTTTTATATGTGATATTACATGTACAAGCAAATCTTAAAAAAGGGAAAAGGTATATTACATTTGCATGCCAATATTAATGCACCTGAGTGTTTCCATCACAACACAAAATTTTAGTTGTACTATTAAAAGTGCATATCCAGGTGTATGACTTCCCTCTTCAATTACCTCAGTGACCACATGCATTCACATCCCTCCACAGAGCTCCAT
This sequence comes from Homo sapiens, assembly GCF_000001405.40. Classification (NCBI taxonomy): domain Eukaryota; kingdom Metazoa; phylum Chordata; class Mammalia; order Primates; family Hominidae; genus Homo; species Homo sapiens. The sequence continues at coordinate 25,970,763 of NC_000018.10, forward strand.
GGGACCATTTCAGAAGAATTCATAGGCCCCCAAATAGTACTAAAATGGAGAATTTCCTTGTCACCAGAGACTTGGGGAATGAGCATAGACCTCTGGAAACTACTCTACTGTGTTTTTTCTCATCTGTCTCCAATTTGTCTACAAGTGGCTAAATGTGATATAAAAGTAATTGCAAATAAAGTTGGCCTTAAGATTAATTATAATAACACAGCACAGTTTGGTTCTCTATAAAATATGTTAATATAAAGCCATTTGCTCTCTTCCATAGACATCTTTGTGTTTGTAATGCTTAATTTCCTTTACTTCTATTTAAAAAGAAAGAAAAAACATATGATGGGTGTAGAAACTATTCTACCCAAACTACTAATATATCATGAAAATATTTATTTCTTAATTTATCTTTACCTGGCAAAGCAAATTATATCATTCTAACACTTTTAGAACAAAACGGACCTTAGGAATAATTCGTTCCAAACTGCCTATGTAAGTTTTCTATGGCAGCTATAACAAATTACCACAAACTTGATGGCTTAAAACATAAATTTATGGCCAGGCGCGATGGCTCATGCCTGTAATCCCAACATTTTGGGAGGCTGAGGTGGGTAGATCACCTAAAGTCAGGAGTTTGAGACCAGCCTGACCAATATGATGAAATCCCATCTCTACTAAAAATACAAAAATTAGCTGGGTGTGGAGGCATGTGCCTGTAGTCCCAGCTACTCAGGAGGCTGAGACAGGAGAATTGCTTGAACCCAGCAGGTGGAGGTTGCAGTGAGCCAAGATCACGCCACTGCACTCCAGCTTGGGTGACAGAGACTCCATCTCAAAAAACAAAATAATATAAAATAAAAACAGAAATTTATTCTCTCATAGTTATGGAGGCTATAAATCCAAAGTCAGTGTCACCAGCAAAAATCAAAGTTTGTGTCCCCTCTAGGGGGTTTAGGGAAGGATGCATTTCTTACCTCCTCCTGTTTCCAGTGGCTGTTGGCATTCCTTGGCTTGTGGCTGCATCACTCTAACCTCTACCTCCGTGGTCACCATATTGTTTTCTCTTTTTCTGTATGATATTCCTTTCTGTTTTCCTTTGATAAGGACACTTACGATTACACTCAAGATTATCCAAGATAATCTCCCTATCTCAAAATCCTTAACTTAATTACATCTGCAAAGACTCTTTTTCTATTCAATGTAATATTTATAGGCTCCATGGATTAGGGCTTAATATCTTTGGGGCCTTTATTCAGCCTCCCACACACTGCTCGTGTTAGACATGAAGAAACTGAGACCAAGAGAGAAATGTTGCCCAAAAGTCATGCAACTGCCTGTAGTCCCAGCTACTCGGGAGGCTGAGGCAGGAGAATGGCGTGAACCCGGGAGGCGGAGTTTGCAGTGAGCCGAGATCGCGCCACTGCACTCCAGCCTGGGCGACAGAGCGAGACTCCGTCTCAAAAAAAAAAAAAAAAGTCATGCAACTAATTAGAAATAAAGTCAACACAAGAATATATACGTCTTGATTCCAGTTGAGCATAACCCCCTTCATTCCAATGACTCTATAATATTTTATCACCTTTGTAAAATTGCAAAATACATCTGAATATACATACCTGTTTTCAAAACTGCCATCCTAGCATATACTAGTTTTGCATAAACTTCATACCATGTCACTTCCTTCACTTTTAATCACTATGTAGTATTCTGTTGCACCAGTTTAGCAAAATCTGTATCATCATACCTAAATTATTGAAAATTTAGATTGTTTCCAGTTTGCTTGTTTGTTTTGCCAATGAATATTCCTGTCCTGCAATGAATATTTCTGTGCATCTTTGCACCTTTGTATTCATTTCTGATTGATTTCTAATGACAAAATCTTCTTTCCCCCCCACCCCCCGTAACAGAGTCTTGCTCTGTCGCACAGGCTGGAGTGCAGTGGTGCAATCTCAGCTCATTGCAACCTCCGCCTCCCAGGCTCAAGCAATTCTCCTGCTTCGGCTTCCCAAATAGCTGGGATTACAGGTGCGAGCCACCACGCCCAGCTAATTTTTGTATTTTTAGTAGAGACAGGGTTTTGCTATGTTGGCCAGGCTGGTCTCGAACTCCTGACCTCGTGATCCGCCTGCCTTGGCCTCCCAAAGTGCTGGGATTACAGATGTGAGTCACTGCGCCCGGCCAACAAAATCTTGGAAACAAAATTGCACAGTAGTAGATATGCCTACTTTTGAGGCTGTAAAACAAATTGCCCTCCAGAAAGAACAAACAGCAGTATTTATGAATGTCCTTTGCCCGCCACCTTTACAACAGGATTTGGCATTCTTCTTAAACTTTGCTAATCTGAAAAATTAAAAAGTGTCTTGCTGTTGTTTTAATTTGAGGTTTACTAATCTTTAGCCATTTGATGTATTATCTGTTGTGTTGACTACTTATTTTTTGCCTATATTTCTATTAGGAGCTATATTTTTCAGGTTGATTTGTGGAGATCCTTAAATTAGTACATTAACCCCCTAAGCATATAAATTGCAAGTGGATTTTTTCCCAGTTAATTCATTTTTAATTTTTTTAATATAGCCAATTTGTCTGGATAATATTCATTTGTTTTTTAATTATATTTATTGCATTACATTTTCTCCTGACATCGAAAGCTTTACATTGTTTGTTGGTCAAATGAATCATTCTTTCCTCTTGTATCATTCTTTCTTCTTAAGGTGCCCATGGTTCTACTTGGCGCCCATATTTCTTAAAAGAGAGTGGCATGACATATCTTGGGAAACAAAAGGGAGGAGCTGGCTCAAGCACAACCAGAGTAATTCCATCCACTGTGCCAATGTTACAGGAAAAGGGTCCCAATACAGACCCCAAGAGAGGGTTCTTGAATCTCGCACAAGAAAGAATTCAGGGCGAGTCCATAGAGTAAAGTGAAAGCAAGTTTATTAAGAAAGTAGAGGAACAAAAGAATGGCTACTCCATAGACAGAGTAGCCCCGAAGGCTGCTGGTTGCCCATTTTTATGGTTATTTCTTAATGACATGCTAAACAACAGGTGGATTATTCCTGCCTGCCCTTTTTAGACCTTATAGGGTAACTTCCTGATGTTGCCATGGCATCTGTAAACTGTCATGGCACTGCTGGGAGTGTAGCAGTGAGGACGACCAGAGTTCACTCTCGTGGCCATCTTGGTTTTGGTGGGATTTAGCCGGCTTCTTTACTGCAATCTGTTTCGTCAATAAGGTCTTTATGACTTGTATCTTATGCTGACCTCCTATCTCATCCTGTGACTTAGAATGCTTTAACTGTCTGGGAATGCCGCTTAGTAGGTCTCAGCCTCATTTTGCCCAGTTCCTATTCAAGATGGAGTTGCTCGGGTTCAAACGCCTCTGACAGCAAGACACATAAACAGCTGGAGAATGTTAAAGATGGCAGTGTGAAAGGTGACTGTAAACATCATCAAGCTCTATCCTTTTCAAACTTTGGAAACATGAAATTCCAAAGAAATGCCACAGGGCCCCCGCTAGGACCATTTGACTTCTGAGCAGGTGGTCCAGGACTCTACTGCAGCTTCAAACAGAACAGCTCAAATTTTATCTTTTTCTGTATTGGACTAACACAAAATGTTTACATAATGTTACAAAATGTTTTCACTTTTATGTGTTTGCCCTCTTAAATTGCCCTTAACACTCATAAATTTGCCAACAAATGTTTAAGTGTACGGTACAGTAGATCATTAAGTACAATGTGCTAAACACGATGTACAGCAGGTCTCTAGAACTTGTTCAACTTACATCATGAGAACTCTTTACTCATTGAACAGCAATGGAGGGGGAAATGGGGAGTTGCTGTTCAATGAGTATAAATGTTTCATATTTTTTAACGGGTTCCTTAAGCTGATCAAGAGCAATACACTTATTTATAAAAGCCACTAGATGGCCTCCACTTTCTTATCACCATCACTGTTTTGGCCTGCACTCAGTAAGAACTCCCTCAATGTGGCCTGAATTAATTAAGTCACTTGTCTGAGGTAGCACAGTTAGTGGCCAGGCTGGGACTGGAACCTAGGTCTCCAGATTCTCAAGTCAGTGTTATTGTTAGAAGCATGAGAACGAGAACAACTCTATCTTGAGTAGGGCTGGGTACAATGAGGTTGAGACTTATTTGGCTGCATTCCCAGACAGTTAAGGCATTCTAAGTCACAGGATGAGATAGGAGGTCAGCACAAGACACAGGTCATAAAGACATTGCTGATAAAACAGGTTACAGTAAAGAAGCCAGCTAAATCCCACCAAAACCAAAATGGCCACAAGAGTGACCTCTGGTCATCCTCACTGCTACACTCCCACCAGCACCATGACAGTTTACAGATGCCATGGCAACGTCAGGAAGTTACCCTATACGGTCTAAAAAGGGGAGGCATGAATAATCCACCCCTTGTTTAGCATATCATCAAGAAATAACCATACAAATGGGCAACCAGCAGCCCTTGGGGCCGCTGTGTCTATGGAGTAGCCATTCTTTTATTCCTTTACTTTGTTGTTGTTGTTGTTGTTGTTGTTGTTGAGACGGAGTTTTGCTCTTTTGCCCCGACTGGAGTGCAGTGGTGCGATGTCCACTCACTGCAACCTATGCCTTCCCATTTCCAGCGATTCTCCTGCCTCAGCCTCCCAAGTAGCTGGGAGGCACTCGCCACCATGCCTGGCTACTTTTTGTATTTTTAGTAGAGACAGGGTTTCACCATGTTGGCCAGGCTGGTCTCGAACTCCTGACCTTGTTATCTGCCCGCCTCAGCCTCCCAAAGCGCTGGGACTACAGACGTGAGCCACCGTGCCCGGCCTATTCCTTTACTTTCTTAATAAACTTGCTTTCACTTTACAGACTCGCCCTGAATTCTTTCTTCTGTGAGATCCAAGAACCCTCTTGGGGTCTGGATTGGGACCCCTTTCCTGTAACATTATTGTCAGAGGCATGTGAACCAGAGCACTCCATCTTTCTTTTTTTTTTTTTTTTTTTTTTTGAGACAGAGTCTCGCTCTGTCACCCAGGCTGGAGTGCAGTGACGTGATCTCATCTCACTGCAACCTCCACCTCCCGGGTTCAAGCAATTCTCCGGCCTCAGCCTCCAGAGTAGCTGGGACTATAGGCGCCCACCACCATGCCCAGCTAATTTTTGTATTTTTGGTAGAGACGGGGTTTCACCGTGTTAGCCAGGATGGTCTTGATTTCCTGACCTCGTGATTTGCATAATTCAGCCTCCGAAAGTGCTGAGATTACAGGCATGAGCCACCGGGCCTGGCCCAGCGCAACTCCATCTTAAACAGGAGCTGGGTAAAATGATGCTGAGACCTACTAGACTGCATTCCCAGATGGTTAAGGCATTCTAAGTCACAGGATGAGATAGGAGGTCAGCACAAAATACAGGTCATAAAGACCTTGCTGATAAAACAAGTTGCAGTAAAGGAGCCGGCCAAAACCCACGAAAACCAAGATGGCCACGAGAGTGACCTCTGGTCGTTCTCACTGCTACACTCCCAACAGCGCCATAACAGTTTACAGATGCCACGGCAACATTAGGAAGTTACCCTATATGGTCTAAAAAGGGCAGGCATGAATAATCTACCAGTTGTTTAGCATATCATCAAGAAATAACCATACAAATGGGCAACCAGCAGCCCTCGGGGCTGCTCTATGGAGTAGTCATTCTTTTATCCCTTTACTTTCTTAATAAACTTGCTTTCACTTTGCACTGCAGACTTGCCCTGAATTCTTTCTTGTGCGAGATTCAAGAACCCTCTCTTGGGGTCTGGACTGGGACCCCTTTCTTGTAACATTATGACTGCCATTGTCACACTGTCTACAGTTCTTATGGCACTATGTTTAATAATATCTGCTGGATAATTGCTCTAATCTCCTATTCCATGGAAAAACAGATGCACACTTCAACTTTCTCCTTTAACATTTTCCAACTGTTTATGTGTCTTGCCACAGTGGATGGAATTACTGTGGTTGTACTGAAGCCAGCTCCTTCCTTTTGTATATTCAGTTCGTGGTTGGTCATGGCTGGCTGCCCTGGCTTTCTCCAAGACTGGCCTTACTGGGATGGGATACAGGGTCCCCTAGTGGCTGAACCTGAAGAGGACTGGCTATGGTAACAAGAGGTTTTGTTGTTGTTGTTGTTGTTGATACAGAGTCTCACTCTGTCGCCCAGGCTGGAGTGCAGTGGTGCAATCTCGGCACACTGCAACCTCTGTCTTCCAGGTTCAAGCGCTTCTCGTGCCTCAGCCTCCTGAGTAGCTGAAATTGTAGGCACCTGCCACCACACCCAGCTGATTTTTGTATTTTTTAGTAGAGATGGGGTTTCGCCATGTTGGCCAGGCTGGTCTCGGACTCCTGACCTCAAGTGATGAGCCCACCTCAGCCTCTCAAAGTGCTGGGATTACAGGCATGAACCATCACACCTGGCCAGTTTGTGCATTTCTAACGAGCTCTCAGGTGTTGTGATGCTGCTGGGCTGAGGACCACACTTCCAGTGGTCTATCTGAAATTAGCAAGCAAGTCTCCAGAAAAGACCTAGAGGGAATAGAACACAGGGGATAAATCTGGTGACAATGATGCATGAGCTCTGGTCTCAGGAAGGCCAGCACTTGGGAGATTTCTATGGTGGGAGGCTCTGCAAATCCTCCAGGAAAGGCTTGAATATGGTTGCAAGCCACAGAAAAGGCAGGAAACCAAAACTTCCGTTTTGCTGGAAGCTGCCTGGGTTTACAAAAAATACACAACTGGGCTCAGAAAAGCAAACGGGTGAGTCTTCTAATGAACCATCTACATGCCTAGCACCCACACGGGGATCAACGAGAGCCTAGAGTCCTGGATTGTTTAATAAGACCCACTTACTAGTCTCCCTTGACTTTCAAGTTAACACCTCACCGAGGTGACTTCGCATGCACTGGAGTGGCACCTAGCTCCATGGTGGCAGGAACATTATCTGATTGGAGATGATCATCATAAAGGCTTTGGGACAGGAGCATTTGCTAAGTTGGTTTCAGTGAGACTTTCACAAAGCTCCTTAAGCAGTTTGCCTCATAGCAGGCAATATTCAGTCTTCCTCCCTCTGTGGCGTTATGCGGGGGCTTGGAGCTTCATTAGCCTCAGTTTAATTTTTACCAGATCCCTGCTGAGCATACACAAAAGCAATTTTTTTAATTGCCTATTTTTTTATATTTTGTGCTTTTCTTTCTTCTTCTTTTCTTTCATTCAAAAAAATTTATACAAATATTTTTGCATAAAAGAGATGAGTCATTGGTGAAGTTTGAAGTTTTGTTTGTAGGGTGTTTTTAAGGCATTAGGGTAAAGAATATTCTTCTCTTTTTAACACTATACAATTGACCAGCACTTTGGGAGGCCAAGGTGGGTGGATCACTTGAGGTCGGGAGTTTGAGATCAGCCTGGCCAACATGGTGAAACCCCATCTTCTCTACTGAAAATACAAAACTTAACCGGGCATGGTGGCGTGTGCCTGTAATCCCAGCTACTCGGGAGGCTGAGGCAGGAGAATTGCTTGATCCGGGGACATGGAGGTTGCAGTGAGCCGAGATTGCACCACTGTACTCCAGCCTGGGCAACAGAGGGAGACTCTGTCTCAAAACAAAACAAAACACTATACAATTCAGAAATATATACATATTTTTGTCAATAATGGGGCATATCTTTTGGTAACAAAATATAGAAAAAACAGCCCCAAAAATATTTTTTTCAAACACTGTCTTCTTGCATGTAAAATTATATTATTCATTACTTTGCTACATAAAGTATAAATTTAATTTCTGGAAATGATAGTTATATTTAATGCTCATCTTGCAAATATCTTTTATTAAAGATAAACATTAGGCCAGGCTCAGTGGCTCATGCCTGTAATCCCAGCACTTTGGGAGGCTGAGGTGGGTGGATCACGAGGTCAGGAGTTTGAGACCAGCCTGGCCAACATGGTGAAACCCTGTCTCTACAAAAACACAAAAATTAGTTCAGCGTGATGGTGCAGGCCTGTAATCCCAGCTACTGGGGAGGCTGAGGAAGGAGAATCTCTGGAACCCGGGAGGTGGAGTTTGCAGTGAGCCGAGATCGCGCCACTGCACTCCACCCTGGGTAACAGAGCAAGACTCTGTCTCAAAAATAAACAAAAAACCAAAAAACCACATACTATTTTCATTTCTATTTGTCAGTTACAAGCTTGAGACAAACCACAGATAACTTCATTTTTAATTTTCTGAGTTTGTTGACAGCACTTTTCCTTTCTAATCCTTTCTTGAAGATCCAGGATTGGGTAAAAGAGGGGTTTCAATTAGTCAGGAGTTGGCCTTCCTCTTCACAGAAAAAAAACAAATGTTTTGCTGGCATTTGGTACATTGCAGAGGGTTTTCTCTGGCTCTGATCTACAGTTGCTATGTTGAGGAGTCTTCCTGTTTCTATTATATCACTGAGAAGTTCATGTTATTTTAAAATGTCCCCTGCCACAGCCTCGATTCTCCCGAGGAGCATATTCCTTTCCATAGAATGGGCATTTTTCGAACTTAATATCTTACATTTGATTACCATTGGTGCATATTTAAATGTTGTCTTGCTCATCTTGTTTATTACATATATGTATTAAAAACTAATAAAAGCAAAATAATACAAAAAATGAGCATTTCATTTTGGCATCCTCCCTATTACAAAACCCTGCAGATGTTTGGCTGCCTGTGATATATTTTGGGGGGTGGAATTTGCAACTGCTATAATTAAGCAATACCATTAAGTCACCCGAGAGTAAATTAGAAGCTAAACTGGTGCTGTGTGCTCAGGAACCCAAGATTATGGGCTGAGATCTCTATTCAGTGTATGAAGTCAGCTCCCTTCAAATTGATTCTGAAATAAAAGGTGTTATTTCTATTCCCCACCCCCAAAATACATAAGTGTATTAAACATGTCCCTAATATTGATTTGGCATGCCAGTTGTAATCTTAAATTGTAGGGGGAAAATGTTTTTGTAAATAGAGCTATTTCTGTTTTGCTACTACTGTTTCAGCCGTAATGGGCAAGAGAAGTGTGTAGGTCTGGATTATTTCCAAGGATTTGGCTGGGTTTCACTGATTCAGTAGTGGTTAAAAAAAAAAAAAGAAAGAAAGAAAGAAAAGAAAAAGAAATCAGGAGAAAGAAATAGGGAAAAAATAGTCCCAGTATATATTGTTGCAATTAGAATTGGATAGTTAATGTTACTTTTCAGAGTCTTCCTTACATAATACTATCTGAAGCAAGACCATCAAATCCCAACAACCCAAAATACAAATTGTCAGCCATCTGAGTAGAACATTGCTACAATGATTGTCACCAATGGCAGTTTAAGCAACCTATAATCAAATATACCCAGAATATTAACAATTAAAAACATGTTGAATTGTCTAATATAATTAAAAGATATAACCTTGAACACACCATCATGCTAAGCTCCTCTCTTCAAAGACAATTTAAGTTGACCAGACTAAGACAAAATGATTATCTAGCCCCTTGATACTCAAAGTGTGGTCTTTGGAACAGTATCAGGAGTACAGTGTGAGAATTTGTTGGAAATCCAGAATCTTAGGCCCCACCCATGGCCTACCAAATCAGAATCTACATTTTAACAAGATCGCGCAGTGATTCGTGAGCATATTTACATTTGAAAAGTACATAGACCCTATACTGCCTATCTGCTTTTGGATACCTCATTTGGCCTAAATTCACAAAGCCTTTTGGTCACCAACTGCAGTGTCTCCATTGAATCTTTTCCCCACCTTTCCACTTGTCAATCCTTCTTTGACTTTGATGACATGGCTGATCTTCTAAAAGCCACACTTTATTCTGGCAGCTTTCCAGAATTCCTTACAAATACCCACCGTACAGAGGATTGAACATCCTCTCTCGTCTTTCCAGAACAGCTTTCACTGAGGTTCTTAGAGAAATGTTGACAAGATATTAATGCTGTAAACATTTTCAATTTAGTCCTTAGACTGATCTTTTATGCACTTGAATTGTTATGACAAATTGCTTTTATCTTCATAGCTGTCATATGTCTCTCCAATCTCACAATCTGTGGCAAATTGGCAACCCAAGTTTAGGAAGTTTTTTGTTTGTTTGTTTGTTTTGAGACAGACTCTCGCTCTGTCACTCAGGCTGGAGTGCAGTGGCATGATCTTGGCTCACTGCAATCTCTCCTTCCTGGGTTCAAGAGATTCTCCTGCCTCAGCCTCCTGAGTAGCTGGGACTACAGGTGCCTGCTACCACACCCAGCTAATTTTTGTATTTTTAGTAGAGACAGGGTTTCGCCATGTTGGCCAGGCTGGTCTCGAACTCCCTACCTCAAGTGATCCACCCTCCTTGGTCCACCCTTCTTTGGGAGCAAAGAGCATGTTGACCAGGCTGGTGTCGAACGCCCTATCTCAAGTGATCCACCCTCCTTTAGGAGCAAAGTGCTGAGATTACAGACATGAGCCACCGTGCCTGGCAGTTTATGAAGTTTTCCATTCTTGTTTCAGTTTTTCTTCTACAGATACTACTCTGCTTTGCTTCTTCATTAGTCTGGACTTAATCCATTTTTATCTGGCAGTCTTTATGCAGAGGGAACTTCTTTTTAAAGTAACATTTGTGACCATTCAGGAGTGTGTCTTCCCCAGAACAACTCCGAAGGCTTTCTTCCACGCCCTTCTCAAGCTTCCACTTTTTCGCTCTTCCTTATCAACAGAGATGGATTAATGTTTCCCATTCTCCATGATTTTGTTGGAAGGTTGCAAAGGGTATCAACATATGAGGGCATATACCCTCTAATGTTTTGCTTTAAGAAAAAGGGAGACAAGGCCGGGCACGGTGGCTCACACCTGTAATCCCATCACTTTGGGAGGCCAAGGTGAGTGGATCACGAGGTCAAGAGATTGAGACCATTCTGGCCAACATGGTGAAACCCCGTCTCTACTAAACATACAAAAAAAAATTAGCTGGGCATGGTGGCGTGAGGCTGAGGCAGGAGAATCACGTGAACCTGGGAGGTGGAAGTTGCAGTGAGCCGAGATCACGTCAGTGCACTCCAGCCTGGTGACAGAGCGGGACTCCGTCTCAAAAAAAAAAAAAAGGAAAAAGAAAAAGAAAAAGGGAGGCAAATACACACCTATCTGCATGAAGTTCATTGCCTTATGTTCCTAAAGGTAAAAAAAGATTTAATTATGGCAAAGTCCAATCAACCACTAATGGTAACTAGTATATCAACCAAAAGGTCAAAGTCAGCTTTGTAGCTGAGCCAGCCTCTATAGATTCTTCTCCTTCTCTCCCAAAATATGCTTGCTTTTCAGTTGCCATCATGATTATATTCAATATAATATTTTGCTACATAGTGTTTGCTTTTATTTCTAGCTGGCATTTCAGTATAGCCATGACTTTCACAGTCTCAAGATCATGTATCACCTGAGAAAATAATGAGCCAAAATGCTTGAGTCCAGGAGAAATTTCTACAGAGCTGTCTTTTGACTGTGTTCACACAGAGTGTGGTGTTTCTTGTCATGGGATAATAATCTGAGAAACAACATCTGGCCAGATCCACTACTTGGTTTCAAACTGCACACTACTTTAATATGTTAGAATAAACATTCCTTGAGTGCCTATTACACACAAGGAACAAAAGAACAGAGGAACAACTCTTACAGCTAAGTTATTTTGTCTTATTTCTTCAAGACTTTTCTTCTCAAATCCATCACGAGGGCCTCCCATCCAATTTGAAAGGTCTCTGTGGCTGTCCCCACTCCTGGAAGTGTTCACATCAGCCCTGGGAACACTATCAATTCAGGAGAGGCCTTGAATATGGCTTTTCAACTCCCCATGGAAGCACTCTCCCAACCATCTCAAAGAGCAGAGCTCTTGATAGCAAATCAAACATAATTTTAGTTAATATGTTTCTTAGTCATCTCAGTTTAATTTTTTGCCCTCCTCCCTCCATGGGCCGTTTTTCATACGACTTCCAATGGTATGAACAATTTCCCAGCCTCTTGAAACTCTATGTGCTTAGCACTGTGGGACCTAATCAGGTTTTCTGAGCAGCTCCATGCTGTGTTCTTAGCACTCTGGGGCAGTGGAAGACAGCTCTAAACTAAACTGGGGGAAAATATGTTTTCCCTCCCCTATTCCCAAGTCTGTAGTTGGCTCTCAACAAGTTTGCTTCTGATATAGTAGCCAGTTATAAAACCTTATCCTCATATTGAGAATCACTGCCCTCAAGACACATCCAAAGATGCTGAGAGACTTCTGATATCCGACAGTGATTTGTGAGAGACAAAGGAGGGAGCACTCAAGACAGCAAGTCTCTGTGCTGGATGCTGGATTTGTGTATCATTGGCTGGGCAGAGACATGCGCATGGGCAAGTAAAATCTCATTTTGGCAAAAGCCCTATCAGTTTAAGCTATCTGCTGCAATGTGGACTATTTGTCCAACTGAGACGTTCTTTAACTTGGAGGGACTCTTCATTCTATTCTCCTCAATGCTCCCTGGTAAATTTTTTCTTTTCCACATGGTAAGTTTTTGGTTTCTAAGCCTTTTTTTCTAAGCTTGCCTGGAGCTTCATACAACCACTTTTATAAAGGAGGATTACCAAGAGAGAATATGCAAACAGAATTATAAAGTTTCGACAAACGCTGACTGATTTGAAAACTAGAAACAAGTTCGAGTCAGCCATTACGATTTAGAAAAACAAACCTCACTTAGAATAATAGGATGCTCTGATTCATTCCCTACTTTATACTTTGTAAATTAGGCTGCCGTGCTCATTATTCACCCCTCAGGGTTGGCAAGAAGAGCACTGGCACCCTAGGTAATATTTTTTGGCAACCCCTCCCCAAAACAACAAAGCCAGTCCCCCACCGCTCTCTCCTCTCCATTCCTCAGGTCGCCCCATCTCTCTAATTGGTATTCATCCAACGCTGAACAGTAGCTATCAGTACTTGATGATTAACAGCCTTGTGAGACCTTATGATAGCAGCAAGAGTTGGCTCTTGTATCCACCATTTAAAAGGGATGCATGAATGTGAGATTCTTGTTTCAAAGAGGTACAGATGGATGGCATTGTGTTGCCACCATCTGAATGGGTAGCAGGAACAAGGGATGTGTAGTTCAACAAAGTGAAGAGGAACACCACAATCCCTCTGCAGTGTTCCCCGCAGCATCGCCATATCCTGGGTAACTTTTAAAGCTTGATCTGAGTCTGCATCACTCAAACATGAATCAACCACTTGATTGTTTAGTGTTGAAATGCCCCTTTGCATTTCAAAGGGCCTTACAATCCTCACTTTTCCCACATTCTGACTTCTGTGCCATCACACCCCTTTTACTCCCACCAACCCCAAATTCAGAATTCCCAACTCCCTATCTTATAACACCTTCACTGAGTCATAGGACATTGGATGTTCATCTCTACTGATAGACTAACTAGAGAGCAGCCCAGAGGTACATGCAGAAATCTACTTCTCTTCTGAATGGCCCTGAAAGTCTAGTTATGAAGAATTTTGCATGTAAGGATTATGCTTCCACCATATGGGGCTCTTTGCTTTGCAGTGAGTTGGGCACAGGATTTCAGAAACATGTTTTGGGTCTCATGGAACTACCAAGTATTGTTTGGATTGCACCAGATTTTACAAGCCATCGAGTAAATTGTAAATACTTCTGGATACTGGTGCACATTTTATAAATAATTCTGGCAGGGTTTTAATTCTCTAGGACTTGAGGGGTTTGTTATATTCAATTTTGTATTATTTGTTCATTTCCATGTGGCCTTATTTCTGCAAACACAATTTCTTGAAAAATGGAATTAAGTCCAGATTTGGCAAATACAAAGGGATGATATGTAACATTTCTCTCATAAAGTGGTTCTGAGCAAAGGCAAAATGAACTCATTTATACTTAGTAAAACATCATTGTAAATTTATATATAAACATCAAAAGACAAACTGATATTTTAAATTTCATCAGTCTTTACAGTTGCTATTCTAGCATGTCTTTAGAGTGACAAGAACTCTCTCTTTTGGTCAGTTTTAGACCCAGAACCTCACAGGGCCAATACATTTGACTAGAGGAGGCAATGATTAAGGGGCACCAGTGACAAATTCCCTTCAGAAGAACTATTTCTTTTCAGAATACTTCACACTTAACTATCTGCACTGATTCTGCAGAGTGACCCAAGGAGAGAGAAAATGGCTCTACTGCCTTTTTTTTCTTTAAGAGATGGAGTCTCACTCTGGAGTGCAGTGACAGGATCATAGCTCACTGCAGCCTCGACCTCCTTGGCTCAAGTGATCCTCCCACCTCAGGATCCCAAAGTGTTGGGATTATAGCCGTGAGCCACTGTGCCTGGCCACTACTACCTAATGTTTAAAAAAATTCTGAGCTGGCTGGGCTCGTTGGCTCACGCCCGTAATCCCAGCACTTTGGGAGGCCGAGGCAGGTGGATCACAAGGTCAAGAGATCGAGACCATCCTGGCCAGCATGATGAAACCCTGTCTCTACTAAAAATACAAAAATTAGCCGGGTGTGGTTGTGGGCACCTGTAATCCCAGATACTCAGGAGGCTGAGGCAGGAGAATCGCTTGAACCCGGGAGGCGGAGGTTGCCGTGAGCCAAGATCGTGCCGCTGCACTCCTGCTTCACGACAGAGCAAGACTCTGTCTCAAAAAAAAAAAAAATTCTGAGCTGTTCATATGATTATGTTCTCTCTGCCTAAAATACTCTTGAAGCAGATGTCGTGATGGGAGCCCTTCCTGGCCTCCTACTTAAAATTGTAACCCCTCTAGCCTGAATCCCAATCCTCCTTTTCTGCTTTATTCTTCCCCAGGCCACTGCACACACACACATCCACACACGTGCGCGCACACACACACAAACACGCACTCCTTACTAGAAATCTCCTTGAGGAAACAGATTTTTGTCTTTTTTAAAGTTCACTCTACAAAAATAAAAAGTAAAATAAAGTTCAGTCTAAAGTTTTAAAGTTCACTCTGAAGTTTTAAAGATCACTCTGACGTTCCCCAGTTCCTGGAATAGTGCCTAGCACAGGAGACACACTCAATAAGTATTTGTTGAATAATCAAATGAATGCAAACCCATAAACAACATATGTACAAAAACACACTCTTAAAACCACACCTTTAGTGTAGAGCCTACACTTCAATATTCACTTTTCCCCAGACTTTGTTTCATTAGGACTAAGCCTGTATTTGATATTTCTTTTAGCCTGCTTTCATCTCTATAGAAAAGTCTGAGGTGGGAAAAAATGGATTTCCTGAATTCTGCACTTGACTGGAAGTAATTAGCCAAGCTTTTTATATGACTACTGAATGGCTTTATTTCCTCAACAGCCTCCCTCTTCAAGTCCTTCAGTATGCACTGACTGTCTCCACCAGGCCACACAACACCACTGCAATTCTTGCTCAATCACTAAATCCACATGGACAATTCTCTTTCTCTCTTTTTTCTTAATTTTTCTTTCTTTCCTTCCTTCCTTCCTTCCTTCCTTCCTCCCTCCCTCCCTCCCTTCCTTCCTTTTCCTTTTTTGTAGCCAACATACCACATTTGCTGGGTTGGCAGCTCACTTCATTGCATACATCTTGCCCTCCTGGCTTCTAAATGCTGTCTCCCTGATTTCTGGCTAATCTTCAGCCGGCTGTGCACATCCATTAAATGCTAGATTATTCAGGGCTCGACCTATCACCTATAATCAATGACTCCCAAATGTCTGCCTCCAGCTCAGCTCTTGCCTCTCAGTTTCACGCTTGTATTTCTACCTGCTCATGTGTCACCTCCCCTTGCTGTCCCACAGCCACCACCCCCGGGGCCCACATACCCAGAACCGTCCTGCTCGTCTCCAGGTGCTCTCACGGGAGGGCATCACCATCTGCCCGCTTGACCAGTTAAAAACCTTGGACCTTCCTCTCACCCTCAAACTACCTCCATGTGAGAGTAGTCAGCAAACCAAGGGCAAAAGCAGAGGCTTTACGGGGGCAGAGCAAAGCCAGGCTTGAACCTAAACTCTGTGAGATCTTGGGCAAATCACTTACACTCTCTGAGCCTTAACCTTCTCACATGTAAAGTGGAGATATTTATTATCTAATACAATATCTGGCTTTAAATTTGTCATAAGGCCTCATTTAATCATTTTACAAAAAGGTACGCATCAGGTGCTATGCTAGGCAGTAGGGTTTAACAGTGAATAAAGTAAGCTGCTGCTCTCTGGAACAAGTGAGATAATGAGGTACAGCTTTTTATCCTTAATCTAACAGAGCTCAGAACACAGAGAATAGTTTCCATTCTCAGCAAATGGAAGCTATTTTTATTATTATCCCAGTCACTATGATCTATTAAATCTACCCTATCAATACATATTAAATCCATACCAACCCCCTTCTTCCTGCCCCACCCCCCACCTCAGTTCAGGCTCTTAATATTTTTTGCCTGAATTATTTGCTGGAATTTCTCACCTTCTAAAATGTTTTCCAGGCCAGGCACAGAGGCTCAGGCCTGTAATCGTAACACTTTGGGAGGCCAAGACGGGCAGATCACCTGAGGTCAGGAGTTCAAGACCAGTCTGGCCAACATGGTGAAACCCTGTCTCTACTAAAAATACAAAAATTAGCCAGGTGTAGTGGCATGTGCTTGTAGTTCCAGCTACTCAGGAGGCTGAGGCAGGAGAATCGCTTGAACCCAGGACAGGGAGGTCGCAGTGAGCCGAGATCACGCCATTGCACTCCAGCCTGCGTGACAGAGTGAGACTCCTTCTCAAAAAAAAGCTTTTCCTACTACCATTTGTACCACGGTGTTCATGCAAATATTTAAGCACCTACCTTGTGTTAAGCACTATTTAAAAATCTGAGGCCATGACAGTGAACAAAACAGACCCCAAAAATTCTTGCTGTCATGGAAGTGACATCCAAGTGGGTCATACTTACCTCACTTTAATTCATTCTCCACAATGAGGTCAGAATGAATGATGTTCCAAACTTTACGCTCAACCTTCAGGCCTCAGCTGAAAAGCCATGTGTTTTTCCTCATCCCTTAAACAGGGTTGGGTGCCCAGGACAGCTGTCCTCCTAGTGTCCTGTCTTTCTTCATTATGGTCTTCATCACTCTTGAAACTTTTTAAGGACAAAGTTCAAACTGTTTACCAAGGTATAATCTGTAGTCTTTGCGACTGCTCATGGGCCCAGCTCATGTCCTGCCACTTCCTCGTGAGCACAATCTGTCCCCACCACAGCAACTTACCAGCAATTCCCCAAATGCATGGCATGCTCTCAGCTCTCTAGGCCTTTGCTCATGCAGGAGCTAGCATTTCTTGAGATCTCTTATACGTCAAATGTGGTACCAGGAACGTTTAATATATTATCTCATTTAGTCCTCAAAACAACCTATCTCAGTCAGAAGTTTTGTTTTTATGTCAAGGGACAGAAACCGGTTTATGCATAAAGGAGACCTACTGATTAATAGCAGCAGAGTCCAGGGGTAAAATCCGTGTCAGGCTTGGCCTCACTGCGGAAAGAGCAAGAATCTTGGGGCCTGGTTTTCCTTTTCCCGCTTCTGAGCTCTGGTTTCTTTATATTGGCTCCAAACTTCCTATGCCCAGTGTAATTTTAGGTTCAAGATTATCCAGAAGAGAGAGCTCAAAAAATGAGAATTCAAACAAAAATCTAAAAATTGAGTCTGGCTGGCCCTCCTCATGTGTCCATTCCTGAACCAATAGATGCAAGGCGCCAATTGCCCTGTGTCCAAGACACACACCTCCCCTCAAAGCTGAGAGTGAACTCCGAGGTTCACCCACAGATAAGACATGGTTTCCCCAAAGCAAAATTAGCCTACAGTATAACCAAAAAGGGAGGGGAAATAATAACAAAATTAACAAACACCTATTAACTAAAACCATGATCACAAATAATGCCCTCCCTTCCCCAACACTGCCCTCCCCTTTTTTTTTTTTTTTTTTTTTACAGTTTTGGCAACTAAAGTGCATAAAGATTAAGCCACTTGCCTAGAATGACAGAGGCCAGTTCTCTTTTGTGTGGCCACTGCTTTTTAATGCCTCTCTGTTCCCTTTACTTAGAATGGTCTTATCCTGTCTCCTCACCTGTCAAACTCCTAAAGGTGCTTTGAAACTCAGCTCAAGTGTGATTTTTGAAAGCCTTCATATACACATCTTCTCTACTATCCCAGCTGATAAACTCACACTTCACTGAGCACCCCCTTACTCCCATAACTTCCCGTATATTCCTCCATAAGCCTTGACTTTTGTTTGTCTCTGCAGAAAACTATGACTTAGGCTAGGCGTGGTGGTTCACTCCTATAATCCTAGAACTTTGGGAAGCCAATGTGGGCAGATCACTTGAGGTCAGGAGTTTGAGACCAGCCTGGCCAACATAGTGAAACCCTGCCTCTACTAACATACAAAGAAATTAGCTGGGTGTGGTGGCACATGCCTGTAATCCCAGCTACTTGGGAGGCTGAGGCAGGAGAATTGCTTGAACCCGGGGGGGCAGAGGTTGCAGTGAGCAGAGATGGCGCCAGTGCACTCCAGGCTGGGCAACAGAGTGAGACTCTGTCAAGAAAGCAAGAAAGAAAGAAAGAAAGGAAGAAAAGGAAGGAAGGAAGGAAGGAAGGAAGGAAGGAAGGAAGGAAGGAAGGGAAACTGTGATTTATTCATCTGTAGACCCCCTGTGAGACTCGAAAGGAAGGAAGGAAGGAAGGAAGGAAGGAAGGAAGGAAGAAAGAAAGAAAGAAAGAAAGAAAGAAAGAAAGAAAGAAAGCTGTGACTTATTCATCTGTAGACCCCCAGTGAGACTCTGTCAGAAATAAGAAAGAAAGAAAGAAAGAGAAAGAAAGAGAGAGAGGGAGAGAGAGAGAGAGAAAGAAAGAAAGAAAGAAAGAAAGAAAGAAAGAAAGAGAGGGGAAAAAAAAGAAAGCAAGGAAGAAAGAGAAAGAAAGAAAGAAAGAAAACTGTGACTTATTCATCTGTAGACCCCTGGTGCCCAGTACAGTGGTTAATAAGTTTATGAATAAAATTGAACTAACGTGGTGCTTTAATTTCACAAAATAAAAGGTAGCTCATTGGCTACATTATCCGCATGAGGAAAACTGAGGCTCTGAGAAGTTATGTGTAACTCTCATGTTACAGGCTCTTGGGTGCTGGGTCACCAGGGGTTGGTGCTGGGCTGGATAACTGAGCTAAAAGAGGGTCAGAGGGAAGTAAGTCTGAATTGCAGTGAAGTGAGTGTGAATCTATATTCTAAACAATGTTGGGAGTTAAGAGAGGGACAAGACAGAAAAATACAATGCTTGGCAGCAAGTGGGCGTTCACTAAGCAAGGAAGGTTCTGGATAATAGCCATGAAACAATAGAACTGTTCACGCGTCCAAGATTTATATTTACTGGCAACTGGGTGGGATTATTCAGGAAATGTTGAAGCCGGGGCTCAAGCGGAGGTTCTCTCCTTCAAAGTCAAATGCTGTTTACATCGTTTTTTAAGGTATAAAGCTCTTGGCTTACCTTAATCCACTTTTATGGGTTATAGGTGTCATTCTCATCTAAAAATTTAATCGATAACTTTCCTATGTGACTCAAGGTTCAGAATCAATGTAGAAATAGAATATTTAATAAAATATTCATTTCCATCTTTATGTTAGCAGCAAAATGGCAAGCGAGGCAGAAAGAGAATTAGGGGGCACGTCGCTTCAAATACCATGGCAAACAGGGTGCACCCTGCCTTCTCCGGACTCCAACAGGGCTAGCCCCTGCTGCCCAGTCTTGCCGGGTACAGAGGATCCCAGTACCAGGAAGAGCAGCCTAATACCCGGCTGCTCAGATTAGACTTACTGTTCTGACCAAAGGCACTGATAACAGTGGGCAAGAAAACTGCCTTCCAGGAAGGGCGAGGTATTCAGAGAAAACGATCCTTTGTTTCCCGGAAGAAGGTAAAAATGATTCACAAGAGGGGGAAACATGAATAGACATGACACAATGACAATATTTTGGCCTACTAATAATGTGATTTGGAGGACTTTTTTATGATTCCTGTTTTGAGAGAACTATTTTAAAGTCTTTCACCCATCAGGCAGACCTAGTACTGTTAGCTAGACCGATTAATTTTACATCTGTTCTAACATAAATAGCCAACAGGCATATTATTTTCAGATTCCTAAAGGTTAGTGAATAACAGTGGAATTAATTCTTGGTACATATGATAACAAACATGCTCTCCCCCTATTTATGTCCCATTTTTTTTTTAATAGATGACACTTAGCAGAGCTTCCATTTACAGTCGTCCCTGGTTTCCTACCAAGGTAACATGATCCTTTGGAAATTTGGAACTACAAGGTTTTGGAATCTGTATTACAAGGATGCTACAAAATTATGAAATTCACCAAAACTGTCATCCTGGATTTGGTTTGGATATGCTCCTAGTAACAGTTAACATTCGGTCTTCCTCATGGATTTACCCTGAGACTAGATTCTCTATCCAAGTCTAACCCAACTGGGGAAAGAGGACATATATATTTTAAAATATCACATTTCATTACTTTAGCACTGAATTGAACACTATTCAAATAGAAAGAATAGAAGAATACCTCTGGAAGCCTAGGCCTTCAGAGAATATCAAGATGAATTAATTATTGTCGTTGCCCCCAAGAAGTATATAATCTAGCAGGAGGCTAAGACAGTAGGCTGTGATCACTTATATTAGAGAGCTTCATTCAAAATACAATGTGGATTCAAAAGAAAAAGATGGGTTGAGAGATAGAGGTTGTTGCAATTGAGAAGAGCCTTGAAGGATTTTAATAGTAATCTATGGGGGTCGGGAGGAGAAGAATAGAAAGTTGAGGATGTCCCAGAGGGCAGGAATGCATGGGACACTCTTACTGTTGATTTAGAAGAACTTCATGACTCAGCTGGATGCAGTGGCTCACACCTGCAATCCCAACACTCTGGGAGGCCGAGGCGGGAGGCCAGGAGTTTGAGACCAGCTTTGCCAACATGGTGAAACCCCGTCTCTACTAAAAATACAAAACTTAAGCGGGCGTGATGGTGTGTGCCTGTAATCCCAGCTACTCAGGAGGCTGAGGCAAGAGAATTGCCTGAACCTGAGAGGCAGAGGTTGCAGTGACTTGAGATGGCGCCACTGCACTCCAGCCTAGGCAACAGGACAAGACTCTATATCAAAAAAAAAAAAAAAAAAAAAAAAGAACTGCATGACTTATCTTTCTCTGCAGAAACAAATTGAGTATTAAAACTGCTCCATAGATTTGTTTACATTTTGTTTTAATCATCACTGCTGTTGATCACAAATCAGTAAGCAAATCCTTAAATCTGTGAACATATCAATAGAATCTGAATAAATCGAGCTAGTTTAATGGCTAATATGAATACACTGGATTTTCTTTTAATGATTCAATTTGTTATCTGCCAATTGACCCCAAAGTTCTGGTCCAGGTATAGACAACATGTAGACAAGGAGAGCTCAAAGTTGGAACTCACCCCTTGGTTCATGCACACATGGTATTACGTAGAGCCACTGCCTCCACTTTCGCAACAGGTTTTTCAGAAACCACTACCCTGAGAAATAGTAGTAGTAACTATTTATTAGTGAAGTTTCATCATACATTGTGCATCTTTCCTTTCCCTTTTCTTCAGCAATATTGCAGAGGAAGAGTAAGCTTAACATAATATACATGATCATAACCCAGCAGAATGAACTGTAACCAAGGAGAACGGCTTCATCTAGTACAAGAGATGCAAGGGCTCTTTACTTGGACTCAGATGTCCTCAAATGACCACCTTCTCTATCTCTTTAGGTTGCCCTACCTGGAAAATAGGGCTAATTCAACTAACCTAGATAACTCAGACATGATGGGAAAATTAGCTATTTAGGGTTCATTGAGTGCATTCAATATGAAAAGCACGACGTATGTCACAAACACAGGGCTGTGACTTCAGGGGAGACAAGAAACAGCAGGCACAAATGAACTTTTAAAAAACAAAGGCCCTATTCTCATGTAAATACTCCACAATAAAGGCTATGGAAAGAAAGCAGCAGGAAATATAAAATATAAACAGAATATTTTCCATGAGGAGTCAGCAGATTTTATCAAGTTAATAAATTATTACAATACAGCATATAAAATCAAACTCATGCAGAATCAGACCAGAGAATATAATGTGTGGCTGCTGGGATTATCTGGTGGGAAGGATCTCATTGATTTTTATAGAGCACTGGATCTGGGAGATTTTAAAATTAGGCAAGGATGATGACCCAGTTTGGGTGGGAAAAGCTTAGAGAATCCATTCAAGGAAGAATATAGCCCAAGAAGTCTCTGGAGGTAGAGTTATTTTTAACCTTTCAGACCTACATGACATAAGGAGAATTCTGAAAACTGAATGCAAAGAGGAAACATTTTATGAACTTCAGTATCCATTTCTCATCGTCATCACCCTGGCACAGAATTTTAAAAGAGTGGCAAAGTTTATTTACACTTAAATAGAGATTTGAGGAAAATAAAATCAAACTTGCTTTCTTGTTTTTACCAGCATATGTGAGAACAAAGTTGGATGAATTTTCTTTTGGGCTCTGATGAGACCAAGAAATCCTTATACAAAATAAAAACCATAGCATTAAATACAAAACATATTAGAAGTGGGTATGTCAAATTTAAAAATCAGTGGTGGCCAGGTACAGTGGCTCATGCCTGTAATCCCAATGCTTTGGGAGGCTGAGGAGGGCAGATCACTTAAGGTCAGGAGTTCAAGGCTAGCCTGGCCAACATTGCGAAACCCTGTCGCAACTTAA
Organism: Homo sapiens; assembly: GCF_000001405.40. Taxonomy (NCBI): domain Eukaryota; kingdom Metazoa; phylum Chordata; class Mammalia; order Primates; family Hominidae; genus Homo; species Homo sapiens. The sequence continues at coordinate 25,993,611 of NC_000018.10, forward strand.
AATACAAAAATTAGCCCGGCCACCACACATGCCTGTAATCCCAGCTACTCAAGGGGCTGAGGCAGGAGAATTGCTTGAACCTGGGAGGCGGAGGTCGCAGTGAGCCGAGATTGCACCACTGCACTCCAGCCTGGGTGACACAGTGAGACTGTCTCAAAAAAATAAAATAAGAAAAATCAGTGGAAAATTTGTAGGAACACTGAGAACTACAAAAAAAATTGTGTATTAGTTAGCTATTGCCAAAAACAATGCTGCATAACAAGCAAAACACTGGTTTTGTGCCACCAAAACCAGTGGCACACAAGAAGCACTTGTTTTCATGGTTCTATGAATCAGACAGGTGATTTTGCTTCACAAAGACTGTGTCTGCTCTATGTGTCTTTCATCCTCCTTGGACTAGTGGGCTAGCCAGGCATGCTCACATCATGGGTCTAGGCTCAAAACTAGAATTTTCACCCAATTCTGTTAGCCAAAGAAAGGACTATGGACAAGCCCAAAGTCATGAGCATGGAAGTATACTCCATCCATGTCGTGAGGATCCAACAAGGGTAAAGAACTGAGAATTCAATCAACCACATTTTGTTTCAAAGTTACATATCAGTACAGCTCTGAAAAAATGGTCCAGTCAGAGATCGAAATGGACCTGAATACAGAGACACACACTTTTAACAAACTATTCGTTGTAATGATGATGTTTCCAATTTCCTTTTCATCTAAGTGTGTATTTTCCCTTGTGCATATAATAATTCTAATGGCTGACACTAACTTATTTTGTTATAACTGCTTAAAAAATCTACAGCAGCCAGGCACAGTGGCTCATGCCTGTAATTCCAGCACTTTGGGTGGCCAAGGTGGACAGATCAACTTGAGGTAGGGAGTTCGAGACCAGTCTGGTCAACACGATGAAACCCCATCTCTACTAAAACTACAAAATGTTAGCCGGGCATGGTGGCATGCATCTGTAGTTCCAGCTACTAGAGAGGCTGAGGCAGGAGAATCGTTTGAACCCAGGAGGCAAAGGTTGCAGTGAGCCAAGATCACACCACTGCACTTCTGCCTGGGTAACAGAGCAAGGTTCCATCAAAAAAACCAAACCAAACCAAAACAAAAAAACAACTAAGGCATTTTTCTTTTTAAACTTAAAGAACTTTATAATGGTTCTATAATAGGGAGAGATTAGATCCCGTGAGATGCATTCCCCATACACTGAAAGGTTTTGAAAGTGTTATTTCTGCAAATTACAAGTACATTCTTAAGAAGGGTTCTACCATGTTACTGCTTCCATCCTTAGAGACTAATTCCACTACATGAATTTTGGGAGCATTTCAAACTAAATGAAGAGTGGAGGCAGCAGCCCCTAGATTTATATTCCATCTTCATTAACCCAATGAAACTCACAACAGGCTCTCAGAAGAGTTAAAGGCTCTCAGAAGAGGTAACTCTCAAAAGAGTTAAAGACACACTTTTAAGCTCAATTACCCAGAGAATCTTTTCCATCTGCAATATCAACTGTCCCCATGCAAGTATTCCTCTTTATCACCAGAAATATTAAAAATGGCTTCTTAAGATATAACTTTAACCAATCAGATAAAAATATCAGTACTGTTCCATTTTGGTAAAGAAACATACTTTAACACTGTTGGCTAAGAAGTAAGTTTATACAAGTTTTTTGAAAGCAATCTGGTGATGTATATAAAAGTTAGCTAGCTGATATGTGAAAATATCACATCCTGTGATACAGTAATTCTACTTCTGAGAGTTTATCTGAAATAATTAGCTAAGTGTAAAAAGAAGTATATATGCAATGTTCATTGTTGCATTATTCACAATAATAAAAAAGCAGAATCTACCTAAATCCTCATCAATGGGAAATTTGGTAAATAAGTAATGGTACTTCCTTCCATACCATGGAATATTCGGCAGCTATGAAAAAAGGCAAAACTATTTATCTAATCATGTTAAAAACCCAAGATGTATTATTGACTGAAGAGTAGCAGATTAAAAACTGTAATAGTATATATAATTTGTTTGTTTGAGACAAGATCTCACCCTGTCACCCAGGCTGGAATACAGTGGGCATGATCCCAGCTCACTGCTGCCTCGAACTCCAGAGTTCAAGTGATCCTCCCTCCTCAGCCTCCTGGGTAACTGGGACTAGAGGCATGCACCACCACACCCAGCTAATTTGTGTATTTTTTGTAGAGATCGTTTTTGCCATGTTGCCCAGATTGGTCTCAAACTCCTGGGCCCAAGAGATCCTCCTGCTTTAGCTTCCCAAAGTGCTGGGATTACAGGCATGAGCTACTCCATCCTGCCATACATACATAAATTTGTGTGTATATTTTCATATATTATATGTACGTTCTATATGTGCATATGTATGTATGAAAAGCTATATACCAACCTATTCACAATAATAATCTCTTGGGGGAAAGGGTTGCTTTAGTAGTGTGGAGGTAATCGTTACTTCTGTTTTTTTTTTTTATGCACTTCTGTATTATTTGGATTATTTGTAAAGCATGTGTATTACTTTTATAATACTTTTTCAACTAAAAAAATCCTTTCAACTGTTTTCACTTCCTCTGTCCTTCATACCATCTAAACACAATAAAACCGTGCCAAAATGGGTGCCTGTAGTCCCAGCTACTCCAGAGGCTGAGGCGGGAAAATGGTGTGAACCCAGCAGGCAGAGCTTGCAGTGAGCCAAGATCACGCCACTGCATTCCAGCCTGGGAGACAGAGCGAGACTCCATCTCAAAAAAAAAAAAAAAAAAAAAAAAGTTCTGCCAAAATCCCACATATGCAGAAACCAAAATATTTGGGTAAAATGTGTCATTGTAAAGTAAACAAAATGTTGGGGAGCCTACAACAGCTATCCACTGGTAGTTCTGGGTCAGGTGCCAGATCAAATGTAGTTTAGCTGTGGTTTGGTTTGTCTACTAGTGGTTGTGTCTATTCTGGTTTAAATATCAATAGAGACAATTCTGGGCTCTGTGCCTGGCTGGGACGTCAAAGAAAGTACCAACAATTCCAGTTATATCCTTATATCCTGGTTAATCAGTATCCATTTCATAGCATGAAACAGATGCTAAGTCTAGAAGACTTAGTATCTAGAAAACCAGTATCTAGAAGTCTTCTAAGTCTAGAAGGCTACTGGGATGTGGCAACACACCCTTTGCCTTCCCACTTCCAAAGAGGGGGGTTACCTGCCCCTTCCCAGGCCAGGCTCCACCCCAAACCATTCTCACCCCTCTACCCCCAGTATAAGAAACTCAGCCTGCCCCTGTTTAAGAATGGAGGCTGAATGAGGACAACAGCCAATACCAATCCCTCTATCTAACTTCACTTATTGTGGGTGTCTTGTTACAGGGTTTACCATATTTCTAAACCACAGATCCCTAACCAGACTGCTTTCATGCACTTTTTTCATTCCCTTCCATATTCCCCCAGTGAGAATTTTTTTTCCACTGTCCCTTCAAGAGCCAATTCAAATGTTGCCTCCTTTATGTGAAGCCATAGAAATTCTCCTCCTTGACTCTGATAAAATGCTTCACTGTCCTCTGATCTTCCCCACTACTTTGTGCTTCTGTCAACATTTTCTTGATCATTTTCTGAAGTCTAGACAATCAACAGAAATAATAAATGAAGCTCCAATTTGTAGCATTTCCCAATTTCCATGGTGTAAATATTCCCACTGTGGCAGTTTTCAAGTGACCAACGTAACATCACTAAATGCAAAGCTGGAAATGATGTGTGGTAGTATACCATTAAATATTCTTTCTATCATACAGATGCAATAGACATACATAATCTCAACAGCATTGATAATACAGAAATGTAGCAAACTAGAAAATAATGAGTTTTAAGTATTTATTACTTTTGTCTTTAATATACTTTATTTCATTGTAAATTTACACAATTTTAATAATGTCTGGGTTTAGCAACTGGCTTATAAAATTCTTGAAATTTTAACGATTGGCTCTCATGAGATGGTGCAACACACACTATTGGTTTAAGGTGAAGTGGAGAGGTGTAGGCTGGGACATTAAGCGTACAGGTAGCAGTCTAACCAGGGATATAGATGAAATTCCTCCTGGGAGAATATATTTAGTAAGAAGGTAAGAGAAAGCAGCTAAGGATGAAACCTGGAGAATACCTATATATATATATATTTTTTTTTTTTTTTGGAGACAGAGTTTCGCTCTGTCGTCCAGGCTGGAATGCAGTGGCGTGATCTCGGCTAACTGCAATCTCCGCCTTCCAGTTTCAAGTGATTCTCCTGCCTCAGCCTCCCGAGTAGCTGGGATTACAGGCGCCCGCCACCACGCCCGGCTAAGTTTTTATTTTTAGTAGAGACGGGGTTTCACCATGTTGCCCAGGCTGGTCTCGAACTCCGGATCTCGTGATCCACCCGCCTCGGCCTCCCAAAGTGCTGGGATTACAGGCGCGAGGGATACCAACATTTAAAGGGCAGGCAGTAGGAAGTGAGCAAGAGATGAGAAATAGCAGATGGAGAGGTAGAAGTGCAGCCAGGAGACAAGGTGGTCCAGAAGCCAGTGGAGAAGAGTGATTGAGAAAGAGGGAGTGGTCAGAGGGTAAAAGAAAACCAAGAGATGATGACCAGGAATGGAAATTATGCAGTCATTTATGGGATCACTTGTTATTCATTCAACGTTTTCTGAGAATTCACTTTTAATGAGTGTTCTGGAATGCTTGGAAATCAAAAAGTGGGACCTTTCAATCTTACTGTAGGCTGAGACCCAAAACACACTCCACATGAGGTGCCAGCCCACCTAGACAGGGTTTGCCAAGACTTTCCTCCTAACCCCCATCTGAAGGGCATAAAAAGAGTAAAATTAAAGTCATATCAAAATGGGAATTTCTCTGAAGAGTTTTCAGGGGCTGTGTATGATAACTCCATGTGCATTTCACTTACTTCAAGTCCAGGATGCCATTCAGAACCACCTTGGAATCATCTGAAGTTTCTGGGGCTTGGGAGACACAGTAGACTGATGTCTGACTCATGCCAGAAAAAAAAAAAAAGTGTACAGATGAGAGACAGGCTGAAGTGGCACAGAGTACACTCCATAGACACAGAGTCCAGGGCTACATTTGAGGACTTACTGTACTACCTCTAATAGGAACCTCAGCCTGGAAATTTTGTAAGGTATCATGCTTAAGAGAGTTTTGCCAGAGGGCTAGGTGACCTCTGCATAAATGTTGGGGGTATCATCATATGTCTGGATGTGGAGATCAAGGGCAGAAAATAGCCAGCAGTAAAATTCTCAGGACCAGAATTGGACACAGCCGCACATTTACCACATTGAATTTTCTTTCCTTAGTTTCTGTGACACAATTTCTCCTGGTTTTCTATCTCTTGATTTCTCACATTGTCTGACTAGTTCTTCTTTATCTACCCACTCCCTCCAAGTGTTTACATCTTCAAGGTTTCAGTCCTCCTTATATTTCAGGAACTCCCCTGGTGATATCATCCTCTCCCATGGCGTCAAATGTTACCCCTGTGTTTTATGAGATCCTATAGCTCCAGCCCATCCTATCTCTTTGATTCTGTACTTAGATTCCCAATTGACTATAAGCAATTCTAAATTAGCTGTCTCATGGGGTCATCAAACTTGAACCCTACACCTTCCCTCTAAAATATTTGCAAATGGCCGGAAGTTTATTAAAAACTTTTACCAAAAAATCCAAAATTCTACTCCTAGATATTTACTCCTATTCACTCCTAGAAATGAAAACGTATGGACACACAAAAGAATTTGTAAACAAATGTTCATAGCAGCATTATTCATAATAGCCTAAAACTGGAAACAATACAAATGTTTATCAGCTGATAAATGGAGAAGAAAAATGGGGTATGTCCATACAATGAAATATTACTCAGCACTAAAAAGGGGAAAACCATTACACACGACATAGATCAATCTCAAAATCATCATGCCAAGTGAAAAATTCAGAAACAAATGTTTACATACTGTATGACTTCAGTTAAATGAAATTTCTAGAAAAGGCAAAACTATATAGCAACAAAAAACAGATTTGTGGTTGCTGGAGCCAGGGATGGGGACAGGTTTTGCATACAAATGGGCATGAGGAAATGTCTTGGACTGGTGGAAGTGTTCTAAGATTGGATTGGTGATGACAGCTACCCAATTCTATGAATTTAGTAAAATTCATTGAGCAGTACACTTAAAATGTGTGAATTTTATGATATGTAAAGTATACACCAATAAAGTTGTTTAAAAGGAAGTTTTAGAGTAGTATGTAACGCACATAGCAGCACTAAATCATTTAAAAAATAAACACAATGTAATATTTACATCTGTGTGAGCCCAGAAACAACTCTGGAAGGATACACACCATTCCATTACTGCTGATTAGCTCAGGGGTAAAAGGTGAAATGAATTATATTCTTTACACATATTTAAATATATTTAACAGTATAAATAACAGATATACTCTGCTTTGAAATTTATTTTTTAAAATAACAGAGGAAACTAAAGATTTAAACAAAACAGAAGGGCAGCAAGAGACTCAGGTCTAGCAAGTAGCAGTGGACACTTATATATAGTAGAAAGAGTAATATGGGCCAGGCATTGTGGCTCACAACTGTAATCCCAGCACTTAGGGAGGCTGAGGCAGGAGGATTGCTTGAGGCCGGAAGTTCAAGACCAGCCTGGGCAACATAGCAAGATCCTATCTCGACTTTTTAAAAGAGTAATAGAATCAATTGAAAAGGTGGACTGAATTGAAAATAACTCACTTGACCACTCCCTTGAAAGTCAGAGAGAAATCCAAATGAACATGAGTAGAAGTAAAAAAGAAAAGAAGAAAAGTGCTATTCTCACTACTGCAAGAAAAGCAGAAGAAAGGAATATTTCTGTGTTAAGTAGCAAAGCTTTCTCGAGTACTTGAAAAACCAAAAGCTGATAGAATTATGTGGCCAACCAAAAATAAATATATACAGTCAAAATAAGAATAATAGGAAGGGGGATTTGCCCTGCTAGATATGCATTCATTCATGTTTTCAGTAAACATTTATTGAATACTCATATATACCAGGCTCTGTTCTGGGCACAGACACTGTAACTGAATACAAAGGAAAACAAAATCTCAGTTCTTGTGAAGCATATACTCTAGTAGAGAGGAATAAGCAATAAATGAAACTCAAGATGTGTGTGTGTGTGTGTGTGTATTACAAGTTTATAATATAGTATGTGAGTTGATGATAATAAATTGGAAAAAAATTAAAGAGGAATATGGAGTACCCAGGGGGAAGAGGTTTCTATTTTAAATGGGTGGTCAGGGAAAACCATACAATTGAGGTGACACTGTGCGAGACTGGAAGAGAGGAGAGTGGAGTGAGCCATGTGGATACCTATGGAAAAAGCAAAGGCCCTGAGACAGAAGTGTGATTGGCAAGTTCAAGAACAAACAAGGAGACATGTGTGACCTCCTTACATTAAAACATACTTTAAACCTAAAACATTTAAAGGGGTGGGCTTTAGGGCAAGGATAAAACAACAAAACAAGATAAATAGCCCAGAGAAAGACTTTAATATATGATAAAAGAAGCAACAATAAAACCAGAATGATGTCACGTAAAGGGGGCAAAGGGGAAGAAAAGGGAGAAAACAACTTTAAAATGTTAATGATGTTTATCAATAGATAGTGGAATTATAGACAACTTTAGTTTTCTTCTTCATGTTTTCTGTATTTTTGAATTTTTCTAAAATTAGCATGTATTACTTTAAAAATGTTTTTAAGAGCAATGAATTAGTCTAAATGTATTGGTTAATATATTTAAGGAAAAATTTTATTTAAAAATTACAGATTAAAGTTATATGTTTTAAAAATCTAAACATTATAAAACAAAGAAAACATAGGTAAAAGTTAAAGGGCTTTTCAAGCTTTCAAGCAATAAAATAGACATATTTGCCTGTATTAGATAATCAATGTTATATACATATAAAATACCAAAATGAAAAAACTACTTTTTAAGTATAAATTACTGCTTAATTAACTTATCCAAATAACTATATTACAAAAGCATGACTTATTATCTATTGAGCGTATCCAAATACATAAGGAACCATTTAAAACCAGTAAGCAACAGATAAATAGGCAGACATGAACAAATAAGGAAATACAAATGGCTAACACATAGAAAATATTCAATTCAACTCATACTAATAACCAAAGAAATAAATATTAGAATAAACTACCATTTTTATCTGTGAGATTAACGAAGACTTACTTTTAAAAAATGCTAAGCCAGGCCCAATGGCTCACACCTGGAATCCCAATATTTTGGGGGGCAAAGTCCAGAGGATCACTTACGGCCAGGATCTCAAGATCAGCCTAGGCAACATAGGGAGACCCCCAACTCTACACACATTTTTAAAAATTAGCCAGGTGTGGTGGTGCACTCCTGTAGTCCTAGCTATTCCGGAGGCTGAGGCAGGAGGATCGTTTGCCCCCAGGAGTTGAAGGCTGCATGAACTATGATCATGCCACTGCACTGCAGCCTAGTGACAGAGCAAGGCCTGTCTCCAAAAAAATGTTACTAGTTAAAAATTAAAAAATAAAAATGCTAAAAATTGACAAAGGAGGATTAATATATACTCAGTCTATTCTAGGAGTATAAATTAGTATAATCTCATTGGAAAGAAATATGGCAGTATTTATCCAGAGTGTCAGAAAATGTTTATATACTTTGAGAAGATAATCCCATTTTAGGAATCTATCCTAAAGAAATAACCCCAAATAACAGTAATTTACTTATTTAGCACTTACCACATGCCAGGAACTACTATATCTAATGTATTAACATGCAATAACATTGAGAAATTTGAGTAATATATTAACTCATTTAATCCTTACAACCCTGAGGTAGTTAAGTATACTATTCTCTCTAGTTAGAGATACAGCAACTGCAGCACAGTTTCAATTGTTGCCCAAGGTTTCAAAACTAGTTAGTGATGAAACTAAAAAGGCAAGACTCAAACCCAGGCAGTCTGACTCCAGGTTCTATGTGCTTAATCACTCTGCTGCACTGCCTCTCAGGATAAACAGAAATACAAAGATGTTCGCCTCAGCAATACTGATGATAGGAATTTCCAGAAGAAAAGCCAAATATTCTATGATAGGGGAAATGACTAAGCAAAAGACAGAGTAGATAACATATTATACTTATTTTTTTAATATAGTTTTTAAATTATAGGTTATTATTTAGGTTATTATAGACTCTAAGAAACTTTATTAAGAAAATTAAAATGATTGTACTGAAAATGCAAATAATATGGTTTGGTTTTAAAAACACTTACATTGTTCTTCCTCTAGTCTAAAGCACTATCAATTATAAGAGTAAGACATATCATTATTTTATGTTATAAAGAAAGAGAACAAATCTCAATTTCAGAGATACTAAAATGTGAACTCAATGGATCTCAGATTTAGTTCCAACTAGGAGGTATTCTTTCTCTGAAGATAATTTTTGATCTGAGTTCCCAAATATGAAACTCAATGCAGTGTGGCTATTCTTTTAGGCCTGAATGTTTATACAAAGTCCCTTCTCCATTGTGGCAACCTTATTGATCCATTAGCCCAAATATGAGTCAACAGATCCTTCACATCAAGGAGCCCTTGCTATCTCTTTTGGAAAGAAGAGGAGAAATTATTACTAACAATTACACATGCCAGACCAGAAGCCCATCACTCCCACTGTAAGGAAACTTTATAGCAGAGGAACTTGAGAATTCTTCAAAGCCATAAAATATGAAAAAGAAAACAGGTTTAACAAGTGGCTTGAAAGAACACGGTTGAGTGAATACTATGCAGTAAGGAAAGCCATTTGGAATATCACAGATTATTTAGGGAGGATTATACAGAGGGATAGAGAAACACTGGGAAATAGAAGGAGCATTGTTAAGGTGGAACTGGCATGGAGCCAAGGCTATGAGAACATTGTGAAGCACAGAGGCAGAAGGAAGCTCATGATGGTAAGATTGTTACAGGTATCATATAGTTGTCTATACTGGTAAAAGAGCAAAATAGTGCATGCTTTCCTAGCAAGTCGGATTCTAATGGTTTAGCTCTGGGCACAGACTAGCAGAAAACAGACAGTAAAGAGAGAAAATGTTGTCATATATGTCATCGTTCCATCTGCATTCCCACAAAATATCTTCCACCAAGGAGACTTTTTTTTTTAATTGAGGGGCAATGGGACAGTTAGCTATGTTTATCATTTTAATTATTGCAATGCTATGATTCATTAATAAATCACTGGTATGACCAAGCATCTACTCCAGACCTACTCAAAACGAAACGTACCCTTCTAGTATACAGCTTAAGTATAGACATCTATACAGGTGCACAATCTCCTCTCCAGCCTCGTGGGGCCAGATGTGTGCATAGGCAGTATATTACATGGCACCTCCAGGGGACGCTGAATCAGATAAAGAGACTATAACCTCACCATGGGTCAGACCAGGTTTTATAGCCAAATGACCTCAGGGCTGGTCAGGATTTTGGAATTTTGGCTAAGGCACTGTGGACTCAGGTTAAAGCCCTAACTTTTACCTCTAATCCATCTATTTTACTACTTCATTTTCAATGTATGAATCCTAAATGTCTCTATATATCCTAATTAATAACATTTCTAATAATCAATATTTATGGAACTCCCATTACATAACTGGGCATTATTCTAGGCATCATTCTAGACATCAAGTGACTAGTAGTAGACAAAACAAAACCCCTGCCTTCGGGGAGCTTTCAATGACTCCCCTGGGACAATGAGAGAATTCATAAATGAGCTATAAATAATTAAAGAGTTCAGTGTTTCATTCCTAAATCTATTCATGGCTGCCAAAAAGACCAGAGACCACATCATATAACACAGCTATTTATATTTTATCATGTCAATGTCAAACACAAGAAATTCATAATCAAGCTTTCCATACAGCTTTTTTTGTACTATTATTTTAGTAAACATTTAGAATATATAGCATATATGTAGTCATATCCCCCTGTCCCTCCCTAAAACTGCTTATTAAAACTGCCAGCCCAGCTGGGCACAGTGGCTCACACCTGTAATCCCAGCACTTTGGGAGGCCGAGACCAATGGGTTGCTTGAGCCCAGGAGTTCAAGACCAGCCTGAGCAACATGGTGAAACCCCATCTCTACTAAAAATACAAAAATTAGCCAGGCATGGTGGCGCTTCCCTGTTATCCCAGCTACTTGAGAGGCCGAGGTGGGAGGATCGCTTGAGCTTAGGAAGCGATCGTCAAATTGCAGTGAGCCAGATCGCTACTGCACTTTAGCCTGGGCAACAGAGCGAGACGTCGTCTTGGAAACTGCCATGCCTGCAACCCCAGATGGGTTGACACCAGCCCGTGATCCCAGCAGGAGAGCCACAGGCACTCAACTACAACCCTACTATAACCTGACAGCTGCAGTGTGGGCTGTGCCCAGCAAAGCCACGAGGGAAAGGGCGCCAGGAACTCCTGCCCCAGTGTGTCCAGAGGCAGTACTTTGAGTCAAAGATTATCCTGGGAATTTAGAACGTAATATTGTTTGCCCTGTTAGGGTTGGAACTTGCTTGAGACCTGTTACCCCTTTTTTCTTCCCTATTTCTCCCTTTTGTTATGGCGATGTTTATCCTATGCCTGTCCCACCACTGTATTTTGGAAATACACAACTTATTTGATTTCACAGGTTCACATATGAAGAGCAATTTGTCTCAAGATGAATTGTAACTTGGGTCTCACCCATATCTGCTTTAGATATTTAGATGAGTCTTTGGACTTAGACTTTAATGTTGATGTTGAACAAGTTACATTTGGGGCTACTTGGATGAAATGAATGTATTTTACATATGAGAAGGATATAAATTTTGTGGGGCCAGGGATGGACTGCTATGGTCTGAATGTTCTGTCAACATTAATGTGTTGAATTCTAATCACTAAGGTCATAGTATTAGAAGGTGGCATCTTTGGGAGGTGATTAGGTCATGAGGTTTCCCTCATGGGTGGGGTTCTGCCCATATAAAAGAGACCCCAGAGAGCTCCATCACTCTTTCCACCATGGGAGGACACAGACAGAAGGCCCCATCTGTGAACCAGCAATGGTGCCCTAACCAGACAGTAAATCTCCCTACATCTTGAACTTGGACTTCCCAGTCTCCCAAACCGTGAGAAATAAATTCATTGTTTATAAGCCACCCAGTTTATGGTATTTTGCTATAGCAGCCTAAACAGACAAAGATTCTTGTGCCTTAATATCTTTTTTCTTGATCAATTTATTTTTATCTTTTAAAAAAAACAGCTTTTGATGATCCTCTAATTTTTAAATTGTATTACTTTCTGCTTTTTAATAACTTCTTCAAAATTCTAATGTTTTATCTGCATTCAATTTTGGAATCCTCATCTATATTCCTGAGTTAAATTTCAGTCTTTTTTGTTTTTAAATAAAACCATTGAAAGCTATCAATTTACTTCTAAGAATTGCTATATCAGCATCTCATGTTTTTTCCTTCCTCTTTTTTACGTGTACAATATATTTTTGTTAACTATAGGCTACAGATACCAGTTTTGATAGAGAACTTTTATTGTAGCTCATTTCTAAATTTCTGCTGAGACCTTCTTTAACCAAAAGCTGTTTAATCAATTTTGAAAGTTCTTAACACATGTACTACTGTTGTCAAAGAAAATGACTTATAGAATACTGACTGAACTTTGATCAGACTTCTTTTGTAAATTAGCACAAGTACATTTTTTAAAATTACTACATATACTTAAAAAGAATGTATATTCTGTCAGGTACAGGATTCGATATTCATTTTTAGATTTTCTGCATCAAAGCTATCCTGTATTCCACATCCACTGGCCATATGTGGCTATCGAGCACTTGAAATGTGATTAGTGATAGGCTGTAAGTATAAAATACAAACCAGATTTCTAAGGCTTACTATGAAAACAAGGATGTAAAGTGTCTCATGAATTTACATGTTGAAATAGCATTTCTGATATATTGGGTTAAATATATTATTAAAATGAAGTTTCCCTTTTTATACATTTTTAAAACATAGTTACTAGAAAATTTTAGCCTGGCACGGTATCTCACACCTGTAATCCCAGCACTTTGAGAGGCCAAGCAGGCAGATCACCTGGGGTCAGGAGTTTGAGACCAGACTGGTCAAGATGGTGAGACCCCTGTCTCTACTAAAAATACAAAAATTAGTTGGGCATGGTGGCACTGCCTGTAATCCCAGCTACTCGGGAGGCTGAGGCAGGAGAATCGCTTGAACCCAGGAGGTAGAGGTTGCAGTGAGCCGAGATTGCACCACTGCACTCCCGCCTGGGCAACAGAGGGAGACTCTGTCTCAAAAAAAGAAAAAAAGTGTTCTGCATCCTTATTAATGTTTTGTCTGTTTTAAACAGAGTTTCTGCTACAAATGGACTAAAATCTTTTCATTATGATTTTGGAGTTTTAAATTTTGCTTATACTTCTCAGTTTTTGCTTATATAATCCAACGTTATATCTTAAATACTTAGGATCCTTTCTTATCCCTATTAATGTTTTTGCCTTACAGTTTGATATTAATATACCTGTATCTAACTTCTAGATTTTTGTTGTATTTTTAGTAACATCTCTTAATAAGCAGAAGTTGGGGTCCACCCAACCTGATGTCCTTAAATGAGTTTAATCTATTTACATTTATTGTGATTACTGATGTATTTACACCATTTTATCTTCTTTTGTATTTCTTAACCACCTTCCCCACTTTTTTCTCCATTCATTCCTCCCATTGGATGAGTACATTTTCTCTATTCTCATGCTTTTTTCCTTTCTTCTCTTTACTGGCTCTAAATTTCTGAATTGTATGTCTTCTTTTAAAAATGACTTTTACATTTTATTATTATTTGAGAGAGTCTGGCTCTGTTGCTCAGGCTGGAGCGTAGTGGTGCGATCTCGGCTCACTGCAACCTCCCACCTCCCAGATTCAAGCGATTCTCATGCCTCATTCAGCCTCCTGTGTAGCTGGGATTACAGGCGTATGCCACCATGCCCAGGTAATATTTTGTATTTTTATTAGAGACAGGGTTTTGCTACGTAGGCCAGGATGGTCTCAAACTACTGGCCTCAAGTGATCTGCCTGCCTCAGCCTCCCAAAGTGTTGGAATCACAGGTGTGAGCCACCATGCCTGGCCTACGTTTTGTTGTTTTACCTGAAAATTTTCCAACTAAGTTTTTCAGTTTTCCTATTCTCCTGACCATGAAAACCCTTTAGCATGTTAACCCTTTAGTTGCATGCATGCAACCCTTTATCATGACCTATAATCTATTCATTGGTCATGCTTCCTATCTTGTCATTGTATCTTAGTATTGTATCAGCTATTTATTGCCACAGTAATGCTGCATTAACAAAGAACCACACACACAAACAAATCAGCAGCTTGTATAACAATAAACATTTATTTAGCTTAAGAGTTTGCATAGTCCAGCTGATCTGTGCTAGACTTGCTTATGCTTCTACAGTCAGCAGGCTGGTTGGCTAGGTGGCTCTACTGATTTTGGTTAGGGGTTAGCTGGTGTTGGTTGTGCCAGTTCGGCTTTGCCCCATGTGTCTCTCACATTCCTCCAGCAGGTTAGCCTGGGCAGGTTTCCATGGCAAGGGCAGAGGTACAAGAGTGGAAGCAGAACTCCACAAGCACTTTTACAAACTTCCTTATGAGTCAACAACATACCCTTGGTCAAAGCAAGTTACATGGCCAAGCAGAATCAAGTGGCAGGAAAGTAAGTCCCACTCCTGAGAGAAACATATTTTAAAATCTGTCTGACTTTTATATAAAAAGGGGGCATGGACTTGGAGGGCTAAAAAATGAGGCCATTAATGGAACCAACCTATCACACTTAACTGTACCTTTTCTCACACCCAAAAAAGTAATGTTTCCTACCCATAATTATGTTTTGACAAATTTTATATAGTCTCTATTCTTGTTTACATCCTACACCTTTCTACTGTATTATTTTCTTTTGCTCCAGTACATCTTCCATGGATGATGAATTCTCTTGATCTTTGCAAGCCTGAAAATGTTCATTTTGCCCTCACTTCAGAATTATATAGGTTGGTGCAAAAGTTATTGTGCTTTTTACCATTACTTTCAGTGGCAAAAACTGCGATTACTTTTGCACCAACCTAATAGTTTAGCTGGGTGTAACATTTAGACTTATTTTCCCTCAGTATTTAACTCTCCTATCTTTTGATTATTGCAGAGAATTCTGTCTAAATTTTCTTTATAGGTAATGTGCCTTTTCTTTCAGGTAGTTTTGAGATTTTTTCTTAACAGCAATATAATGTGTCTAAATATGGACAGGATTCATTTTTATTCAACCTCGTTGGAACTTGGTTAAGTTACAATCCGTGTATTCACAGACTCAGTTGTGGAAAACTGTGAGCTTTGTTTTATATATATATATATATATATATATATATATATATATATATATATATATATATATATATATATTTTTAACCAATGCTTCAATTTCCTTTTGCTGAAGCTCCCATATTAAAACTCTGCACTCATGTCTTAATTTTTCCTTCATATATATATACATTTTTTAAAATCTTATTTCTTGGTGCTCTGGTATGGGGCAATTTCTCATACCTTCATCTGTTTCACAGATTTTCTTAACTGTGTCCAGCCTATAGTTTATGCCAATTGAGCTGGTCCAATTACTACATTTTTCACTCAAAAGCTTTTTTTTTAAGAGACAAGGTCTTGCTTTATCACCCAGGCTATTCTGCAGTGGTGTGATCATAGATCACTGCAGCTTCACCTGCTGTGTTCAAGTGATCCTCTGGCCCCAGTCTCTGGAGTAGCTGGGACTCCAGGTGCAACACCCAGCTCATTAAAAACAATTTTTTTTTTTGTAAGTAGAGACAAGGTCTCACTATGTTGCACTTATACGATTTCCAAATGGTTTTTACACGTACCTGTTATTTCACTTGTTTTTGTTTTATAATATCTGAAAATCTATGTGGATGGATGGGTTATCTCTTTAAACATTCCAAAATACATTATTTTAAAATCTGTCAGACTTTTAAATAAAATGAATGTTACGTGGTTTGAATGCAGGTTCCAAGTTAGTTTGTTAACATATTTTGAAAGTTTGGTTCATGGGCTTAAAGCAGGAGGTTCATTTTTTTCTCTCTTCCCCACCATTCCTGCTTCCTTCTGTGCATCCCTTTGTCTCCCAGATCCCAAACCAAGTCTAGAATCAAAACTTTGAGAAAATTTCTTCCTATTCTCCTAATGATTTTAGAAATTATTTAAAATCCAATACTAAGCTTCAAAATAGCTTGGTTTCGTTCTAGATCGAGAGGCTAAATACGTATCTTCTAGCATCATTATGTCCAGCTTCTTCAAAACAAGGCCCTAGGTGGTGGCTAGCAAGAAGGGAGCTTTTGTTAGTTTTCTTTTATAAATAGGAGGGAAAGTGGGAGAAAGTCACATTCTAGCCTCTGCCTTAAAGCAGCAAACCTGGCTCCATTATCTTATTATATTATTATGTATATTATTTTTTGGCTCAATTACTCCACAGGAACCAATTTCTCGAGTTTCACTGTCAACTTCTACACTCAGAACCCAGGAGGCTCATGGTTTCTGCCTTCCCTATTTACATTTTTATTCCGCTTTTGATCCATAGAGATGCTTACCTTCTTTGAACCTGACTCTCTGTACTTTAATTCTTCTTTGGTTGGTTTCTGTTAGTAGTAGCAGTATTATGTGTATGGTGGGTTACATCAAAGTATGATATAATGCCTTCTTGATCAGAAGTCTTTATATAGAATATTCAAATAAACACATACACCAAAACACACACACTTTCTGACCTTGAATGACTATTTGAAATAAAGAATTTATTAAGTAAAAATGTAAGATACACATTTTTAGTGATACTGACTAAACATGAACTGTTATTATCTTCCAATAGATTGTTGAAAATTATGGTTCAAAGCCACTTAATCACCCGAACATTCAGGTAGAATTTTATTTCACAGAACCAAAAAGAGTTAAGTGACACTGATTTCCAGCTTGGAATTCAATTTCTTCTTATAAAAATCCCAGTTATAACTTATTAAAAATCAAAATGCTTTTTGGGGGGGTGTGGAGGATGAATAACTTTCAGACTAGCCCCAGAGTTGTGAATAAAAAAAAAAAATGCTGTGTTTATTTAGAGAGTATTACCCTTTGGAGCCACCGTTTGCACTAATGCATTTTACATTAGCGTGCCGCATCAGGAAATCCTGACTTTTTGGTGCCAAGGGGGTAATTAATATCAGTTCATGTTTTCAAAATGGTTGTGTTTATGTGGGAATGAGGACTGAACACTAACTTGTAGAGCTTGAAGTATGAAAGCTTGCTGTGAAGCAAGATCTTGGGAAAGAATGGAATACTGAAATTAATGAACAGGAAATAGGATTTCTTTGGATAGAATATTAGTGCTGAAGAGAAAGCCAAACTACACTTCCTTGCTCTTAATTTTCAAGGCAATAACAGACAGAATTCCCTAGTATAGCCATATTGATAGAAAAGAAGGTAAAATCCTTGATAGCTATATGCAGTATTTTGGTCCACTGATACCAGAAGTCCTGATAAATATCATTTCTAAATATCATTCCATAGCTAATATAGTTACAGCTTCTGTAGACATAAAACTCTTTACATTTGACCTAAGCTGAATAAGAGCTACTATTAAAGTAAAATCAAAATACTTTTGGTGCATGTTTTTTTATCCTCAAAGAAAAGATGGCAGAGAAACTAGAATCAAAGTACACATGCCATAGAGTCAAAGTCAGAAAACTAAGGAAGCAGCAAGAAAGCATTAGAGAAAAAAATTCAAAGAATCGATTAAAGTGATAAGTCAAAACGAAGTTGAAATCTTGAGAGAGGTTTTATGAGGTCCTACCTACAAAATGCTCAAAATAAGTACATGGAAAACATGATATTTATAAAATTTATAATTATACATATGCTAAAAAAGATCAATATTAACTATATTACCAATACTTTCAAATTAACCAAATTTATTGTTATTAAATGTGGCATTCCCATTCATTCAACTGATGGAAAGCAGAGAGTGATCGTAGAGAAAATGCTACATAATTTTAGCCTATTTCACTAGTCACAAACATGAAAGGAATTACTATAATGTATGCTAAACACACAGTACACTCACTTGTCATTCCTAAAAATTGATTCCATACAGAGCATATCATAGAGTAATATGAATTGGCCACTACTGCATCACCCTACATCAGAGTACAGGATTTGCTCCTATCACAAAGGGCTTAATAACATAGAAGTGTTACTTCTCTCATGTCGAAGTCCAAGCTGATTAGCGGGAGAGGAGAGGGCTTCATGACAACCATTTTCAGGGGACTTTTGCTTCTGTCTACCTACACTGTCATTCTCTGGAGTATCTTTCTATCTATAAAGCCAAAGCTCCCTAACAATAGGTCATGTTCCAGCCCATGGAAAAAAGAAAAGAAAAACGAAAGCACCGTTTTAAGAATGTGGTCTAGAAGCTGTACACATTACAACTCATAGCCTCCTGGGTTGAACTTAAAGTCATATGACCACACCAAGCTGCAAAGGAGGATGTTAAATGTCTCTAGGTAGGCAACCATGCACCCACCCAAAACAATAATGGAGGGGCCGGGCACGGTGGCTCATGCCTGTAATCCCAGCACTTTGGGAGGCTGAGGTGGGCAGATCACGAGGTCAGGAGATCGAGACCATCCTGGCTAACACCGTCAAACCCCTTCTCTACTAAAAATACAAAAAAAAATTAGCTGGGTGTGGTGGCAGGTGCCTGTAGTCCCAGCTACTCGGGAGGCTGAAGCAGGAGAATGCTGTGAATCCAGGAGGCGGTGCTTGCAGTGAGCTGAGATAGCACCACTGCACTCCAGCCTGGGCAACACAGCGAGACTCTGTCTCAAAAAATAAATAAATAAATAAAAATAATAATAATGGAGGAAAATCATTATTCCTAGGAGAGAACAAAAATGATAACCTTTCAGAACATTCAGGATTTCTTTTTCATCTATTTTAATATTAAATAATATTTTAATATACTATATCATGAGAAACCCTCTCAGGATGATATCACAGTTCAAAATTATAACATAAATGCATCAACTCACATATCTAAGTTCTTTTTTTTTTTTTTGAGACGGAGTTTCGCTCTTGTTGCCCAGGCTAGAGTGCAGATGGCACAATCTCAGCTCACTGCAACCTCCACCCTCCCGGGTTCAAGCGATTCTCCTGCCTCAGCCTCCTGAGTATCTGGGATTACAGGCATGTGCCAACACCCCAGCTAATTTTGGATTTTCAGTAGAGACGGGGTTTCTCCATGTTGGTCAGGCTGGTCTTGAACTCCCGACCTCAGGTGATCTGCCTGCCTTGGCCTCCCAAAGTGCTGAGATTACAGGCATGAGCCACCATGCCCGGCTCTAAGTTTTTAAACTATGGATCTCTATCAGGAAAAGACAAAATAAAAAATATATACCCATATATCTAACATATACGCATATATAATACACATATACACACATATATGCACCTGTATTTGTGTTTATATATGTAATGAACACACGTTTGTACATATATACATATGTGTGTGTATATATATGTAAAACAATCTCCCATTCTCAAGGTTATCAAATTGGGCAATAAATTACATTGTCACTCTAATTATAGGTCTTTATTAATGAAAATTATATTGCATTGTCTATTTCTGAGACTTCAATTTGTAAACAATAAAAGTTTTCTACTGATTTCTTTAGTAATCAAACAGAGATACTTTGGGGCAGCTAAAAAGACAGTCCATTAGCAGGGCACAAAAAAATTAAAGAGCTTTTAAACATCAACAAGCAAAAATCTCTAAAAGTTGTAGTCATTCTTTATAAAAACACACTTCAATAATTTTCTTACTATTAAGAAGCTAAGGGCCAGGCATGGTGGCTCATGCCTGTAATCAATCCCAGGACTTTGGAAGGCTGAGGTGGGCGGATAACTTGAAGTCAGAGTTCGAGACCAGCCAATATGGCAAAACCCCATCGCTACTAAAAATACAAAAAAAATTAGCCAGGCATGGTGGCATACTCCTGTAATCCCAGCTACTTAAGAGGCTGAGGCACCACAATCGCTTGAACCTGAGCGGCGGAGGCTGCAGTGAGCCAAGATGGGACCACTGCACTGCAGCCTGGGAAATAAAGCAAGACTCTGTCTTTACCAAAAACAAACAACAAAAAAGCTAGTGATTATGTATAATTTTGCAGATAACTTTTATCAAATAAAAAAACACTGTGTTAGAGAAAAACAACTCACAAGTTTATGCCAATTAAATTAGACAGTTAAATGCATTTAACTAGTCCTTGAAATGGAATACATAAAACATAAATAAATAGCTTTAACTATAATTAATTTTTTAAATTAAAGGAATAGAGTGGCTTCTCAAATCACTGGAAGAAAAATGATACAATAAATGATGCTTAAGCAACGTTATCCATAAGAAAAAAATTAATGTCCTAAATTATATCATGAACAATAAGTTTCAGAAAAATGGAAGCAAATATGAGGAATATTTTTACAAATTTGTTAGTTGGGGGGAGTCATAAGCCAAACTTTTGACTACATAAAATCTTAAAGCTTTAATACAGTGAAAGACATCATGTTACAAAATAATGGACAGAAGAGACCTGCAACAATAGAAGAGACAAAGGATTAACTGTGCAGGGACATATGTAATTTTACATGTATGTGCACACATCTCTGTGTGTCTGTGTGTAATTTCCTCTCTCTTACACAACAAACATCCCAACAGAAAAACAGACAAAGAACATTAAAAGGCATTTCATAGCCAAAAAAAAAGTGTAATAGGTACTTAAATTGATGCTCAACTTACAAATAAATGCAATTCAAATAAAATTCAGAGATAACATTTTAAAAAATTGATGAGAATTGCAAAAATTAGTAAGACTAATGAAACTGGTGTTGCCAGTGATATACCTTTTATGGTGATACTTTTTTCAACATCCATAGCCTTACACCTAAGATATTAAAAATTTACTGTAAAGAAATACCCCAACAGCACACAAAAAACCCCAAAAAAACAACTCTGCAATATAGCTTATAAAAGCTTTGTTTCTACAACAGTAAAAAATTAAGAGGCAACAAGGGAACAAGGAGCATTCAAGATATTTCTAAGTTAAAAAGAAAAGAAAGTTGCAGAATAGTATGTAGTATAATTCCGTTTTTGTTTTAAAAAACAACATAGGTTGGCTTATTGTGTAAAGTTAAACTGGAAGAAAAGTACCAAATTTTTAATAATTGTGACTTTTAATGGATGAAATTATGAAAAATGTTAACTCTTTGTATAATGTATGTCTATTAATCTTTTATTTAACATGAATGACTTTTTAAAATGAAAGAAAAGGCAATGACTTATACGTACAAATTCTCAGATGGTTTCTAATTCAATGTTAACATTGAAAACACAGAATTTAGGAGCAAGAAGAATCTTCAAGTACTTTTAGATATGTTTACTGGAATATTTAAGTGATTAAATAATATAGCGTTTGTTTCTATTTGGGGGTTAGTGTATGAACAATCAGAAGTTTCGCCATGAGTTGCTAAGTATATAAATTGGGTTAACATTACATGGGGGCCCATCGCACCATACTCTGCTCTACACTTGGGTGTATGTTTAAAAATTCCATTAAAAAATTTTAAGAGAAAACCAAAAACAATGTGCCACCTGAATAATGCTACAGAATAATAACATATTCCCAAATAACAGAACTAACACACTTAGCATATTTTGAAATGTTTAATAGTGACCCCACTCTTTTCTTGGTAATACTTTGTTTCTGGAATTTTATGGGATAGTATGATATTATTACTTCGATAAAATGCAAATTTCAGTTGTAGAATATATAGTCTGTACAGAAATGTCAAATCTAGTAGACAGCTACTGGTAAAGTTATTCCTCTTACTAGGTATCAGAGGAGTAAGGTAATTTTTGTCACCACCAATTAAAAACTTTTACAAAATAGGACTGTTATAAAACAATTAAACCTTGCAAATGCACTAGTCTCCAGGAAGAAAGTCCTGGAGGAAATTCTGCTTATTAAAATTGCAATTTTAGTTTCCATTAAAAGGAGAATAAGACAACAGAAGATGGGTTGGCAAGACAAATTATTTCTTAATGTCAGTTGAGCTTATTTCAAATGAGATAACGTACTACACCAGGTTGGGTTCAGTACAATTTTGTCTCCTCAACTCATTTATCTAATTCAGTCATCTTGATTATAGCCTTATGGACTTCATTTTCGGAGAAAGAATTCTGTAACAAACAGCCTACACAACATGCTGATTACTGAACGGTTAATTCTAATTAACTTGGGCATGGCAAGAGAATTTTGATAAAGTCCTAGAATACAAATATAGTCTGCTTATACTGGACTAACTTATATAAAAACCCACAGCATAGTCTCCAGACAAGACAAGAGAGTCAAAGAGATCTAATTTAAAGAAACAAATGAGAAAATTAAAATCACAAATAATTTATTCTTCCGTTAGAGTTGATACAGTTTTAAATAGCAACAAAGTACACAGTGGTGGAAAATTGGCACAGAACCTACAAGCATTTCAATCACAATAAGGCTGTCCATGATTTATCTGTTCAAACTTGATGTCCATTTTCTACTGATCAAGTTGAAAGAAAAAACCTATTCTGGCCAGGCACGGTGGCTCACGCCTGTAATCCCAGCACTTTGGAAGGCCGAGGCGGGTGGATCACCTGAGGTCAGGAGTTCGAGACCAGCCTGGCCAACATGGCGAAACCTCGTCTCTACTAAAAGTACAAAAATTAGCTGGGTGTGGTGGCGGGTGCCTGTCATCCCAGCTACTCAGGAGGCTGAGGCAGGAGAACTGCTTGAACCTGGGAGGCGGAGGTTGCAGTGAGCTGAGATTGCGCCACTGCACTCCAGCCTGGGCGACAAGAGCAAGACTCCATCTCAAAAAAAAAAACAAAGAACAAAAAACAAAAACAAAAAAACCTGTTCTGACCTTGAAACACACAAACACACACTCTCTCTCTCATACACACACAGAGACCCACTGAAATTCCTCCTTTTGATTACAGTATGTTGAGAACAGTATGTTCTGCTTATTCAAATTTATGACGCCCCTTCTGTTTTGTTTCCAGTTAGACGTGGGAAAAACCAATTCAATTATAAAGAATACATCTTATTCCCTGGGCATAGGCAACTGTGATGAAAATAGCAACTTACCTTTGGGCTAGATGTTTTCAGATTATGCTTAAATAACCGTGGTTAGAAATTTTTCAATGCATGCTTTCCTGCCCCACGCAATCTCCCTGAATTTAGCTAAAATAATCAGGCACAGGACAGTCTCAAATAATGATTAAAATATGCCATGCTAATAAACAAGGTTATCTAGAATGCAACCTCGGTGCTTTAAAAACAGATAGAATAAACCTCATCAATAAGCATTTTCCTAAATATCTCTTTGTGTTATATCAACCAACATAAAAAAGGGAAAAACATAAAAGTGTCCCTTTATAAATGATATTATTTCCAGATAAGAAAGTTGAAACAAAGGTTTGTAAAGTCTCCTGAACTATTCAGTTTAATAACCAATTATCCCTCAATATTACAAAATAAAATGACTGGATCAATGTTGACTCTTCTTTGATATCATTTATAAAATGCTTTGATATTACTTACTAAGTTCCCTGATAACTCAAACAAGGTAAAATTAACACTTTCATTTTCAGTTATTGCTATTTTAGAAGAGGATTACCACTTTCATTTAGATGAAACTGTTTTACCAAAGCCTCCTCAGATCCAACACAAAGTAATTCTTATTGCCTCACATTTTAAAACAGTATTATAAATGATCTTTATAAAAAGGTTTAATCCACAAAACTGGAAGGCTTTTAAAAAATGTCTTTTTACTCAAAACTGTATCACAGTGCCCTTGATTATCTAATAGATAAAAGGGATTTGAATTTCCTCTATGAGAACAGAACAGTGGACATATGGTGTGCTTTGTCTTCCCCTCACCTTTATCTTTATAGCACACCATTTTGAGACCAAAACAATCAAGCATCTACCATGTTCCAGTCCACATTAACAGAGGATTTCTGATGCTGTCCAGTGCGTAGTGTACCGCCTTGCATATTCACCACATGAAATAAACATAATATACAAAATATTGCTGCTGTAAAAAGTGTACATTTCCCTCTTCCCCTTACAAAAAAATCTGTGGAAAAGTATTAAATTCCCTTACCCTTCATAAACATACAAAGCTGTTCACACCTTTCAGTCTGTAACAGTCCATTTGAAACACAGTTCCAAAATCATTACAAATTGGTTATGTCATTGCATTTTCTGTCCAATGTTGCCATCTAGAGTAGAAATGTGAAATCAAGAGTATTTTTGAGCTACTAAAGCCTTTTATAACTAAACCACAAAGGCTGCTTACTGATGAAACAGCCACTTATCCACAAGGTTTTTCCAAAAACTAGATGGAATGGAAGGATCTCTTCACAGGGAGGTGTCCACAGTGCTGAGGTGACAATATGGCTGCTAATAGATACTGGCTACTGGAATGTAAGTACTTTTTCACTGCTGGTAATTTCCATACTGTCCCTAAAAGATAAATTTAAAAATATAATTAGATAATAGTTTGACCATAACAGGCAAAGAAGATTACAAACGAATCATTTCTAACACTGTCATACCACAAAAAAGCAGCCGTACCTACAATAAACAAAATTTTTTTATATCGTTAGGTATACAGTATCACCCTGTAATTTCTTCTGATATTATATTCAATT
This sequence comes from Homo sapiens, assembly GCF_000001405.40. Classification (NCBI taxonomy): domain Eukaryota; kingdom Metazoa; phylum Chordata; class Mammalia; order Primates; family Hominidae; genus Homo; species Homo sapiens. The sequence goes on from NC_000018.10 coordinate 26,018,569, forward strand.
GCAAATGAATTTCATAGTCCAAAATATGCTAGGGATTAGCAAATGAGCCTAGAATAATACTTGTCAGAGTGGGAACTTAAATGTTTAGTGAATTTTGTTGAATGAATTGAGCAGGCATTGAGTGAGAAGTTCTAGTTCTAAACTCTGATGTAATATATATATTAGGGTGTAAATCATATGCTAGTGTGACAACTTTGTGAGTGTTTAGCTTGTTATAATTATTACAAATGAACATCAAGGGTATTTGCAATAAGTGGCAAGTGAAAATGGAAAGGTATGTGGGACATAAAAGGTAAAGAACCTTCTATCCATACCAAAATAATTGAGCCTTTCCCTGAGGTCAACAAAGTTCAGCAGAGGTATTTAGACAGGCCACAGGGACATAAAATCAAGGAAAGCTGTTTTGTGTTGTCTGTTTTGTTTTCTTAATAAGGTAGACTTGAAGACCCTCAGGATGACAGGATGAGACAGAAAGGGAATATAGACAAAAGGGACATGATGAAGCAGCACGAAGGGACATGATGAAGCAGCACAATTCTGTGAGTGGGGGTAAACAATGTCCAGTATACATCTGTTCAGGTTAACTTTTGGAGAAGATAAGCAACATCTTTTCCTCTAAAACAGAAGGTAGAAAAAAAGAAAGACATACTATGAAATATGTATTTTATTACAAATTTCTTAAATGTGTTTAAAACAGATGTTCATAAAAGCACTAATTTTCAAAAAGCATGACTCACTGGAAGCATATAATTAGTTAACTGTTTCCTTTGGCTAAACAACTCTCTCTCCACGTCACAACAATATAACTCAAAAACATTCTAGACTTGAAATACTTCTCTACCATAAGAAATGGTACCCTAAAAATCTACATTTCCACAGAAGTAAATACACATGATAATGTGTTGAATGTCACCATATATATGATGGAATAATGAATTAAACAGAATTAGGGATTTTATGGGCCAGGCATGGTGACTCACACCTGTAATCCCAGCACTTTGGGAGGCCAAGGCGGGTGATTCACTTGAGGTCAGGAGTTCGAGACCAGCCTGACTAACATGGTGAAACCCCGTCTTTACTAAAAATACAAAAATTAGCTGGGCGTGGTGGCGCACATCTGTAATCCCAGCTACTTGGGAGGCTGAGGCAAGAGAATTGCATGAACCCAGAAGGCGGAGGTTGCACTGCACTCTAGCTTGAGCAACAGAGCAACTCTGTCTCAAAAAAAAAAAAAAAAAAAAAAAAAAAGAGATTAGGGATTTTACACTAGTGTGTTTTACATAGTTATATTCAGCTAAATTTAAATCAATGATCATCTTGAAGGATTTATGAGTAAAATGATATCACATCTAAGATTTGCTCTAAAATACTCTGAAAAAAATAGTGTAGAGGGGTAGATAAAACAACATTGGCAAAATGTTGATAAACTGATGAAGTTGGGTGATGGGTACACAGGGGTTCACTATATTACTCTCTTTTCTATATGTGTTTAAAATAAACATAATAAAAGGTTTAAAATAAGAAAGTTATTGGTTAGCATACTGGAGCTTATTATTCCATTGTTAGATTGTCTAAATACTAAATCTGAGTTTAAGTTCCAACTCTATTGCTAACTTCTTATTTGAGTCTAAAAAAACCTCTGTGAGACTCGGTTTCTTCAATCATCAGTGGGAGAGTAACATATATATCTCTGGATCACAATTTCCCTTCTGTTAATGGCTACATTAATTCCTGTACCTCATCTGTTTGTTATGATGCTTAAATAGGAGAGGACATGAGAAAGCGCTTTTTAGAATTATAAATCAGTGACTCTCAATGATGGAGGGAAATGCTCCCCTAGTCAATGTATAAAATGAGATGCTAATGATGAAAGTGAGTTGCAAATATAAATGATGTGAAAGCAGAAGAGAGGTTAAGAACCACTGTACCATAGTATATAAGCTATAATTTATCTACTGTATTATGAACTACTTGAAAGAGACCAGGTCAATAATGTATACCAAATAAATTATATCCAAGCAACTGTGAACACTTATGGAACAAATACTCATCATCATCAAAAATGTGGAAAACAGAGAAGACTCAGAAATTAAGGTATAATTACAAAACAGATAAGTTCTCTAAGTCTTAGCAAACTTAAGAGAGTTCAGAAAGGAAAAGGTTAACACAGCCTAAATTAATTAGAAAAATATTCCCAAGAATGTGGGAGCCTTGAGAAAACAGTAAGATCTGAATAGCAGAAAAGAAGAAAAGAAAAGGGGGCAATTCAAATAGAAGAAATAGCTGAAACAAAGGCATGGAGGATAAAACACAGAATGCTTAGGGAAGTGGGAAGAAAGAATACGCAATAATGAGGAGTAGAAGCTAATAATATACCCTGATAATAATACCTCAGTTTGTGTCACATATTGTATTAAATGCTTTGTGTCCATCTATATATAGTAAATATTACCTCCATTTTATAGAAGAAGAAATGGAGGCACTGAGAGTCTAAGTAACTTGGCCCATACTTGATCACAATGCTAGGACCAAACAAAACCACAATCATGCCTAAAAAGGTAGGCTGTGTATCTGCAACCATTAACAAATTCCAAGGTGGCATTAAGGATTAAAAGTACGGCTTTTGGAGCCAGAAACCAATTTCTAGTGCTAACGTCACCACTTAACAGCTTCTTATCCTTGGGCAAGTTGCTTAACCTCCCTGAGTTTCAATTTTATCATCTGACAAGGGTAATTATAATCTCTATTTTAAAAAGTTATTCAAGAAGAAAAACATGAAAATGCTCTGTGAACTACTCAAGTACTCATTAACAGTATGGGTGGCAGCATGGTACAGTGAACAGAGCATGGGCTTTCAGCACTCAGCAGTAGTCATGCAGCTTCACCACTCCTGAATTCTGTCATCTTGAGTAAATCACTTGAACACTCTAAGCCTCACCTTCTCTCTCTTTGCTCTTCAATTTTTAAAAAAAATTCCTCTGACTACAGTATAAAGAATTTTAATGGGAAAGAAGACAGTATGGAAGATCCTACTGCGATGAAGACAGGAGATGAACATGGTCTAAACTAAGATAAGGGTGTAGGTTAGAAAGAAATGAATGGGTTCAAAAGCTTTTCAAAAAGGAAGATCAATAACATTTGTCATTTATTAGACAAGGGAGGAAAAGCAGGGACACTTAAATACCAAACAGGCACTTGGCAATCTAGCTTGGTGATAGTACCCCTCTCTTTGATAAAGAACACAGAAAAGTTTTGGTAGAAAAAATTATAAATTTATTTTGTTTCTGCTGAATTAATACCTATGATACATCTAAGCAGAGCTGTCGAGTAGGCATCTAATTTCCAGAAGAGAGATTGAGACTATAAATAGAGATTTGGGAGTCAACAGCATGGTGAACTGAGACCTTGTGAATAAATGAGAATGCCTAGGGAGAGTATATTGAATGAGAAGAGTTCCTAAGGTAGAAATCTGAGCAATACCAAAATCTTTACATTTCTTTCCTTCATTCTATTTACCTAATCAGTTTAAAATCTTAACATTATTCCTTCACAACATTTTAGGGGTTTCCTCTTAACTCTGGTCTTGTGATCACGCATTCAAATCTAGAAAGTAGTGGCCTTATTTACTCAGTTGTTTATACTTTATTCACCAATATTTACTGATTATGTGCTGTGCTCTACTAGGTGACAGAGACTCAACAGTAATAAAAACAGACAAAGCGATGCTTTTAAAGAGGTTACATTCTTGGGGAAGAAGAATATGACAATAAACAGTAACAAAATAATCTGTCAAATGAAGAGAAATGTTATGTTGAAAAATTAATGCATGTTTCTATTCAAGATGGATTTATCTGGCAGCCTGAAACAATAAAAAAAAAAAAAACTACACAAAGCATATGATAATCATATTCAGGACACACAGGACAGAGCCAACAAAGGACAATGATCCCTGAGACATGGTAAACAAATGAGGCCAGCCCTCTGACTACCACAGCTAACTACCTTGAGAGTTTCCAGTCTGCAGTGCACGAAGGGGAACTGAGGCTGAGTCTGCCAGATGTTCTGACTTAAGGAGATAAGGCTTAGAGTCTGGAGAGAAAAAGGTAGCTAGAGTTAACAGGACAGAGTACCCTACAAGAAAGATCTGCCTAAAGAGACAACTGTGGAGATGTGCAGAGGAACCCTCCTCCTATTCAGCATAGTACAGATATGCAAATGTGTGAGGAAAATACCCAGGGCTGAGGCAAGAAACACCCAAAAGGATTAGGGGAAACAATACTTGTTTGTCACATAGGAACAGAATCAGTGCTTATTCCCACCAGTCAGAGTAAAAAGCCTTACAATTCAAAGGGCATTGGGCAAAACACCCAAAAGGCTCTTACCTTATCAGTGATGAGTATTTAGCCCAGGACTAAACACTGCTCTTTGTCCTGCCTAGAATATCTTAAAAGCAATTTCAGAAAGTTCAAACTGTTTGTAACTTATTAAACTGAATCCCAAAGCAAAGCTTAAGAATATCTCTAGGTATACATATATCTTCATCACCCAACATAAAATTCACAATGTCTGGAATCCAATCAAAGATTATCACGCACACAAAGGACAGAGAAAAAAAACTGATTAAAACTGACCCTAAAATGACATAGATTATTAGAGTTGGCAGAAGAGGATATTAAAAGAATTATATTTGTATTCCATATGTTCAAAACAATTAAGGACAGACACGGAAGATATTAAAAAGACCTAAACCAAACTTGTAGAGATGAAAATGACAAAGTCTGAGATAACACTCAACAAACTCCAAGCATAAGAAACATGAAGAAATCAACACCAATGCATGCTCTCATCAAATTGCTCAAAACAATTTGGGCAAGAGAGAAATTTCTTCAATCAAACAATTTGATAAAGGGAAAATCTTAAAAACAGAGAAAAAAGACATATTAACTACAAAAGAACAAAGATAAATGACAGCAAATGTCTCCTTGGAAACAATGTAAGGAAGAAAAGAGTGGAGCATCTTTAAAGTATGGAAAGAAAACAAAAACAAACTGTCCACCTAGAATTCTATACCCAGAGAAAATATCTTTCAAAAATAAAGGCAAAATAAACATTTTTTTCAGACATACAAAAGCTGATTATTACCAGTACACCTGCATTTCAAGAAATGTTAACATCCTTCAGGCAAACAAAAATGATACCACATAGTAATATGAATCCATACATAAATAATGAAGAGTACCAAAAACGGTAACTACATGGGTCAATTTAAAAATTTTTTTTTCCTTATTATTTAAGTATCTTTAACTGATTTTTTTAGACAAAAATAAATTCAATACACTGTGGGGTTTATAACGTATACAGAAGTAAAATTTGTAACAATAACACAAAGAGAAGAAAAGCAGACTACCTTAAGGTTCTTACACTATGTATAGGCATACTATCACTTGAAGACACTGATACACGCTACACAGACGAACCTTGAAAATATTATTTTAAGTAAAAAAAACAAAACACCAGTCACAAAACTCCACATATTGTATGATTCCATTTATCTTAAATGTACTGAATAGGCAAATCTATAGAGATAGAAAGTAAACTACTGTTGCTGGAAAATCTCCAAATATTTGAAAACGAAATTACAGAATGAGTATTTAAGTATTTAAGGCTGAGTAGTTAAAGGGGAATGAGGAGTGACTGCTAATAGGTATACAGTTTATCAGGCTGGTGAAAATGTTTTAAAATTAGAGGGTGGTGATGGCTGCACTTTTTTGGGGGGACAGGATATTAGCTCTGTCACTCAGCCTGGAGTATAGTGACACAATCACAACTTACTGCAGCCTCGACCTCCTGGGTTCATGCAATCTTCTGCCTCAGCCTCCTGAAGAGCTGGGACTACAGGCACATGCCATCATGCCTGGCTAGTTTTTTGTAGAGGTGGGGGTCTCGCTTTGTTGCCCAGGTTGGTCTTCAACTCCTGGGCTCAAGCAATCCTCCTGCCTTAGCTTCCCAAAGTGCTGTAATTATAGGCGTGAGCCACCACCCCCAGTCTACCTTTTTGAATATGCTTAAAAACCACTGAATGGTATACTTTAGAATGGTGACTTGTATGATATGTGATTTATATCTCAATAAAGCTGTTTTTGTTAAAAAGAGGAGAAAAATCAAAGGAAGGCAGAAAAAGAGGAAAAGGAGAACAAAAACCAGATGTGACAAATAGAAAAAATAAAGATGATATACTTAATCATATCCATAATCACACTAAACATGTCAAAAACCCCAATTTAAAGGCAGCAATTGGCAGGCTGGATTTAAAAAAAGCAAGATCCGACTGACTACATATGCTGTCTACTTGAAATATAATTTAAATATAAAAACAAATATGTTAAAGGATGAAAAATTATTATTCTAATACTAATCAAAAGAAAAGTGGTATTGCAGTATTGATACTAGACAAACTAGATTTCAGAGCAAAAAATATTGGCAGGGATAAAGACAGTTATTTGATAATGGTAAAGGAGTAAATTCATCAGAAAGATTTGAAAATCTCCAAATATTTGAAAATGAAATTGCACACTTCTGATGTGTTGTGGGTCAAAAAAGAAATAAAAAGTGAAACCAGGATGTATTTTGAACTGATTAAAAATAACAGCATCAGATGCAGTTTAAGAATACTTAGAAAGAAACATCTATATTAGAAAGAAAGACAGTTCTTAAATCAATGGGACTACAACTTCAATCTTAAGAAACTGGAAAAATAAGAACAAATAAAACCCAAGTAAGCAGAAAAAAAGAAATAATAAAGTTCTGGGCAGAAATCAAAGAAACAGAAAAGCAAATGGGCAAAAGGCAATAAATAAAATCGAGCTGCTTTTTGAGAAAAATGAATAGGTAGATTAAAACTAGCCAGATAAATGAGGACAAAGAGAGAAGACACAAATTATTAATATCAGAAATGAGAGAGGTAATATCACTACAGATTATGGAGATATTGAGCGATGATAAAGAAATTATTCAACAACACAGATAAAATGGACAACTCCAATGAAAAACACACAAAACATTTACTCAAGAAAAAAATAGATAACCTGAATACCCCCTATATTTCATAAATTAAATTTATAATTTAAAAATTTCTCACAAAAAAAACTACAAACCCAGATGGCTTCACTGGTAACTTTGCACCAAACATTTTAGAAAGAATAATGCCAATTTTCTGAAGGGAGGAAATTCTTCCCAACTCACTCTATGAAACCAGTGCTACCTCAGTAACAAAACCAGACAAACATGTTACAAGAAAAAAAAAAAACAGATTCCAAAATTTGTCATGAAAACACAGATGTTCCTTGACTTGCCATGGGGTTATGTCCCAATTAACCCACTGTAAGCTGAAAATATCCTAAGTTTTGCATACCTCATGTAATTTATTAAACACTGCACTGAAAATATAAAACAGAATGATTGTACAGTTACTGGAAGTAGAATTTCTACTAAATACACATCACTTTTCACAGCATTGTGAAGTCAAAAAACCTAAGTTGAACCACTGTTATGTCAGGACACAACTGACTGGGACTACAGGCATATGCCACCATGACTGGCTAGATTTTTATAGAGGTGGGGGGTCTTGCTTTGTTGCCCAGACTGGTCTTGAACTCCTGGACTCAAGCGATGCAGATGCAGAAATTCTTAACAAAATTTTAGCTAATCAACCCAATATATAAAAAGGATATATATCATGACCAAATAGATTTTATCCCAGGTATGAAGTTGGTTCACATTTGAAACTCAAACAATGTAATTCAAAAATTAGCAAACTAAAGAAGGAAAACCATAATTCCCTCAATAGATAAGGAAAAATCATGTGACAAAATTCAACATTCATTCCCAATAAAAATTCTCAGCAAACTAGAAATATAACACCTGATAAAGGACATCTACAAAAAACCCTACATGAACATCTTATATAAGGATGAAAAATGACAACTTTCTCTCTAAGATCAGGAACAAGACAAAAGATGTCTACTCTCACCATTTTTATTTAACATGGTATTGGAGTTTCTAGTTGAGGCAAGCAGGAGGGTGGGGAAGGAACATGGGGGAGCATTCAGATTGAAAAGGAAGGAGACTGTCTTTATTCACAGACAACATGATTTCTATGTTTGAATATTCAATGAAATCTACAAAAACACTACTAGATGTGATTTTAGTAAAGTTATAGTTTTGATAAAATATCAATACACAAAAATAAGCTGTATTTGTATATACTAGCAACTAATAACTGGAAACTAAAATTTTAAAAAATTTACAATAGCATCAAAACACATAAAATACTTAGAAAAATAAATGTAAGACCTATATAGTGAAAATTATATGACACTGTTAAAAAAAATTTTAAGGGACATATGCCATGTTCATAGGTTGGAAGACTAAATAATACTGTCAGTTCTCCCCAAATTAATCTATAAATTCATGGCAATTACAATGAAACTCCTAGTAAGCTTTTACGTACAAACTGACAAGCTGATTCTAAAATTTATATGGAATCCAAAGAACTTACAGTGCCAAACAACTTTGTATAAAAAGAACAAAGTTCAAAAACTAATACTACCTGATTATAAAACTTATTTTAAAACTATAAAACTTATAAAACTATACTAATGAAGACAGTGTGGTACTGGCATAAAGATACATAAACAGATCAATGGAACAGAATAGAGTTCAGAAACAGACACATGTTTATGGACAACTGATTTTTTGCAAAGGTAAAACGACAATCCAGTAGGTAAAAGAGAGTTTTTGGCTGGGCACGGTGGCTCACGCCTGTAATCCCAGCACTCTAGGAGGCCGAAGCAGGCGGATCACGAGGTCAGGAGATCAAGACCATCCTAGCCAACAAGGTGAAACCCTGTCTCAACTAAAAATACAAATAAAAATAAATAAATAAATAATTAAAATTAGCTGGGCATGGTAGCGCACACCTGTAGTCCTCGTTACTCATGAGGCTAAGGCAGGAGAATCGCTTGAACCCGGAAGGCGGTGGTTGCAGTGAGCTGAGATCGCGCCACTGCACACCAGCCTGGTGGTGACAGAGCGAGACTCATCTAAAAAAAAAAAAAAAAAAAAAAAAAAAAAAAAAGTCTTTTCAACAAATGACTCTGAGAAAATTAGCTATGCATCAGAAAGAAAAAAAGCCATGCAAACTTTATTTCATACTTCACACCATACATAAAAATCAACTCAAAATGAATCATAGACTTAAATGTAAACTCTAAAATTATATAACTTCTAGAAGAAAGTACAGGAGAAAATCTTTGTGACCTTCAGTTAGGTAAAGATTTCTTACACATGATCCCAAAAGCATAATCCATAAAGAAAAAACTGATAAACTAAGCTTCATCAAAATTTAGACTCTCCTGTCTTTGAAAGACACTATTTATAGAATGAAAAAACAGACAGGATGAAAATATGTGCAAATGATACCTGATTAAGGACTTGTATCTAGGATATACAAAGGCCTCTTAATACTCAATAATAAAAAAAATAAAGAGCCTCCAATTTAAAAATGAGCAAAAGATTTAAACAGACACTCCTGAAAAGAAGAAATATAGGTAGCAAATAAGTGAGAGAAGATGGTCAACATCATTTGTCCTTAGGGATACTCAAATTAAAGTCATGAAGTGTTATAGCACACCTATTAGAATAAATAAAATTTAAAAGACTGATTCATACCAAATATTGGCAATGAGTTAGCAAGGATATGGGTGAAATCATACACTGCTGGTAAGAATGTAAAATGATAGGAATATACAATGGTACAACTACTTCGGAAAACATTCTGGCAGTTTGTTGAATTAAATATATACCTATCATATGATCCAACCATTCCACTCCTAGGTATTTACCCAAGAAAAATGTCCCCAGGGACTTGTCCATGAATGTTCATAGTACTGTGTCTGTAAACCCAAATGTCCCATCTCAATGGACAAACAAATAGCCATATAATGGAACACTACTTAGCAATAAACAATTACTGGCACAAACAACATAAGTATCAAAACAATTATGCTGAGTAAAAGAAGCCAGATAAAAACCAGAACATACTATATTATTCAATTTCTATACAATTTTGGAAAATGTAAACTAATCCACAGTTTAGTTAAAAGATCAGTAACAATGTCTGGAGAAGGGATGCAAGTGGAGGGATTTCAAAGGGGCACAGGGAAAACTTCTGGGCATGATAGATACCCCATTACTTCGATTCTGCTGATGGTTTCACAGGTGTGTATATACGTGTCAAAAAAGATCAAACTGTACACTTTTATTACATGCAGTTTAATGGTATATAAATTATACTTCAATTAAGCTGTTCAAAAAACTATGAAAAGGGTAGGGAAAAAGAGTGATGCAATGGAGGGTGTTATGTCTTACTTAGGTGGTCAGTGAAGGACTCTCTGATACGACGTGATGACATTTAAGCAGAGATTTTAATAAAGTGAGGTTGGAGGCACTGCAGGCATTCAGGCAGAAAAAGGGGCAGCAAATACAAAGATTCTCAGGTAGAAACTCACTTGATGCATGTAAGGAACAGCAAATAGGCCAGTGTGACTGAAGCAGAGTGAATGAGGGCAGCGAGTGGTTGGGATATAAATATGCAGGCACAAGGAGGGTAGCATAGGAGGTGGGAGCACAAGTCCTATATGGCCTTGTAGGCCAGTATATCATATGGCTTTTACTTAAAACACCACAGGGTTGTAAGCAGAGAGGTGACTAATGTCTTTAAAACATTACTCTGGGTCCCATGTGCAGAGTATCTTGTAGAGGAGGCACGATAAAATCAAGAAAAGCAAAAAGGAGGATATATTGCAACAGTCCAGATGAGTGCTAGTTGTGACTTTTGACTTGGGTGAAAGGAGACTGTGAAAAATGGCTAGATATTAGATATATTTTGAAGGAAGAGGTGAAGGGGTTTGCTAATTGGATGTCTGCTTTGCAAAGAGGGGAGTCAAAGATGACTCTAGATTTTTAACCTGAGGAACAGGAAGAATGGAACCACTGTTTACTGGATAGCAAGGACCGATGGGGAAGTATCCTAACAATTTCCACCCTTTTAATTTCTCCCCTTTTATCTTGCATATTGCTGTAAGATTCATCTGCCTAAACTACAACTATAATTATGTTAGTATTGGGTTTCAGAATCTTCGTTAGTTTTCCATTGCCTCAACCATCAAGACGTGAACGAACTATTTTTCCTAAAATAAAGAGATCAATAGGTCTTTGGGTGGGGGCTAAAGATAAGGTTAAACATTAGGTTAATGTAGAAACACTACTGGCACTAAAATAGCTAAAATGGTCCCCCCCTCATATTCTTTTCTAGTGGGGAAGGAGAAGTGGTTGGCAACTACTCAAACACCATGAGTCTTTATCCACACAGTATAGTCCCAAATTCCTGAGAACTTTAGAGAGTGGAATAATTATGATGATAAAAGAAGTAAATCATGTATCTATCATAGCTACCAAGTGCTAGCCACTGCTACACACTTTATATACACTGCTTTTCAAGCTCCACACTGATGTCAGGATAAAGTTCAAGTCCCCTAATACGGCTTGTAAGAGCCTTCCTAAGCTAACTCCAACACCTCTCTCCAGTCTTGTCTCTTCTTCCCCATGCTTCTGCTTTACTGAACTACACACGGTTTAACACTAGTCCCTTTGTGAATGCTCTTCTTTCATCATCCACATCTACCTGGCTAATATTGGCTCATCCTTGGTACTTCACACTTATATATAATATTTCCGAAGGAATATTTCTCAAGATCTGAGTTAGAAGCTCCTTCCACATAAATCTTAGCTTTCCTTATCTAAGTACTTATCACACTGTATCATATCATATGTTTACCCACCTGTATGCCATCTACACTTAAGTTCATAAAGACTGAGTCCACGTCTATCTTATTTCCCAATATGTTCCCAATCTTAGCATGGCACTTGGCATATAATGGTTGCTCAATAAACATTTGCTTAATGAATGGCTTGAAGTTTAGGAGATTTGGAAATATATTGACTTAGAAAGGAAAATGATCAGTTTAGTCTACAACATGCTAAAGCTGAGGGAATCCAAAGACAAGAGATGTTCTGTACATTTGGATAAAAAGGAGCTGAAACTGGGTTGAGAAGTAAGAGCTAAGAATACTGAAAATAGAGGGCAGTATGATTCAGAGGCTAGAAAAAAAAATACAGAGTCAAGAATTGATATTAGGGTAAAATAAAAAGGAAAACCAATAAAAACAATAAAGAATGAATCAATGTAAACGCGAGAGGAACAAAATGTTTCAGAAATATAGAAACTAAAGAAGACCATCTAAAAATGAAAAAGGAAAATGTGCCAATAGCTAAAGTGAGGTCAAGGAAGATCAAGACAGCTGGTTGACTATTTTACCTCCGTAGGACCTACTGCAGTATCAAACACATGGAGAATAAATATTTGTTGAGTGATGGAATACATGGACAGAATCTCACTTTTTAAAAAGTTTACCTGCAGATTACAATGAGCCTAAATTTTATCTGCTCAGGAATCCTGCCTTTAAATACTCACTAGCCACGACTTATTTCACTTCTAAAACTTAATAAAACCTCCAACTGATCCTTTTGTTTTGTTTGAGGATATTTTTGAAAAATATTACTTATCTGTTCTTATGCTTTTTGTATCTCCTTTGCCTTAAATAAGAAGTGTCAATACAAGAGGGTTGTAGGCATGAGAGAGGGCTGATCAAAGAACTGCTCATGCCTCAAATTCTAGTTACCACTGCATCTGAGTTTTTCCTCAAACCAGATACTGATGTTGGCCCTGAAAGCCTAAACTGCATATTAAAGACAGTTCCTTGTTAAAAAATAACTTATTTTAGATAGCTTAAGTGGTGAACAAACCAGACCACCTTCACTGAAAAGTGCAGACAAACCTGAAACCAGCCTAAAGGAACTGCCATAATAATAAATCATTTCCATAATAATTCAGAGTATATATGAGTACATTCATAAAACGATGACTGTGGTACAAGTCTGAGGAGTTTAATGACAAAAATAAGGCAGTTAAATGAACACTGGGTTCAAGGGAATACAGTCATCCTAGGATGAGATACACTTCTACATATCTGAAAGAAGAATGACAGGGGAGAAATAACAGTTGAAATAATAGTTACGTGTGTGGAAGGAGGCAACAGAGGGCGGAAAGTTTTAATTTAAAGAGATGGGATATTATGGGTGTGAAGGAAGTGTAGTGGATATGCTGGAGTGAAGTGGAGTGCTCATGAAAGCATCAACACAGATGGACTCCACATCTCAGTAGGTTAAGGCAAAGTCTCAGCAATAAACATCAGGGAGGATCACAGAAATCACTAAGGTTACCAGAGGTTGGGAAGAAAAGGGATGAGAAGGGATCACGGAGGGGGAACCAAATGAATTTATTAACGTTGAACTGTATGTACACTCAAAAATGGTAAATATGATAAACTCTCTATCTATACTTTACCTCAGTAAACAAAGTATGCCTGAGGGTAAAGACCACAGAGCAAGAGGGGGAGAGAGAGAGACAGAATATATATGTTGTTGTCTTATGATAAGGCCATGTTTTATATGATAGAGTAACTATGATCAACTGTGTTATTAAACAGCATGAATCTCAAAAGTGATACACTTTTTGTTAACAAATGTACCATAAACATTCCCTCATGAGGGAAACATGAGGCTTCAAGTTAAATAAATTTTAAAAAAAAGTTCACCTAATCGAGAGTGAAGAAACAATGTGGCAATTCTGCAGCCGGTCAAACTACTTACCTGGTCATATCCATAAGGCCTCTGCTGGGGTGGCTGTGGTGGTCCAGGCTGTGTTGGTCTATATCCTCCATACTGCTGACCTTGTCCCTGTGGGTAGTTAGGATACTGAGGACCTGGACCACCCTGTGAAGGACCTGAAAATAATGTACACAACAAAAACCCACATAAAAAGGTAAGTCCCTAGAACTCAGGGAAGGATGTGAACTACAGAGATGTTACTGTATTTTTCTATCTAAGCTAAAAAAAGATAGTTTGGTACCTTGATTTCCTCAAATGCTTTCTGAAATAAATCTGGATGGTAATAATAAGAGTAAAAATACTGTAATGTTACTTCACTATAATTATCGTACTATGCCCTAGCCATTACAAAATATATTTCAAAATGGGTAAAAAAGACTCAGGGAGTTGTAAAGCAGGTTAACTCCATGATGATAAGAAAATTAATCAATACGTCTGATAGCGTTAACCAGCACAAGCAAGAGGAAAAAGAGAAAGCAAGAGGCAGATTCAAAGAAAAATACTGAAATAACTTCTGAATAAAGTGGAGGAATAAACGATATTTACAACTGTATGACTCTAGATTTATATTTGCAATCACCAAAAGTATATGTCTATACTATGCATTGACAAATTTGTTACCAAAATATTTTAAAACAGAAACTAAAAACATGAAAACCCACAGGTTACATGTGAAAAAACTTGATTCAAAAGTCACACTGAGAATTAATCACCTTTAATACTTTACCCATAAAAATGATTACAAATTCCAGAGATGGCAAGGGACTGACTTGGCTTGCTAAACAATATGTCTGTTTTATAAACTCTACTAGTTGGGCTTGGCGCAGTGGCTTACGCCTGTAATCCCAGCACTCTGGGAGGCTGAGGTGGGAGGATCACCTGAGGTCAGGAGTTTGAGACCAGCCTGACCAATATGATGAAACCCCATCTCTACTAAAAGTACAAAAATTAGCCGGGTATGGTAGCATGCGACTGTAATCCCAGCTACTCGGGAGGTTGACAGGAGAATCGCTTGAACCCGGGAAGCAGAGGTTGCAGTGAGCAGAGATCGCACCACTGCACTCCAGGTTAGGCAACAAGAGTGAAACTCCGTCCAAAAAAAAAAAAAAAGCATAAGCTGAAAAGCTTTGACACTTAAATGTTTTCTATCGTAGCCATTCAAAACCTGCCATAAAAACACTGATTTCAGAGAAAAGTGTCAAAAGAGAACAAGTTTTCAAGCTTAAATAAATTATATCAGCCTATTATTTATTATATATTCAATTATTAAAACTTTATTTCTAGTGGAAATAAAGTTTTTTTTGGACAACACAAGCCTATGGATAAACAAAATAGAAATTTCTCTTAGGATTCCTGATGTCTAACAAAACAGCATTTAACTATAATACTTCAACAAAAATTAAGCTTTCTTTCACCCTCTCTTACCATTGAAGGTATTTATCTTAAGTCAATGAATTTACCTGATTTAGCTGCATTACATCTGTTTTCATCCAAAGGCAATAAAACCAGAATATTGTATTTATTCAAAGTATAAATACTAAGTAGTCACAAAATGAAAAGGCCATTTGGGAAGGGCAAGAAAGTTCCTTTATGAAAGAAAAAAAATCCATGGAATATTTCTAAAGTCACATCTAGAATCTGGAAATCAGAACTTGACATTTTTAGAAAAATACCTGACTCCCAATATCTGACTGAGTTTCAACACGTATGCTGAGGGGGCAAGAGAATTTCAGTCTGACCTGAGTTCTAAGATTTGCTATCACAGGTAGACAAAGATGTCCACAGCAATGGCAGAGCTTAAGTCAATGAATAAAAATAATAAGATATTACCGACGTGAAAGAGACCCTGTTAGGAAGAGAAGGAGTCAGTATTCATAAGCAGCTACTTTTCTTTCAACAGAGTTGTATCTAAAGTGGTTATAGTAGCCTGAGAGTTAAGACTGAAATATCAGGTCCTCGTCATTCCCCACTCCCTATCTAAGAAGTTAAAGTCAGATATCCAGGTAGCAGGTATTATAAGTGAGTATATAATAGGAAAATATTGCTACACTTCCCCCAAATTCTGTATGATACACAGCTGCAATAATTCATCCCGATGGATACGTATATTGCTATTTAGGGAATGACAAAAACATTTTCTTTATGCATTCTGAATAGATCTCATTTGTACTCAAAAAAAAAAAAAATCAGTATGTCTTAAAAAAAACTGTATTGGCCACTAGTTTTTCAAAATAAATTTGCTAAGCAGATTATATACATATGGTCAATAATTACCCAATCATCAGTTTTCCCAGCACACACAGGGCTAGGCATGACAAATACATCTGATAATTCATTTTTCTTGTCTTTTAAATGACTCCACACATTACCTTTGGTCATGAACCATCTCCAGTTTGTTGTTCTTTTTAAATGGATTACTAGTTTATCTAAGAGCAACATTTTAAACCAACATTTTAACAGTAGACTAGTCTAAAACTGAATTTTCAAGTGATAATTCTTGTAAAAATAAGTATTAAATATCCACTTCCATATTTTAAAACAATCAGCACATTTTTTTGGTGATAAAAATACACTGTACAAAGCTTTACCGTAGCCCTGCTGCTGTCCTGGGTAACCTTGCTGCCCTGGGTACTGCTGCTGCTGGGGTGGATATCCCTGTTGTGGAGGTGGTCCCTGGTATGCATCTTGCTGTTGGCCATACTGTGAATTTCCTACAGGATAATTGGAGAAGAGGAAAAAAAACTGAGAAGTCTGCTTAAGTAACTTTTTTCCCTCTAAGATGCATAGCCAACAACACAAGAACAAAATGAAATGCCATATTGATTTTTAGAAGTTAACAAAACAAAGAAAAAACTCAAACCAAACAGAAGGATTTCGGCCAAACAAACTGCAGTTAAAGCCAATTTTGCAAGGTTGAACTGCAGCATTTTCAGCGTCTCTGCCATACGAGCATTACATTTACTGGAACATCACAGTCATAAGATCATGACTATGCTAAATAAAATAAAAAAGACAAAATTAAAGACAGCTACAAGAGCACACACTAGCTACACGAGATCAGCAAGCTGTTTCCTAAAGGCACTATACTTATATGTAAAATTATACATATGTAAACACACACGAGAAAAAAAAGTTTGATGGATTTATGTTCAAATAGAAAATTTCCACTGAGGAAAAAATTATCTTTAATGTTTTAGTCTTTTTATTATTGTTAGAAATGGCAAGTCATGGTTATACATTTTAAATATTTGTAAGGAAATTATTTTGATTGTTTTGGGCTCCCTGCAACTTTCAAGAAAGCCAGCAACTAGTATTCTACAAGAGCTTTGCATGGGTAGAAGTTGTCTTATGCAAGAATTTTCATTCCTGTAGAAGGGGATATATATGTGTATGTGTGTGAAGGTATATAGATACCTCCTTCGTAGTAATGTTGTGAGGAATCCTCATAAGGCCTATCGTAGCCTTGTTCAGGATACGACGGTTGCTGATAACCGTAATCATTATGACCTACATCAATTCGACAAGAGACAGGAAGAAACGTTAATGGCCACTGAGTGAAAACCCTAAAAATATTTAAACTTTCAGATAAAATTGAAAAAAAAGAAAAAGAAATGGAACATAAAAAATAATTTCAATTGCATTAGCCAAAGATTTACCAATGTGATTGTTTTCATATTGAGATAACGTGCAAATTTTTTTAAAAGCAAAAAGCAGTAGTTTTAGAAACATTACACTTATTGTCTTAAATCTGATAATCCTCATTGAGGGAAAAAAAACTATCTCCCATTTAAAAAAACAAAGAGAATAAAAGTCTTTCACATGTAAATAACCTAAATTAAATTAGAATGAACAAAGGAAGCAATTATCATATTTTGTCAAACACCTGTTCTGCTGGTCTCCAATTCCACAGCATATGCTAAAAACAATGCAAAATATAAAAGAGTTCCATAAGTTTTTCCCCTGAAAGAAACTGAAAAATTTTCAAGTTCTAACATTTACTTGCATAAAGTTAAGTATCTCAAAGTATCTTCAGATGCAAAATTATATATCTTAATGCTGCCATTTTGGAAATCTTTAGAAAATATTTCAAGTATCATAAACATACATCTTCATAAAATTAATATTGTGTTGACAGAGTATATCTTTAGTTTTAAAGCACAATAAATTTTACCTGCGAGATAATTGGACTCTAGTGAAAAATACTCTCACTCTTTTTTTTAAAGTTTCACTAAGAAAATGTAGGAAATAACCTTTTAGTTACCTAAAATCTAAACTCAATTTTACAAAAATGCCTAATTAAGGACACAGGAATAAAATTACAAATGAACATTATACTCAGTGCTCTAGTATTCTAATGTTCCCAAGCCACCTCATAAATACCTACATGAAGGGTTGGCAAACTATGGCCTGCAGTCTTAATATGGCCAGTGGCAAGTTTTTGTAAATAAAATTTTATTGGAATACAGTCATGCCTATTCATTTCAGTATTGTCCATAGCTGCTTTCATGCTACAATAAGAGTTCAGTAGCTGAGACCAAAACCATATGGCCCACAAAGACTAAAGTATTTATTATCTGGCCCTTTACAGAAAAAGTTTGCCAATTCCTAATCTATATATTTACTAACATAAATATCCGGACATGAGAGAAAAGAGCCAATGTTGTTTACAAATATTAATTGTCGACATAAATAGAATACTCTATGTAAATGTCAGATATAAAGTAATATACACCTATGCAAAAATGATACCCTTCAAATTAAAATCCACTAATAAAATGAATTAAAGTAACCTTAATGTTTTGATATTTACAAAATAACAAACCAATATATTTTGAACAGAAAGGTTATAACAATACACATGTCACATTTCAAGAGATACCCAGGATCAAAACAACAATGTCAAATTTAATTCTTTAAAATGTAATTAAAAATTAAAAAATAGAAACAATCATTTATTTTCAGCAGACTTCTTAATACATATAATTTAACAAAGTAGATTTCACGTCTTTAAAATACGTAGAGTCTACAACAATCTTACTAAAGTTTTTAATTTAAAAAAATCTTAATACCATGTTTACATATGAAAAGAAAAAACAAAACAAAAACCAATGTCCTTAAGTACAAATGTACCTTTATGTTTTATGTATTAACAAAAAATGACAGGTGAGATGTTTTTTCAAATATCCTAAATTGTATCTTCTTGCTAGCTTACATGGGCTGCTAGTCAATGGCTGCTAATACTTTAGCTTTAAGTTTCTTAGTTTCTCTGTTCAGTAATTTATATTTACATCAAAGGATCATATACATGAATAAGGCTTTTGGCAAACCCTAACAACCCACATCATTTTGTAATGTATTTCTGAATTATTTTTTCTTCTACACTGTATTATAAAATTTTCAAGCATACAGAAAAATTGATGAAACTGTACTGTGAAAACCTACTTGTATGCTTGGATTATTGCTATTCAAATTTTCCTGAAGTACAGTGCATCTTACTAACCAATTTTTCACAAGCCACTTTCTACAAAAAAACAAAAAACAAAAAACCCTAACTAAAAATCTTATTTCCAAATTGCCTTTCCCATTCTACTCAATCTCTATATGGCTATATTATGGATATAATTTAGTCTCCCAAATTTTTCTCAAAGGCAAGCACTAATGTAAACCTTAGTTTGTTGAGAAGTATGAAACATTAATTAAAATGATGAGACTTGGAAAAATAACTTGAGAACTATATACTCTATGTATTTGTACAATTAATACAAGTCAACTAATGGGTGAACTTTATGGCAGGTGAATTATATCTTAATGAAGCTCTTATTAAAAAAAAGTAAATCAATAAACATAAGCTTTGGCTGAAATCAAACAACCCTAAACATATTACAAAAAGATCCTTTTACATAAGGATTCCAATGACAGACTGTGATTCCTGATGGTACTAATGGAACACCTAAAATATACTTTGAATTAGATTATAAACTAATGCTATCATTGGTACTTTAGAGTACTGAAGTGTTTCAAAATTTAGAGGAAACAAATTGTTAGTTTCTTCGTCCTCACTGAAATGTTTTAAATAACTCTCTACATTAATATTAGGCAGGGATAGAAAATGGGAAAGTTAACATCAGGAGAGATTACCATCAGGGTAATATTGCTGGTTCATGCCTTCTGGAGGACCTTGTCCACCATGACTGTATTGGTCCCCGTAATAGTCTTCCTGGCCTGAGTACTGCTGTGGTGGGCCTGAAAAACCACAACCAGTCAAGATATAAATAATGTGTTCTCTATGTCATCAAAGGCTTTCTTTCTAATTTGATATTATGAAAGATTATTTCTCAACTATAGATTCCCATCTCATAATTTGGCATTTCAGATACTTTTAGCTATTCATATACATATGCATACATACACAGCAGCTCCACATACCACATTTACTAAAATCAATGTTAAGACCATACATGCAGTATCAAAAAATACCAACTCAGAAAAACAAATGCTAACTTCTTAAAAATAGGTTCAAACTAGTAGCAAATTTATTTCCTTTTAATTTTGATACTACAGTGCTGTGAAGTAAAATTGGGTTTATTCCTGACCCTTTATAACTTTTCAAAAACAAAACAGTATTTTCTGCTGTGAATTAGTGAGCTTTCGATATAAAATTGTATGGTATAACTTATTCCAGAAAATAACAGATAAGAAGTTCCTATCTTCTTCGTGACCCCTTTGTACTTACTAGAACCCTACCTTTTGTCAAAAAAAAAAAAAAAAAAAAAAAAAAAGAAAACGCCCTGACTTTGTCTAGATTAAAAGGTCATTAAAATTTAAAGCCTTTCAATTACATTAAGTAGCAAATTTTCCAAATGGAATCTTACCCTGTTGAGGAGGTCTATAGGGAGGAATCTGTCTCTGACCCATCATATGATTGCCTTGGTTAACTTGACCCATCATTCCCATAGGTGGCTGCTGTCCTTGGTAATGCTGTCCGCCTCCCTGTGGCATATTGTATTGCTGAGAAGGAGGCTGCTGATGCATCATTGGACCTGAAACAAGACACAACATTATACACATAATTTTTTGTATATAACTTTAACATCTCAAGAGAAATAAGATAATCTTTTATCATATAGTCCCAAAAATATATAATTAAATGCAGTAAAAACTGATTTCAAATAATAAAAATAAGTCTTTGAATTAAAATTCACATGCCTAAAATAATGTGCAAACAAAAGAAAATAACCAATCCATGGTGGTTAACTTGAAATCCACTGGAAGATGATTCTTAGTCATTTTTTAAAATAAAATGCATATAATATATGAACATCCTGAATGTGTGTATTTTCCATTACACACTATCTAATATTTATCTATACCATCTTTCTTGAGAAGATATCATCCTTATGCTACACTGGAAAATATACCAAAAGTAAACTTTACAAAATCACACAGCAAAACAGTGGTCAAACTAAGGAAAAGAAACCAAATCTCTAGATTTTTACTTTGTTCTCTTTTTCAATACTCACTCATTATATAATGGTAGACAGGAAAACTATACAAACACCGAATATAATTTCATAAGCTTTAATTTAGGACAAAATCTTAAAAAGTCTTCTTTCCCTTTCCCAACTACAAGATTTATAACCTAAAAAGGCCTCCTTCAAATCAAATGGCTATACTGCTTAATATGTTAAAAGACACATACATTACATAAAGACTCTCACACCTCTAAAAACAGGCAGAGACATGCAACAAGCTGTAGGCTAAGAAATCTGAACTACAGAGTTTCCAAAGTGAGCAATACTGGGGTAGCCAAACTACCACTGCTATAGTATCACACTGGCAACAGTAAAAATGTATCACAGGAAACAATAAACAATGGCCATAAAGTCCCACATTGCCATCTAACAATGTTAAGCAGCTCCTGAGAGGTTTACTGGGCCAAGTTACGGTATGGGGAACTCATCATTTTGCCATTATAACATTACTGTCTCAGAAGTATGGATGAGTCTTTTCCCAACTTGCTGCTTATATAGCTACATACTCCTCCTCCCCCTTGAGTGACATGGAGAAAATTTAAGTACAAAAGGCAAAGTACTAGACAGCCTGGAAAGGTTTCACAGATGAAACTGCCCAAATGAGCCAAAAGTTCACTATTAAATTACTTAACAAACAATTAAAAACAAAACAAGCCCACCTCTTCAAATATATTACTGACTTACAACAGCAGCAATGATGTAAGCAGAAAGACTTCACATTTCCAATCAGAAGAACTGTTTTATCTGAAGGAGTACTTTATCAGAGATAACTGTTTTTCTCCTATTTGCCTTCCGTGCTTCTGTTTCTTTTTTCCTCCTTTTCAATTTTATTCTCATAAATGTGAATGTAAGCCTCTCAAAAACTCTGGGACCTTTCTTTCAACAAGGAAATACAGTCTTAGTAGAGACAAACTGGCTGGGTGAGAGTAGAGGCGAAGAGAACTTAATACTGAAGGTACCCTACAACACTGCCAGTTACATGGTTTCACAGTCATTTCCTACAAACTCCTAACAATTACCAGAGGTAAGGACCCTAATTCTCAATTTTTTTAGCCAAGGAATCTAAAAATCAAGATTACACAGCTAATAGATAAAAACTGAGAATAAGACAAACCTCAAATTTTATTTTGAAGCACATGTTTGTTCTATTTTTCATTGCCTCTATTAAAACATAAGCTATAACAAATTCGTAAGCCAGGAGTGGTGGCTCACACCTGTAATCCCAGCACTTTGGGAGGCTAAGGTGGGTGGATCACCTGAGGTCAGGAGTTCGAGACCAGCCTGGCCAACATGGTGAAACCCCAACTCTACTAAAATGTACAAAAATTAGCCAGGCATGGTGGTGCACACCTGTAATCCCAGCTATTGGGGAGGCTGAGGCAGGAGAATCACTTGAACCCGGGAGGCAGAGGTTGCAGTAAGCTGAGATCATGTAACTGCACCCCAGCCTGGGCGACAAGTGTGAAACTCTGCCTCAAAAACCAAAACAAAACAAAACACGAAACAAATTCAGTAGTTCCGAAGCAAATAATTTGCAACAAAAAAGTTCCAAAACACTAGTTTAATAGCAGTTATAATTTTCAAATATATGTTGCATATACTAAACTATTAAACACTAACATTCATAATTTAATAGGTAACCTGATCGGACATTTATGTAATTCATTTTCAGTAAATGAAGGTTTTGCCTTTTCTTCTCCAACACTGTCTAAAGACCTCTTGTCTTAACAGAAGGTAACTATATAACTAAAACCTATAATATTAGAAACAAAAAGAAAGCAAAACCACAATAGCCAAAAGAAAAAAAAATCCAAAAAGATACATAACAAAACACTAAACCTTGCTCTAAAGGAAAGCAAAGTAATTGTAGCTTAAGCCCTAGATAGAAAAGACCATGCCACTTGTGCTTTATCTTTTGGGACTGTGAGCAGTTCCAATCCCAAAGAGCTCAATTACTACCCTTCTTTTACTGTCACTTCTCTCCCTCAGAGGATCCCAACATCATTCATGATCAAGCCTAAACCACAGAGAGAATGCAGTCAGCTAACACTACTAAAGCACAATACATTTCATAATTTTCCTCGAAGCCTTATCCATTAAAGAAAAAAAAAATTATGACTATGACTTCAATTCTGATTGTTTAGGAAGTATATTATTTTCCTTCTTAGGATAATGAAATTATGCTACACTGGCAATGTATATTATCTCTTGAGATACTAATGAAACTAAGAGAAGCAAACTCAAAAGGTTACCCCAAAATATGTTCTAAAAATTTGTACTGCAGAGTGAAATAGCATTATAAAATGCATCTTCTACAACCATTTTCTGCAAACAATGGTATCATACATTACTACAGACTTTAAGGTTATTCTTCATCTTTTACATAAACAATTTTGATGTTAAGACGCACTACAAAGCGTGATAATACATATGCAAAGACCCTACTGATGTCTTAATTACCTAGAATATATTTTTGCAAGTGTTTTGCAAGGGCATATAACAAACACTTATCATTAGCACATTATTTCTTCCCATTTTGAGTTTTATATTCTAATAGATATTCTATGAAAATAACATCCTTTATTTTAAACACATGTAAAAACCTCCCAAATTACCATATTTTATATTATTGGCATTCTTTTCTCCAATGAGATGGTTAATACTTAATTTTATCTTAAGTCAGTGGTCAAAAAAAAAAAAAAAGAATTTTCTTTTGAAGAGTAAGTCAAGGATCAAATTTATTGAGTACTTATTAGGTACAACACCCCAGGCTAGGAGCCATGGTAATATAGAGATGTGATGAGCACTGTCACTGTCTATAGTGACACACAATTAGGTAGACTGAAAAAAATAATTTTTAAATACTTAACTATAAGGAAAACATTGTTTTAATCTGTCAATTCTGAATAATGTAATTTTACAAATATTCTATATATATAGAACATTCATACATATACACATGTATTTCACATCCTCAGATACAAACCAATACACTAAAATTTTATAAAAATTGTATCATTAATCTACAAATTATTTTAAATAATATTGTTTAAAATGACAGCTAACATTTAATGAACACTTATTATTAGCCAGGCACTAAGCTAATAGCTTTACCTGTATTATTTCTCTTCCCCAAAGCCCTATGAAACGGGTAGTATTATTATCGACTTCTTCACAGACAACAACATTTTAAGGCTCACAAACATCAAGGACCTTACCCAAAGCTGTACTGCTACGAAAGGCTCTAAAGTAGCATAGCTACTAAATGGTCCAAAGCCCGTGCTCTTAATCACTATGTGTACTTCCTCTCCAAATTCAAATTGTACTTTTCCCATGCCACTATCTCCCATGAAAAGAGTTCTGTATAATATATCTCTATCACTGTAATATAAAAACCTTAAAATATAAGAAATTTCTTCACCCCACCTATCTTAAGACCATGAAACTCCATAGATAATACCCTCCTCAGGCCTATTTTCACATTCATATTTCATCATTTACTGCTTACATTTTACTATTTGTTCCTTAACCATTTAATCTCTAACCCAATTATAGCTCTTATTTGGAGTTATTTCTAATAATTTATTTGCAAGAATCCCTGTATTCCAAAAAACTCAATTAGCTAACTTACTATCTGCTTAAATAGCTGCTTAAAAAGAATAGGATTCTTTACTTACCTAAATTATACACCTGTCCACATCAAGAATTTTTAGTAGTTAATAAGATGTTTAGATACAATATCAAGGATAAAAGAACAAGAGCAAGTAAGAAAATGTAGGATGACTAGCCCAGTTCAGTAAGGTCACTGCAGCCAAGCACAAATTTAGCTGAGTTTCCAGCAACCAATGAAAAAATGGAAACATGATTCTAGCAAGTAAAGAGAACAACAGCTCATTAAAAGATACAAAATCTTTCATAACATTAGAACTTTAGAAAAAATCTCATAAAAGTTTTAAAAGGTATTAAAAATAATATCAATAACAATTTTGTTATTGTCATTTGTTTCTTTAGTGACACAGACCATCTTTACACACAGTTATTCATACTAACCATTTCTTCAAGCTGGTTATTCTCAACTGTGGGCAGTTTTGTCCCTCAGGGGACACTTACAGCAAGAGGATACCTATCTAGCTAATCAGTCAACAAATAGGATAAAGCAGTGAACAGAATAAGACACAGTTCTTCACTTCATAGAACTCAGAGTCTAAAGAAAAATAATTAAACACATATTTTTTAAAATTATGTAATTATAAGTAGTACTGCTTAAAGGATTCTAAGTATAGGCTACTATACTTAAGTGAATTTGCCTAATAATTTAAAATATAGTGAAGTAAGACGTGTTTTTTATTTTATGTTGTATGCTTTTCATATTTTTTTAGATTTTTTTTTTTTTTGAGACGGAGTCTTGCTCTGTCACCCAGGCTGGAGTGCATGGTACAATCTCGGCTGACTGCAACCTCCGCCTCCCAGGTTCAAGCGATTCTCCTGCCTCAGCCACCCGAGAAGCTGAGACTGCAGTTGCACACCACCACGTCCGGCTAATTTTTGTATTTTTAGTAGAGACAGGGTTTCATTATGTTGGCCAGGTTGGTCTCAAACTCCTGACCTCAGGTGATCCACCCACCTCGGCATCCCAAAGTGCTGGGATTACAAGCATGAGCCACCACACCTGGCCAAGATTTTTCAAATTTAACATCAGTTATTTTAATAATCAGAAATATTTACTGATTACTAAAATCAGAAAAAAATCAGAAAAATTTAGTAAATTTACTTAATTGGGATTTCCTGTAGCTCCTTTCATCCTGGATGGGGGTTTTGGGCCAAGCAGGGGGGTAAAGGATCGAGATTGGAGACTGAGATCAACCACATGGACAAGCGATTAATCAAATCTACATAATACAGTCCCAATAAAAACTCTGAACACTAAGGCTAAGGGAAACTCCCCTGGTCAGCAATATACCCTGTGTGTATTATCACACATCTGTGAGAGGAACACAACACATAGTGACTGTTCAAGGAGAGGACAACACAAACTTTGCATTTGTCCTCCACATTTGATCAGTCAGCAAATCCGCTCTACCTTCAAAATACATGGTAAATATCCCACAATTGACTACTTCTGATTACCTCCATAGCTATCATACTATTTAAAGCCACGATCATCTCTTAAATACAACAAGAGCCTCTTAACAGGTCTCCCTATTTCACCCTTGCCCAATTACAGCCCATTTTCTATATAGCTGCCCAAAGGCATTTTTTGAAAACCATATATTCAGATCATGTTATTCCAGTGCTCAAAACTTTCCAGCAGTATATCTCCTTCCACAGAATAAAATCTAAAATCCTTATGGACTGAAAGACTTTCAAGGCCTAGCCTTCAACTATCTCTTGGACCTTATTTCTTATGACTTCCCACTTTCACTCACTCCGCTCCAGTTCGACGGGTCTCCTTGCTATACTTCAAACACACCAAGTATGCTCCAGTGCATACTTGCTGTTCCATCTGCCTGTGCCACATTCTTTTTCTAGGTATCTGCTCACCACCCTAAAATGGCATACATGCTTATTTTTCTTTTTCCTTTTACTTTGCATATTTCTCTTCATAACACATATCATCTGACATATTTGTATCTGAATCCTTAAGATAAATGAGTAGCTTTTAACCTTATAACATTCATATTGTTAGGAACTTACTAGCATTTCCCAAAGTGTCTATAAAACCTTATAGTGTTCACTTTGCATAGTAGGATCAGACCATATCAATGACCATGCAAGCAGAAATCATGCAAAACGATCTTAATAATCAGTAGGGAAAAAAATCATAATTATTCCATGGCCTTTAAAATTTTGGTCAAAACACTGAAAACTCTATTACTGTCAGTTAAAAATACATAGGGAAATGAGAAAATATTTAATTCACTGTAATTTTAAACATTAGAAACATTGAGAATTGGCCAGATGCAGTGGCTCACGCCTGTATGTACTCCCAGTACTTTGGGAGGCCTAGGTGGGTGGATCACTTGAGGTCAGGAGTTCAAGACCAGCCTGGCCAATATAGTGAAACCCCATCTCTACTAAAAATATAAAAATGTGCTGGACATGGTAGCATGTGCCTGTAATCCCAGCTACTCGGGAAGCTGAGGCAGGAGAATCGAAACACTTGAACCTGGGAAGTGGAGGTTGCAATGAGCCAAGATTGCACCACTGCACTCCAGCCTGGGTGACAGAGGAAGACTCCGTCTCAAAAAAAAAAAAAAAAAAAAGAAGTAGAAAAAAAAAGGAAAAAAAAAGAAACACTGAGAATTAAAGTGTTTCACTTCTTTGTAAAAATCCTGTCAAGAATAATTTAAAAAGTAGTTCCCTTCTCCTAATGGTATATATGACGATTTAGAGTAAGTCTCTTTTCCACGGCTTAGCAAATTGTCACACTCCTTTCTAAGTTTGGATTGGCATCCAACATTTTATCCTTTACACTTTCAAAGTTGTGAAATATTTCCAAGAATTTCTTTAATGTGAAATATTTTGCCAGTCTTGCTTCCTCTGGGACATTTTCATCCTTTTCATCACAACTACTTCTCTCATTTGTATCAATGAGTTCTCCTTCTTTAAGCACCTGCAGTGCATATCCAGATTCTCTGAAATGGCAGCAATGTCAGCATTTCCACAGTCAGCAATTTCTTCAGTACTCCATTTACACTGAATTTGGGTTTCATTTCTAGCATTATCATTTTTCATTTCTTTGTTGCACTTTTATCTATGTTGGCCAAGTCCCTCTTTCAATTATCCAGGTTTGTAAAATCTCATATAGGTTTACTGCTGGGAGCCAAGGAAGCAACACAACAACAAGCTTTGCTGTATGTGCATGAACTGACAGATGCACAGTGACCAATCACTGACAAAATCTAAAAGTAACATCCATCACTTATCATGACAGGCATCTGTTATTTATGTAGTGATTTGTAGACTGAAGAAAGAGCAGCTAAGAGTTCATACTTTATACAATTACTCTTAATGTGCTATGGTAACTGAAATTCAAATGGTGGTGCTGGGGGAACAGGTGTTATTTAGCTTAACTGCAGTAACTGATATTCATGTATATCAGAATTGCATACAGCAAGGCCTGCCTGTATTTCCATAGGATGTCTGTTTCCTCATGCACAGAATGATAGTAATAGTACCTTACCTACTACCTCAAGGATGTGAGAATTAAAGAAGACATGCAAAGGATTTTGATAGTTTTGTTTCTGTTAGCGCCTGGCACTAACAGGTACTTACTGAATATTAGCTGTTACCTTTGGAAAGTAATATGCCAAAAAAAAAAAAAAAAAAAAAAAGAAGAAGAAGAAAAGCTCCATGGTAATATACTCATGTTAACTGAAATCAAATCAGTTTCTTTAATAAAAATCTTCTCAGGCCTTTTAATAGTCTAATAAGCATGCTGAACCTTCCAAAGTATTTTACTAGTAATTAGTAAATCTATTAATACCATAACTTAGCAAATGCTGGGTCAAAGTTCTGATATAATTGGGAAAAATCACATTTTTTCATGAATATTACCATTTCAGAATCCTATCACTAAAACAAACTATTTTAAAAAGTTAAATTCCAGCCGGGCGTGGTGGCTCATGCCTGTCTGTAATCCCAGCACTTTGGGAGGCCAAGGCGGGCAGATCACAAGGTCAGGAGATTGAGACCATCCTGGCTAACACGGTGAAACCCCGTCTCTACCAAAAATACAAAAAAAATTAGCCGGGCATGGTGGCGGGCACCTGTAGTCCCAGCTACCTGGGACACTGAGGCAGGAGAATGGCATGAACCCAGGAGGCAGAGCTTGCAGTGAACCGAGATCATGCCACTGCACTCCAGCCTCAGAGTGAGGCGACAGAGTGAGACTCCGTCTCAAAAAACAACAACAAATAAAGGTTAAATTCCTACCTCTTAAAACTAACAAAATGTTTTTACATGTGAAATTCACATAAGGCAAACAGACTTAACCTATAAACAACTCCTTCAATAACAGACAAACCACAGAATATATGACATGAACAGGCAATTCATAGAAAACATGCAAACAGCAAATAAACATACAAAGTTATGCAACCTGACTAATAATTGAAGAAATTAAGTTTACAGTTTTCCGCTATATATTTAGCAAATAGGAAGACTGTCACTGGGTATGTAGTAAAGTAAGCATTTTATATGCTGTAGGAATGTGAATGTGGCCTCATGCAACCTTTATTGAAAACAATTTGGCAATGTCTCTCAAGTAGTTCAAGTATTCATATATTTTAATAATTCTATTTCTAGAATTTATCCTACAAAAATCTTGTACAAGTAATCAAAGACATAGCTACAAAGACATTTTTTCCAGAAGTATTTGTAAAAGACTAGACACATCTATCAAAAGTGAAAATGGCTTTGTTGTATTATAATACATCCATACAAAGAATGTTGCCATTTAAAAAATGAGAAAGATCTATATATACGAATAGCGGAGGTAAAGGAAATAAACTACCATGTAAAAATACATATGTAAAAGTAAATGCTAGGCCTATCTCAAGCACCTCCTTTTCGTCTATCTCTTAATAATCCATTGTGTAATAGTAAGAGATAATAAGATAATAATAAGAGAAAACAATCTCAGCTGTGGCAATACATGCTCTTTGCCCTTCATACTTATATAACGAATGTGAACAGTTTAGGTACTGAAAGAAAAATCTCCTTCTACTTTCATGTCAAGCCTCTGGGTCAGTCTAACCAAAGAGTACACTGACAGAAAGCACAGTGTTTTGAAGATATTGTCATTTGCAACTTAGCCACGTGAATCAACACTTTCTTAATACTATTAAAACACCCAGAAATAAATTAGATGCTGTGGCTAAAATAAGACAGTAGCTGATAAACCAATCTCAAATGTTTTTGTGTTCACCTTTTTAAAAAAGCTTGATGATTAGCCAACTGATTTTATAAAAATTATGCAAATGATTACCAAGTCAGGATTTTTACATGCATCATTTCACTTAATCTTACTTAGAGAAATTAAGTAATTTAGTCAAAGGTCCCACATACAGTAAGCTACAGGGGGCCAAGACATATCCAAATCTGAAGAATTACACACATGGAACTTACAAAACATATTCTTTAACACAAGCACTGCAATTTGTAAAATTCTTTATATTTGAATATATAATTAGTAAAATTCTGTTAAATGTGGAAAGCTATAATTACTAATGCCTGATAATGAAAAATACACAGGTATCTGTCCAATATAACATCTTCAGAAATCCCTTCTACACAATTTGCCTTTTCATACACTGAATGTACTTGTTGATTAAATAAACATTTTTCAGACAGGTGATCATATAACACTTGCTTTTTACTGAAGAAATGAAAGAAATAAATAAGATTTTGTGTGTCCATCCTCAGGCATTTTTCTAGGCACCTGGGATACAGCAGAGAACACACTTCCTGCTTTTATAGAGCTTGTTGAATTCTAGTGAAGTTTATGCTCTATATGCAAATAAG
Organism: Homo sapiens; assembly: GCF_000001405.40. Lineage (NCBI taxonomy): Eukaryota > Metazoa > Chordata > Mammalia > Primates > Hominidae > Homo > Homo sapiens. The sequence continues at coordinate 26,049,474 of NC_000018.10, forward strand.
TTTATGTAGGAAGATGGTGGTTTACTCTGAAAACTGGAGTTACTCTTTTTGTTTTTTTAGAGACGGTCTTGCTCTGTCACCCAAGCTGGAGTGCAGTGACACCAGCAAACTCACTACAGCCTCGAAGTCCTGTGCTCAAGTGAACCTCCTGCCTCCACCTCCAAGTAGCTGGGACTGCAGGCACAAGCTACCACGCCCAGCTAATTTTCACATTTCTTTTTGTAAAAAATGCAAGTCTTGCCATCTTGCCCAGGCTGGTCTTCAACTCCTGGGGTCAAGTGATCCTCCCATTTCAGCCTCCCAAAGTGTTGAGGTTACAAGCAAGGGCACCAACGCCCAGCCAGATCTTTCTCTTAAGGTTCAAAATGACAAAAAAATAAACTTTATCTGGGTAACAGTGACAATAACATGGGAAAATATATGTTGGATTGACTATTATACTTAAGCAACATTTTGCCAGCAGTTTAAGAAACAAATTAACATAAAAATTGGGCCCAGCGCAGTGGCTTGCGCCTGTAATCCCAACACTTCGGGAGGCTGAGGTGGATGGATGGCTTGAGGTCAGGAGTTCAAGACCAACCTGGCCAACATGTCTCTACTAAAATACAAAAATTAGCTGGGCGTGATGGCAGGCACCTGTCATCCCAGCCCCTAGGAAGGCTGAGGCAGAAGAATTGCTTGAACCCAGGAGGCGGAAGCAGCAGTGAGCCGAGACTGCACTTCTGCACTCCAGCCTGGGCGACAAAAAGTGAGACTCCACCTCAAAAAAAAAAAAAAATTTGTGCTAAAGTGCTCACCTGGAAGCAATAGACCCTCTAAGAGAACACAGAGAAAAACATTTTGCAATACTAGCTTAGTTGCTGAATTAAAACAAATAAAAATAAATAATAATAAACAGAAAAACTTTCAATGTAAAATATGCAGCTTATTTTTATAAAAACTAAGAAAATGTTTTATAATGAAATGAATATTAAAACTTCATTAATAAAACTCTTCAATCATCCTCTAGCATCTAGTAAAAAAATTCATTAATAAAACTCACCATGAACTTCTTTATTAAAAGGTAACATATAATTAAAATGCTTTTATAAGAAACTCATATGATTAAAAAACTAGGTGCTGCCAGAACACTGTATAACTTTCTTTTTTGGTAACTGTAATTTTGTGTTCTTTTGATTCTGAAATATCAAAATTTAAATGAAGTTTTTTATTTGTCCTAAAGAGATTTTTAAAACAATAAAGATTTCCGGTGAAACCCTGTCTCTACTAAAAATACAAAAAAAAAATTAGCCGGGCGTAGTGGTGGGTGCCTGTACTCCCAGCTACTTGGGAGGCTGAGGCAGGAGAATGGTGTGAACCCGGGAGGCGGAGCTTGCAGAGAGCAGAGATTGTGCCACTGCACTCCAGCCTGGGCAACAGAGCCAGACGCCGTCTCAAAATAAATAAATAAATAAATAAACAAATAAAAATTTCCTCAATGATTTTAACCATATTTTCTTTTTGAAAATTGTCTTTAATCTCTTCAGATCTCTACCTGGTCATTTCTGTACAGCCTATTTTCTATTAAGAAGTTCATAAACTGACCAGGTGCAGTGGCTCATGCCTGTAATCCCAGGACTTTGGGAGGCCAAGGCAGGTGATCACTTAAGCCCAGGTGTTCAAGACCAGCCTGGGCAACATACCAAGACATTGTTTCTATTCTTTTAACAAAATACAAAAAATAAAAATAAAAAAGAAGAAATTTATAACTATGAGAACAAGGCAAAAAGTGATATAACTACTGTACTATAGTAAAAGGAAGACCTACACATACTTACAAAATACGACATTTTTAAAAATAAAAGTTGGTCCCTAAGAACAAAAAATTTCTAAAAACACCTCAATACTTTTCTCCAAAAAGTCAATATGCACATTGCTATATGCATTATTTTTTTCTTCGAATCTTATTATGTCATATCAAACCATGCTGCAGCAACATCCATTTTTTGTGCACACCATACCTTTTCTTAACTATAGGTTTCTAAGAAGTTAAGAAGTGTGCCATCATTAATGGAGTTGCTGTCAGAATCATCAATTTTCCTGTTCTCTCTCCTGGTAACCAAACTGTATAGAGAAACACATGAACTCCCTTCTGATCTAGCACTGACTGGATCTTGCTGTTGTTTGGACTTTTAATTGACCTAATAAAAACAAAAAAATAATTCTACCATAAGCATTAAGTAACTTTGGGGGAAAAAAATGTAGCAAGTGCCAGTTTTGTGAAGCTACAATGATTGGCAATTTTTTCTATTATCTCCTTTTGCTTTCAGTATATCTCATGAAAATTATTAAAAATCTGTATTATTTTAAAATTATATTATTTCATCATAAGGAATTATCAACAGATTAACACTAACTTCTTTTATCTGGGTACATTTTAGTGCTCTGTTTATTTTATAAATCAAAATCTAGAAAATTTTATTCCAAATACATTTAATTCTATCTTACAGTCTTAACTTCATTACATTTTGTAACTGAAATAGCATTAACCTGGAAATAAGCCAAATGTTTTAACAGTCAATTAGCAGAACAGAGCGCCACTTACTGGCTTTTAGTTATTATTCACAGAATACTTAAAAGAGAAACATGGTACAATTTCATTCTGAGATTGGTAATAAACTTTAATGGACTTACACCACTCTAAGACAAGTACAGCAGCACCTCCACTGAACATTCTAATGGCAAATTATTTTAGAATTACCTTTTAATGCTGAAACACAGCATCAGAAAACATCCATATAAATCAAGGGGAATTCATATAAATTAATACATCCTTAATAAGTAAAATGAAGGAGCAGGTGTTTATTTTCTCAACTTTCTAGCTAAACCAAATGTTTGGTTCTTCATTGACTGGCTTTAAAAAACAATTCTCAACAATACAGAACCTCAAACAAACTGTCCAAAAGACATAAAAATAAATAAGCTTAAAAAGCTACATTGAGCAAAGAGATTTAAACTAGCTTCAAACTCAACATCTCCTTTTTATGGGCATGACTGTCACTCACTTTAAACTTTTATTTTTATGAACCAGCTAAGAACCTGACAACAATCATTTTACTTTTCAAAGGCTAATAGAGCACTCTAGTCAAGAAGGACATAAAGCTTAGTTACCTTGGTTTGGCTGCATACTCATATTTGGTCTGGGACCATAGTTTCCCATTGGTTGTCCCTGACTCATTGTCATCTGATTCTGTACTGGCATGCTCTGTGATGATGGCACAGAATGGTTGTAACCTCCCATGGATCCATGGCTACTTGAAGGCATATTCATGGAACTGTTTGTCATATTGAGTTGATTGGGTCCAGGTCCCTGCATAGGCATATGGTTAGGCCCTTTGAAGAAAAATGATCAGAAGCAAAATATGAAAGTTAAACAGATGGTCCATACAAAAGTACCTGGAAATAATTTTTTTTTTGCATTATTATAGTAATACCAAACAATAATTAATCGATAGCAAAGTAAATGGTTTATAGGAAAAGACAGCAAATACTGTGAAGTAGTTATTCCCATTTTTGGATTAAGAAATTGATGCTTTTGAAGTCAGGAGCACTCTGAAAAAGAAGGAAGGACTAGCTTCTTCATAAAAGAGCAAAACATATCATAAGGTTGGAGTAATTAACTATGAACATAAATGAATAGACTAACAGATCGATTGAACAGAACAGAGTCTAAAAGTAGACCCAAATACATAGCTGAGTAAATAATCACAGTAATATTAAGTATTAGTGAGCAATAGAAAACTAATTCAGTAAATGGTATTGTGACAACTGGGGAGCCATCTGGAAAAAACAAGTTGGATCACTATCTCATTTGTTCCACTAACTAATTCTAGATGAATAGAAAACTTAAACATTTAAAAAGAAGAAACCATAAAAGAATTTCAAAAAGGAGAATTTTAAAAATAATAATGGAAGGACCTTCTTAAGTATGCCAGAAAACCCTGAGCCATAAAACATTGATAAATTAGACTATACAAAATTTAAAAATTTGCACGACATAAAAAACTCAAAATTAAATAATAAAAAGGTAAATAAGAAAATATTATTTATAAGATAGATCGCAGACCCAGACCAAATTAATTACTTAACATATGAAGTAAGTAAAAGACCACCACCAGTAAAAGAATGGGCAAAGGACATAATGAGGGAATGACTAGTTCACACAAAAACTACAAAAAGGTTCATCAACATTAAAAGATTGATTGCTTCACTTAAAATAGGAAGGCAAATTAAAACTATGAGACCGAACTTTCACCTCTCAGATTCTCAAAAATCAAAAGTTCGATCTAACTATATTGTGAAGAAAGAAGCACTTTCATCCATTGTTGAAGGAACAGAAATCTTACTTATATTTCATGGGGAATCAAGCTTGTGGAATCAAGGGTGGGATCAAGCTTGAGGAAATTTGTGATGACAAACAACAATTCAAATAAAGTAGTTGTCCCTCAGTATCTGTGGGAGATTGGTTCCAGAACCACCCACAGATTTCAAAATCCGTAAATGCTCATGTCCCTGACATAAAATGACACAGTATTTCCACATAACCTATGTACATCCTCTCATATACTTTAAATCATCTCTACATTACATGTACTGCCTAACACAATGTAAATGCTATGTACATAGTCACTATACTGTGTTGTTTAGGGAATAATGACAAGAAAAAAAAAGTATGTACATGTTCAATACAGTCACAATTTGTTTTTCCAAGTATTTTCAATCCACTGTTGGTTAAATCCATGGATGTGAAATTCATAAATGCAGAACTGATGGATATTACTATTTTTACACAAAGCAATTTGGCACTAACTGTCAAATTTTAAAATATATATACCTTTAACCCAGCAATTTCAGTTCCAGGAATTTATGCTAGAGATATACAAATTTTTGTGTGCATGCGTATTGACACACAGAACACATATATATGTGTATATATATTTTTACAGCAAATTCATGACAGTATAATTCATAATAACAAAAGACTAGAAGCCTATGTTTCCATCCTAAATGTTCGAATAAATTAAACTTGTAAAAAAGAACATGATAGAGACCAAAAAGAATAAGGCATCTATTTACATATGGAATAAAATAATGGTCTCCAAGATATATCTTTGAGAAAGAAAAGATACATAATAGTATTTAATGAGTGCTATCATTTGTACTTTAAAAAAAAAGAGTAAAAATAAAGGAAATACACATGCATTATTTTATATAGAGAAAATCTCTCTCTCTTTTTTTTTTTTTTGAGACGGAGTCTCATTCTTGTTGCCCAGGCTAGAGTGCAATGGTGCAATCTTGGTTTACTGCAACCTCCACTTCCCGGGTTCAAGCGATTCTCCTGTCTCAGCTTCCCAAGTAGCTGGGATTACAAGTGTGTGCCACCACGCCAGCTAATTTTGTATTTTTAGTAGAGATGAGGTTTAACCTCACTGGTCAGGCTGGTCTTGAACTCCTGACCTCAACTGATCCACCCACCTCAGCCTCCCAAAGTGCTGGGATTACAGGCTTGAGCCACCATGCCCAGCGAGAGAATATCTCTTGAAGGACAACTAGAAACCAATGCCTCTCTAGAACTGTCTGGAGAGGTGGCGGCTAGGCATCCTTTGGTATCCTTTGATTTTGGTCCCATAGGCATGTATTACCTAGCTTTTAAAAAATCAATTAATTTTTTAGGCTGGACTCGGTGGCTCATGCCTGCAATCCCAGCACTTTGGGAGGCTGAAGCGGGTGGATCACCTGATGTCAGGAATTTGAGACCAGCCTGGCCAACATGGTGAAACCCCATCTCTATTAAAAATACGAAAATTAGCCAGGTGTGGTGGTGTGCGCCTGTAATCCCAGCTACTCGGGAGGATGAGGCAGGAGAATCGCTTGAACCCGGGAGGCAGAGGTTGCAGTGAGCCGAGATTGTGCCACTGCACCCCAACCTAGGCGACAAGAGCAAAACTCTGTCTCAAAAAGAAAAAAATAGTAATTTTTAAAAAAGGGAACCTGAGACTGAGTAGTGATTTGACCCAGATCAATGAGAACATAAGTAGCTCTAAAACTGAGTCTACATAATGAAATATACATTAAAAACCAAACTGAAATAGGAAACAGCCAAGATGCAAATTTGTGTGCATAAACAGGTTGGCTAAATGCTATAAGGAACAAATAAAGAAAATATAAGTTACTGGCCTTCCAATTTCTCCTACACTTAACTGTAACTCCGTAACTATTGTTAGGAGAAATTCTTTCTGTTTTTTTTTTTTTTGTTTTTTTTTTTTGATGGAGTCTCACTCTGTCGCCAGGCTGGGGTGCAGTGGCGTGATTTCGGCTCACTGCAACCTCCGCCTCCTGGGTTCAAGTGATTCTCCTGCCTCAGCCTCCTGAGTAGCTGGGATTACAGACGTGCAATACCACGTCCAGCTAATTTTTTGTATTTTTAGTAGAGACGGGATTTCATCATGTTGGCCAGGATGGTCTCAATCTCTTGACCTCGTGATCCACCCGCCTTGGCCTCCCAAAGTGCTGGGATTACAGGCGTGAGCCACCGCGCCTGGCCTGGAGAAATTCTTAACTATTGTTTCGGAAGCTCTATAGTATTCTGAACAACCCAGGTCATAAGTGGTTGATAATAACTAGCTTATAAAAGAATATACTTCAGAAGGCCTTACACAAAACCAAAATGTCATGTTAACCATAACTGTACTGCTGCTCAAATGCTTCTTTGGCCTTAGGCTTCAATGTTACACAGAGAATTTAAGTCAAAATCCTAATTCAAAGTACCATCATAAAAAGTCACAAAACTCCTAACTAGCTAACCTGCACTATCACTACCTTTCCAGTTCTAAAAACAGTGTGTCCTGGTGAACTAAATGTGGACTTGGCAAGAAGCTTTCTCTTGACTACAATATGACTACAAACTGAAAAGCAGTGATGTCTTTATTCCTACCTCCATACTGGATGTGTGCCATATATGTTGCAAGCCTTAGCAGGAAATAGGAGACAGCCACTGAAACACCACTGCCCTCCTATATGATCAGTCACACCTCAATCTTCTATAAGCCAGGCTACCTTACCTCTTTTGCTCTGTGCTCTCTTGTTTCCTTACTGCACCCATCATCCTTGGACACCAATGCTATCAATCAACACAATCGGCTACAGAAAACAGTATCCTAAAGATGCCAATTACTAATTTTAATAATTGTTCTGTTATTTTATTTCCATTACTGCTAGTTGTATAATGTCTTCTTTATCAATGAAAATAACTTTTGTCTTAGAAGGTAAAAATATTCTGATACCTAATGTAGATAATATTCTACCAAAAATTACGGCCATGGGTTGATGCTACTGTTACAAAAACAAAATAGTGTAAAGATACTTGTATGATTAAAATTTCAAACCAGCCAAAGGTAACTAAATCAGCATCCAATGTCTTAAAACATATCAACCTAGTGACCCTACACTTAAAATTGACAAATAGAAAAGAGAATGGCTCAGTGTATAAATAATGTAAGGAAGTTTACATTATTTTTCAGCCTTTAATTTTTGCTTTAAAATCAATTCCAATATTTATGTTATGCTATAAACCTATGTATTAAAAAAATTTAGATTCAGCTTCAATATCAATAAGGAAATACTAAATACACCAGCACTTCAGAGACTGTTTTCTTTCCCCATGTGTTTTTCCCAGTGATACTGTTTCTGAGATCAATCAATATTTAAGTAAATAAAAACTCAGGGAAATGTTATAATATCTTTTTTAAACAGACTTTAATTCTTAAGCCATGGTGCAACGCCTTTTTTTCCAAAAAGCTTCTAAAGCCAACTGTATTGCAGTTTCAGACAGACTAAATTTAGCCAGTTCTGTTCATCAGAGGAATGGTGTGTGTCAGCTACATCAAAGCCCAAGGGCAGCCTGATAAACACTGAATACAGGTCACGTAGCTCTGTAGCTAACAAACTCTAAGAGAGCTTGTACTCGGGGGCATTCAAAGCAGTTTTGTCATCAACAATCTAGTATCCCTTGAGCCCCCATGTCGTTTCAGTTGCTAAGCAACTCTGGTGTTAATGTCTTAGAGGAGAAAAACTTACCAGGCATCTGGCCGTTCATCTGGTTCTGCATGTGCGGTGCAGGAGGACCCCCACCTACCATTCCATCTGAAGGCATGTTGTGAGAGCGTGGAGGTGGGGGAGGGCCGCTCTGATTCATCCCTCCAGGACCCATAGGCATATTCTGTGTGGGTGGCTGAAAGAAGACAGTTTAGTAAAACAAGAGAAACAGACTAATATACGAAAGATGCATAGGGTAAAAGAGTTGCTTATGTTACTAAATTGCAGTAAGAACAAAAACACAAATGCATTTCGAATTCTTCTAATGCATTTTCATCATGAACATAGTTAATAACCCCCAAAACTTTAAAGCATATTTACTTTATAAAATCTCAGTAGTGAAAATTAAAATGTTAACATTCTATACAAAAAATTCTCATTTATTTATATATTAAGCATTTCTAATGTGTCTATTATTATCTAAATTATGTGAAAAAAATTAAATGTCCTTTCATTATTGATGTATTGGATACACTTATTAATGATGGATTTTACCTAAAAATGTACAGTAACAAAAAATGATGAAAGGACTCTAAGTCCCAAAATGTGCCATATTTTACACTATTTCGGGGTGGAGGATAGTGGCAGCAGAGGAATGTTTTAAAACATGAAGACAACAGTTCAACATTTTTGTGCCGACTACTGCTATAGATTGGAAACATTACTGATGGCCTCCAAGGGTACAGAGACAGCTGCCTCAAAAGGATGCCCTTGGCAAATTTCCTAATGCAATTTTGAAGAAAACCACTGACTAACCTTCAGAGTTCACAAAAGGGCAAAAGGAAAAACAGATATGAGGTGGTCTGCCACACCTGGGTCCCTTCTTAGGGATATTTTGGTGGAGAAAGCAAACGGTTAGTTTCGCTCCAATCCCCCATTTTTAATCTTGTAGGAGGAGAGGGAGGCATTATTCTTTACTTCGATGTTCTAAATGTAATGTCCATTCCTGTATTATCAGTTGTTCTCTTCCTCCTACATTTAAAAATGGCCAGTTACTGTATGCCTTTCCATTTTGTGAACACAATTCTCTTTGGCACACTTAATAGATACACATTGTTATTTGGCCATCACATTTAAATACTCAAACCTCCAAACAGTTAATAATCACTAACATTTACAGAAATAAACAAGTCTACTCTAATAGCACACATTTTAAAATCAGAATTTTAATTTCTTCACAACTAAATCCAGATGAATGCTCTTATTTTCTCTTAAATTCTCATATTATTTCTCCAACTTGTATTCTTTAAACACTTAAAAACCTTGTTCAGTTTTCACCAAAACAAACAAAAAAACAAACAAAAAACACTAATTTGAGTCATATTATCTAACTTTTAATCATCCTTATTTATCATCCTTCAAACCTGGCTACCTTAACCCTCTTCTGTCTGAAAACAGAAATCCTCCTTCCTCTATTCTTGTCCAAATTTTCTGTTAAAAATTCATGTTCTCACTCTTAATAGTGAGGTCATTTTCTTGTAATTCAACTAATAAAACATCATTACTGTTACCACCATGCTAGAATAACTTGTATCAAACTAACCCTCAGCTAAATAAAACTCATAAAATCTAGACAAAAAGTAAAAACTGTTTGAAGCCACTAAAGAGTGACTTACACAAAGAGGAACAGAAGGGGCTACAACTCCTGAAAGAACGGAAGCATATAAGACCAGCTCCACAATTATCTTGGCTTTTTCCTTGAGTTTGCTGAGTAACAGGGAAATACAGCTCAAGTAGAAAGTGCAGTCCAATTGGACTAAGGAAAAAAAAGAGTCAGAATTTTTGACTATCAAAGAGCTGGAAACTAAAGAATAAATTTCCAGAGAGAAAGGACCACAAGAGGGGAAACATTCAAGAAAACTAGTCGAAATAGCAGGTAGGAGGCTAAAGAGCTCAGCAGAGATTCCAGCTGCTGCTCACTGATATGGAGACAAAGACTGGAGTGTAGGCCCCACCAAGTTAGAGGAGCCTTCATAAATAACTCCAACTCTCTGTTGAGACTACAGAAGGGCCAGCTACTCCTTAAGAGTAAGGTCGAAATTGAAATAGATCAGCCCTAAAAAGTCTTATAACCAACCTTTAATAGATTCAAGGTAACCTCCTAGTACTTCACATACCAAAGGAAAACTTAATTCTCTTTGGAGCAAAGTAACACAAACTAGAGCTTCTATAATTGTTCAACCACAAGGTCTAACACTCTTAAAAATTGCAAGGCTTTCTAAAAAACAAAAATAAATGACCAACACCCACTTTGATAGCTGCAATAACATAAAAATTAAAAGTCCAGAAAAATAACAAGTGTTGTGAACAATGTATAGAAATTGCAACTCTCATATATGCTGGTGGAAATGTAAAAGGGTACAGCCACTGTGGAAAACAGTTTGACAGTTCCTCAAGAACTTAAACAGTTACCATATGATCTAGCAACTCCATTCCTGGTACATACTAAAAAGAATTGAAAACACACATTCACGCAAAATTTCTACACAAATGTTCACAGTGGCATTATTCATAATAGTTAAAAACTGGAAAAAACTCAAATGTCCACCTACTGATGAATGGATAAACAAAACGTGGCATATGAATACAACGGAATATTATTCAGCCACAAAGAAGAAATACTTATACATGCTACAACATGGATGAACCTTGAAAACATTATGCCAAGTGAAAGAAGATGGACACAAAAGGCCACATAAATTGTATGATTCTATTCATAAGAAATGTCCAGACTAGGCAAATTCAGAGAGACAGAAAGTAGATTTGCTGTTGCCAGGGGATGGGGAGAGGGGGAGAATTGAGATTGACTGCCAACAGTTTTCACTTTATTAGGGTAGTGAAAACATTCTGAAATTAGATAGTTATGATGCTTACATAATTGTGAATATACTAAAAACCACTGAATTCTGTACTTTAAAATGGTTAAAATGGTAAATCTTATATAAACTGTATCTCAATTAAAAAAAGAATGGACAACCAAGAGAAATAACAGAAAATTTAAAAAGACACCTAAGTCATTCAGATTTTGGAGTTCCAGGCCAGATGTGGTGGCTCATGCCTGTAATCCTAGCACTTTGGGAGGCCAAGGCAGGCAGATCACTCGAAGCCAGAAGCTCAAGACCTGCCTGGCCAACATGGTGAAACTCTGTCTCTACTAAAAATACCAAAAAAAAAAAAAAAAAAAAAAAAAAAAAAAAAAATCAGCCAGGCGCAGTGGCACGTGCCTGTAGTCCCTGATACTTGGGAGGCTGAGAAACGAGAATCGCTTGCACCTGGGAGGTGGAGGCTGCAGTGAGCTGAGATCGCATCACTGCACTCCAGCCTGGGAGACAGAGCAAAACTTTGTCTCAAAAAAAAAAAAAACAGATTATGGAGTTACTAAAGACTTAAAATAACTGTGATTGGTATGTTCAAGAAATAAATAAGGCTGGACACGGTGGCCCACGCCTGTAATCCCAGCACTTTGGGAGGCTGAGGCAGGTGGATCACGAGGTCAGGAGATCGAGACCATCCTGGCTAACACGGTGAAACCCTGTCTCTACTAAAAATACAAAAAATTAGCCAGACATGGTGGCGTGCACCTGTAGGCCCAGCTATTAGAGAGGCTGAGACAGGAGAATTGCTAGAACTCAGGAGGCGAAGGCTGCAGTGAGCCGAGATCGTGCCACTGCACTCCAGCCTGGGCCACAGAGCGAGACTCCGTCTCAAAAAATAAATAAATAAATAAACAAACACAGGACAGACGGAGAATTTCAGCAAAGCCCTGTAATTCTGTAAGAAAGTCAAATGACAATTCCAGAAAAGGAAAATATAATCACTGAAATTAAGAAATCATTAGTTTAGAAACAGCAAAACAGAGATTTAATGAAGTAATGAATTGAACCCAGATATATCAAAGTATTAAAAACTAAAGTCAGAAAAAATCTTAAAAGCAGTCAGTGAAAATAAGACATATCACCTGGAAGGGAACAGCAATAAAACTAACAACTAATTTTTCATCAGAAATAATAGAAAATGAAGATGACAAAATGACATCTGTAAAGTGCTAAGACAAAAAAAAAAGAAAATCAACCAACCAGCCCAGAATTCCACACTAAGAAAAAAATACCTTCTAACATGAAGATGAAATAAAAATAAGTTTAGATGAACAAAAGTTAAGAAAACACTTGTTATAAGAGAACAAAATATATCAAGCTAAAAGAAAATGGCCCCACATGGAAGCATAGAACTAGAGGAGTTAGTTAAGAGGAATGGAAAAGTATATGTGGATAAATACATATTAACATTTAAAATAACAGTAATAATGACTCTACTGGTTTAAACAAATGTAGAAAAAGAAAGTATAGGACAAGACACACAAAAGACTAGGTTAGGCCGGGTGAGGTGGGTCATGCCTGTAATCCTAGCACTTTGGAAGGCCGAGGTGGGGGAATCCCTTGAGGCCAGGAGATCGAGGCTAGCCTGGCCAACATGATGAAACCCAATCTGTACTAAAAATACAAAAATTAGCAGGCATGGTGGCGGGCACCTGTAATCCCAGCTAACTCGAGAGGCTGAGACAGGAGAGTTGCTTGAGCACAGGAAACGGAGGTTGCAGTGAGCTAAGATCACACCACTACACTCCACCCTGGGCAACAGAGCAAGACTGTCTAAAAAAAGAAAAAGACAGCGAGATAAATGAAATTAAACCGTTATAAGGTTCTTGTATTTTTCAACAAGTGTTAAAAGTATAAATTTAGACAACCTGATAAACTAATATTTTAATATTTTAATGAAGAATATTTTAATCTCTAGGGCAACTACTTAAAAATACATGCACACATATTAAAGATGTACACTGTAAAATTATATGTAAAATCAAATAGAAAAAATTATGCTTGATTAAAGAAAGGAACAAATAGAAAAAAAATACCTGCCTTGTAAGACACAAATCCTACTATATCATGTTCTACATTAAATGTAAATGGACCCATCATTCCAATTAAATAACAAATACATTAGATTGGATTTCAAAACACACAACTATATTCTGTGTACAACACAACTACTTTAAAGTCAAGGGAACAGATATATTAAAAGAAAAAAATGGAAAAAGATATCATGCAAATACTAATTAAAAGTATGATGATGTTGCTACGTTAATACTGAATAGCTGGCTTAAATTATTAGGGATAAACAGAGATGCTTTATTACGATAAAAGTTCAACAGGAATGTTTAACAATCATAAATGTGTATACATCTCACAACACTGCTTCAAAAATTTATAAAGTAAAAGTTGACAGAACTAAAAGGAAAAACAGAATAATCCAAAATAACAGTTGGAGATTTTAAGATACTTCTCTCAGTAATGTATAGAAGAAAAAAAACCCTATGAATATAAAAAAATTTTGACATTACTAGTAACCAATTTGTTTGACCTAATTTGTATTTACAGAATCCAATAACTGTTCAATACACATTGTTCTCAAGTACTCAAGGAATGTTGACTGAACTGAATCACATACTGGGCCATAAAGCAAGTCAATAAATATCAAAAGATTGAAATCATATAAAATATATTTTCTGAGCACAGTGGAATTAAATTAGAAATCAGTAGGCCGGGCACAGTGGAATTAAATTAGAAATCAGTAGGCCGGGTGCGGTGGTTCATGCCTGTAATCCCAGCACTTTGGGAGGCCAAGGCGGGTGGATCACGAGGTCAGGAGATCGAGACCATCCTGGCTAACAAGGTGAAACCCTGCCTCTACTAAAAATACAAAAAATTAGCCAGGCGTGGTGGCGGGCGCCTGTAGTCCCAGCTACTCAGGAGGCTGAGGCAGGACAATGGTGTGAACCCGGGAGGTGGAGCTGGCAGTGAGCCGACCATGCCACTGCACTTCAGCCTGGGCGACAGAGCGAGACTCCATCTCCAAAAAGAAAAAAATAATAATAATAAGAAATCAGTAACAAAATTATTCATAAAAGAAGAAATCACAATGGAAATTTTAAAATATTTTTAATTGGTAATGAAAATGTAATATCAAAATTTGTGAGATGCAGTTTAAGCTATGCTTACAGGACCATTTATAGCTTTAAAATGCATATTTACAAGAAGGAAAGTTGAAAAATAACACTATCATCCTTTATTTTCAGTAGCTAAAGATGGCAAATCAAACCCAAAGTAGTACAAAGGAGGAAATAATGTAAACAAGAACAAAACTCAATGAAATAAAAAGCATTAAGAGAAAATTAAGCCAAAAGCTGGCTGTTTGAGAATATTAATAATTAATAACCCTTAGCAGAAATAATCAAGAAAAGACAGAAATTCCAATTTTAGAAAAATTAAAAGGGGGGGCATCAGTACATATGCTATGGACAGTAAAAGGAAAATAAGGGGATATTAATATGGGCAGTAAAAGGAAAATGAGATATTAAGAACAACTTTATGATAATGTATTTAATAATTTAGGTAAAATGGACAACTTCTTTGAAAAACATAGCTTATAGAAACTGACACAGGAAATAGAAAACTGAAACAATCCTCTATTTATTAGAGAAACTGAATCCATCATTTAAAATTTTCCCTGAAGTAATCTCCTGACTCAGATACCTTCAATAGAGAATTCTTCTAAACCATTAAGAATAAATAATACCTCACACCAATTTTTTGTTCCAGAAAACAAAAAGAAGGGCATCAGTTCCCAATTCTTTATGAAACTACCAAAACCTGACAAGGACATAAGGAAAATGACAGGTCAAAACATCTCTCATGAACACAGACACAAAAATGTTAAACAAAATTTTAGCAAATCAAATCCAGACTTATTAAAAAGATAATACATTATAACCAATGAAATTTATTACAGGAATGTAAGTTGATTTAACTTTTGAAAATTAATCAGTGTAATTCACCAAATCATCAAAGTAAAATCCATATAATCATCTCAACAGATAAAGAAAAGAATTTAATGAAATTCAATACCTACTCACAATAAAATCTTTCAGAAACTAAGAATAAAAGGAGCACTCTTAAAACAAAAATTTTACAGCCAATGTCATCTTACTAATGAAATACTGGATTCTTTCCCCTTGAATTCAGGAATAAGACAAGAATATACATCACCATTTCTATTCAACAAAATAAATAAACCAACACAAATCAATGGTATAAAGACTAAAAGAAAATAGAAAACAAAGTAAAAAGAAATAATGATTTAAAAAGAAGACTTACAATTGTCATTATTTGCTGATGACATAATTAAGTGCATAGAAAACCCAAGAGAACCTATAATAAACCATTAGAATAAGTGAATATAATAACTAAGGTCAATATATAAAGATCAACTATATTTCTATATATTTCCAAAAAACAATTAGAAAGTGAAATTTAAAAACTGATGGCATAATAGCATCCAAAAAAACTCAAAACACTAGGAATAAATCTAACAAATGTGCAATACCTCTACACTGAAATACTGTTGAGAGAAAGAGTTCACAAAATGGAAGGATATGCCATCTTTGTTGACTGGAAGATTTATTAATAATATTGTAGAGGATAATCAAATTCCCTGATGTTGACCTCAAGATTCCATGCAATCCCAATAAAAATTCCACAGACTTTTTGCAGACTCACAAGCCAATTCTAAACTTTGCATGAAAATGCAAAGGACCCAGAATGGCCAGGAAAATCTTGGGGAAGAACACTAGAATATACAAAGATTTATCACAAGCTACAATAAATAAGACATAATTAATACAACGACAGACAAACAGACCAACAGAACAGAGAATTAAGAAACAACCCACATATACTGTCACAACGAAACAACTTACATCTAATCGTTAAAGAATGATCTTTCCAATAAATGGTGCTGGATCAACTAACTATCACATGGCGAAAAGAAGAAACTTGAGTCCTATCTCAGATTATATACAAATTTAATTTGCAATGGATCATGAATAAACTAACTTATACAAGAAAATATACATGTATCTTCATATTATCATGACTATGACACAGGAAAATATTTCTTTAACAGGATACAGAATTATCCCTTCAAAATATTGGCAAGTTGGACTTCATTTAAATTAGAAACTGTTCATCAGACACCACAGAGAATAAAAAGACAATTTTCAAACTGGGAGAAGATATCTGCAATATATATAGCCAACAAAAGACTTGTTCCAGAATATATAAAGAATGCCTACAAATCCATATATATATATATATATATATATGATCATTTTAAAATTTTAAGCCCTTTTTTTCAGTCTACATACACAGAACTTAATTTAAAAATGGGCAGAAAAGGGATATTTGGAAAACCTCTTGGGGATAAACATTGTTATCTTGATTATAGTGGTGATTACGTGGATTTGTCAAAACTAATCTATCTATATACTTAAAATGAATGAATTCTATTGCATGTGAATTACACCTCATGTCACTTTTTCCCTGAGCACCAGAATTATAAGGTCCCCACTGTCTGCTCCAACATTTTCAGATATTCTTCCTTCATAACACTTACTACGGCTGTAATTTCAAATGTGTTTGTGTAATGATTTAAGGTATGTCTTCCCCATTACAGGTTTAAGTTCTTTAAGGACTGCGCCCATGATTATATTTGCTTATTACTGGAGCCCCCAATCATCTAGTAGCAAATAGAGGTACTCGATAAATATTTGTTGAATGAAAAATGATTGTGCAGTATGAACACTTTGAGAATTAAATCAGGAGGCAGTATCATTCTGCCAACTTTCATGTTTTTTAATTATCAAAATTGCCTACTCCACCTTCACATCTCCATTTGAAGTCTATCAGACATGAAATCTCTGATATTTCCCTTCACCCTCAAGCCGCCTTATCCGTAGTTTCAGTGACGGTAATTCCATCTTTCCAGTTGCCCTTCTGAAAACCATGGAGTCATCCCTAATGTCAAAGGGACAGTCTTTCAGTTCCCTAGCATTTTTGCAAGTTACTTTCGCTGATTTTAATATAGTTCTGGAAATTTGTGCACACACACACACACACACACACACACACATTTCTGTTCTTCACAGTAAGATATATCCAATCTCTTTACCTATCTGGACTCAATTAGTCTTCTGAATTTTATATATACTGTCCAGCAAACAGTAAACATGATTTTTTTTCCTAAGATATTTGAAAAAGAAGGTAGGCAATGATGTTGGTAAAATGCTCCGTATAGTATCAATTCAGAAAAATGTGCCCCCATAGACAAATTATCTATGAAATACAGGAATACTGCCTTTGTGGAACTTTCCATAATCCTTAACGGCAGAAGTAATCACATCTTCTGCTGTTTCAAATGTACTCTGAATACAAAGTATTTCTAAAACAGCAGGTTATACTGTAAAATAACTATTGAGTTGTCTTTCAATTATAGAATTTTTTGGTATATAAAAAGTTTTGTTATACATTCTTAAAGGAATCAATTATTTTTCTTTATAGTTTTCTCTTTTGCTTTTTATTCTCAACACAGCCTTCCTCACCTCAATATCAGAAAGATACTGATGTCTTAATTTGTACTAAAACTCACAAAAATAAACACTTCAGAGACATTTCACCCACAGTCTTGCTTCCTGTTTTTAAATATCAAAATGTTTTAACTAGACACCTTTAATTGTGCAGCACCATGCTAGGTACCAGTGAAAGAAAAACACTTGGACACCAAGCTATGGCAGGTGAAAGAAAGGGAAGAACTCTGAGATGACCACCAAGCTTCTGACTAAGAGAACTAAGTGTTTTTAATACTACTTGCTTGAGACAGAAAATATGAAAATACTGGCTGTGAACTTTTTCCCCCTTTTTACAGCAGGGAACAACAGAGGGGGAACTGAGGAGAAATGAGTTTTGTCCATATTGTTTTGAGAGGCCTGTGGAATGTCCAAATGGGTATGTCTATTGGAAGCTGGATTCATGGCTCATACTCATAAAAAAGATCTGTATTTGGCAACCATCAATGTTTAGATGGAACACCTGAAGTCAAGAATATAGGAATCCATGAGTATGGATAAAATCTCCCAGGAAGAGTGCATATAACGAGAAAATGTTCAAGAATGGAGTAGCAGCATTTAATGGGCGTGGTAAAGACGACGAGCTGCGCAGCCAGAGAGAGAAAAAGATAACTATCATGGAAGCTAAAGAATAAGTTTCAAAGGAGAAAATAGTATTATCATGCTTACCAAAAAGACCAGTGGTCCCCAACCTTTTTGGCACCAGGGACTGATTTTGTAGAAGGCAATTTTTCCACTGATGGTGGCCGGATGGTGGGAGGGGCAGGCGAGGGATGATTTCGGGATAAAACTGTTCCACCTCAGATCATCAGGCATTAGATTATCATAAGGAGCATGCAACTTAGATCCCTTGCATGCACAGTTCACAATAGGGTTCACCTTCCTGAGAATCTAATGCTGCCACTGATCTGAAAGAAGGCAGAGCTCAGGCGGTAATGCTCTCTCACCTGCTGCTAACCTCCTGCTTTGCAGCCCGGTTCCTAACAGGCCACAGACCCGTATCAGTCCATGGCCTAGGGTTTGGGGACCCCTGAAATAAGACAACATTATCCTGTTTATCAAACACTGAAAACATTATTAAAATACGAAATTTTAAGAAAAGTTATTTCTATAACTTTAAATGAGAATATAGATGCTTTCTTTTTTTTACTGTAATTAAAAAACAAGGTACAGAACAGGGTACACGGCAAGTTCTACTTGTGTAGAAAACAGCAAGGTATATATTTATATTGGCTTTTATTGCATAAAAAGCAGGTAGAAGACAGAAGTGACAGTAGGTTTTTGTATGGCTTTTTGTAGTCCTTGGTGTTCTAACCATAACAAAGTTACCTATGCTAAAAATTTAGTAAATGTTACAAATGTAATACAACCTGCTAATCTTCAAAATGTTCCACAGCTCTAAGCATGTGTTCCTTCACCTTACTTGAATCACACCTGTAAAAAGGAAACTCTGTAAGACCAAATGTTAGTCAGAGAAGTACCTTAACAGATGCTTTGCCAGGACAGTTGCTGAACCTGAAGACTAATATTATCATCTTTACTAAAGCGTGTGGAAGAAACAGCTAATCACATGCTACCCAAGGGCTCTGCTCAGAATGTCAAATATGATGTTACCAAAAAAAATGCAACTTAATTTCAAACAATATATAAAATGTAAGACTACATAGCCTCAATCAATTTTTATTTAACAGGTCAGACTTTTATTTTTTGTACAGATATCTTTGTAAAGATACTTACAAAAATTTTAAGTATATATTTAAATAAATTTAAAATTCACGAAGTATATTTGGCTAAACTGGGGATATTTCAAACGCAGTACTCACAATGAATTAAGTAAAAACAAGATAAGGAATTCCAATCAGCTTTCAGCCTTTTAAAATGAAGACATGCTTTTATGTACTCAACTTAGTGGATGGCATCACCATCAGTTGAGTCTCCAAACACTCTCTTCTACACTTTATATCTACTCAGTAACTGAATCCTGTTAGTTCTACTTCAAATACTCCAGAATCTAATGCCCCTTTCCATTGATATCCTCCAATGTGTACCTATATCTTTATTATCGTCATCATCGCCAATATTCACTGAGTACCTTTACATGTTGGACACCATGAACTGTTTTACAGCATTCTAATAAAATATATAATAAGTATTATCTTTCTCATATTATAAAAATCATTCATGTTAAACAGTATCAAATGAAGCTGACACCACAGGAACAGGAATTTTTTTCAGAATATTTTTCTGAAATTCTCAAAATGTCATTGGATAATCCATTTGAAAGGCAGATAAATTTAAGGTTCTTTATACTTAACTGTACATTAGAATTACCTAAGAAGCTTTTGAAATACTGTGACAGGTCTGCCACAAAGACCTACCAAAGTAAAAAAAAAAAAAAAAAAAGAAAAAGAAAGAAATACTGTGACAGGGCCCTCAGCCCAGATCGATTTAAGTTACTGGAAGTTTTTTAAAGTTTTCCACATAATTCTAATGTGTAGCCAAGGCTAAGAAACACTAGACTATATGATTATCTAGGTTCTTTCTAGCTTAAAAATGTTTGATTATACAGAAATATTTTCAGACTGTGAGCCTTAAAATGAACTACCACAATAGAAAGAACTATTTTCTCCCCAAGTTTTTCTCAAAGAAACATTAATGAATAAAAACTTTTCTTGAATGAAATTGTTCTCTCATAATTCTTTTCTAAACAAATGGTGCCTACCACTTTGTATATGCTAATACTAGCAGATGATAAAAAATAAATTAACAGTAACTAATATGAAATTAAAACATAGAAATGCCATTTCTTCAAAGTATGTTTGAGAAGGAAAAATCTGCATACACAAAAAAATAGTCACACTTTCTACTGGTAAAATTGTTCCTAGGTGCGGGGAGGGGATGAGGATTGAAAAATGACCTATTGGGTACAGTGTTCCTTACTGGGGGTAATGGGTACACTAAAAGCTCAGCCTTCACCACCACACAAGAAATCCACGTAACAAAACTGCACTTGTACCCACAAACCTATAAAAATAAATTAAAAATGGTTCCTAATTATGAAAATAAGTATGTCAATAGTTTGTTGTTTCAGAAAGTAAACACCAACTGAGAACCAACATTTAAATGATGCCTGCAAGGTTTACCAAGATAGGGCCCTATCTATCTACACTAAATGGAGCCAGAGTAGTGCACATTTTGAATTGTCAGCTTTTTATAAATTTTATGTCTATTTCTATGCCATCTTGGCTGTCAGGTAACACTGCATGTATATATGTCTGCTTATAGAACAACTTCTCCCATTTTTGCTATTTGCTGTCTCCTGGCTTAAAATTAAGAAAACAAGTCTGTTAAAATATGTGTAAGGTGAAGAGTAGTTCCCTTATAAA
This sequence comes from Homo sapiens, assembly GCF_000001405.40. NCBI lineage: Eukaryota > Metazoa > Chordata > Mammalia > Primates > Hominidae > Homo > Homo sapiens. The sequence continues at coordinate 26,070,510 of NC_000018.10, forward strand.
GTTATAATGCTTTGGCATTAAGAAAAAAGACACAAGGCTGAAACTAAGAAGTAAAATGCCTAAGTGTTAGTGCACTGGCATTAGAAGTTATTTTTCTCCTTTTATTCTCAGTGTTTAGATTCTTGACTTTTAGATTCTAGCTAGTGCTCGATCTTGGCCAGTTCCAAACACACGAAATAGAACTATAAATAAATAATTCTTCTCTTGAGATGACATGGGAAAAAACTGAAAGTTAAACTTATATATAATTATGAACACATTTCTAATTCCCACCCCATTCAACTGAAATGAAGTGAAAAACCCCATTCTAGAAAACTTAAGTAAAATCATCCTAAAACATAATAGTTTTTTCAGACTCAAGTATCTCAAACTATAGTTAGTAACATCCTCTCAGCAAAGAGCAGAAAATATTTTTAAAATGCCAGAGCAGATCTAAAAAAGAACTTATAGAAATTCTAGAAATAGAAAAATATATATTAGGAACTCAAGGGATAGGTATAACAGATTAGGCCCAGTGAAAAATGAACTGGAAAACTGGTCAGAAAAAAATATACTTAGAATGATAAATGGTTGGAAAAGTCTGAAGGGATTAAGAAACATAAAGATACAGTTACAAGGTCTAGTCTAAGTTTAACTGGAGTCTTATGGAAGAATTATTTGCTTGAAGAGATAATGACTGAAAACTCCCAAAACTGATGAAAGACATGAACCTACAGATGTCAGAAATCCCAACAGGCACCAAGCAAGATAATTAGAAAGAAATCTTCCAATATCTAACTACAGTGTGAGAAAAAATAAATTTAAGAAAACAGAAATCCACACCTAAACATACTAAAACCACTAAAAATCCTAGACAAAGCAAAACTCTTAAATGCAGTCAAATAAGCAGATTATGTTCAAAATATCAACAATTACATTGATATCTGAATTTTCAATAGATACAAGACAGAAAACAACGCAAGGATAAATGTAATGTGCTAAGTAAACAACAACTAACCTAGTATCTGTCCTTGGAAAATATCTTCTAAGAATCATGGTGAGCCAGGTGTGGTGGCTCATGCCTACAATCCCAGAACTTTGGGAGGCCAAGGCAGGAGAATCACTCGAGGCCAGGAGTTTAAGACTAGCCCGGGCGATATAAGACCCCATTTCTCCAAAAAATACAAAAATCAGCCAGGCATGATGGTGTATGCCTGTGGTCCTAGCTTCTCAGGAGGCTATGGCAGGAAGATTTCTTGAGCCCAAAAGTTCGAAGCTGCAGTGAGCTATGATCATGCCCCTATGCTCTGGCCTGGGTGACGGAGTGAAACACTGTCTCCAGAGGAAAAAAAAAAGAATGATGGTGAAATAAAGGCATTTTCAGACCCAGACCAAAACAAAACAAAAATACTGAAGGTATGTCTCACCAGCAAAGCAGTGCTAAAGGAAATACTAAGGAATGTTCTTTAGGAGGTGAAAAAAAAAGTGATCTAAGCTAGAAGGTCATAAATGAAAGGAGGAACAGAAAGCATCAGAAATGGTAAGTAACTATGTGGATGATCTAATGAACACTGACTTCAAAAAAAAGACAGTAATAACAACCACTTGTGGAAACATATAGAGACTTAAAATACATTACAACAACAACGAAAAGGTCATTGAGGGAAGGAACAGAAATGAAGTATTTTATGGTCCTTTGATTGGGATGTATATTATAATCTATACAGTAACCACTAAAAGAATAGTAAATATGTAAGATTTCCCAACTAGAAAGAAAAAAAAGGAATAATAAAAAACAAATTAATTATTGGCCGGGCACAGTGGCTCACACCTGTAATCCCAGCACTTTGATTGCTAGACTGAGTTAAAAAAAAAAAAAAAAATCTACATCCTACTCATAATATCGTTATCTCTAACACAAGAAAACAGAAAGGAGGATAATACCATGCAAACACCAAAGAAAGCTTATTTAGCTATGCTAATATCAGATAAAGTAGACTTTAAAAGCATTACTAAAGATAAGAAGGGATAATTCACAATGATGTTGCAGGCGGCGCGCAGCACTTTGGGAGGCCAAGGCAGACGGATCACGAGGTCAGGAGATCGAGACCATCCTGGCTGACAAGGTGAAACCCCTTCTCTGTTAAAAATACAAAAAATTAGCCAGGCGTAGTGGCGGGCGCCTGTAGTCCCAGCTACTAGGGAGGCTGAAGTAGAAGAATGGTGTGAACCCAAGAGGAGGAGCTTGCAGTGAGCCGAGATCACACCACTGCACTCCAGCCTGGGCAACAGAGCGAGACTCCGTCTCAAAAAAAAAAAAAAAAAAAAAAAAAACCTTAAAAGAGCTAAAAGGAAAATCAGTCAGTCCACAATTTGACTTGTACATTTTAAACATACATCTCTCAGTAATCGATAGAACAAACAAACAAAACATTGGAAAGACTAAAAAAACAACAATCATTAAGGCTACAGAGGATTCAAACAAGATTAACACACTTGACCTAACCTAATAGACATATATAGAACTCTGCTCTCAGTGGCTAAACAATACATATTTTTTTTAAATACACATGAAACATCTGTAAAAACTGACCATATGCTGGACCTTGAAACAAATCTCAAGGAATTCCAAAGAACTCAAATCGTAAAATGTTATTTAACCACAATGCAATAAAGCCAGAAATCAAGAAAATAAAATATCCATGTTTGGAAATTAAGAAATGTATTTTTATCAACCAATGCATTAAAAAATAATTATGAAAATTAGAAAATATTTGGAATTAAATAAATATGAATATACTACATATCAGAACTATGATTAGAGGAAAACTTATGTCCATTTTAAATGCATCCTTAGAAAGGTGAAAATTGATGAAAGAGGCATTCATCTAAAACTCAGAAGAACAGAAAAAAATATACCAAAAGAAAGTAAAAGGGAGAAAATCATAAAGATCAGAAATTAATCATAAACAAAAACATACATGAGGTGCCCAAGGGCAAAACTATTTCCATAAGATGATGTTTGCCTTTTATGCTAAGTGCACATTTATAATGATGGTACAAAAGCAATAGTGGATATAATTGCTGGAACCTCATTATGAATCAAGGCAATGACATCAAACTATTATTAGTCAATGTATTACTGGCTGCCACACACTTGCAGTTGAAGAAAGAAAAAGATAGTTTCAGTTAAAAATGTGCTTGATGAAGCAGTAAAAATTATTTTGTAAATTCTCCATGTCTTGTAAATAAATATTCAGTGACAAAATGGGAAAATAATAAACATTATCTGTCACAAAGTAAAATAATCAAGAAAAAGCAGTTTGTGATTGAGTTGCCAGCTGAACTAGGCACCGTTTTCACTGAATACCATTTTTACTTGAAAGAACAATTGTTAACTGTATTTATCTAGGCATGGGTATTTGGCAGACATTTTCTCAAAAACAAACATAGTGAGCAAGAAAATCAACTAATAACATTTGTTGCCAAGATCACATTTGAATTTCCAAGCAAGAACTTGGAATGTGCAAACTTATCTACGACCTTGAGCTTGACAGCATCCCCATACTTAGGCACTTTTCTGATGAGATTAGAGGTGATTTTAACCAATGTAGTCTTTGGTATCACACAGAAAAATGTTAATGTTTGGAAGAACTGTTTAACTCAGTAAACTTATACTTTCCAAATCACCAAAGCATGATGTTATAAAATTATACATGAGTAAAAATCTATTCAAAGTGTAATAAAGACCAATGGGCTTAAATGTACCAGAGTAAGAAAAATGTAATGATACAATTTAAGATTCCACACCACAACTAACCTTAAAAAAAAAAAAAAACTTACTGAGTTCTGCTGTAATATCAAACAAGGTTATCCCCAAAAATCTGAAAAGGCTATTAAAATATTCTTCCCCTTTCTAACTACATGTCTGTGTGAGACTGCATTTTCTGCTACAACCGAAACAAGATACTACAATAGACTGAATGCAGAAGTAGATGTGAAAATATAGTGTCTTCTATTAAGCCAGACATTTAACAGAAACTTGCAAAAACGTAACATGATGCCATTCATCTCACAAAGATAGTTATTTTTCCTTTAAAGAATGTTATTTATATTAACATGCAATAAGTTTATTATTTTTAACAAATTTTTTAGATTTGTTTTAATTTCACAACTGAGAAAAATTTATAATTTATATTAACAATATAACCTACATCAAGTTCTTTTAAGTCCTCAGTAATTTTTAAGAATGTAACAGGGTTCTGAGACCAAAAGGTTTGAAAAATGCTGCAACAGAGCACAATCAAAACCAAAAGTTGATTCTTTGAAAAGACTTAAAAAACCCATAATAAACATCTGGCAAGAATGATCAAAAAATATTTCAAAGCAGAAGTCACAAATAATGACATTAAAAAGAAAATTATCACTACAGACAGTGTTGACATTAGGAAAATAAGATTATTTCAAGAGCTTTTACTTTATTTTCATGCTAATTAATGTTCAAATTTATTAAAATGCTAAAAACCACAACTTACCAAAATAGGCAATTTATAAAATATAGAAATTGTCCTATAACAATTAAAGAAGTAAGTAAATAAAAACTTCCTTGCAAAGAAAACTTCAGATTCAGATGGCTTTTCTAAAGAATTGTACCAATCATTTAACAAAGAAATAGAAATATTATGTAAATTCTTCTGGATAAGAAAAAGTAGAAAATTCTCCAGCTCCTTTTATAAAGCTAGCATAGCCTCAAAATAAAAACCAGACGAAGGCATTATAAGAAAGAAAAATTACAGGTCAATCACACTCACAAACAAAGATGCAAAAATCCTAACCAAAATTTTAACAAACTGAATATCGCAATTTCTTTAAAAACATCATGACCAAGTGGGTCATCAACAAGTAGGTTAATTACAAGAATGCAAGACTGACTGAGCATTAAAAGTATATCAGTATATTTTACCACATTAACAGATTAAAGAAGAAAAAGTCTTATAATCATCTCATTCGATGCAATAAAAGTACTTGATAAAATTTAACATCCATTCAACATATAAATTTTTACTTAGCACATCAGAAACAGAAAGGAGCTTCCTTAATCTGACAAGTTATCTATGAAACACTACAGCAAACATCATACTTAATGGTCAAACAGTGAAAGCTTTCCCTTTGAGATCAGGAACAAGACAAGGATGTCCTCTATCACCACTTCTATTCAGGAATGTAATGGAGGTCATAGCCAGAGAAGTAAGGCAAGAAAAAGAAATAAAAGGTGTAAGGATTGACAAGAAAGAAACAAAACTGATTATTCACAAATGATATGATCATGAATACAGAAAACTGAAAGCATCTACAGAAAAACTCAGAAGCAAGAGCTGAACAAGAATGTGAGATTCAAATTAATTGCATTTCCATGTAAACAGCAAATGCAGCTAGAAAATAAAACTTAAAAGACAAAGATTCGATTTAAAATGGCCTCAAAAAATATAAAGTATTAAATATCTAGCAATAAGCCCAATGAGAGATGTGCAAACCATCTACAGGGAAAAATCATAAAACTTCATTGACAGACATTAAAGAACTAAATAAATGAAAATATATGCAATGCTCACGATTTGGAAAACTCAATTTTGTAAAGATATCAAGTCTTCCCAAATTGATTTACAGTCAAGGTAATCTGAATGAAAATCCCTACAGGATTACGTATATGTGTATATAACCTGACATACTGATGTTTAAGTGTATATGGAAATGCAAAGAACCAACAGCCAAGATATTCTTGGAAAAAAAAAAAAGGAATAAGATTAAGTATAACAAGAGAGTGGAATTCATAAAAACAGACCAAGGAAACGATATAAACAGATCAGACACAGACCCACATATAAACGGACACCTGATACAACATAGATTGCATGACAAAATATCTTGTTTTTCCAAGAAATAATAATGGGACAAAAAACCATCCACATGGAAACAAATGAAACTGAACCTATTCCTCACATTATTCACGAAAATAAATTCTACCTAGCTGGTAGTCAAGTTGATGACAACTGCCACATGAAGAACTATTTCAACTTCAAAACTAAATATACTGATTAAAATATCCCCAGTGGGATGTATCTTAGGGACAAGCATCTTATTGTTAGTGTTAGTTTTGGTACCATTACATTGTTATATGTTTTATATAAAGTAGCATACAGCAAATCACAAAAACAAAGAAGCTATGAAATACTTGAGTCATGTCAGAGGAACACAGGAGCCAAATGAAGAGGCTTCCATTGATCAGAGAAACAAAATTTCAACATAACAAAGAATGACTGCAAGGGATTTAAACATTAAAAATCCAAAAATGTATTAAATTCAGATAATAAAAACAAAAATATTAAAATGGTAACCTACACAGGTTGCTAGAGACCAACTCATTCTGAAAATTGATAAAGGGACAGAATCAAGCATTTATCATGACTTTCCTATGGGGACTCTCTAGTTTCAGGATAACCAAATATTTAATGAAAGGAAGTTTATCTTTTTAAAATAATTACAGCTAATAAATGCAAGAGGGATTATAGAATTAGAAATTCACCATTCTGTGATCCCAAAGTGAAATACAGGATCTGGTCCACAAGCATCAATGACCATTAAAACCATTAAGTGATAGGTAGACAGGGAACTTTATAATGGATTGATCAGGCTGGTATCAAGTATACCCATTGATCAATCTTAACATTACTAAAAATGGAACAACCAAACATGTTCTTCCTGATCTGATATTATGGGAAATACAAAGCACCGCCAACAAAATACTCTTACCAAAAATCTAAACCTCACTAATTAAGCCTCTCTAATTACCAGTTTACATGAAATAAGAGAAACAAAGGAACACGTTAAAGGACCATGAGAATACAATTAGCCAAATGCAGAATGTTAAAAATTCTACACAATATATGACCCAGTTCCTTTAACAAATAAATGAAGATTTAAAAAGATAAAATGATACAGATTAAAAGAGACTAAGACACATATCAACCAATGCACTACGTGTACCTTGTTTGGATTCTGAGGCAAACAACTGTTTAAAAATTTAGAGTTTTTAATCGCTGCTCGGCCTTTTGGCTAAGATCACGTGTAAAACATTTAGGTTTGTTTTAGATAACGGATAAAAATTGAAAATAAATTGAATATTGTAAGACAGAAAGAAATTATGGTTAACTTAGTTGGGTATGAGAATAGTCCTGTCTGACAGAGATGCATATGGAAATACAGTATTTACTGGTCAAACTGTAAGATGTCTGGGACTTGCTGTGAAACATTTCAGATTAACAAATTACTTGTGCAATTAAAAATTAAAATAGGTAGGTAGGTAAACAGGTAAACGAATATAACCTTCTCAGGGACAGAATCAATTTTAGGTGAATTCAAATTAAATATAAAAGCAAAACAAAGCTTTTAGATAACATAGAATACTTTCATGTTCTCAGAGTAAAGCAGGATTTACTAAACAAAACTTAAAAATCATTCAACAAAAATGTGCCATACCATATGTAACTATAAAGATTGTCTACTTCACATGATTTTAAAGATACTTACTGCTGGTAAAAGAGACTGCATATTTTGATTAGAATCTGCTATTGTAGCAAGGTATACCAAGTTTGTGTGCAACATCTGCTGATACCTATTAAAACAAAACAAGTATCAGTATTAAAAAATAATTTTCTTCCTACCTGCCTAAGTACAAACAGCACTATAATCATTTCTAAAGTTTCATTAAAAATTTGTTACCCGAACATCAATAGCACTTCAATTTTTCCTACACTGCAAAAGTTCCAAATAATAAATATTTAAATATAATGAGCTCAGAGATCTTGCCATGTATGCTAAATAGTGTTATAATTTTTTATATGCATATATGTTTCAATCCACAAACCAATACTACGAGGCAGGAGCTCTTTTCTCCATTTTACAGATGAGAAACTAATGTTTAGAGAGGTTGATAACTTGTACATGATTGCATAGCTAGTAGATGGAATAACTGACATATGTAATAGGCCCATACTAGTACACTGAGTTTTTTTAAAAAGAACTAAATAAAGGAATCCAGTGAAATGTGCTTATCTCAGCTGGGCACAGTGGCTCACACCTGTAATCCCAGCCCTTTAGGAGCCCAAGGTGGGCAGATCACTTGAGGTCAGGAGTTCAAGACCAGCCTGGCCAACACGGTGAAACCCCCGTCTCTCCTAAAAATACAAAAATTAGCTGGGCATGGTGGCACACGCCTGTAATTCCAGCTACTCAGGAGGCTGAGGCAGGACAACTGCCTGAACCCAGGAGGCAAAGGTTGCAGTGAGCCGAGATCATGCCACTGCACTCCAGCCTGGGCAACAGAGTGAGACTCCATCTCAAAAAGAAAAAAAAGAAATATGCTTATCCCTTTCCTTCTGCCATTTTCATTTTGCTAAAAACCTCAAACCCAAGTACAGTCAATATGTTCTGCTAAAATTTAGGAAAGGAGGTGGGAACCACACCTTTTTTTCCTTTTCACTACTGTAGCAATGACCAACAACTTAGGCCCACTGTGTTTATACTACCCATCTATCAGGACACAGCATATAGAGAAGGCAATGAATAGGCAATCTCCAACTACAGAAAAAAAGAGATATGCTAAAACAAAAGATGGAAGAAATGTTATAACACCAACAACACTCAAGATTAACTTTAAGAAAATAAAGCAAATTCATTATCAGCATTACGTGGTTAAACATGCTTATTGTAATCTTACCTATGAATTAGTTTAGCTAAGCTTCTCTTCACAATTTTAACAAATTAACTGACAAAGCCATATTAAAATTAGCAGTGATCCAATCACTAGTGTTTTGTCTCAGTGCAGCCATACAAGCCCCATGAGTACAAACTTAAAACCTGCATCAAATTGTTAGGCTTTCTTAAATATTTCATTTACTAAAAATGCTAAATACAAATTAAAATAATAAAAATAAGTTTTTTCAGCTAAAGTTCTCTAATTCAGATTCCAAATTAATTCATTTTCTAAAATAGACACCATAAAAGGAATCCGAGTTTTTCTTTTGTTCGTTTTTGGTTTTGTTTGTTTTTTTGAGACAAGGTCTCACTCTGTCACCCAGGCTGGAGCGTGCAGTGGCGTAATCATGGCTCACTGCAGCCTTGATCTCCTGGGCTCAAGCAATCCTCCCACCTCAGCCTCCCAAGTAGCTGGGCCCACAGGCACATACCACCACACGGTGCTAAATTTTGCATTTTTAATAGACAGGGTTTCACCATGTTGCCCAGGCTGCTCTCAAACTCCTGAGCTCAAGCAATCAGCCAGCCTCAGACTCTCAAAGTGCTGGGATTACAGGCGTGAGCCACTGTACCCAGCCGAATCCTAGCATATTCTTTGCTACTTATTTTTCTCCTGTTACAAACAACAGGTTTCACAGCTTTTTTTTTTTTAATAAGAAAGGAAAAAACACTATTTCTTGCTGACCTTAAAATAACGCTTTCACAAACAAGGCCATGCTTTTAATGCTTTGCGTCACATGGACACTATGTTGCCCAATGAGACATGATACATCTTTGATAGTGAACTTTACACTAAATGGACAAAGTAATAATTATATTGTACTAAATTATACATAATGGTTAATTGTGTTGTTGAAATTCTTCAAGCAGCACTAACAGGGACCACTAGCTGGAACTATTTCATTATTCTGTAGAGATCTAGGAAGGAACTTAAAATATAGTGTTCCATATCTTGCCATTTTTTAAAAAACCAACCAGCCATTTTTAATTAGAACACATAACCTGTTTCAGTCTAGGCCTTCAAGTTTTCCTTTGCTTGAGTATTAGTATGGTTGCACGACATGAGATTTTCTGAGGACCACTGACCAAACCATACTAACAGATGTGGTTTATTCATGACCCTTTAAGAAAAAATTTTAGTATCATGTTGATTAGTACTTGACAAAGCCAGTGTGAAACTACTATTACATCTAATCTGCCACACTCTTAAGGTCTCATATGTAAAATAATGGAGTTAAAGCAGGACACTGAAGTTGCCTGCAGTTTTAAAATCTATAAACCCAGGATCTTTTATGAAGTAGTTTCATTTTAAGACATTTGCCCAACCTTCTCTCAACTGTCAAATCTTTTCAATTTTTAATTGTGAAATAATTTTAAACTTACAGAAAAGTTTCAATAGCAAAGTCTTGTATATTTTTTCTCCCAGATTCTCTAATGATTAGTATTTTACCACATTTTTCCTATCATCTCTAAATACACACACCAACACACACAGACATACATATGCACTCACTTTTTTCCAAAACCATTTGTGAGTCAGTAATACATTACTCCTAATACTTCAGTACTGGCTTTCCAAAACAAGGCTATTCCCTCATATAACAGGACAACCATCATGGGGAAATTAACATTGATATATCATTACTATTTAATCCACAGAACTCATTCAAATTTCTCCAATTGCCCTAATACCTCCAAATCATTTTCCCTCGTATAAGGAGGTAGGTAAAAATGAAAAATTTTCAGTCCGCAGTCCGGCCTGGGCGACAGAGCGAGACTCCGTCTCAAAAAAAAAAAAAAAAAAAAAAAAAATTTTAATTGGCCTTTTCTAACTTCAGTATGTTTATTTTCTGTAAAATTGCATTATTTTATAGCATTCATCAAATAAGTATATTCTTTTTTCTTTTGAGACAGAATCTCACTGTCAGCTAGGCTGGAGTGCAGTGGTGCGATCTTGGCTCACTTGTAATCTCCGCCTCCCAGGTTCAAGTGATTCTCCTGCCTCAGCCTCCCAAGCAGTTGGGATTACAGGTATCCACCACCACGTCCAGCCAATTTTTGTACTTTTAGTAGAGATGGGGTTTCACCATGTTGGCCAGGCTGGTCTTGAACTCCTGATCTCAGGTGATCTGCCCGCCTCGGCCTCTCAAAGTGCTGGGATTACAGGCGTGAGTCACCACACTCAGCCCAATTAAACATATTCTAAGATGACTCAAGGTTCAAAGATGAACATTAACAAAAAAGTAGTAAATACTCATATTATTTTATAACTTTGTATATAGGTCACCTAAAAAGCAATCAGCAAATACTCTAGGAGAATCTGGACTCAGGTGACAATATTGAAATGATAATAAAAATGATATTAAATATATTTTCCTCAGAAACTTTGAATATTTTTATTCTATATATAGTTACGTTTCTCACTGAAACAGTTTACTTTCTTAATGTTTTATTCCTAAAACAGTATATGTTGTGCTGGGCACAGTGGCTCACACCTGTAATCCCAGCACTTTGGGAGGCTGAGGCAGGAGGATCGCTTAAGCCTAGGAGTTCAAGACAAGCCTGGGCAACAAAGTGAGACCCTATCCCTACGAAAAAGTGAAAAATTAGCTGAGCATGGTGGCACGCACCTGTAGTCCCTGCTACTTAGGAGGCTAAGGTGGGAGGATCACTTGAGAACAGGAGGTTGAGGCTGCAGTGAGCCATTATCATACCACTTGCACTCCAGCCTGGGCAAAAGAGTGAGATTATGTCTTGAAAAACAAAACAAAAAAAAAGAGTATATGTTGATATGAGGAAAAAAAGGAGTATATAAGCTAAGGGCTGTTATAAAATATATTTAGTATTTTATTTTTGATGATGGTACTGTCCTGGTAAATATGACAAATATTCTCAAATACTCATGATTATTAACCTATTAAAAGAGCCAGTTCACCTCCCACAGAGGCCACTAAGAGTAACTCATCAATTACTTTGAATAAAGTAAAATGGACACTCTATTTGTTGACATAATTACAAAATTAAGCTGGAAGTAATTTCATTTTATAAAATAAACCTTACCTAGAAGCTATGAATATTTATTAGACAACGGGAATGCACTTTATAGAATAAAAGTTATCTTCCAAACTACAGATTTAAACAACTCTTTTAAATTACGATGAATGATCGACACTAATTTTTTTTGTTGTTTGAAATTTATGCAACTCTGGAATAGTTTGGACTCACCCTAAAATGCAAAAAATAAGAAATGATTTAAGCAAACATAGGTTGATTTAGAAAATGCTCAAATTAAACATCACAGTGAATCAGTAACACATTCTCACGTGTGTTACCAGAATTTAAAGGAAGATGGTCCAGGCACATGCGCTCCACAAGTGATTCAGACCACTGACTCATGAGTGTAATATTTGAATTTGTGTGTGTCTGCAGAGAGCGTTGATAAAGCAACATACACAAAGGTACTACCACTGAAAAGTCTTTGGGTAGTAAGAATATGGTATTCATTCTCTTATTTTTACACATTTTTGTTTTCTAATTTGCACATACTGCTTTCATAAAATACATAGTTATTTTTAATTTAAAAAAAAACACAGTTTCAGGCAAAGTTATCACATCTTAAGGAGTTGTTAATTTAAAATTGGAGTATCAATTCCCAGATGGCTGTCATGTATTAACGTTTCTCTTTATTTTCCTTTTGCTTCTCCTACAATGAGAAACAAGAACACCTGTTAAGGTCGAGAGGAGGAGTTGTTTTTCTCTTTATTCACAAACCAATACTGACAACTTGAGAAAGAAAGAATATCTGAAGAACAAAAGAATAAAATTAAATCCACCAAAAACGGCAGAATTTAAGATTCTCCCTAAGTCAGTTTAAGCCCTATTTGCTTAAATTGTTCACCAAGTATATGTGAGAAAATGAGATCTAATCCAATATGTAGAGAATGAGGGAAATGATCATATATATATATCTGAAAAAGTTGAAAATTTTGCTGACTCAGTTGGTTCTAGACCTAAACATACACTATCCGTGACATATACTACCCTTGGCTCTGTGTGGAGTTCTTAAAAACCAAAGGCAAAAATAATTTCAGTTATTCATCACTTAACAATGGGGATACATTCTGATAAATGTGTTGTTAGGTGATTTCATCGTTGTTGTGCAAACATCATCAAGAGTACTCACACAAACCTAGATGGTATAGCTTACTACACACCTAGGCTATACAGTATAGCTTATTGCTCCTAGGCTACAAACCTGAAAAGCCTTTTACTATACTGAATACTGTTGGCTGTACTGAACTGAATGGTAAGTATTTGTTTATCTACAATTATCCAAATAGAAAAGGTGCAGTAGGAAGATGGTATTATAATCTTATGGGTATTATAGTACAAATATGGTATTATAATCTTTCGGTCTATTGTTGACCAAAAGAGCATTAGGTAGCGCATGATTGTATTCTAATAAGTGCCTCTAAGCTTTAACATTCCATGGCTGACTTGAGGAATTGATCTCCTTACTATCCACAGTTAAACCAAAGAAGTAGATCAGCTAGTTAATTTTTTAAAGAACATTCTCAAATATATGCACAAGATTCATCTAAGCAATAATATATGTAATGGAAACAATCATATAAAATGCAAAACATACAAGAGATTGAACAGTAAGATAACCTAGCACTCAGATCTTAGTTTCTAAACATCATTCTCCAAAAAAAGAACCAGGGCTTGGAGAAACGGGTGACTACCCACCTGCACAGGAAAAAAAAACCAGGATGAGCCTAGAACATTTTGTGGTATAAGAAAATAAGTAAATGTTCAAAAAATAATGAAGACATATCAAGAAGCCAGCTTGAGGGGCTCCCACTGGCCAGATCTGGAAGAATTAAAGAAAATAAATAATAAAGTAAGAGATTATAACCTAGAGAATACAGTAATAATGTTTAAGTCCATTTAGAGATAAATAAGTGAAGAATGAAGGAATAGGAAAAGAACAAATTTCTTCCTCACAGTAGGACTTAAGTAAAAGTAAAAGGAATGATAGATTTAGTCATCATTTGGTAACCACTTAAAGTGATAACTATTTTAGGCAAATCATTGGATTTTTAGTGGATGCTAAAATTAGTGTGTTGAAGTATGATGAGAAACAATGTAAATGTGCCTCAAGGTATTAGATACATATGAATTACAAGAAATAGCAACTTTATGGTGAACAAACCATAAAGTTATGATACCACCTTAGTTAAGATACCACCTTAACTAAGTCATCAAAGTTATCACCAATATTGGGACAAACTACTAACATATGGCTACTGAGGATGCACTGTGAAGGACACAATATCACGTCAGTGGTACTTCTGCTAAAAGTGTATAGTGTGAATTTAATCATGGGAAACACCAGTCATATCCTAAATGAGGGACATTCCACAAAACTACTGGTCTATACTATTCAATAATGTCAAAATCATGGAATATTTTTAAAAGACCCCCAGATTAAAGTATACTTAGGAGACAAGACAAATACAACACCAGATCCTGTACTGGACCCTGGACCAGAAAATATGCACTAATAGGACAACTGGCAAAATTCAAAAAAGCCCTAAATATTAGATAATAGTATTGCATTCTTGATTTTAACAATTATACTCTGGTAATTTAAGAATATGTGCTTGTTTTTAGGAAATACACACTGAGGTTATTAAAAGTAAGAGGGATTCATATCTGCAATTACTCTCAAATGTTTCTAAAAAACAATATGGGGGAGAAATGAATAAAAAACCAAGTGGGCTATGTAATCGTTTGAAAAATTCAATGCAGCACATACAGGAATTCTTTGTACTATCTTTGAAACATTTTTGTAAGTGTGAAATTATTTCAAAACAAAAAGGCTTTTTGTTTTTTCTTGTTGGCGGCGTTAAGTAGAAACAGTTATCACTGTTGCCCAGGCTGTTCTCAAACTCATGTCGTCAAAGCAATCCTCCCACCTCAGCCTCCCAAAGTGCTGGGATTTCAGGCATGAACCATCGTGCCTGGCCAAAACAAAAAGTTCTTTAAGACACCACTTTTCAGCAACTGGATATGCAAAAATATTTTAAAGATGTCTAATATCTACTGCTCACAGGGGTAGCTGAAAGCTAGGACTCTAAAAACCTGGCTGGGAGAAAGCAAACCAATACAATCTTTTTGCTGGCTAATTTGGCAACTTAGTATGGTCTTTAACCCAGTAATTCCATTTCTAAAACTGAACCTACATAAATATTAAAAACAACAATATCTATAAACGTGTATGCATAAATATGAATGCATATATGTAAATACACAGAAAAATGTTTGGAAGGATACATACTAAAGCACTAGAAGCAGTTACCCCTATGGAGGGGAAGGAGATAAGACAGTGGCATGTAAAAGGTGACTTATCTCCACAAACTTATACTTTATAATTTTTTTTATGATAACCATATATGACTTTTTACATTTAAAAATACTTTTAAACAAAGGGGAAAAAGTAATGGAAACTTGGAATTAAATAGAGGGTAAATCAAATGACAGCAAGAGACCAATACAATGTGAAAACCAAACAAAGCAAGGGCCAAGGTTGGTGGGAATTATCTGCCTGAGGATACACCAGTGAAGTCTCTAGGAAAGACAGATGCATCCCAAAACAAGGGTGAGAATAAAATAGTCAGCCCTCAGTATCCACAGATTCCACATCCTTTAACCAACCATGCATTGAAAATATTCTGAAAAAAAAAAATGGATGGTTGTTACTGAACATGTAGGCTTTTTTCTTATTATTCCCTAAACAATATAGTATAACAAGTATTTACATTGTATTAGGTATTATGAGCAATCTAGAGAATATTTAAAGTTTACAGGAGGACGTGAGTAGGTGATATGCAAATCCTACACCATTTTATATCAGGGACACGGGCATCTGGGACTTTGGTATCCATGGGGAGTCCTGGAATCGATTCACCATGGCTACCAAGGGTCAACTGTATTCTACAGCTGTGTTGACCAATATAGCAGCCACTACACACAGTAAAATATGGCTAATCCAAAATGAGATGTGTTATTAAAGCAAGATACACAATAGGTTTCCAAGATTTAGAACAACAAAGAAAAGAATGCAATATATCTCAATATCTTTATGCTAATTGTATATTGAAATGATACTATTTTGGAAATAATAGGTTAAATAAAATGTATTACTAATACTAATGTCATCTGCTTTTTACTCATTTACTGTGTCTACTAGAAAATTTAAAATCACACATGTGGCTCCCATTTATATTTCTAATGGACAGTGCTGTTCTATTCTAATTACTTTTGATAATATATTCAACTTATTCTACCACATCAGATTCTATTAGGGCATATTATTTACTTCAGATACATCACTTCAAAGTAAGAAAGTTTGGCCCTTATGAATGACAATCAGTTCTCTATTTATTAGATATAAGCTTTGTTTTCACCACATACATGGATGCAACTCAATACCCTATATAAATGAAGATCTAACTTTCCCACAGATAAGACTATACATATATTTGAAGTCATTATTGTATAATGCAGGGTAAGAAGTATAAGAAACGAAGTGATACCCAATCTCCTCCCAAAGAAAGTTTTCTTTTATAAATTAACAAGTCATACAAAAGCTTGTACACAAATGTTCATAGCAGTATTATTCAAAATTAGTCAAAAGTACAAACAACACAAATGGCCATCACCGATGGATAAATAAAATGTGGTACAGCTGCATAACGGAAAAAAATACTTGCCTATAAAAAGGAATGAGGTACTGAAACATGGTTCAACATGGATGAACCTCGGAAGTATTACACTAAGTGAAAAATGTGAGTCAAAACCGACCACATAGTATATCAATCCATTTATATGAAATGTCACAACAGGCAAATTCACACAGAGAGTAGATTAGTGGTTGTCACGGGTTGAGGGGTGGGGGATAGTGACTGCCAAAGGATACCCAGTGTCTTTTGGGGATGTTAAAGATGCTGTAAAACTGACTCACGTAATACCAGCACAACTCTATGAATATACTAAAAAACATTGAATTGTACACATTAAAATAGGTGAATTGTATGGTATGTGAATTATATCTCAATAAAGCTGTTAGTAAAAAGTAAAAAATTAACCAATACAAAAAACTGAATAAAAAAAAAGTTTCTTATCAATCTTACTGAGAACACTCTGAGGTCTTTCCTTTATTCTGAGAGTCCATTATACACTGAATAAGATGGTTATTGTCATCCAACATCTGAAACAGAATTAGAAAAGGTTTAGCATAAAACTAGTGCATCAAGTAAAATAAAAAACTAGAAAATTCAGAAAGGGAGGGCATTAGTAAATACTGCTTGTACAAGAACTCTAAAGCGTATCCCTTAACAAAATACTGTCCCCTGCAAACAATCATTACTATCATAAATCATTAAGCAAACATGGAAACACAAAAAAAACAAAATTTCCTTAAAATGACTTTGTTAATGTTGCTACCCGCTGTTACAAATTATTTTAAAATTCATTTTAATAACAAATATAATTTAAAGCAACATTAGTGTATCAGCAGCTCTCTTGCATAAAATTTCATTACGTACTGTTTAAATCTCTTGTAAAAATATGCCATGCACAGTTCATACGGACAATCTTTTCAATAACTGAGTTTTTTCCCTTCAGATTTCTAGAAATGTTTCATCTATACAGAAATTGAATCCCCTTGGGTCCTTTTAATATATATGACAGCTCACCGCAAAAAAATCTTACTTTTACACCTTTGGAATGATATCGTGTTTAATCAATAATGTTTTAATATTCCAATTATTCTCCCTCTGAATAAACAAGCCCAGAAGGGAAAATCTGAATTCTTTTATATCAAACATTTAATTACCTCTGCTATCTGTAATAGAAGCTTTAGCCAATTAAGACTAAAAGTTAAGAGTCCGAGTTGGTTTTTCATCATTCTAATGCTTTGGAACAGTAAAGAAAAATTCTGTCCTTCTCCAGAATGAAATAAATACATGAAAACTTCAGCCCAGGAGTCTTGATGAGGTAGCTGGTTAGTTTCCAAGTTTTATAACAGCATGGTTTTGTGACTCTCCAATTATGAGATAATAATTAAACATAATAATTTCTATGCATGTATATTTGTTACAGACTTTATGAGTTTACTTCATAATTATGCTGTCTCAAAAGTTTAAGAGGAAAAACATACCGATTTATCATTCTATCATCTTTTAACATTCCAAGCAATCTTGGCTTTGAGGGTTAAATAATTCATCTAAGTAAAGTGGAGCTGAAGAAAGAGTACTGATTGTAGCAATTAAAAGGCCAGTTAGTTTCAGTGCCAGTTTTGCCATTTTGAGCAAGTCACTTAAGTTTTCAGGGGCTGATTCAGCTGTAAGATCAAGGGACTCAGGATATGCTCCTCCAGAACCTGCCCCACCCTACCAGTATTCAAAAGTATTAGCACAATACCATAATCACGCAATCTAAATAAAAGGAACATCCATTTAACATTAACTGTCACTTTTTTATGCACGTGAATCATAATCTTCACTTACTGGGGGAAAAAAAAAACCACTAACATGATCTGCTAATAAATGCAGTTATTTCTTAAATAGAACCATTGGATGACCAAAAAAAGTCCTTAAAAAGCACGAATCCAGTCCTCAACCTAATGATTTCACAACTTATTATCTCCAGTATATTCCTCAAACTATTGAACTTCACCATTAAAATATCTGTCTCACATCTAATATCAATCTCTCCCATTGTAGAATAAGGCAATTAATTTAGAGCCCATTTTTCTGTTCAGCTGAGAATGGAAAATAATTGATCAGCATCCTCCGAATTAATCATTATCCATGATAAATATCTTCAGACTTATGTAACAGAAACTATAAAAAAAAAAGAAAAACTCTGGACTTTTCCTGTGTACAAAAATAAAAAAGGTGAGCCCTCCAGAAACGCAGTTTTGCGTGAGTGCGTACTTGGAGCTGTTTGCCAGGCTGCAGACTTAACTCAGAGCACTATATGAAAGCACTGCATTTCCAGGCACTGCCAAGCCCGTTTGTTCATAAAATAAAGCAACAGTTGGGCAAATGTCAAAAGCCACACTACGAAGAACCTGACAGTAAACAGAAACCGATTAGCATAATCTACGTGGTCTGAGTGGTACTAAAACTTGACCTTTTTTTCTATTTTGATCTTTGCTACACAGCATAAAACAAAACAAAAATATTTAAAGTAAACTGCTAAATACAGCAGCAACTTCTGAAAGTCTAGGTCAGTAAAATTTAGAATGCTGCCTTGCTTGCAGGCAACAAGGGGTAGAGGACAATAAAGAACCTTTGTGTTCCGACTGGCAGTAACACAGCAGCGACTGCAGCAGCTCTATCCTTTAAAAAGGAGGCAGCTCCCTGTGTATTTATCACGACTTACATTAACTGGTCACGACAGTCTCCACCATTAGACTGTAAGCTCCAGGAAGGCAAGGACCATGACTCACCACAGTAGCCTCAGCGCCTAAAATAGGCGCTCAATAAATATTTGCTGCAGAATAAATGAATAGGCGGCGATGCAGAAGGGAAGAAGAGGCTCTGGGGACAACCCCAGAGTCCATGGGGACCTTCCTTGCCCGCTCCTCAAACTCTATACTAAGGTTCCCTCCAGCGTTCCCCAAGTCCTCCTGCGAGCTCCCAAACTCGGCTGAGTTTGCAGGGCGGCGACCAGCGCACCGACTTCCCCTCTGCCTGCCGCGACCCGCGGTGGGGTCCGCACGAAGCAGCCGCGGCACGCGGGGCGGGGCGACGCCAAAGTAACTCCGGAGCAACGCGCGGGGCCGCCGGTCCGACACACGCCCTTCCCTGAGCGGCCGCCGCCGGGCGCACGCGCCCCGCAGCCCGAACGCCGCCCCATCCCTAGAGAAATCAGGCGGCGGCTGTTTGGGCTTTTGTGTCTGTAGAAAAACGCGTAAATGCGTGAAAGACTCCGAGAAAAACCGGTTCACCCTCTTCCGCCACCCACTCAGGCACAGCCAGCAGTCCGTGTTCCCAAACACTGCTGATTCCCAGCAGGCCCGCCTCCGCCTCGGCCCGGTCGACTCCGGGCCCGGCCCTTCCCCCCGCGTCTGTCTCTCCCAGAGGCGGTAAGGGCCTGGCATCCGCAACCCCGCGCGGTTTCACCTTCTGAATCGCAGCGGGAGTGATCTCCCCCTTGCCTCGCTGCCTCGGGGCCGCGAAAGCCACAGACATGTTGCCGCCGTCACCACTATCGGCAAGTCCCGAGCGCTCCGGGTGAACGGCAAACTGGGGGAGAGACGCCGGCCTCTCGGGCTGAACCACCTCGGGAATGCGGGGAGGGGGGATGCTCCGGGGCCAAGCGGACGGGCGGCGGGGCAGGCCTGAAGGAGGCACTCTGGCCAGGGATGTCTCGCTTCTGCGCACTCTGGGGGACCCCTAGCCCTGGCCGAACTTTCTTGACCGTCCCTGCATCCCCCGAGCTCTCCTTATGGGCACCCCCTGGCCCTTTGCGCTAATGGTAGAGTCGCGCCCTAGTCCTCCCTCCGCTTCAGCGATTCAGGAAATGGTCCCGCCGCCGCGGGAGAAGGAGAGGCTGGGGCAGCCCCTGTCACAGGAAATGCGAGCGGCCCAAGCCGGCCCGCCCCCTTCGCGCCGTGGCAACTTGCCTCCCTCTCCGGCCCTCTGAAGCGTCTCCCCGACTGTGTTGCAGAGCGTGCCCTAGACCTAGTTCAGTTTTTCCAACTTCATCCTTACTTACGCCTCCTGGCAAGAGTGGCCGCCCCGAGTTGTCCCGGCAGCCCGGAGAGGGGAGGGAGGTCAAGACTCGGGAGTTCGTGCAAATCCGTGGAGCATCTGCCGAGATAGGGCAGAGGTGGAAGGACAAGGTGAACGCGGATTCGCTGGTTTAAATGGCTCGGCTACGCCCCAAATGCGCACCTCCGAGTCCACAGTCTCGCACGCACGCACAAAGTCGTGCCTAACAATTGGAAAGTAACCCTGACCCGAAACCGGGACACCAAGGTTGTGTCCAGTGCTCAGGGGCAATCGGCCAGCTTGGCTGGAGCGGACAGAGAAGAGCTCGCCTCTTGGGACAAACCCTTAGCAGGAAAGTGGGTCGATTTCGTCTGACTTGGCTTTTTGGAATTAAGTTGTGAAACAGGGCATCCTCACTCTCTGTTTTTTAAGAGAGTACTTACTTAGTGCCTTGTAAATTAGGCCCAAGCTGCCAGGCTTCAAGTCAGTGTAAGGGAAAAAGGCAAAGTTTTCAAATTATGGAAGGAACACGGACAAATGTGGGTTTTGTGTTGCCGTGGGGTTTTAAAGTATTCTGTAAATTTAGACTTCCATATAACACAAAGGGAAAGTTTATATAAAGTGTTACCCAACGTTAATGAATAATAAAAAATATTTCCATTTTTATATAAATTGGAAAAATAAAGAAAAAATACATTATTTTAAAAATTTAATCACTTGAGGCCAGGAGTTTGAGACCAGCCTGGGCAACAAAGTGAGACCTCTGTCTCTACAAGAATTTTAAAAATTGGCTGGGTATGGTGGTGTGCACCTGTAGTTCCAGCTACTAAGGAGGCTGAGGTGGAAGAATCACTTGAGCCAAGGGGGTGGAGACTGCAGTAAGCCATGACTGCCCCACCACACTCCACCCTGGGTGACACAGCAAGACCCTGTCTCAAAAAAAAAAAAAGAAAAATTAAGTATCAAATAAATGCTCTTCACAAAAATGTCAAGAATGTCATTGATTAAATGCATTGTTTGTTAGGCTTTATACTGGAAACCTAGGGTACGATTGTGAATAAGCTGGACATGGAACCTCCTCTCAAGGAGCTTATACACTAATGGGACTAACAGACCAGAAACAAACAAATATGTATATATGCAAAGTCCCAAGAAAAACTAGCCAAAAAAAAGGGGGAGGAACTAACAGAATGACAGGAACACTTACATGAGTTAGTGTGAAAAGTCTTCCCGATTATATTTAAACTGGGACCTAAAGGATGAAGACTCAAGCTGTCATAAGAATAAAGGGAAGAAAGTTTATGCTGCTACTGACAGTAATTACTCTTAAAAATTTAATTGTTATCTTTCACTATTGTAAGCCTTGAAGAAAACACTCTGGTATAGCTGGACTTAAGGTAATCACACCAAATTGGAAAACTGTCAAATTTGGAAACCAATACTTGTCTACCACTATCACTGTGCACTCAACACCTAGCATGCAGAGTCATGTCTCAATGCTTTACACAAAAGTACCTTAGTACTTAGTAGCTAAGAACAGTATTTCAATAGGAAACATGAATCGTAAATAGTCCTACTGCTCCAGTTCTGTGCATTTGGCAGATAGCACTGAAACTTCAAAGGGCAACATGAACCAGTAGGAACACTTGTCTAATTTCCATATCCCAGCAAAAAAATAAGTAGTCCAAGGGGGCTTCTATTCCAGGGAGGCACCTGGAGCTAGTTACCTTCTTTATTTAAATTACAGCTCCCCAAAGGTGAGAAAGGGAAATCCACTGAAAACAGGTTACAGTTGGCCTGAGATGTTTATTTCTTCAGAGTAGCAGGGTAGGGCCCAGAGAACCCATAGCCTGCAGGCATGGATAGCCACAGTCTTTTCTGTGACACCATGTATGCCATAAAGATACCATTATTTTCTGTGTCTGATCACATGAAATCAGTTGAAAAGCATTGTTCTATAAGTCCAGCCAGAAATACAAATGATCTCCTTGAGAGAGGATACTTAAAAAGAACTACTTCACCCTCAAGCTTCCTTGCTAAAACCCAATCAATCCAATCAGTTAGCCTGACCTGGAAAAATAGAAAATTCGGAAAGAGGAAAGATTGAGACTGAAGCCTGGAAGATCTTTCTTAAAATTTTGGGGCCTTTGTAATGTAAGAGTCCTGAGCTAGGGGATACTTAGGGGAACATAATAAGTCCCATCTCACCTGACCACTAGTTTTAAGAGGAATCCCAAGGTAGACTGAGTGGCAGCAGAGTTGGTAGAAGGAGAATAAACAGTCCCTAGCATTTAGTTACGAAGAAAAGGAGAACAAATATGGGAAGTTGGCCTAAGACTGGGAAAGGACTCTAAGGACTTAAAGGTAAGATACTCAGGCAACCATCTCCCCAACCAAAAAAATCAGTCCCACTATTTAAACTGCTCTTGAATGAGAGACATCTAAAGAAGGAATCCAACTCACATAACCAAGAGGTAGAAGGAGTTTGGAATAATCCTAAATTGAAGAACATATAGAGTGGGTCAGAATAAGAAAAATAATCTGTGTGAACAGTTAATTCTTGATTACTCACACTAATGAATATGAAGTAGGCAGATTTAACAAAGATTAAAAAAAATTGTTCATGTTTGATTTTTTGTTTCAATTTTTATATAAATTTGTACTCCTTAAAATACACCCCGCCCCCCATACACACGCACACATATATATTTGAGGCAGGGTGTCACTCTGTCACCCAGGCTGGAGTGTGGCACAATTTCAGCTCATTGCAGCCTCGACTTCCCAGGCTGAAACGATCCTCTCACCTCAGCCTCCCGAGTAGCTGGGACTACAGGCATGCACCGCCATGCCTGGGTAATTTTTGTATTTTTTGATAGAGACAGGGTTTCACCATTTTTTTCAGGCTGTTCTTGAACTGCTTTACTCCTGGTCTCGATCCACCCACCTTGGCCTCCCAAAGTGCTAGGAGAACAGACATGAGCTACCACACCTGACCGTGTATTCCTTAAATATATTTTTATGAATTGACAAAGTGAAGTGCTCCTGTAATATGTTCAATATTTGGTGAAACTATATAATCATGGCATTAAAAATTATCTTAATCCACAAAAAATATGTACGAATAGGTAACTAAAATAATCTTGCTTTCATACAAGCATTTCTTTAATATGTATTGTTTTAGAATTAATAGAGTATCTGCACTACCAAATGTGCTGATATTTTAAGCCCCTGAGCTGTCATAAATTCTTAGAATACATTGAGAAGGCATAGACCAAGCCTGTCTGCTCATAACTGGGCTCAGAGCAAAACCCTTCAGGTAATATCTTTCAAAATATTTCTGTTCACAGTCCCTGTGGCATTTGATGAGTCAATTTGAGTTGTGGCTCCCACAGATTTCAAGACTGTAAAGAAAGAAGCATACATCTATATATTTATATAATCATTATTCAGGCAAGAACAAATCACCTTTCCCAATTCTCCGTAAAGGACTTTTATTTTTGATACTATGGAAGA
The DNA here is from genome assembly GCF_000001405.40 of Homo sapiens. NCBI lineage: Eukaryota > Metazoa > Chordata > Mammalia > Primates > Hominidae > Homo > Homo sapiens. The sequence goes on from NC_000018.10 coordinate 26,094,605, forward strand.
TTTCATTCAAAGTAGACTATAACAAAGCCTATTGGAGGCATTTTCATCTCCTCTTATAGTGCCAAATATAGAATTAATTATGAACTGAATCAATTATATTTTTGGGTTTAATGATATAGAAAAGTATTGCTTTTTAAAAAAATTAGTTCCTATGGAAAGCTTTCACTCTTTGTGAAAGATGCATAGGTTTGGAGTTCCCAATTCTTCTACCCATGGCATAATACTGGACAGGTCATTTCTGTATCTCACTGGACTTCCTGAAAAACAGCTGCCATATCTAAAAAGCTATTACAAATAATGTTTTTTTATTTAGCATTTATTATGCACTAGCCTCTGTGCCTTACATTAGATCCCTTAATTAAACGATTACCTTCCATTAGATCCTTTAAGACTGTCTCAATTTTAACATATAAAGTGTGTAAAAATTAATGGGATATTGTAAATTACTAAACAAGGACAAGATTTGCAATGTAATAATATAATTAGGAAAAATGGACATTTTAGGACTATAATCCAAAGTACTTGATAGGGCAGTCTACCCTTGGGAAATCTGCTGACCTTAAATATCAAATGTTCTTTTTTCACATTTAGCATGTTCTGTGCCCTTGGGCATGATATGCGGTTATTCTGCACTTAGTAAAAGAATATTACTGTTCTTGAACTAGTTCACAATTTATAGAGAGGATTATAATATACTATCTGTTAACTAATTTCGCTACGAATGCGTGTAGTAGGCAGAATAATTTCATCACCTTAAAAATGACGACCTCCTAATCCAGAACCTGTGATTATGTTAGGTTCCATGGCAAAGTGGAATTAAGGTTTTAGATGGAATTAAGATGGTTAATCAACTGACTTTGAGATACTGCGATTATCCAGGTGAGCCCAGTGAAATCATAAGTGTCCTTAAATGGGAATCTGTGAGGCTGAAGAGTCAGAATTAGAGAGAGGGTTTCTTGAGAGAAAGATTAAATCGGCCATTCCTGGCTTTGCTGACACCGTGACTTTCGCCCAGTGAGGCCTATTTCAGACATGTGACCTCCAAAACTATGATATTAATAAATATGTGTTGTTTTAAACCACTAAATTTGTCATAATTTGTTAGATGAGCAATAGGAAGCCAATACAATGTTGTTTTCCAATATAACATTTATGTTTGAATTAGACATTATGCAGTAAAAATTGATAAATTATTAAATATATTACAAAATATGGTGTCTTAAACTAACCTAACAGTTATATTTATTATATGTTTTCCTTAAAAGAAAAATAATATAATATTGTGGAGATTATACCCTATAGAGATAAAACTCATGCTAAAGCCAGTACAAAACATAGAGGAAAATAAAATTGCACTGTTGGGTACAATTTTATTTATAAGTACACTATAATAAGTTCAATATGCACATTGCAAACCCAGGAACAGTGGTTCTCAAACTCTATGGTCTCAGAAATACTTTGCATCTTTAAAAATTATCATGTGCCTCAAAGCCCTTTTGTTTAGCTGGGTAATATCTCTTAATATTTACCTAATTAAAAATTAAAACTTGGAAACTTTTAAACATAAGCAGAGACTCCATTAGCTGTCAGGGGAATGAGATCATCACACATCATGTATACTCTGGAAAAACTATTGTACACTCATAAGAGAAAATGAATTTTAAAAGACAAAAAACCTCTATTGTCATTACAAAAATATTTTTAACCCCTTGGACCTCTAAAAGGATACAGAGGACCTCCAGGGACCCCAACATGATACTTCCTAGCATCAATAAACTTTAAAATAATCATATTTACAAACAAAACTGGTATAACTATTAAGTCAATAAGGAAGACAAAACAATACTAAGAAGTATTCAAATAACTCAAGAAAGGATAGGAAAAAAACTTTTATGAAACAAATACAAAAAAAGTAAGATAATAGATTTCAAGCCAAGCTATTGATATACTAAAAATAAATAGTCAAAAGACTCCAGTTAAAAGGCAGACATGGCTGGGCACAGTGGCGCATGCCTGTAATCCCAGCACTTTGGGAGGCTGAGGTGGGTGGATCACGAAGTCCAGGGATGAGACCATTCTGGCCAACACAGTGAAACCCCATCTCTACTAAAAATACAAAAAATTAGCCACGTATGGTGGCATGCGCCTATAGTCCCAGCTACTCAGGAGGCTGAGGCAGGAGACTCGCTTGAACCTGGGAGGCAGAGGTTGCAGTGAGCAGAGATCACACCACTGCAGTCCAACCTGGGTGACAGAGCGAGGCTCCATCTCAAAAAAAAAAAAAAAAAAGGCAGACATTGGGAGAAGCACTTCTGATACTGGTGGAGGGTCTTGACTAGGAGTTGTCCAGGTTCTTGTCATGTTGAACAAAGAATTGAACAAAATGCACAAACAAAGCAATGAAAGACTGAAACAACAAAAGCACAGATTTATTGAAGTGAAAGTACACTCTACAGAGTGGGAGCAGGCTTGAGCAAGCAGCTTAAGAGCCCTGGTTGCAAATCTTCTGGGGTTTAAATACCCTTTAGAGGTTTCCTATAGGTTACACCCTATGTAAATGAAGACTTGGCTCATGATCAATCAGAGGCTGAAGTGAAGGTTCAGCTTCTGACCAATCAGAGGCTGAAGTGAAGTTACACCCTATTGCAAATGAAGACTTGGCCTGTGACCAATCAGAGGCTGAAGGCTCCCTGTTTCCAAACCCTATTCTCCTGCCTCACTTCCTAAATGTTGAAGTTAGAACTTTGCCTCAGTAAATCCAATCCTCCATAAAACAACAGGAAAACGGGGAAAAAAAGGTCTTTATAAACTTTTGCGGAAATCCTAAATTAACCAAAGTCTTGCAAAGCCTAGTGTATATTTAAGAAAATGGCTGAATCTCAGTAAGAATGGTGAGCTTTGTAACTTTTTAACTTGCCTTATACTCATCCATCTCTGCCAAGCTCCATGGCATACTTGAAAACCAGCAGACTCACAACCATGGTACTTGTAAAAATCAGCGGTATACCAGTCACTGGAGGGGACAGAACAGTGTTGGAATTAATAACAAGAAAGCTGCATCCCCAGAGATCTGTCACTAGTTGACCTGTCAGGCAGGTCTCTGACAAAACTAGATTCGTAGGACATGTCTTTACTTGACCTAAGAATATACAGTGGCAATTGCTTAACATTGAAGCTGCCTGAGACAGAGATCCCATTTGGAGTAAACAAGAGACTGGTCCAAAAACTGAAAAAGAGGCCAGGTGTGGTGACTCACGCCTATAATCCTAGCACTTTGGGAGGACAAGGTGGGATGACTGCTTGAGCGCGGGAGTTCAAGACCAGCCTGGGCAACAGAGTGAGACCTTATCTCTACTAAAAATAAAAAATAAAATTAGCTGGGCATGGGGGCATGTGCCTGTAGTCCCAGCTACTCAGGAGCCTAAGGCTTCTTGAGCCCAGGTGATCAAAGCTGCAGTGAGCTGGGATTGCACCACTGCACTCCAGCCTGAGCAACAGAGCAAGACCTTGTCTCAAAAAAATAATAATAAGTTAAAAAAAAAACTGAAAAGGAAAATTAGGGAAATGAGATGTACACAGGAGACTTGCTTTGAAAAGTTCTGTCATATTCTTGGAGCTGTAAAAGGCCACATGCATATGCAGAATTGTGCACATGCCCAGGTACAACCTGCAAAGGCCCTAATCTCTCACTTTTGTTTGACCCTGAGGATCTGAGAAAGCAGGAAGTTAAAATGAAAGCAGAGTTTTTAACTGATGGAGAATTGAAATTATGCCCCAACATATACATAAAGCCCTGGCAAAGGGAAAGAGATATATTGGTTCAAGGCATTTAAAAAGAAGTCTTAACCCACACATCACCTGATAACTAGCTAATGAAGTAGAAATTTCATATAGACTTTAGATAATTATCACAGCAAAGTCCTAATCGAAGAGCAACAACAAACGATGGAAAGGGAAGACTATGAGTTGCCATATTAATGGTACCATGAAAATGTACGCTTGTCAACAAAAAAATTGTCAGGCAAAAAAAATCAGGAAAGTGTGGCTTGTAAACAAGGGGAAAAAGCAATCAATAGAAACTGCCCTTGAGGAAGCCCAGATATTAGACTTGCTATACAAAGGCTTTAAATCACCCATAGTAAATATATTCAAAGAACTAAAAGAAATGATGTTTCAAGAATTAAAGAAACTTTTCCCCTACTTCCTGGCTGCCTAAGGATCGACTGCCATCACAAACAAAACAGTAACTATTTCAACGAGGAAGTTCATGACCTACCAACTACTTCAGAGGAAACAAATGGGCATCAGTGTCCTTCACCCTGGGAAGGCAACAGTACCTAAGACAGAAATTTGGGGGAAACTAGCCAAAATGTACAATACCACACTGGATGTCATCTTTGAATTTGGATTCAGAACCTATTTTAGTGGTGGCAAGACAACTGGCTTTGGCATGATTTTATAATTCTTTGGATTATGCAAAGAAAAATGAACGCAAATATAGACTTACAAGACATGGCCTGTATGAGAAGAAAAAGACCTTAAGAAAACAGCAAAAGAAATGCAAGAACAGAATGAAGAAAGTCAGGTGGACTGCAAAGGCCAATGGTGCCAGCAAAAAGTGAGCTAGAGATTGGGTAACAGTAGGAGTATGGATTCTGCAATGACTAATGACTTCATCTGTGCTGACTGCATAGATTTTTCACAAAAGGATTAATAAACTGAAAAAAACTTAAGAATTAAAGAAAAACATGAAAACAATGTTTCTCACCCCCAAAAATATTAAGATAAATATTATTAAAAACCACAAAAAACAAAAAAATCATTGAAATGCACAAAATCTAAAATAAAAAATTCATGAGAAAGGTTCAAAAGCAGATTAGAACTAGAAGAAAAAACATCAGTAAACTGCAGATATGTCAAATGAGATTATATAGTGTGAGAAACAGAAAAAATAATTAGGAAAAAGTTAACTTCATTTAGCCAGGGATGCAGGTATGGTTCAACATACATGAGTCAATAAATGTGATATATCACATTAACAGAACAAAGACAAAAACCATATTATCATTTCAATAGATACTAAAAAAGCATGTGATAAAATTCAACATCCCTTCCTTCATGAAAAAAAAAAAACCCAACAAACTGGGTATAGAAGAAACATACCTCAAAACAATAAAGGCCATATATGACCAACCTGCAGCTAACATCATACTAAACAGGGAAAAATTGAAAGCCTTTCCTCTACAATCTGGAAAAAGACAAGGATGTCCACTTCCACTACTCCTATTCAAGATAGTACTGGAAACCCTAGCCAGAGCAGTTACACAAGAGAAAGAAAGACAGGGCATCCAAATTGGAAAGGAAAAAGTCAAATTATACTTGTTTGCAGAACCATGATTTTATATTTAGAAACATATAAGATCGAATACAGTAAAGTTGCAGGATACAAAATCAACATACAAAAAAGTAGCATTTATATATGCAGTGAACAATCTGAAAAAGAAATCAAGAAAACAATCCCATTCACAATAGTTACCAAACAAAACAAAATATAAGAATAAATTTAAGCAAAGAAGTAAAAAAATCTACAAAGAAAACTGTAAAACACTGATGAAAGAAATTGAAGAGAACACCAAAAAATGAAAAGATATTCCATGCTAATGAATTAGAAGAATTAATACTGTCAAAATGTCCATACTATCCAAAGTGATCTATAGATTCAATGCAATCCCCATTAAAATACCAGTGACATTCTTTACAGAAATAGAAAAAAAACTGTATGAAACCACAAAAAGATCCTTAATACTCAAAGCAATCTTAAGCTTTGAAAGAAAAGAAAAGAAAGAAAACCAAAGAAAGAAACCAAAAGAAAGAAACGAAAGAAAGAAAACCAAAGCTGGAGGCATCCCACTATCTGACTTCAAAATATACTATTAATACAAAATGTATTATTAATACTATTAATACAAAATATACTATTAATACAAAGCTATAGTAGCCAAAACAACATGGTACTAACATAAAAAGAGACATGGTACTAACATAAAAACAGATGCATAGACCGATGGAACAGAATAGAGAAGCCAGAAATAAATCCACATATCTACAGTGAACTCATTTTCAACAAAGGTGCCAAAAACATACATTGGGAAAAGGACATTATCTTGAATAAAATGTGCTAGGAAAACGGGATAACCACATGCAAAATGAAACTAGACCCCAATCTCTCACCATATACAAAGTCAAATCAAAATGGATTAAAGAGTTAAATGTAAGACATGAAACTACTAGAAGAAAACATTGGGGAACGCTTCAGAACACTGATCTGGGCAAGATTTTTTTTTTAATTTTTTTTTTTTGAGACAGAATCTTGCTCTGTTACCCAGGCTACATTGCAGTGGCATGATCTCGGCTCACTGCAACCTCCGCCTCCCAGGTTCAAGCAATTCTCCTGCCTCAGCCTCCCAAGTACCTGGGATTACTGGTACATGCACCACCACGCCCAGCTAATTTTTGTAGAGACAGGGTTTCACCATGTTTGCCAGGCTGGTCTCAAACTCCTGACCTCATGATCCGCCCACCTCAGCCTTCCAAAGTGCTGGGATTACAGGCATGAGCCACCACGCCCGGCCGGGCCAAGATTTTTTGGATAAGACCCCTGAAACACAGGCAACAAAAGCAAAAATAGACAAATTGGATTATATCAAGCTAAAAAACTTCTGCACAGCAAAGAAAACAATCAAGAGTGAAGAGTCAACCTAAGGAATGGGAGAAAATATTTGCAAACTATTCATCTGATAAGGGATTAATAACCAGAATATATAAGGAACTCAATAGCAAAAAAGCAAATACAATCCAATTTTTAAATGAACAAATGATCTGATAGGCATTTCTCAAAAGAATACACGCAATTGATCAACTCCACTAATCACTGAAGAAATGTAAATCAGAATCACAGTGAGATATTATCTCACCCCAGTTAGAATGGCTATTTTCAAAAAGACAAAAGATAATTGTGGTAAAGATGTGGAGAAAGGAAACTTACACACTGCTGAGGGAAATGTAAATTAGTACAGCCATTATGAAAAAACGTATGGCGGCTCCTCGAAAAAAACCTAAAAACAGTACTACCATCTGATCCACCAATCCTATTGCTGGGTATATTTCCAAAAGAAAGAAAATCAGTATGTTGAGGAGATATCTGCACTCCCACATTTATTGCAGCACTATTCACAATAGTTGAGATATGAAATCAATGTAAGTGTCCATCAATGGATGAATGGATAAAAAAAAAGTGTGGTGTGTATAAACAATCAAGCAGTATTCAGCCATAAAAAAATGAAATCCTATCCTTTGACACAACATGAATAGAATTGGAGGACATTATAATAAATAAAATAAGCCAGGCACAGAAAGACAAGTATCACTTGTTCTCATTCACATGTAAGAGCTAAACAAACAAACAAAAATTAATATCATAGAGGTACAGAGTAGAATGCCAGTTACAAGGGTCCGGGAAGCATAGAAAAGAGAGGAAAATGGCCGGGCGTGGTGGCTCACGCCTGTAATCCCAGCACTTTGGGAGGCCCAGGCGGGTGGATCACGAGGTCAGGAGATCGAGACCATCCTTGCTAACATGATGAAATTCCGTCTCCACTAAAAATACAAAAAATTAGCAGGGCATGGTGGCGGGCACCTGTAGTCCCAGCTACTCAGGAGGCTGAGGCAGGAGAATGGCGTGAACCCGGGAGGCAGAGCTTGCCGTGAGCCAAGATCGCGCCACTGCACTCCAGTCTGGGGGGAGAGAGTGAGACTCCAACTCAAAAAAAAAATTAAAAAAAGAAAATAGAGGAAAATGAAGAGAAGTTGGCTAATGAGTACAAAATTACAGTGGAAAGGAAGACGTTCTAGTGTTCTATAACACAGTAGGGTTAATACATTTAACAATAGCTTATTGTATATTTCAAAGTAGCTAGAAGAGATTTGGAATGTTCCCAACACAAGAAATGATAAATGCTTGAGGTGATAGATATCCCACTTACCCAGATTTGATCATTATACATTGTATGCATGTGTCAAAATACCATATGTAAACCAGAAATATGGGCAATCATTATGTATCAATTTTTAAAAATTAACCGTATTTAGAACCTTAGAGACCTGCAGGACACCATCAAGCCCACCAGCATACACATTATGGGAGTTCCAGAAGAAAAAAGAAGAGAAAAAGAAAGATTATTTGAACAAATAATTCCCATAATTTCTAAATTTGATTTTTAAAAATTAAACTGTGTATTCAAGAAGCGCAACAAATTCCAAGTAAAATAAACCCAAAAGAGATCCATGCCTAAACATGGTCAAACTGTTGAAAGACAAAGAAATAGCCTTGAAAGCAAGAAAAGAGCTCATTACATACACAAATATATATATATATTTTTTGAGATGGAGTCTCACTCTGTCATCCAGGCTGGAGTGCAGTGGTGCAATCTCGGCTCACTGCAAGCTCTGCTTCCTGGGTTCACGCCATTCTCCTGCCTCAGCCTCAAGTAGCTGGGACTACAGGCGCCCACCAGCATGCTCGGCTAATTTCCTTTTGTATTTTTAGTAAAGACGGGGTTTCACCGTGTTAGCCAGGATGGTCTTGATCTCCTGACCTCGTGATCCACCCGCTTGGGCCTCCCAAAGTGCTGGGATTACAGGCATGAGCCACCGTGCCCGGCCAGGATTCTTAATAAGATTAACAACTGACTTCTCATCAGAAATCTCAGGGGACAGAACAAAACTGCCAACAGCTCTCCAATATTTGGGTTAATGCTGAAAGATCACCCAGGACAGTTATTCCAAAACTTTAGGTTTCAAAATGTCTGCTATTCCATGTTTATAGGAGCATGCAGTTGTAGGCAGACATGTAGCTAAGGGACATTTTAAGGACCTAGGATGCTTCTTCTAGCACTAGCATAAGAGGGAATCATATATATATATATATAGTGTATATATATAATATATATTATGTATATACATGACATTATGTGTGTGTGCCACACACACACACACACACACACACACACAAATGTTCTTGTGAGGCAGGAGAATAGGGTCTAGAGACAGGAAGCCTTTACTTCAGCCTCCAATTGGTCGCAGGCCAAGTCTTCACCTGCAGAGGGCGTAACTTCACTTCAGTCTCTGACTGGTCCAGGGCCAAGCCTTCACATCAGCCTCAGATTGGTTGAGGGCCAAGTTTTCATTTGCGTAAGGTATAACTTCACTTCAGAGTCCGACTGGTCATGGGCCAAGTCTTCATTACTTAGTAAAAAATAGCAAATCTCTAACGGGTACTTAAACCCCAGAAGATTTGCAACTGGGGCTCTTGGCTTGTTCAAGCCTGCTCCCACCCTATGGAGTGTACTTTCACTTCAATAAATCTATGCTTTCGTCTCCCATTGCTCTGTTTGGTATTTTGTCCAATTCTTTGTCCAACACACCAAGAACCTGGATGACTCATAGTCAAGACCCTCCACTGGTAACACTTACATTTACTAAACACATTTCTCTTGCCTCAATTAAGGGCTAGAGTCTGCTGCCAGGGTCCTTTTAGAGTATTTTCCACAATGATGATGATATTAGTAGGGATGATGTCATCATTATAGTCAGGGCTAATATTACTAACACTTAAGGACAGGACCACACTTCACTAAATCCCTCCCAGTGATTGCAGTAGAGTCCTCAGGGAAGATCAGGAAATGATGTTATAAACTCTCATACATTATATAGACAAGTACAGGTTCTCAATATCTTCCCCCATCTCCCCATGTGAGGGGAGTAAAGAAAATTTAAGCAAGGCCCCTCCTCCAAATGATACAACCCACCCCCTATGACTCCCTACCCAGCCAGATGTCCCCAGACAGATTAGGAGCAAAAAAAATCCCTTTTATAAACTGAGAAACAGTGACAGTAGGAGCAGAAGCAAATTCCTCATTCTTTACCGTCAACTAAAAGATGGCAGAAGAAAAATTGCCATAAAATGTGAAGCCTCTTTCTAGAGCTTTTAAATTCCTTTTTTATTTAAAACAACTTATGTTTTTAAGGTAAACATCAAACAAACTGCATGTTTTAAATGCTGTTGTAATGGTTTTTAATATCCTTTATTGTCCTTACTGGTTGCTATTTTGTAAAATAAGGAACAACTTTGACAAGTTTTGTAGGAGTTTTAAAACACATTTTAAAATCTTGAACTTCTTTTTTTTTTTTTAATAAAATAGAGATGAGGCCTCACTATGTTGTCCAAACTGCTCTTGAACTCCTGGCCTCAAGTGATTCTACCACCTCAGACTTGCAAAGTGCTGGAATTACAGGTATGAGCCACTGCACCCAGCCTTGGACTTCTATTTTCATCTTTAAGATTTCCATAAACCTTTTTTTAAAAAAGCTAGAGGCAGGTAACAAGTATGGGGAAAAAACTGTGCCTTATATCAACAATTTTGCTAATGTTAGGCTGAAAGATGGTGGATGCCTAGAGTTTAAATTATGTTTCATCAAAATCAATATTTCTCAAAAAAAAGAGAAAATGTTAACAAAGAATTTGATACGCAGCAAAACTATCCTTCAAAAAAAGGGAGAAATTAAGATATTTCCATATAAACAAAAACTGTGAGGATTTATCACTAGCAGACCTGTCATGAAAGAAATACTAAAGGGAACCCTTCATGCTAAACTAAAATGATACTAGAAAGTAACTTGAATCTATACAAAGAAATAAAGAGTACTGGCAAAGATAACTACATAGATAAATATAAGAGGCAGTATAAATATATTTTTGTTTGTAACTCTCTCCTCTTCTCATATTAAAAGACAACTACATGAAGCAACAATTATAAAGCTATGCTGATGGGCTGATAAAGTATAATGATGTAATGTGTATGATAAAAAGAGTACAAAGAAGTGGAGAAAGACAAGCTACACTGGAGCACACATAGGTGTGCTTTGAAACTTAGTTGGTAGTAAGCCAAACTAGATTCTTATAAATTAAGAGGTTATTTGTTATTCCCAAGGAAACCATAAAGAAAATGACTTTTTAAAATATATTAAAGAAACAACAGAGGGTTAAATGGCACAGTAGAAAATTTCTCTCTCAGTTCAGGTTACTATAACAGAATACCATAGACTATATAGTTTAAACACTAGAAATTTATTTCTCACAATCTGAAGGCTGGAAGTTTTGAGATCCAGCATGATGGAATTCTGGAGAGAGCCCTCTTCCTGGTTCACAGATGGCCATCTTTTTGCTGTGTTCTCACGTGTCAGATAGTAGAGATAGAGTGCAAGCTTTATTTTGTAAAAATCAACAAACTTATTATGAGTTATTTGGCAGCTGTTAAGGGACCTAAAATCACCTGAACAACTTCAGAAAATAAAAACAAAGATGAATACCACTCTATTTCAAGTACAAAACAGACCAATGAACTTTAATGTAACAGAATACACACACAAAAAAATCACTGATAAGGTTTCAGATTACATACCAGAATACACCTTTTAAAAAGCCACCACTTGTACATAATTCCATTGAGAAAGAACAGTCTTGTCAAGAAATGGTCCTGGGCAACTGAATACCCATGTACACAAGAATGAAGGTGACTTTTACCTAATACCATATGTAAATATAAACAAAGACCTATATTTAAGAGCTAAAATTGGCCAGGTATGGTGGCTCACACCTGTAATTCCATCAGGCTCCCACATTGGGAGGCCGATGTGGGCAGATGGCTTGAGCCCAGGAGTTCAAGACTAGACTTCAACAATCCAAACTTCAGCTTTCTTATCATTCTCTATTGTACACTTTTTATTTCATTTTATCTACCCTTATCTTTATTTGTTTGTTTTTCTGAGACAGAGTCTCAAAAAATGTGTGACGTGTATAAACAGTTAAGTAGTAGTCAGCCATAAAATTGTCACCCAGGCTGGAGTGCAACGGCGTGATCTTGGCTCACTGCAACATCTGCCTCCCAGGTTCAAGCGATTCTCCTGCCTCAGCCTCCCGAGTAGCTGGGATTACACATGCAGCCACACCCACACTGAGCTAATTTTTGTATTTTTAGTAGAGACAGAGTTTCACAATGCTGGCCAAGCTGGTCTTGAACTCCTGACCTCAGGTGATCCACCCGCCTCAGCCTCCCAAAGTGCTGGGATTACAGGCATGAGCCACCACGCCCAGCCGATCCTTATGTTTATTATTTCATTTCTTCCACTTTTCTTGGGTTTAGTATCCTGGGTTTGGGGAGGTTTTTGTTTTTTAGTTTGTTTTTTGTCCTTTCAAATGTATCTTCCTTTTTTTTTTTTAACTTTTGTTTAGGTACATGTGCAGGTTTGATATGTAGGTAAACTGTGTATCATGGTGGTTTGGTGTGCAAATAATTTCATCACCTGGGTAATAAACATAGTATCCAATAGGTATTTTTTCTTTCTATTCCGTCTCCCTCCTCCCACTTTTCATACTCTGGTAGGCCCCAGTGTCTGTTGTTCCCATCCTAGTATCCATGTGTTCTCATTGTATAGCTCCCACTAATAAGTGAGAACATGTGGTATTTGGTTTTCTGTTCCTGTGTTACATTGCTCAAGATAATGGCCTCCAGCTCCATCCACATTACTGCAAAGGACATAATCTCATTCTTTTTTATGACTACAGAGTATTCCATGGTCTACATGTACCACATTTTCTTTATCCAGTTTATCACTAATGAGCATTTATCATTAATTAGCATTTCCATGTCTTTGCTATTGTAAAAGATGTGCTACAGTGAATATACATCTGCATGTGTCCTTCTGATAGAATAATTTAGATTCCATTGGGTATACAATCAATAATGGGATTGCTGGGTTGAATGACAGTTCTGTTTGAAGTTCTTTGAGGAATCACCATACTGCTTTCCACAATGGCTGAACCAATTTACACTCCCACAACAGTGTATAAGCATTCCCTTTTCTCCACCAACTTGCCAGTACCTCTTATTTTTTACTTTGTCACAACAGCCATTCTGGTTGTTGTGAAATGGTATCTCATTGCGGTTTTGATTTGCATTTATCTAATGATTAGTGATTTTGGGCATTTTTCATACACTTATTGGTCACATGTATCTCTTCCTTTGAAAAGTGTCTGTTCATGTCCTTTGCCTACTTGTTAATCGGGTTGTTTGTTGTTTTCTTGTAAATTAGTTTAAGTTCCTTACAGATGTTGGATCTTAGTCCTTCATTGGATGCATAGTTTGCAAACATTTTCTCCCATTCTGTAGGTTGTCTGTTTACACTGTTGATAGTTTCTTTCCATGTGAAGAAGCTCTTTAGTTTAATTAGATCCTAATTGTGAATCTTTGTTTTTGTTGCAATTGCTTTTGGCATCTTCATCATGAAATCTTTGCCCCATTCCTATGTCCAGAATGGTATTTTCTAGGTTATCTGCCAGAATTTTTAAAGTTTTAGGTTTTACATTTAAGTCTTTAATCCATTTTGAGTTGATTTTTGTATGTGATGTAAGATAGAGGGCCAGTTTCAATTTTCTCCATATGGCTAGTCAGTTATCCCAGCAACATTTATTGACTAGGGACTCTTTTTTCCCCATTGTTTGTTTTTGTCAGCTTTGTCAAAGACCAAATTGTTGTATGTGTGTGACCTTATTTCTGAGCTCTCTATTCTGTTCCATTGGTTTATGTGTCTGTTTTTGTACCACTACCATGCTGTTTTGGTTACCGTGGCCCTTTAGTATAGTTTGAAGTTGGATAATGTGATAACTCAGCTTTGCTCTTGTTGCTTACAATTGGCTTAGCTATTTGAGTTCTTTTTTGGTTCCATCTGAATTTTTAAATAGTGGGTTTTTTTTTTTTTTTAGAAACAGGGTTTCACCATGTTGCCCAGGTAGGCTCTCAAACTCCTGAGCTCAAGTAACCCACTGGCTTTGGCCTCCCAAAGTGCTGGAATTACAGGTGTGAGCCACCATCTGTTTTCTAATTCTGTGAAGAATGTCACTGGTAGTTTGAAAGAAATAGCACTGAATCCTCTAAATTGCTTTGGCAATATGGCCATTTTCACAATATTGATTCTTCTAATCCATAAGCACAAAATGTTTTTCCATTTGTTTGTGTCATTTCTGATTTCAGTAGTGTTTTTTAATTCTCATTGTAGAGATCTTTTACCTCCCTGGTTAGCTGTATTCCTAGGTATTTTATTCTGTTTGTGGCAATTGTAACTGGGATTACACTTCTGATCTGGCTGTCAGCTGGGATGTTGTTGGGAGAAATGCTACTGATTTTTCTATGTTGATTTTGTATCCTGAAAGTTTGCTGAAGTTGTTTATCAGATCAAGTAGGTTTTGGGCAGAGAATATGGGGTTTTCCAGATATAGAATCATGTGGCCAGGTGTGGTAGCTCACGCCTGTAATCCCAGCACTTAGGGAGGCCGAAGTGGGCAGATCACGAGGTCAGGAGTTCAGGACCAGTCTGGCCAACATAGTGAAACCCCAAATATACTAAAAACAGAAAAATTAGCTGGGCATGGTGGTGTACACCTGTAGTCCCAGCTACTCGGGAAGCTGAGGCAGAAGAATCGCTTGAAACCAGGAGGCAGAGGTTGCAGTGAGCCGAGATCGCGCCACTGCATTCCGCCCTGTGCAAGAGAGTGAGACTCCATCACAAAAAGAAAAAAAAAAAATTATGTCATCTACAAACAAGAGTATTCTGACTTCCTCTCTTCCTATTTGGATGCCTATTATTTCTTTCTCTTATCTGATTGCACTGGCCAGGACTTCCAATACTATGTTGAACAGGAGTGGTAAAAGAGGGCATCCTTGTCTTTTGCTGGTTTTCAGGGGGAAATATTTCCAGCTTTTGCCCATTCAGTTCACTGTGGAGTTCTCAAGATGGCTATTGTTTTTAAGTATGTTCCTTTACTACCTACCTTATTGAGGATTTTTGACATAAAGTAATAATGAATTTTATAGAAAGCCTTTCCTGCATCGATTAATCATGATTTGTTTTTAATTCTTTTTTTATTTTTATTTTATTTTATTTTTTGAGACAGAGTTTCACTCTTGTTGCCCAGGCTGGAGTGCAATGGCACAATCTCAGCTCACTGCAAACTCCACCTCCCAGGTTCAAGCAATTCTCCTGCCTCAGCCTCTGAGAGCTGGGATTACAGGTGTCTGCTACCATACCCAGCTAATTTTTTGTATTTTTAGAAGAGATGGGATTTCACCATGTTGGCCAGGCTGGTCTTGAACTCCTGACCTTAGGTAATCCATCCGCCTCAGCCTCCCAAAGTGCTGGGATTACAGGCATGAGCCACCATGCCTTGACTGTTTTTAATTCTTTTTCTGTGGTTCATCAAATTTATCAATTTGCATATGTTGAACCAACCTTGCATCCCAGGGATTAAGCCTAATTCATTGTGATGGATTAGTTTTTTGATGTGTTGTTGGATTTGGTTTGCTAGTATTCTGTTAAGGATATTTGCATGAATTTTCATCAAGGATATTGGCCTGAAGTTTGTTTTGTTTTGTTTTGCCATGTCTCTGCCAGGTTTTAGTATTTAGGATAATGCTGGCTTCATACGGTGAGTTGGGGAGGAGTCCTTCCTCCTCAATTTTTTGGAATAGTTTCAGTAGTAAAGGCACCAGCTCTTCATTAAACATTAGGTAGAATTTGGCTGTGAATCCTTCTGATCTTGGGCTTTTTTTTTTTATTGTTGATAGGCTTTTTATTACTGATTCAATTTTGGAACTTATTATTGACCTGTTCAGGGATTCAATTTTTTACTGGTCCATTCTTGGAAGATTGTATGTGTCCAGGAATTTATCCATTTCTTCTAAGTTTTCTAGTTTGTGTGTTTAGAGGTGTTCATAGTAGTGTCTGATGCTTTTTGTATTTCTGTAGGATGAATGGTAATGTCCCCTTTATCATTTCTAATTGTGTTTATTTGTATCTTCCCTCTTGTTTTCTTCATCAGTCTACCCAGCAGTCTATTGATCTTACTAATTTTTTCAAACACCCAATTCCTGGATTCATTGATCTTTTCTGTGGTTTTTCATATATCAATTTGCTTCAGTTCAGCTCTGACTTTAGTGATTTCTTATATTCTGCTAGCTTTGGCATTGGTTTGCTCTTGCTTCTCTAGTTCTTCTAGTTGTGATGTTAGGTTGCCAATTTGAGATCTTTCTAACCGATTGATGTGGGCATTTAGTGCTATAAACTTCTCTCTTAACACTGACTTAGCTGTGTCCAAGAGATTCTGATATACTTTATCTTTGTTCTCATTAGTTTCAAAGAATGTCTTGATTTATGCCTTAATTGTTCAGTCAAAACTCACTCAGGAGGAGGTTGTTTAATTTCCATATAATTGTATGGTTTTGAGTCATTTTCTTAGTATTAATTTCTGTTTTTATTGTGCTGTCGTCCAAGAGTGTGGTTGGGATGATTTCAGTTTTTTTGAATTTGCTGAGTATTATTTTACGTACAATTGTGTGGCCAATTTTAGAATATGTCCTATGTGGCAATGAGAAGAATGTATATTCTGTTGTTTTGGGGTGGAGAGTTCTATAGCTGTCTATTAGGTCAATTTCATCAAGTGTTCACTTCAGGTCCTCAATATCTTTCTTAATTTTCTGACTCAATGATCTAATACTGTCAGTTGGGTGTTGACGTCTCCCAACATTTTTGTGTGGGAATCAAAGTCTCTTTGTAGGTCTCCAAGAACTTGCTTTATGAATCTGGTCACTCCTGTGTTGGGTGCATATATATTTAGGATAGTTAGGTCTTCTTGTTGAATTGAATGCTTTACCATTATGTAATGTCTTTCTTAGTCTTCTTTGATATGTTTGGTTTAAAGTCTATTTTGTCTGAAACTACGGTTGCAACTCCTGCTTTTTTTATGATTTCCATTTTCTTGGTAGTTTTTCTCCATCCCTTTATTTTGAGCCAATGGGATATCATTGTGTGTGAGACAGGTCTCTTGCAGAGAGTATACCATTGGGTCTTCCTTTTTTGTTGTTTGTTTGTCTGTTTTTGAGAGAGGGTCTTGCTCTGCCACCCAGGCTGGAATGCAGTGGTAAGATCACAGCTCACTGCAGCCTCGACTTCCCAGGCTCCTCCCTCAGCCCCCCAAATAGCTGGGACCACAGGCACATGCCACAATGCCCAGCTTAATTTTTCTATTTTTTTTGTAGGGATGGTGTTTCACCATGTTGCCCAGACTGGTCTTGAACTCCTAAGCTCAAGCAATCTGCCCACAGGATCAAATCTGCAGGCTCAATCTATGCATATCAATACTAATCTTGAATATAAATGGGCTAAAAGCCCCAATTAAAAGGCACTTGTGTTGTTAACTGGTAATATTATATAGACTTGTTTGTGCATTATAGTGTCACTGGTCTGTGTACTTCAGTGTATTTTTGTAGTGGCTGGTAATGGTCATTCGTTTCAATATTTGGTGCTCCTTTCAGGACTTCTTGTAAGGCAGGTCTGGTGGTAACAAGTTCCCTCAGCATCTACTTGAATGAAAAGGATCTTATTTCTCCTTCACTTATGAAGCATAGTTTGGCTGGATACAAAATTATTGTTGTTGTTTTTTTTTTTTTAAGAATTTTGAATATAGGCTACTAATCTCTTCTGGCTTGTGGTGTGGTGTTTCTGGTGAAAGGTCCACTGTTAGCCTGATGGGGTTCCCTTTGTAAGTAACTCGCTCCTTCTCTTTAGCTGCCTTTAACATTTTTTTCTTGTATTTCAGTCTTGGAGAATCTGATGATCATGTGTCTTGGGAATGGTCTTCTTGTGTAATAACTCGGGTGTTCTCTTCACTTCCTGGATTTGAATGCTGGCCTCTCTAGAAAGGTTGGGGGAGTTTTCATAAATGAAATCCTAATATATGTTTTCCAAGCTGCAAGCAAGTTTGCTTTCTCCTCATCTCTTTCAGGGATGCCAATCAGTCATAGAATTGGTCTCATTACATAAACATGTATTTCTTGGAGGTTTTGTTCATTCTCTTTTACTCTTTTTCCTTTATTTTTAACTGAGTGAATTATTTCAGAGAGCCAGTCTTTGAGCTTGGAGATTCTTTTTTCAGCTTGGTCTATTCTGCTGTTAGTACTTACAATACATTATGCAATTTTTATAGTCTGTTTTTCAGCTCTATCAGATCAGTTTGGTTCTTTTTTATAATAACTATTTCATCTATGAGCACTTGCATCATTTTATTGTGATTCTTAGCTTCCTTGAAATGGGTTTTGACATTTTCCTGAATCTCAAGTATCTTATTGTTTAATATAACATCTTCAAATTGATACTGAGGTAATTGATTTTTAGTTTTTCTTCTTTTCTAATGTGTGCACTTAATGCAATCATCTTCTTCCTGATCATTGCTTTGGCTGCATCACACAAGTTTTAATACATTATATTTTTGTTATGATCCAGTTCAAAATATTTTCTAATTTCCATTGTGAATTCTTCTTTGACCCTTGGTTATTTCAAAATACATTACAAATTTTTCAAATACACTTTGAAAATGTTGTGGGCTGGGCATGGTGACTCATGCCTATAATCACTTTGGGAGGCCAAGACAGGAGGATTGCTTGGGCCCATGAGCATTTTTTTCAACTAAGTGGGCATGGTGGCATGTGCCTGTGGTCCCAGCTACTTGGGAGGCTGAGGTGGGAGGATCACTTATGCCCAAGAGTTCGAGGCTATGGTGAGATCTGACTGTACCACTGCACTCCAGCCTGGGTGGCAGAGTAAGGCCCTGTCTCAAAAATAAATGTTACGAAACAATTTCTAGTTATGGTGCTGGTAACTGATTCCTGGCTTAACTGCACTAGGGGAAGGGATGCAAAAATTCTATATGCATTTAATGCTTTACAATTTGCAAAACTTGCCTCATGGTCTACCATATATCCAATTTTTGTAAATGTTCCACATTTGTTCAAAATGTATTTTTAGTCCACAGTTGTTTGGGGTATGTGTGTGAGACAGAGAGATAGACAGAAGTGAAAGAGATGCCAAGTTTATTAGTTGGGTTGTTTAAATATTCTATATGGTTTTAATTTTTTGTCTGCTTATTTTATCAATTACCAAAAAAAACCACTTTGTTAAAATCTCCTACAACAAGGATTGGAACTAGGTACAAATTAGGAATTGTTAGGTATCCCAGTAAACTAAACCTTTTATCATTACAAAATGTCCTTCAGTTTCTCTTGCTATGCATCTTGATCCAACGTCTACTTTGTTATACTAGCTTTCTTTGTTTAGTGTTTGCATGATGTATCTTTTTCATCATTTTACTTTCAAAGTTTCTTTACTCTTTAATGTTGTTTTGTTTTGTTTGAGACGGAGTCTTGCTCTGTCACCTAGGCTTGTGGAGCTGCCCAAGGCCTTGGGAGCCCACCCCTTGTATCAGCATGCCTTGCATGTCAGACATGGAGTCAAAGGAGATTATTTCAGAGCTTTAAGATTTAATGACTGCCCTGCTGGGTTTCAGACTTCCATGGAGACTGTAGCCCCTTTATATTGGCCAATTCTCCCATTTGAAATGGGAGCATTTACCCAATGCCTGTACTCCCATTGTATCTTGGAAGTAACTAAATTGTTTTTGATTTTACAGGCTCATAAGTGGAAGGGACTTGCCTTGTCTCATATGAGACTTTGGACTTGGACTTTTGAATTCATGCTGGAATGAGTTAAGACATTGAGGAACTGTTGGGAAGGCATGATTGTGTTCTGAAACATGAGAAGGACATGAGGTTTAAGGGGGGCTGGGGTGGAATGATATGGTTTGGCTCTGTATCCCCAACTAAATCTCATATTGATTTGTAATTCCCACTTTTGGAGGAAGGACTTGGTCAGAGGTGACTGGATCATGGGGGCGGATTTCCCCCTTGCTGTTCTTGTGATAGTGAGTGAGTTCTCATGAGATCTCATGGTTTAAAAATGTGTGGCATCCCCCCCTTCTCTCTCTCTCTCTCCTGTCACATGAATACGTGTGTGCTTCCCCCTTTGCCTTCTGTCGTGACTGTAAGTTTCCCAAGGCCTCACCCAGTCTTGCCTCCTCTATAGCCTGAAAAACTGTGAGTCAATTAAACCTCTTTTCATTATAAACTACCCAGTCAAGGTAGCTCTTTATAGCAATGTGAAAATGGACTAATACACTTGGTTAGGGGTATTCCTAGGTATTTTATTCTTTTTATAGCAATTGTGAATGGGATTGCATTCCTGATTTGGCTCTCAGCTTGACTGTTGAAAGCTGGAGGCATCATGCTACCCAACTTCAACCTATACCACAGGGCTACAGTAACCAAAATAGCACAGTACTGGTACAAAAACAGACACATGGACCAATAAAACAGAATAGAGAGCCCAGAAATAAGCCTCATACCTAACATCCATCTGGTCTTCAACAGCTGACAAAAATAAACAATGGGGAAAGAAATATCTGTTCAATAAACACATCTGACAAAAGTCTAATATCCAGCATCTATGAGGAACTTAAATTTACAAGAAAAAAAACAACCCCATTAAAAAGTGGGCAAAGGACATGAACAGACAGTTTTCAAAAGGAGACATACACGCAGCCAACAAGTGTATAAAAAAGCTCACCGCTGGCCAGGTGCAGTGGCTCACACCTGTAATCCCAGCACTTTGGGAGGCCGAGGCAGGCAGATCATAAGGTCAGGAGATCGAGACCATCCTGGCTAACACGGTGAATCCTCCTCTCTACTAAAAAAATACAAAAAATTAGCCGGGCGTGGTGGTGGGCACCTGTAGTCCCAGCTACTTGGGAGGCTGAGGCAGGAGAAGGGCATGAACCTGGGAGGCAGAGCTTGCAGTGAGCCGAGATCCCGCCACTGCACTCCAGTCTGGGCAGCAGAGCGAGACTCCATCTCAAAAATAAATAGATAAATAAATTAATTAATTTAATTTAATTTAAAAAAGTTCAACATTGCTGATCATTAGAGAAATGGAAACCAAAACCACAATAAGATCCCATCTCACACCAGTGAGAATGACTATGGTGAAAATGTCAAAAATAACAGGTGCTGGCAAGGCTGTGGAGAAAAAGGAGAGCTTATACACTGTTGGTGGGAGTAGAAATTAGTTCAACCATTGTGGAAAGTAATGTGGCAATTCATCAAAGAGCTAAGAACAGAGCTACCATTAGACCCAGCAATCCCATGAATGGCTATATACCTAAAGGAATATAAATCATAAAGACATGTGCACATATATATTCATAGCAGCAGAAGTCACAGTAGAAATGACAGGGAATCAACCTAAATGCCCAACAATGACAGATAGAAGAAAGATAATGTGAAACACATACACCATGAAATACTATGGAGCCATAAAAAAGAATGAGATTATGCCCTTTGCAGCAACAAAGCCAAATACCACATGTATTTATAATACTTATAAGTGGAAGCTTATAAGTGGAAGCTAAATGATGAGAACACATACACACATAGAGGGGAATGACACTGGAGCCTACCAGAGGGTAAAGGGTGGGAGGAGGGAGAAGATCTGGAAAAATAACTAATGAGTACTAGGCTTAATACCTGGGTGATGAAATAACCTTACAACAAAACCCCCCATGACTTGAGTTTACCTATTTAACAAACCTGCACATGTATCCCTGAACTTATAAGTTTAAAAAAACTCATTCCATTATAGAGAATATAAATATTAATGTAGCATCTTTAAATCCACTATAATACTATTGGCTATTATCCAAGTCTCTTATTGTTCCTTTATCTTTCTTCTCATGTGTTCTTTAGATTATTTTATTATTTATGATTATACATTCCTATACGATTCTTTTTTTTTTTTTTTTTTGAGATGGAGTCTCGATCTGTCACCCAGGCTGGAATGCAGTGGCGCAATCTCAGTTCATGCAACCTCGCCTCTCGGGTTCAAGTGATTCTCCTGCCTCAGCCTAAGTAGCTGGGATTACAATTGTGCACCACCATGCCTGGCTAATTTTTTGTATTTTTAGTAGAGAAGGGGTTTCACCATGTTGGTCAGGCTGGTATTGAACTCCTGACCTTGTGATCTGCCCGCCTCAGCCTCCCTAAGTGCTGGGATTACAGGCGTGAGCTACTGGGCCCATTTTTTTTCTTTTCTTTTTTTTTTTTTTTTTTTTTGAGACAGAGTCTCGCTGAGATGCCCAGGCTGGAGTGCAATGGCATGATCTCAGCTCACTGCAACCTCCGCCTCCTGGGTTCAAGTGATTCTCCTGTCTCAGCCTCCTGAGTAGTCGGGACTATAGGCGCACACCACTGCGCCCTGCTAATTTTTGTATTTTTAGTAAGGACAGGGTTTGACCATATTGGCCAGGCTGGTCTTGAACTCCTCACCTCAAGTGACCCGCCTGCCTCGGCCTCCCAAAGTGCTGGGATTACAATCGTGAGCCACCACGCCCAGCCAACGTTCTTATATGATTCTCTTAGTGGTTTTCCCAGAGATTACAACATGCCTTCTGGACCACTTGAGTTGAATATAAATTAGAAGTTTTACTACTTACTGCAATAATGAAAGGAGGTTAGAATATTTTAACTCCATTTGCCCCCTTACCAAATTTACATATTATTTTGTCACAAATGTTAATACTCTTATAAACCCATGAGTTTATTTAATGTTTATTTGAATTTGTGCATGTACATTATCCTTAATGCTCTTCATTTCTTCTTGCATCTCCAAACTTCCATCTTTGATCATTTTTTTCTGTCTAAAGAAGATTCTTTTGTGTTTCCTTTACTGAGTGTCTGTCGGTGACTGGTTTCTGCTTTTGAAAAATACCTTAATTTTGCCTTGTAATTTGGAACATTATTAAATACAGAATATCATGTTTGCATTTATTTCATTTTAGCAAGTTGAAGATAGAATTCCATTGTAACCACCTGGATATCATCTGACAGCCCTATTGTGGCTCCTTTTTTGGAAATATGTCTATTTTTTTCCTTTGGATAGTGTTAAGATTTTCTCATTGTCTTTGGTTTACAGCAGATTTATTGTGGTTTTTCTAAGTGTGAATTTTATTCTGCTTGGTGGTAACAGTTTTTCCTGAATCTGTTGCTTTATTCTTTTGTCAGTTTTGAAAAAATTCTAAACCAAGTATCTTTTAATGTTGTTTCTACTCTATTTTAAAATCTCTATTCTTCTGGTACCCCAACTATACATACATTAGATTTTTCAACATATCCAATATGGTTTTTTTTTCAGTGTTATCATTTTATCTCTGGCCGCTTTGATAAAGTTTTTTTTTTAACTATCATCTAGCTCTTCACTTCTCTCTTCAACTAGGTTGACCCATTTTAAAATCCATTCATTGAGCTCTCAATTTCCATTAATGTAGTTTTCACTTCTACAATTTCCAATGGACTGTTTATTGACACTTTTAGTCCCTGCTGAAAATCTCTATCTTGTCTTTAATCCCTTGAATATAATTATCTTAATTGTTTTACAAATATATACCTGATAAATTCATTATCTGAACTTTATATTCATCTCTTTCTATCGTCTATTGTTTCTCTTGTTGTTTGGTGATAACACGTCTTTTGTGTGCATGGCTATTTTTGATGGAGCAGAACATATTGCATATGAAAAATTGCAACAATTATTTGAGACTCTGCATGATATTATTTTCCTGTACAGAGGATTTACTTTTGCTTCTGGAAGGCAGTTAGTCATCCAGGGACACTAGCAATGCTTTATCCTAGTGCTTTAAAGCTTTTGGTCTCAAGAACACTTTGCCTCTTTAAAATTATTGAAGACCTCAAGTAGCTTTTTTTTTCCCTCATGGGTTCTATCATATTACCAAAATAGAAATTAAAAGATACTTTATTTATTTTTTTATTTTGAGACAGAGTCTTGCTCTGTCACCCAGGCTGGGGTGCAGTGGCGTGATCTCAGCTCACTGCAACCTTTGCATGCCACTTTGAAGCGATTCTCCTGCCTCAGCTTTCTGAGTAGCTGGGATTACAGGCGTCTGTCACCACACCCAGCTAATTTTTGTATTTTTAGTAGAGACAGGGTTTCACCATCTTGCTCAGGTGGTCTTGAACTCCTGACCTCAAGTCAGACCTCAGTCTGAATGTCTGCCTCAGCCTCCCAAAGTGCTGAGATTACAGGCGTGAGCCACCACGCACAGCCTGATATCTTACTTATTAATTAATGAAAAAATAAACTCATTATATATTGGCATATTTAATATATTTCTATTAAAAAATCTATATTTTCCAAATCAAAAAAATAGTGAAAAGAGTGACATTGCAAATCTCTTCAATGTCTAGCTTAATAGAATACAGCTGAATTCTCATATCTGCTTCTATATTCAAATGGCTAAAATGTTACTTTAGTTGAAATATGGGGAAAAAATCTAGCCTCACAAAGATATATATTAGGAAAGAGAGGAGTATTATTTAAATAGCCTTTTTAGATAACTTCAGATCAATCATTCAATGATTTCAAATCACTGGATATTCCTTGATACTAGACCAACACTCAAAAAGTGGTAGTTTCTTTAAGTTAAAATGTATAACCTAGTTTCAGTGGGGTCAAGATAGTCAATTAGAAGCAGCTACCGTGCTTGGCACTCATGGAGAGTACCAGGGTCAGAGAAAGCAGAAAGAAACATGAAAATGGCTCAACAGACAAAGACAGATTTCTTTTGGAGAATAAACCTGAGAGGGGCTTCCGGCTGATTTAGGTCAGGAGCATCTCTCTTACAGACTAAGTGTATTTAAGGGTTTAAGGAGGAAGAGCTTATCGCAGGCTTGGAATGTTTCTGGGTGGAAGGGAATTTATCTCGGGGTTGGAATGTTTTTGGTCGGAGATGTCTCTGTGGTTTATGGTCATGCTGACATTAGCCATTAGGCTGATGTGTTTGGGGCCGGATTTAGGCAGTTTTTTAATCAAAGGGAACTTAAAATGGTGCTGTTTGTCCAAGATGGCAGTGCTCCTGCTGTGTCAGAGAAGAATGAAAGGGGTGAGTAAATACAGCACCTTCAACTGAAACATCCAGGTACTCACATTGGGACTGATCAGGGAAACAACTCGACCCACAGAGAACAGAGAAAAGCAGGGCAAGGTGACAGCCTACCCAGGAGCTACACAGAGCCAAGTGAACCCCTGGCCTCAGCCAAGGGAAGCGGTGAGTGAATGTGTGACCCAGGAAACCACACTTCTTTCATGGATCTTTGCAACCCTTGGATGAGGAGACCCCCTCATAAACCCACTCCACTAGGGCCTGGGGGTCCAACACACAAAGCTGTCTAGAGCCTCAGCAAAGCAACTGCTCAGGCACTCACAAAGACCCAGGAGCTTTACATATTCCAGCCCTGGGATCTCCAGCAAAAATGACTGCAACTCAGGCAAGGTAGGAGGTCGGTATATACCCCTAGGAAGAGGGCTGAATCCAGGGGCCCTCACTTCCACAGCACTTCATATGACTGACTGGCTTGGAATT
This sequence comes from Homo sapiens, assembly GCF_000001405.40. Lineage (NCBI taxonomy): Eukaryota > Metazoa > Chordata > Mammalia > Primates > Hominidae > Homo > Homo sapiens. Next base: position 26,120,094 of record NC_000018.10, read on the forward strand.
CCAGCCAGCCACTGGCAACAGGGTAGCCCCTGCCTGAGACAGAACAGAGCCGGGACTGGGTGGGGGCGGAGGTAGGGGGTTGGGGACGGACTGCCATCTTTGCTGTTGGAGACTCAACCGTTCCAGCATGCCTATGGGCTTTGGAGAGTCCAAATGGTCCAGACAAGAAAGGGATCCCCCAACATAGCACAGCTGCTTTACCAAAACATGGCCAGACTGCTTATTTAAGCAGGACCCCGATCCAATTCCTCCTCATGGGGCAGGATCTCCTAGCCAGGGCCTTCAGCCACCCCCACCCATATTCTATAGACAGTGCTCTGATCTCTCGCTAGGATGGAGTGCCTGGGGGAAGAGGTGGGCCACCACCTTTGTTGATTGGACCACACAGCCATTCCAGCCTGCCAACTTTGGGGCATCCAAATGGTCCAGACAGGAAGGGACTCCCAAGCACAGCACAACTGTTTTCCCAAAGTATAGCCAGGCTGCTTCCTTAAGTGGGACCCCGATCCATTCCTCCCCATTGGGTAAGATCTCATAGCTGGGGCCTCCAGCCTCCCTTGCCCATATTCTATGGACAGAGTTTTGATTTCTCCCTGGGACGGAGTACCTGGGAGGCGGGGCAGGCTGCCACCTTAGCTGTTTGGGCAACTTGGCTATTCCAGCCTGCAGGATTTGGAGGGTCCAAGTCAACTGAGGCATAGGTGGTTCCCCAGCACAGCACAGCTGTTTTTTCAGTGCATGGCCAGACTGGTTCTTTAAGTAAAACCCTGATCCATTCTTCCTCACTGGGCAGGTCCTCCCAGCTGGGGCCTCCAGCTATCCCCCACCAGTGTTCTACAGTGAACAGAGGTTTTAATTTCTCCCTGGGATGGAGTGCCTGGAGGGCAAGGAGGGCCATTACCTTTGCTGCTATACACCTCAGCTGATCCAGCCTGCAGTTCTTAGAGAGCCCAAACTGATCAGCGGCTGAAGGGATCCCCCAACACAGCACAACTGTTCTACCAAAATGCAGCCAGACTGCTTCTTTAAACAGATCCTAGATCTCGTTCCTCCTGGCTGGGTGAGATCTCCCAACTGGGGTCTCCAGCAACCTCCTACAGGTGCATTTGGGCGGACAACAGGTCAGTATCCCCTCTACAATGGAGCTTCCAGAGGGAAGGGGTAGGCTGCTACCTCAATGGTTTCATAGCCTTCACTGGTGATACCTCCAGGTACTGGAAAAACCAAGGTGACTAGGGTCTGGAGCAGACCCCCAGTAAATTGCAGCAGCCCTACAGAAAAGGGGCTAGACTATTAAAAGAAAAATAAACAAACAACAACAACAACACAAGAATCCCATCCAAAAGTCAACAACCTTAAATATTGAAAGTCAATAAGCCCACAAAGATGAGAAAGAATCAGCATAAAACACACTTAAAACTCAAAAAGCCAGAGTGCCCTCTTTCATCCAAATGACCACAACACCTCCCCAGCAAGGGTTCTGAACTGGGCTGAGGCTGAGATGGCTGAAATGACAGAAACAGGCTTCAGAATGTGGATAAAAATGAACTTCAGTGAGCTAAAGGAGCATGTTGCAACCGAAGGCAAGGAAGCCAAGAATCATGATAAAACAATGCAAGAGCTGACAGCCAAAATAGCCAGAATAGAGAGGAACATAACTGACCTGATAGAGCTGAAAAACACACTACAAGAACTTCACAATGCAATTACAAGCATTAACAGCAGAATAGACCAAGTGGAGAAAAGAATCTCAGAGCTTGAAGACTGTCTTTCTGAAATGACAGGTAGACAAGAATAGAGAAAAAAGAATAAAAAGCAATGAACAAAACCTCCAAGAAATATGGGCTTGTAAAGAGACCAAATCTACAACTGACTGGGGTACCTGAAAGAGATGGGAAGAATGGAATCAATATGGAAAACCTATTTTATGATATCATCCAGGAGAACTTCCCCCAACCTAGCTAGACAGGCCAAAATTCAAATTCAGGAAATCCAGAGAACCCCAGTAAGATATTCCATGAGAAGATCATCCCCAAGGTACACAATCGTCAGATTCTCCAAGGTCAAAATGAAAGAAAAAATGTTAAGGGCAGCCAGAGAGAAAGGCTGAGTCATCTACAAAGGGAAGCCCATCAGACTAACAGTGGACCTCTCTTAGCACAAATCCTACAAGCCAGAAGGGATTGGGGGCAAATATTCAACATTCTTAAAGAAAAGAAATTCCAGGCCAGGTGAGGTGGCTTACATCTGTAATCCCAGCACTTTGGGAAGCTGAGGCGGGCAGATCACTTGAGGCCAGGAGTTTGAGACCAATCTGGCCAAAATGGTGAAAGCCTGTCTCTACCAAAAAATACAAAAATTAGCCGGGCATGGTGGCACACTGCCTGTACTCCCAGCTACTCGGGAGGCTGAAGTGGGAGAATTGCTTGAACCTGGGAGGCGGAGGTTGCAGTGAGCTGAGATTGCGCCACTGCACTCTAGCCTGGGCAACACAGCGAGACCCTGTCTCCAAAAAAAAACTCCAGCCCAGAATTTCATATCTGACCGAACTAAGCTTTAGAAGCAAAGGAGAAATAAGATCCTTTTCAGACAACCAAATGCTGAGGGAATTTATTACCACCAGACCTGCCTTACAAGAGGCCCCGAAGGACTAAATATGGAAGGGAAAACCTGTTATCAGCCACTACAAAAACATACTGAAGTACACAGACCAGTGACACCATGAGGCAACCGCATGAAGAAGTCTGCAAAATAACCAGCTAGCATCATGATGACAAGAAAAAAAAAGAAAAAAAAAAAAGAGCAGGGGTTGCAATCCTAGTTTCTCACAAAACAGACTTTAGAGATCAAACAAGATAAACAACGGCATTACATAATGATAAATGGCTCAATTCAACAAGAAGACCTAACTATCCTAAATATATATATGCACCTAATACAACAGCACCCAGATTCATAAAGCAAGTTCTTAGAGACCTTCAGAGACTTTATCTCCCACACAATAATAGTGGGACACTTTAACACCCCACTGACAATATTAGACAGATCAACAAGACAGAAAATTTACAAAGATATTCAGGTCCTGATCTCAGCTCTGGATCAAATGGACCTGATAGATATCTGGAGGACTCTCTAACCCAAAACAACAGAATATACATTCTTCTCATCAGCATATGGCACTTACTCTAAAATTGATCACATAATCGGAAATAAAACACTCCTCAGCAAATGTAAAAGAACCGAAATCATAACAAACAGTCTCTTGGACCACACCAGAATCAAATTAGAACCCAAGATTAAGAAATTCACTCAAAACCTTACAACTACATGGAAATTAAACAAGCTGCTCCTGAATGACTTTTGGGTAAGTAATGAAATTAAGGCAGAAATCAAGTTCTTTGAAACTAATAAGAACAAAGACACAATGTATCAGAATCTCTGGGACGCAGCTAAAGCAGTGTTAAGAGGGAAATGTATAGGACTAAATGCCCACATCAAAAAGTTAAAAAGATCTCAAGTTGATAACCTAACATTGCAACTAAAAAAACTAGATAACCAAGAGCAAACAAACCCCAAAGCTAGCAGAAGATTAAAAAAAAAAATCAAGGTAAGAGCTGAACTGATGGAGATCCAGACACAAAAAAACCTTCAAAAAATCAAGAAATCCAGGAGCTAGTTTTTTGAAAAAATTAATAAAATAGACTGCTAGCTAGAAAAAGGAATGTTTTTACACTGTTGTTGGGACATGTAAATTAATTCAACCACTGTGGAAGACAGTGTGGCAATTCCTCAAAGATCTAGAGACAGAAATAGTATTCAACCCAGCAATCCCATTACTGGGTATATGCCCAAAGAAATGTAAATCATTCTATCATAAAGACACAAGCATGTGTATGTTCATTGCAGCACTATTCACAATAGCAAAGGCATGGAATCAACCTAATGCCCAACAATAATAGATTGAATAAAGAAAATGTGATATATATACACTATGGAATACTATGCAGCCATAAAAAGGAATGAGATCATGTCCTTTACAGGGACATGGATGGAGCCAGAGGCCATTATCCTTAGCAAACTAATGCAGGAACAGAAAACCAAATACCACATGTTCTCACTTATAAGTGGGAGCTAAATGATGAGAACACATGGACACATTGCGGGGAACAACATACACTGGGGCCTATTGGAAGGTTGAGAGTTGGGAGGAGGGAGAGGATCATGAGAAAATCAGAACAGCTAGTGGATGCTGGGCTTAATATGTGGGTGATGGGATGATCTGTGCAGCAAACCACCATGGCACACATTTACCTAGGTAACAAATCTGCACATCCAGCACACATACCCCTGAACTTAAAATAAAAGTTGGAAATACAAAGAAATGTGTAATGTGAAAGGATATCTATGAACTTTTAGTACTTTTTTACATTAAAATACATTGTTCTGGCTGGGTGCGATGACTCACGCCTCTAATCCCAGCACTTTGGGAGGCCAAGGCAGGCAGATTACCTGAGGTCAGGAGTTCAAGACCAGCCTGTCCAACACAGTGAAACCCCATCTCTACTAAATAATACAAAAATTAGCCAGGTGTGGTGGCATGTGCCTGTAATCCCAGCTACTTGGGAGGCTGAGGCAGGAGAATTGCTTGAACCTGGGAAGCAGAGGTTGCAGCGAGCCGAGATCACGCCACTGCATTCCATCCTGGGCAATAGAGTGAGACTCTATCTCAAAAAAAAAAAAAAAAATTAAAATACATTGTTCTATCTATGTGAATGTCTCTTTAACTTATGATGCATAAGTGTGTATCATGCTTTGGTTATTGGAAAATACTGATTCACAGAGTTATGCATATCTTCTAAATGTACTACATCGAAAATCACATTTATAAATATCAGTATCAATCTCATCTCTAAAGTAAAGTAAGTATTCAGAAGTTGTCAAGCCTCATCGTGATGAATAAAACTCTTCAAAACTTTCTTACTAAAAACTTGAATTTTATCCTAGGAAACTGATAAGACCTGTTTTGTTTTTTTTTTAAGTGACAAGCTCACTTTGTTCATTTTCAAATGTCTGCATAAGTATCTAACTCTAAATAATCAAAATTTGTTCATTTTTTAAACTATTAATTTTTTTTTAGAGATAGGGTTTCACTCTCTCAGACAGGCTACAGTGCAGTGGCACAATCATAGCTTACTGCAGCCTTGAACTCCTGGGATCAAGCAATCTTTCCAAGTAGCTGCAACTACAGATGCATACCTAATTTTTAAAAAATTTTATGTAGAGATGAGGTCTCACTTTGTTGCCCAAGCTGGCCTTAAACTCCTGGCTTCAGGAAATCCTCCACCCTGGCCTCCCAAGATGCTGGGATTACAGGCGTGAGCCACCATGAACAGCCTGTCCATCATTCTTTAAAGTACAAATAGTGTTCCATGAGAAAGGGAGATGGTTCAGCTAGCAACGCAAAGATTCACACAACTACTTTTTCTTCAAGCTAACCATCTTACTTTGAAGGCAGCAGCAGAAGTGCTTTATGTGTACTTCTCATTTTGTCATTCTGAATATCAAAAAAAATAGTTACTCAAAGTCAAAACCGAATATAATAATTTACTATGTATACAATGACCTTCTAGAATTAAACTGGATTTTTTTCATGAAAATGAAAAAGTGGTAAAGAATATAATGTGTATTAAAGGTGGAATACCCTAATCCAAAAATACAAAATCTGAAGTGCTCCAAAATCTGAAACATTTTGAGTACTGATGTGATGCCACAGCGGAAAATTCCACACCTGGCTTCATATGACAAGTTGCAATCAAAACACAGTGCACAATACAGTTTATTCAGTGTTTCCAATGGAAAAAATTCCTCTCAGCCCCCTTCAGCTATATTTTTTCCACACACGCCCAGATTCCCCACCCAAGCATGATCACAAATAATAATAAAATTGCACATATGCAGGCCAGATGCACCAATACCAGGTACCCCACCGTGCTCTACATGGGCCAAGATCTATGTGTATTACCCACTGGTTTTTGTTTTTGTTTTTTGCTTAATTCTCTCCTCTGTGGTACAAAAATATTACAGAAAATGTCAAAAAAAAAAAAAAAGCCTACAGCTACCCCTATGGGTAACAGTGATTAAAGAAAAGAAAGCATTTATGTTTATCTATAGCATAAAAAGTCAAACCGTTGGAAAAACTGGACAGCTGTGTAAGTGTTAAATGAATTACAAGAGTATGGTGTTGGAATGACCACTATCTATAACCTGAAGAAACAGAAAAATAAACTGTTGAGGTTTTATGCTGAAAATGATTAACAGAAGTTAAACAAAAATAGAAAAACGCTACATAAAGCTAAAAATGAGGATCACAATTATGTATTGAAAGAGTGGATCCACTGGTGTGGCAGTAAACACATGCCTCTTAATGGTATACTGATCAGGAAACAAGCAAAGATCTATCATGATGAACTGAAAACTGAGGAGGACTGTGAATACTCAACAAGCTGGTTGCAGAAATTTAAGAAACAACATGGCATTAAAATTTTAAAGCTCTGTGGTGATAAAGTATCTGATGACCACAAAGCAGTGGAAAAAATCATTCACAACTTTGCCAAAGTCATTGCTGATAAAAATCTTATCCCAGAGTTACTGCTGATGAAAATCTTATCCCAGAACAAGTCTATAATGCTGATAAAACATCATTGTTTTGGCATTACTGCACCAGAAAGAACCTGACTATAGCTGATGAAACAGCCCCTAAAAGAATTAAGGATGTCAAGGACGAATAACTGTGTTGGGATGTGCTAATGTAGCAGACATATATAAATATAAACTTGACGTGATAGACAAAAACTTGCATTCTTGCTGTTTTCAAGGAGTGAACTCTTACCAGTCCATTATTATGCTAAGAAAAAGTCATGGATCACCAGAGACATCTCTTCAGATTGGTTTTACAAACATTTTGTACCAGCAGCTCATGCTCACTGCAGGCAAACTACACTGAATGACAACTGAAAGTTTTTTTACTCTTTGACAACAGTTCTGCTCATCCTCCAGTTGAAATTCTCTTAAAAAATATGTATAGCCAGGCGCAGTGGCTCACACCTGTAATCCCAGCAGTTTGAGAGGCCAAGGCAGGTAGATCGCCTGAGGTCAGGAGATCAAGACCAGCCTGGCCAATATGGCGAAACCTCGTCTCTACTAAAAATACAAAAATTAGCCCGGCATAGTGGTGCATGCCTGTAATCACAGCTATCTGAGAGGCTGAGGCAGCAGGAGAATCACTTGAACCCGGGAGGTGGAGGTTGCAGTGAGCTGAAATTGCGCCACTTCACTCCAGCCTGGACAACAGAGACTCTGTCTCAAAAAACATAGTAATAATAATAGTATTTATGCTATGTATTTTCCTGCAAATGTGACTTCATTAATTCAGCCATTTGACCAGGGTATCCTTAGACCAGTGAAATATACATATTTTAAAAACACTTACTTGAGCAGCATGCCAGCAGCAGTGAACAGAGTCATGGGTTAGGAAGGTTTTCAAAGGAGTTTAGCATAAAGGATGCCATACACGCTGTTGCCGATGCTAGGAACAGTAACTGAAGACACAGTTGTGCATGCCTGGCACAACCTGTGGCCTGTGGCTATGTTCAGTCATGATGATGAACAAAATAGTGACTTTGAAGGATTTCATATGTCAAGTGAGGAAAAAAATGACATCTGCCCTCCTTAGATATGCAAAAATACAACTTCAGAGTCCATCACTGGTATGGTTTGGATCTGTGTCCCAGCCAAATCTCATGTCAAATCGTAATTTGGAGGTGGGGCCTGGTGGGAGGCGACTGAATCATGAGGGTGGCTCCTTCATGAATAGTTTAGCACCATCCCCTAGGTGCTGCTCTCATGACAGCGAGTTCTCACGAGATCTAGTCATTTAAAAGTGTGTGGCACCTCCCTCCTCACTCTCTCTTGCCCCTGCTCTTCTTATGTGAGACGCCTGCTCCTCCTCTGCCTGTCACCATGATTGGAAGCTTCCTCAGGCCTCCCCAGAAGCAGAAGCTGTTATGCTTCTGTGATGGTTAATACTGAGTGTCAACTTAATTGGATTGAAGGATACAAAGTATTGATCCTGGGTGTGTCTGTGAGGGTGTTGCCAAAGGAGGTTAACATTTGAGTCAGTGGGTTGGGAAAGGCAGACCCACCCTTAATCTGGATGGGTACAATCTAATCACCTGCCAGCGTGGCTAGAATATAAGCTAAGCAGGCAGAAAAATGTGAAAAGAGGAACTGGCCTAGCCTCCCAGCCTACATCTTTCTCCCATGCTGGATGCCTCCTGTTCTTGAACATCAGACTTCAAGTTCTTCAGTTCTGGAACTCATACTGGCTCTCCTTGCTCGTCAGCCTGCAGATGGCCTATTGTGGGACCTTGTGATCATGTGAGTTAATACTTAATAAACTCATATATACATATATATACACATATACATATATATGTTTTATATATATATATATATATATATATATATATATATATATATATATATAATATATATGTATTAGTTCTGTCCCTCTAGAGAATCCTAATACAGTTTCCTACACAGAACCTAGGCCAATTAAACCTCTTTTCTTTATAAATTATCCTGCTCGGGTATTTCTTTATAGCAATGCAAGAACAGCCTAATACAGTCACTTAGCTGGAAGAAGTGGATATCAAAGAAGTTTTTAACATTGATAACGAGGCTCCAGATATTCATTCATTGGCTAATGATAAATGCTAAATGGTTCTGAATCAAGGTGACTGTGATAACAGTGACGAAGAAGGTGATGTCGTTAACACTAAAGAAAAAGTGCCTGTAGACAACATGGTGAAAATGTGTAATGGGCTTATTGAAGAACTAAAGCAGATGCATTCATAACAGAACAAGAAGTCATGTCCGTTTATAAAATCAAAGAGAGACTTCTAACACAAAAACAGTTATTAATGAGGCAGATGACTCTGGAGGAAACCTTTTTAAAAAGCATCCAGCAGAATGCCTCCTTATTCCTAGAGGACCCACTTCCTGGTCCCTGAACTGCTTCTGACGTTTCTTCTCACTTAAAAAAAAAAAATTATAGTGCACTGTAACCTTTCAGTCAAATCAGAGCATAGCAGGTGGAGATTGAAAGCCTGTTGTTGTTTGTTGTTGCTGTTGTTTGACAACTAATGGGCATTCTGGTAATGATACTGTGCTGATTCATTGCCCTGAAAGCATTATTTTTTCACTGTATTAATGGTATGTCATATTGTTTATTGTTAATTACTTTTATGTGAATACGTGTAAGAAAATGATTGCTCATCAGTAGCATATAAATTCAGTCAGGAATGCTGGGGGTGTCAAACAACCAGATTGTCCAGTCTGAAATAATGACATCTTTGCTTTCTTATGGCTCAATATACACAACATTTGTTTTATGCACAAAATTATTTTAAAATATTTTATAAAATTACCTTCAAGCTATGTTTATAAAGCATAATAAAAAATGAATTTTGTGTTTAAACTTGGGTCTTATTCCCAATATATTTCATTATGTATATACAATTATTCCAAAATATGTAAAAAATCCAAAATCTGAAACATTTCTGGTCCCAAGCATTTTGGATAAGGAATACTGAACCCATAGAATAAGTTTAATGCTACTGCCTTGAGTTATATTAAGGTTTCAGTAGCTTTACCCATCATTGCTTTTGCACTGTCAATGCAAATATCCGCACAGTGAAAAGGGCAAGTACCGTCTTAATATTTTTACTATAGTTTTGTCATTGTCAATCCCTTGAAAGGTTTTTGAGTACCTCCAAAAATGTGTGGGCCACAGTTTGAAAACTACGGCTTTATTCCAATTATGGATTGAGATTATTTAAAACTGGGTATTATTAGTCCCCATGAGAATAGGTCTATTTTTTTTTTCGAAGAGGCTAAATTTTATTTAAGAAATTGTGTATACCAATAACTAAAATCATTTTTTAAAGGCACTCTGATTAAACTGCATTTTTCAGCATTACAGGACACCTTGGACAGTTTTTACTCTAGATTTCAACATCATCCCACCCTGCTTCTTCCTTCACCAATACTGAAGGAAGTTCATTTTGCTCCCTGCCAGTCAGACAGGCAGATAGGAGAGGCAGGTATAGACTTTGTTTTCAATAGTTCTTGATTCTTTGATGTGAAGAGTAGTAGCACAGTCATTTAAACTCAATCCCACTTCTCTGCATCTTATAAAATAAAACAGCTAAAAGGAGTAAAATAAGAAGGCAATGCTTGTGGGATGTAGCGTATATTGGCAGCACAGTCCTCATTACTATTTGCATAATTGTCTCTCCTGTATAATCATTTCTTTGGAAGGCAGTGGATTTTAGTCTTGTTTTTGTTCTCTTCAATTTTTACTTACTGAATTTATCAATCTCAGCCATACTGGGTTTGTCACACGTGGTCAGAGAAGAAGCAGAGCAAGGTGCATAAGTGAGTAGAGGCTGATCTGTGCAGAGACCACAGCCAAGTGTAGAATAGATCTATTTTTGGTTCAATCCTACTTCTGGGCTGTGGCTCTTTGGGTTCTAAACAAAAACTTAGACATTTACCATCACCCCTATACCATAATAGGCTTTGAATTCCAAAGGTCTATGAAAGGTCTGCTTTACTCCTCACTTAACCTTCCGGGTTTTCCTACTTTTCTTTATCTTGGCACCACAAACCCTCATTCCTTGTTAGTTCTTTACAGTCAGCATATACATTTAAAAAATATATCTTAGACAAGTATTTCTAGTTGTTTTCAATGGGAGATTTGGTCCAAACTATCAAAACTGCAATCGCTTGCAGCTTCTAGGCATTAAACTGTTTCTTATGGTTTTTGTTAACTATAAAAATAAACAATGCTTGTGGTAAAAAAAAATTAAAATAATACAGATACAAAGTTTAAAATGGTAACTTCTCTGTCCCTACCATGTCGTCCCATTTTCTAATTCCTGGCCTCCTGCAAAGAAATGCACTTTTATAAATTTGGGGTAAGTACTTTCACTCTTTATACATTTGGATACACATATTTTTAAAAATACACATTTTTAAAAGTATAAATGAGTTCATGCTACATTTTTACTTTTCCTAATTTCTCTCTTACAGAGTAATCTTTACTTTTTCATGAACTTAATGATAAATAACAATAGTTAACATTTTTTTAAGTCGTTACTCTGTGTCAGGCACAGCCATGGGTGCATTAATGGACTATTTCATTTGTTCTTCACTACAATCTTGTGAAGATAAGTATTATCACCATTTTGCAGGTCAGAAAACTGAGTTTTAGTGAAGTGAAATATACCTACCCAAAGGTACACAGCTGTTGTTATATTTTAGTGAGGATGTTAAATCTGAATGTGTTAATTAAACTTTGTCAACATTTTAACGCTATCATATTTCTGAAGTGTATACTATCATACAGTGTGACATTTACAAAACGCCTTCTAATGGTATAAACATGCTCTATACCAAAGTCAGTTTCCTGGTTTTTTACTGTATCAGATGTAACAAATTGCAGAAACTAAGTGTAGGGTATGAGGGGCCATTCTGTACTGTCCTGTCAAATTTCTGTGAGTCTATAATTATTTAGAAAATAAAAAGTCACTAAAAACTTACATCAGGTATGATTCCATTTATGTAAAATTTTTGAAATGGCAAAATTATAGAGATGGACAACAGATTAGTAGTTGCCAGGGATGGTAGAGGGAGAGAGAGATGGGTATGTCTTGCAAGTCAACGCCACAGATCTTTGTGGTTGTGAAACAGCTCTGTATCTTGATTATGATAGTCATTATACCAATCTATACATGATAAATTGCATAGGCCTCCCCGCCACATACACACAGGTGTGTATATAAAACTGGCAAAATCTGAAAAAACTCTGTGCATTACACCAATGTCAGTTTCCTGGTTTTGTTACCATATTATACGTACATAAAATATTACCATTGGAGGAAATGGGGTGAAGGATATAGGAGACCTCTTCTTACCGTATTTGAAACTTCCTGTCAATCTATAACTATTTCAAAATAAAAAGGAAACATAATTTAACGAGTACACCAAAACACTTCTCAAGAAACCACTTTGGACAAATGTTGGTTTATCATAATAATGTAAAGTAACCAGTTAGAGTGAATTGTTTTCATTAGGAATTACTGGTTTTTTGCAGTCAAACCAAACTTGTCAAGACTGTAATACTGAAGAAAAGCAATGGAGGGGCAATAAGTACAAACTGCTTCAAGAGTCAACTAAAGGCCAGGTGTGGTGGCTCACACCTGTAATCGCAGTACTTTCGGATGCCAAGGCAGGAGGATTGCTTGAGACCAGGAGTTTGAGACCAGCCTGGGCAACATAGGGAAACCAAGTCCCTACGTTAAAAAAAAAAGTATTAATAATTAAATAAATTGTTTAAGTCAATTAAAATTCTGATTTAAGTATTTGGAATTCAGGGAATCAAATTTTTCCTCTTTTGAGGAAATTATTCTTTTTTTCTTTTTTTTGGTTAAAGTTGATTTCACCAACTTTAAGATCCTCCCCAGTGGAAAACTGCATATATTAAACAACACATGGAAAGCAATAATAGCTAAACTTACCTGGCTATTACTGCCCACCAGGCACCATTTTATGTAATTATGCCCATAAACACATATTAAGCTCAGAATACTCTGCTGCAGATTTTTTAATATTCCCATTTTATTGATAAGGAGAAAGCGACAGAGTTGTTTCATAGTTAGTAATGTAGCAAGTTGTAAAGAGTTTCTGCTATAGCTAAATTTCCAGACATCTTTTAAGTCTCATACTTTGGGCTTTTACAAAATTTCTCCAATTAAAAGAATATTATCTGGGCCGGGCGCGGTGGCTCACGCCTGTAATCCCAGCACTTTGGGAGGCCGAGGCAGGCGGATCACGAGGTCAGGAGATCAAGACCATCCTGGCTAACACGGTGAAACCCAGTCTCTACTAAAAATATAAAAAATTAGCCGGGCGTGGTGGCGGGCGCCTGTAGTCCCAGCTGCTCCGGAGGCTGAGGCAGGAGAATGGCGTGAACCCGGGAGGTGGAGCTTGCAGTGAGCCGAGATTGCACCACTGCACTCCAGCCTGGGCGACAGAGCGAGACTCCGTCTCAAAAAACAAAAAACAAAACAAAACAAAAAAAAGAACATTATCTTAATTCTCATCATTAGCTTAGTTTGATGGACTATTTGCTTTATTTAACGGACCATTTGCTCATCTGCTCTATTTTGCTCACAAGGCAGAAAATATCAGAAGCAACAATATTTTGAAGTTTGCTTTCTTTCCTTCGGTTCAAATAACAAGAGTTAACCTGAGAGAGAGAAAGAAAAAGTAGGAAATTTAGAATTTGAAACCAAAGGGAAGGGACTGATATTTAACTTACCACAGTTTCTCCAACATGTATGCGATAACAAAAATATCTGATATTTGAAGACCTCATTTTTAAGCCCTAATCTTTGATATTATTTTTATAACTCGAGTGCCGTGACACCATCCCTGGGGCAACACGGTAGTGGGGAAATGGAGATATGCGCTATGCGTCAGACATGAAGGGTAAGGGAAGAATGCCGTCAACTCACAGGCACTGCTTGGGTGACAAAGGCTGGCAAGCGCGAGGACATCCGCAGGCAGCCAAAGGAGCAAGGACTTCCGTGAAGCAGCCGAAGCGCGGGCGCGGGGACTTCCGGGAGGCAGCTTGAGGCGCGTGTGGAAGCGCTTCCGGGCGGTAGCACGCTGTGTTGGCGGCGGCTCCCCGCTTGCCTCAGCTGCAGCAGCGGGAAGCTCGGTGGCAAGCCCTTGTAGTCCTGTGCGATGGCGTCTCGATATGACAGGGCGATCACTGTCTTCTCCCCAGACGGACACCTTTTTCAAGTTGAATATGCCCAGGAAGCGGTGAAGAAAGGATCCACCGCGGTGAGGAAGCAACTATTACCGGACTATTCCCCGCTCTGACCTGTCAGGCCATCGTTACCCTGCTGCCCCAGCCCACCTTTCCATCCTAGGAGCTCAAGAGAGGAGATTCCCACACTTGTGAAAATTACTTTGTTCTTTTTATTTAGGGAGACAGACTTCTAGATTTGGGCCGGAAGTGGGCAGAGTAAAAGTTAGTAGATTTCCCCTATCTCTGCTGTTCAACTGCCTCTGTTTCATGGTAGCTACAGACGCAAAACTAGGGTGTGTGTGTGGGTGTGTGTGTGTGTGTGTGTGTGTCTCTGTGTGTGTGTGTGTGTGTGTAGGGACGTTAATGATGTGATTGACAATAGGGAAAGCTTCTAATCTGTAACAGCCTACCTATTGAACGCTCGTGGTCCAGTTCCTTGGTAGTTCAGAGACCCCTGGAAAAGTTAACAGTTGCTTCATGTTGGGAACTGTTTTTTAATAACAGTTACAATAAAAAATAAAAGTTGGCCACACCTGCTCCCCAAATACGGACTAAATCAATATAAAATTAAACTTTTGTTGATGAAGAAATGATTAAAAACACAGTTCAAACACACGCGTTAAAAATATCCCAAAATTGCTGGGCGCAGTGGCTCACACCTGTAATCCCAGCACTTTGGAAGGCCCAGGAGGGCGGATCACCTGAGGTCGGGAGTTTGAGACCAGCCTGACCAACATGGAGAAACTCCGTCTCTACTAAAAATACAAAATTAGCCAGGCGTGGTGGCGCATGCCTGTAATCCCAGCTACTCGGGAGGCTGAGGCGGGAGAATCGCTTGAACCTGGGAGGCAGAGGTTGCGGTGAGCCGAGATCGTGCCATTGCACTCCAGCCTGGGCAACAAAAGCGAAACTCCGTCTCGGGAAAAAAAAAAAAAATCCCAAAATTGTCCCAATATTTCCCAGCCTTGTAGAGGCTCAAAAGTCCAAGAACTTCCACTTTTTTGGCCACTTAAAAAATAATGCTGGAAGTTCCTTGAGAGATTACACCCTACCTTAGATTTATGTATCCACATTACTGAAAAACTTAAAAAATACTCAGGGTAGGAGTAATACTGCTGCCAAGTTTTAACTACGTTCAATAATTTTAGTGATTTATAAAAATTAAAGAGGACAAAAGTGCCCTAGTGACACAAGATCTATTACCCCAAATCTTCTAAGGCCTAGCCTATGAATTCAAAGGATCGGATATTTTTATTCTCTCAATTTCATGAGCATGTTTGTTGTGTACTTTGGAAATTGAGACAGTAGCTATGAGAATACACAGTACGTTTCTAAGTCTAGCAGTGTCTATATTTTCTGACTTTCTTTGTTAAAGAAGGAAATAATTCACTTTCATTATAAATCTAACAGATGTAAGTGGTAAAAAAAAAACACTAGAAGAAGAATCGTTTTAAAAGTATTTTTCTATTTAATTGGGCCCACTAGTTTTGCTTCTGTTTTGCAAGTAATTTTTTTAGAATTATAAATTTAAGGAAAGCCTGATGTAGCTTAAACCAAAAGGGTACCATTTTGATAAAAACAAAAAGTTATATAATCCCCAGCATAGCATGTAGCATATGGTTAGAAACTAATGGCCAAGTTTTAGAGCCTAAAATAAAGGGAGTAATAGGAGAAGACTAGGGTGTAATAAGAAACCACATTGGCTCATTTAACATGTTTTAAGAGTGCTGTAGAACTGATTGATGGTTCCTTTGTAATAAGCGGTAAAAGGGTAAGGATATAAAAATACCTATAGTGGGCATTTTTAAAGATACATTGGAAGAATGAGACACTTTTGTCTCAGAATTCTGAAATTATAATTTGCATGTTTGCATGGAGTTATTCATTGTGTTTCCTTGAGGGTGCTGTGACCTTTTACATAGGGTAAAGTTTTTTAATGGCACTTGATTATTAAAATATGTCACAAAATATTCTGTCTAGAAGTGAAAATTGATATTATGAGTTACAAATAAGCCAAGGTTGACCAGTTTTGACCAGTATGTAGATGTGATACTATTTAGTAATATAAAAATTATATGGGCCACAATTAAAGGCTTTGTGTTCTACTTCCTTGTTGATGATTATCTTATAGCATGAAAGGAGACAAGAGGCTTGTTTTCTTTTTGCTTCAGTTCCCTTTTCTGTAAATGCAAATTTGTTTAAATAACATTTTGGAGAAGTAATACCTTTCTTCTTAGGGAAAAGAAATGAATCCTTCACAATATTCCCATGAAAACGATAAGATTTATTATCATTCCTCATTTTGTCCTTTCTGTGACCCCAAACTGTTATTAGCTCTGTATTTCCTACTTTATCAAATCTCAGCTCCACAATGTAGCCATCAAAGTCTTCCATAATCCTATCCACCCTCTTAATTTAGGAGGCAGCTTCTTGGTTTCACTAATATGTGTTTCTGCCTACAGAAAGGGGAGAGAGGAAAGGGGAAAACACCTTTCTTTCTGCTGCTCTGCATCTTATTTATCCTTTAACAATCTCTGCACACTTGTCCTCTATAATGAAGCCTTCTCTGATCCACTCCAGTCATCTTGGATCTTTGTCTTTTCTGAATTTATAATCTGTACCACAGAATATTGTACAGTATTTACTATTTGACCTGATATTTTCTTTAATTTCAGGTATATTTAATAATCTCACACCAACTGGATAGTAAGATCTCTGAGGATCTAGATGGTATAATTCATTTTTCTATTTCTACTGCACAATATACAGTAGAGGGGCTAGGAAGGCAGTAACTAACATTTAAGAAATACTTTAACCAGGCATTTTGTGTATATTATCTAACATTAGGGACAGTGTTTAATCCCCTTTTATTATGTGTGAAACTGTGATTCAGAAGCATTTATAGCTTGCTGAAAGTACCCAGCTGGAGAGTGATGGAACCCATATTTATAATTATTTTTTTCTAGTTCTAAAGCCCCTGCTCCTTGCATTGTAGCATGAAATTTGTTCAATAAATGTTTGTATATTAATTAGCTTCCATTATCATGAATGTAGAAATCAGATATGTATCACTTAAGGCAATTAACTTCACTAAGCTTCAGTTTCTGTAATAGTAAAAGAGGCATCAAAATAGCACTTGTGGCTGGGCGTGGTGGCTGATGCCTGTAATGCTAGCACTTTGGGAGGCTGAGGTGAGTGGATCACTGGAGGTCAGGAGTTTGAGACCAGCCTGGCCAACATGGTGATGCCCCATCTCTACTAAAAATACAAAAAATTAGCTGAGCATGGTGGTGTGTGCCTGTATTCCCAGCTACTTGGGAGACTGAGGCAGGAGAATTGCTTGAACCGAGGAAGCAGAGGTTGCATGAGCTGAGATTGCACCAGTGTACTCCAGCCTGAGTGACAGAGTGAGAATCTGTCTCAAAAAAAAATTGCACTTGCTTCAGAGAGTTGATGTGAAAGTTGAATGAGGTAATAATGCATGTGAAGCATCTTAAACAGAATCTAGTTCACAGAAAGTACTTAACAAATTGTAGTTATTATTTACTATTCTTTGTTTTCTCTTTTTTTTAAATTTTGTCTGTGGTGCTTCTCACACATTCATTTATTATTTCAAGACATTTTTGTTGAATACTTACATATGCTAAACATGATGCTAGGTCACATACAAGATAGATAGCATCACATACAAAATAGATTCGATCCCTGTCCTTAGAGATCCTACTATCTATCAGGAAAGTTAGATAATTACATAAATAGTCCTAAGAAAACCCGAATGAGTATTAGAGTATGAGGCACTATAGGAACCCCAGGTGTTGGGGAGGTCCCTCTGAAGAAATAATACTTAAGTGGACATCTGAAAGATGAGGGGCTGTCAAGTGAAGAAGTGGAAGGGGAAAGAGTGAAGAGTATTTTTGACAAAGGAAATAGCTTGTGGGAAGGCAAGTAGAAAAGGACAGCTATGTTCTGTCAACTGAAAGGCATTCAGAATTGTTGAAGCAATGGAAAAATAGAAATAGATGAAGCTAGAAACTGGTGCCAGATCATGGAATGCCATTAAACCATGTAAGTGAGGATATACTGAATGAGAGACCTTGAAGTGTTTTGATGTGGCTACTGTCAGTCTCCAGATTATTGCTCTTCTGTCATTCTATTAACAGACTACATTTGTCCAACAACAGAGATACTCACATGACCTAAGTAGAATCATTCATAATTTCTATCTTCCTGGCCACAGTGATGAGCATGTCACTCAAATCTAGCCAATGATAAGTTCACCCTTAGCAACTCTTCTGACTAGAGACAGAGGTAGCTTTTATTCTCTGGGAGAACTGTTGGGATGTGGGTCCAAGGTTCCTGGTGGCCATGTTTTTACTGTACAGAGAAAGCCTTTCCACATTAGGAAAGTGAAAAGCCAATATGCAAAGAGTACATATTAAAGTCCCTAGATCCTTTTGTCTCATGTCTAGCTCTGTGCTGTGTTGATTTGCTTAGTGACAGATGGTCCCTTTATAAGCTTTAAGTAAAGGAATGCCACATTCAGACTTTATTTTCTTCTTCTTCTTTTTTGGTCTTCATTTTATTTTCCAAATATTTCTCAGGCTACCTATGGTCAGTGAATTGGATGAAATCAAGACTAGAAACAGGGAGACCAGTTAGTATTCTGTGGAAATAGTCTAGATGAAAGATGATAACTAGCTTTTACTAGACTTGGGGGGAAAGTAAAAATAAGGTGGATTCCAGAAAAACATTAAGCAGTATACTTGTTACAATTTGATGGTTATATGGATGGTGTTGACAGAGGTATAGAAGAAGGAGGAATAAAAGTTGGTGTCCCTGTTTCTGGATGTGCCTGCTAAGTAAATGGTACTGCCATTTACTTAGAGAATGTAAGCACTAAGTTTTGGGGGAAGATAACTGTTTTGGACTTGCTGAGGTTGAGATGCTTATGGAAACTGTAGCAGACAGACTTTAAAATGGCCTCCAGTGATCCCCACCTTGTGGTGGTCATGCCCTTGTATAACCTTCCTCCCTTGGATGTGGGCTGAACTTAGTGACTTGCTTTTAAGGAATGGAATAGGTGAAAATGACGAATGTCACATCAGGGATTAGGTTGCAAAGAAATGGTGACTTCATTTTATTCATCCTTACTCGCTGTTTTGCTTGCTTACTCTGGTGAAACCCAGCTGCCGTGTTGAGTTGCCCTCTGCAGGGCCCAATGAGGCAAGGAACTGAGGGAAACATTTGTTCAAAATCTAGTAGGGAACTGAGATCCTTAGTCCAACAACCCAGGGGAACTGAATCTTGCCAACAACAATGCGAGTGAGCTTGGAAATGGATCCTTCCCCAGTTGAGCCTAGAGATGCATGCAGCACTGGTAGACAACTTGATTGCAGCCTTATGAGAGACCCTGAGCCAGAGGAATTAGCTAAACTGTGTCCCGATTCCTGAACAGAGACTGTGAGGCAGCTGAAAAGTACATGTTTGAAATTTAAGAGATTGATTTTGGCTGGAAATAATAATTTTGAAGTGCATTGTTTCTCTCCCCTGTTAAAAACCTATATTGAAGGTCAAGTAAATGCATACTCTTGAGTACCCTTCTGTGTTCAATAAGACTAAATATAGACTATAGACTAAGCCGAGGATAGTCTACAACTGAACCTTGAGGAACCTTAATGACCTTTGTAATTACCTTGACTAAACTCTGAGAGAAGAGGGATAGAAACCAGGTTGTTGTGGGCTGAGGGATGATGACAATATTTGACTTGAAGGGCTTGAAAGAAAAAAGGTGGGATTAAAGTGGAATGGTCTTAAAATTAAGATAAAAGAGACTAACATAGGTTTCTGTCTGTTCGTTGAACTTCTCAATTTGTTCGCATAGTGTTTTCCTGATCTCGCTTGTTTATCTCTGTACTCTTGTAGCTTACTGAGCTTTTAAAAGATTGTTACTTTTTAATTCTTTGTCAAGAAATTCATAGATCTCCATACTTTATTTTCTTCCTTTGGTAGTATCATGTTTCTCTGATTGTTCACGATTCTTGTGGCCTGGCATGGATGTCTGCACATTTGAAAAAGTAAGTACCTCTTCAGATTAGCTTCAGCAGGAAAAGTTCTTCACCAGTTAGCCCATCCAGAGATTTGGGGTGGGCCTGCCACTAGAGTCCTTTGGCAGGCTGGCGTGATGCCTAGGTCAGCAGGCAGGCTGGCTTGGCACCACAGGTGCCAGCCTTGTACCAGGGCTCACTGGGGTGGGCCTGGAACCTGAGTCCACAGGAGCAGACCTGGAGCTTGGATCCATGGGGTCCATGGAAAAGTCAGATACCCACGTTACTCTCCTTACCACACATGGATGGTATCTCTCTCTGCACTGTGTTGCTGGGCCTTGAAGGACAGGTGATGTGGATAATGTCAAATTGTCTTTCTCACTCTCTTCAAAGTGTCTTTTCGTATTTCTGTGCTTTGGTCTCTCACCTGGATTCTTTTCTTAGGAAGTATTTTCACACATAGTAGTACAAATTGGTATTTCTGCTGGGACATGGGCATGGGAAACTCCTATTCTGCCATCTTGCTGATGTCATATTGTTTTGAGATTTTGGCATCAGCTTTCATAAATGAGGAATTATTGGTACTTTTATTTATTTAGAAAATGTTATATTTGCCAGACTTTAACATCATTACATAATTTTACTAAAGAGTTAGGAACATACCCGCTTTCATCTGCATCATAGAATAATTTAAATAGCACAGGAATTACTCATAACAAAATTAGCAAGAATTCATCCATGAACCCTCTAGGTCTGACACTTGTTTTTGAGGATTAGTTCTTTTCTGAAATTATTGCATGTTTGTTAGTGAAACAGAGTTTTTTGTCTTTTCTTGAATCAACATGGCCAGTTTTAAATTTTTCTACTCCGTAATATCTTTCAATCAGATTTTCAAATTTATTAACTTAAGGTTATACTTTTAAAATTGTTACTTTTCCACACTTGTATGTATTTCTTTCACTCTATCCCTTTCCTAATGAGATTAACTGAGATATACATTTTAATTATTTGTTTAAAATAACCAAATCTTGGTATTATTTATCAGTTTTGTTGTTTTCTCCCTAACCATTAATTTTTGCTTTTTTCTTATTTTTCCCCTTAAGCTTAGCTGCAATATTTTTATCCCTTTTTGTACCTACTGATTTCTTAATTCATTTTTAATATTTTTTCTTACTTGATTAAAAAAATAAAATGATAAATTCTCTCCTGAACATAATTTTGACCACACTCAAAATACTTTGATATTAACATATTCATTATCAACATTTTCTAGTCTATATTGGTACTTTTAATTTCTTTACTAAGTCAAAAATTATTTATGAGAGTTATAAATTGTTGTCTTGTGACCAATAAATTTAACTTGATTTATTTCAATTGTGAGAATATTTTGAGATTTTTCTTTTAGTCCTAATATATGTTAAATTGTTACAATATCCCATGGCTTGTTGAGAAGGCATATTCCCTATAAAGTTTAACATTTGTTCATTTGATGAGGATAGGATAGGGAGGGAGGATGGCTGATCTGAAATATAATGTTTAAGAAAGGGTACTTGGATAAACTGATAAGAAATGAAAGAACAATAAGAACAAAAGCGTAGTTCTTTTTTTTCTTTTTTCTGTTTCTTTCTTTTTTCTTTTTTTTTTTTTTTTTTTTGAGAAAGAGGCAGTGGCATGATCATGGTTCACTGCCTTGAACTCCCAGGCTCAAGCGATTCTCCCACCTCAGCCTCCTGAGTAGCTGGAACTACAGGTGCACACACCATGCTCGGCTAATTTTTTTATATTTTGTAGAGATATAATCCCACTATGTTGCCCAGGCTAGTCTGAAACTCTTGGAATCAAGTAATCCTCCCACCTCAGCCTTCCAAAATGCTGGGATTACAGGCATGAGCCACCATGCTCAGCCAGGCCTAGTTCTACATTTCATCTATTGTGTATTTTCACTTCAATAATGCTAATTTTTTTTTTTTTTTTTTTTGAGATGGAGTCTCTCTCTGTCGCCTGGGCTGGAGTGCAGTGGCACGATCTTGGCTCACTGCAAACTCCTCCTCCCAGGTTCACGCCATTCTCCTACCTCAGCCTCCCCAGCAGCTGGGACTACAGGCGCCCGCCACCACGCCCGGCTGATTTTTTGTATTTTTAGTAGAGATGGGGTTT
The DNA here is from genome assembly GCF_000001405.40 of Homo sapiens. Classification (NCBI taxonomy): domain Eukaryota; kingdom Metazoa; phylum Chordata; class Mammalia; order Primates; family Hominidae; genus Homo; species Homo sapiens. The sequence continues at coordinate 26,142,237 of NC_000018.10, forward strand.
CACCGTGTTAGCCAGGATGGTCTCTATCTCCTGACCTCGTGATCCACCCACCTCGGCCTCCCCAATAATGCTACTTTATAACACATATTTTTATACAGTGATATTGTATAAATCAGTATTAATATCACACTTGACTACAAAGCAATTATAAACACCAATACCTATGTCAAAATTTTTAGATTACCCCTGTAATACAGAACCAAAATTCTAAACTTTCCTCTAAAAAAGAGGAGAGAAAAAGGAGCAATAGTCACCCTACTTGTATTCTTCTTGTTTGAATAGAGGCTTTCTTTATCAGTAATGTAGGATAAGGACATTTGGTCTTTCTCTTGGCTGCTTGTGGCCCCTGTCTTAACTTAGATTATTTGAGCTGCTAAAACAAAAGACAATAGACAGGGCACTTTATAAACAACAGAAATTTATTTCTCACAATTCTAAAGACTGGGAAATCCAAGATCAAGGCCTATTCAGTGTCTGGAGAGTACCCATTTCCTAGTTCATAGTTAGAACTTTCTTGCTGTGTCCTCACATGGTGGAAAGCGCAAACAAGCTCTCTTAGGCCTCTTTAATAAGGGCACGAATCCCAGTCAACCATCATGACCTAATCACCTCTCAAAGGCCCTACCTCCTGATAGTATCACCTTAGGGGTTAGGATTTCAACATACGAATTTGGGGGGAATATAAATATTCAAACCACAGCAACTCAATCCCTATCCCTCCAAATTGTGAAATACATGGGAAAACTTTTACAGAATTTTATCTATTTAACTTTCTTTACTGCCATTAATACTACCAGCACTAGTACTGCCGCCTTTATAAAGAATCCACATGGATTCCCGGCATCTTCTTTCATTTTGCTTAATTTTGCACTATATAGCAGATTCTCAAATAACATTGTTTTGTTCAACATTCTTTTGTTATAACATTGATGAGAAAAAAAATCGATTCCCACCGAAGGCCACTCTATATGGAGTTTGTTAGTTTTCCCCGTGTCTGCATGGGTTTTCTCCATGTACTCCAATTTCCTCCAACATCCCAAAGATGTGTGCGTTAGGTTAATTGATGTGTCTAAATTGTCCCAATCTGAGTGAGTGTGTGTGTGTATGAGCAAAGCCTATGATGGAATGGCATCCTGTCCATGGTTGGTTCCTGCCTTGTACCCTGAACTGCTGCAATAGGCTGCAGCCACCTGTGATCCTGAACTTGGATAGGCAGATTGGAAAATGAATGAATGAATACAAATTATTATAAAATAAAAATTTATAAAGTATATAATAATCATACAGATGCACAACAGTAAACAACGAGGTATGAAAGCACTTAGTGAGCTTGTCGTAGACCTTATTGTTTGTTTTTGAACTGAATGGTGGTAGGAGATGCTCTTTAAAATTTTTGCTTTGCAAACGTTTATTCTTTGATTTAACCCACCACCACTATGACTGCTGTCACTCATGGATTCACCAAAAATTGGATAAATAATTATCATACTTTCTTTTTTTTTTGAGCTTGAGTCTCGCTCTGTTGCCCAGGCTGGAGTGCAGTGGCGCAATCTCTGCTTACTGCAAGCTCTGCTTCCTGGGTTCCAGCGATTCTCCTGGCTCAGCCTCCTGAGTTGCTGGGACTACAGGTGCCTGCCACTATGCCCGGCTAATTTTTGTGTTTTTAGTAGAGACGGGGTTTCACCATGTTGGCCAGGCTGGTCTCGAACTCCAGACCTCAAGTCGTCCTCCTGCCTCAGCCTCCCAAAGTGCTAGGATTATAGTGCTGTGAGCCACCGTGCCCAGCCTTATCATACTTGTTTTTGTTAGTGTTTGTTATATATACAGCTCACATTTATTTCAGTGTTTAATATTAGAGGTGTTTTAGGTATTTGTTTAGAAGTTTGGGGATGTTTTTGTGACCAGAAATATTTCATATGAACCTAACTCCTGTTTATATTAATTGGGGTGTGATAAAATTGGTTTCATTATACATCATTTGCTTATAGTTGCAATTTTCAAGAACCTGTCAATGACATTGAGAACTTACCGTATTTAGATAGTGCTTTTTTCAGGTGTATTGTATGAGATTAGGACACTCATAATTTCAGCATTGGTGGTATTTTCTTTGCAATTTCTACCTATTTGTCTTCCTTGCTTTGAGTCTGGGGAATGGATCTCCAGTAAGCCTATACCTATGAAGCTGTTTTCTAGAAAGTTACTTTTCTTGTTTTTATTGAATACTTAAGGAGAAGTCATTTCCCCTAAGTCATATGTTAGAATAACTTGGTTTTATATTTTAAACTGACATCTGAATATATATGTATTTTAATGACTTGACAGGTCGGAATTCGAGGTACCAATATAGTTGTTCTTGGGGTAGAAAAAAAATCTGTTGCCAAGCTTCAAGATGAAAGAACTGTGAGGAAAATTTGTGCCCTTGATGACCATGTCTGCATGGCTTTTGCAGGTACTTAAGGTCCTACAATAATGATGCATAGTGTCTTACTGTAGTAGGGCAACACAGTTAACCTCAGTGCTGCAGTTGTGCTATATTTATAAAACATGTGGAGTTGTTCTACAAACAATATATCCTACGTTTTAAAGCAAATACTAACTTTGTAAACCAGGATTTTTGATAAAGTACAAATGTTAAAAGATATATATTACTTTACTTCAAAATTTAGGTAGCTATTTTCTTTTCAAAACTTTTTATTTTTAAATAATTACAGATTTAGAAGAAGCTACCAAAAACATAGAAAGTCCCCTTTACACAGTTTCCCTAAATGGTAACATCTTCAAAACCAGTAAATTGACATTTGCTGAGAGTGTATTCAGATTTTGCCAGTTTTACATGCATTCACTTGCATGTTCATGTACATGTATGTAGTTTTTTGTTTTTGTTTTTATTTTTATTTTTGAGACAGAGTTTCACTCTTGTTGCCCAGGCTGGAGTGCAATGGCGCGATCTCTGCTCACTGCAACCTCCACCTCCCGGGTTCAAGCAATTCTCCTGCCTCAGCCTCCCGAGTAGCTGGGATTACAGGCATGCATCACCACACCCGGCTAATTTTGTATTTTTAGTGGAGACGGGGTTTCTCCATGTTGGTCAGGCTGGTCTTGAACTCCTGACCTCGGGTGATCCACCCGCCACAGTCTCCCAAAGTGCTGGGATTACAGGTGTGAGCCACCGCGCCCGGCCTCTGTGTGCAGTTTTATTACACTAACCACATATGTAGATTCATGTAGTCATCACCACACTCAAGATACATAACTCTTCCATCACCACAAGACTACCTCATGCTATTTCTTCTCACCATCTCTACTTTCTGGAAACTGCTATCTATTCTGTATCTCTATAATTTTGTCATTTTGAGAATGTTATATGGATAAAGTTATATAATATATAACCCTTTCAGATTAATCTTTTTTATTCAGCATAATTCCCTTGCAGTTCATGCAAGTTGTTGCATATATCCATTCCTTTTTATTACTGAGTAGTATTCCATGGAATAAAGGCACCAGTGGGTTTGTTAACTCTCCTATTGAGGGACATTTGGGTTATTTCCAATTTTTGACTATTGTAAATAATGCCTCTATGAATATTTGTTTACAGATTTTTGAGTGAAAGTAGGATTTCATTTCTCTGGGACAAATTCCTAAGAGTATAGTTGCTGGATTATATGATAATCCATGCTTAGTTTTATGAAACACTGCCAGTCCAGAGTGGTTATACTATTTTAAATTCCAACTAGCAATATATGAGTGATTCATTTGCTCTGTGTTATCAGCATTTGCTATTGTTGCTTTTCTTCATTTTTTTATATTCTTATACATGTGTACTGATATCTAATTGTAAGTTTAATTTTTATTTCCCTCACGGCTAATAATTTTGAACTTATTTTTATGTGCTTATTTGCCCCTATACAGCAAATAAGACATGCCTCTTGTCTTTTTTTTTTTCCTCATCTTCTGATTGGGTTTTTTTTTTTTAACTGTAATTTTATATTGAAGTTTAACAATCTCATTCAAGCCACACATGATGGTGCACATCTGTAATTGCACCTACTCAGGAGGTCGAGGCAGGAGAATTACTTGAGCTTAGAAGTTTGAGTTCAGCTTGGGCAACTGAGCAAGATACTATCTCTTAAAAAATAAAAAAATTAAAACCTCATTCAGAAAAACAAAAATGCCTTTATTGTGCTGTCTTTAAGAAGGAATTATCTTTTCACAAAACAAGTCTTAATAAATATAAAAACATTGAAGCATCCAGGCATAGTGGCTCATACCTGTAATCCCAAGATCTTGGAAAGCTGAGGCAGGCAGATCATTTGAGCCCAAAAGTTCGAGCCTGTCTGAGCAACATGGTGAAACTTCATCTCAAAAAAAATACAAAAATTAGCTGGGGATGGTGGCGTGTGCCTATAGTCCCAGCTACTTGGGAGGCTGGGCTGGGAAGATCCATTGAACCCAGCAGGTTGAGGCTGCAGTGAGCTGTGATCACACCACTGCATTCCAGTCCAGGCAACAGAGTGAGACCCTATGTATCAGTCCATTCTTGCATTGCTATAAAGAAACACCTGAAAAACAACAACAACAAAACAGAAATACCTGAGACTGGGTAACTTATAAAGAAAAGATATTTAATTGGTTCACAGTTCCGTAGGCTGTACAGGAAGCATAGCAGCTTCTGCTTTTGGGCGGCCTCAGTAAGCTTTCAATCATGGTAGAAGGCAAAGGGGGAGTGAGACATCTCACATGGCCAGAGCAGGAAGAAGAGAGAGAGAAGGGAGAGGTGCCAAATACACTTAAACAATCAGATCTCGTTAGAACTCTATCACAAGAACAGCATTGGGGGATAGTGCTAAGCTAGTCATGAGAAACCATCCCCATGAGCCAATCACCTTATATCAGGCCCCACCTCCAACTTTGGGGATTACAGTTATACATGAGATTTGGGTGGGTACAGAGATCCAAACCATATCACCCTGTCTCAAAAAAAAAAAAAAAAAAAAAAGATTGAAACCATACAGAGTATTTTTTTCTGATCAAAATGGAATGGAACTAGAAATTAGTAGTGGAAGGAAGACGTGAAAATCCACAAACACGTGGAGTTAAGCAATATATTCCTAAATCACCCATGGGGCAATGAAAAAAATCACAAGGGAAATGAACAGATATCTTGAGAGAAAGGCAAATAAAAGCACAACATATCAAAACTTGGGGAATGTATTGAAAGTAGTGCTAATAGGAAAATTTATAGCCATAAACATTTACATTAAAAAAGAAAGATCTCAATTCAACAGCCTGCCTTTATACCTTAAAACTAGGAAAATAAGAATAAACTAAGTTTAAAGCTAGTAGAAAGAAGTAATAAATCCCTGATGACTCTTTCCCCTAGATTGTATATCATATTGTTTGTTAGCATGTAGTGTTTTTAGCTTTCTACTGTTATAAAATATTGTAGTGCTAAATTTGAGAAAAAGAAGTATAAAGATCAGAACATAGATAAATAACAGAATAGAAAAACAAAAGAGAAAAATAACAAAACCAAGAGTTGGTTCTTTGAAAAGATCAACAAAACTGACAACTCTTTAGCTAGATTGACTAAGAAAAAAAGAGAGAAGACTCAAGTAAAATGAGAAATGAAGAAGGGGACATTAGTGCCAGTTTTACAGTTTTAATTCTTAAAAACAATTTTAAGAGAGTACTGTGAACAATTGTACATAGACAGAATTCCTTGAAACACACCTTGCTCAATAAGATATATTAATAGAAAATCTGAACAGACACAATAAGACATTGAATGAGTTATTAAAAACCTCCCAACAAAGGAAAGTCTAGGATCTAACGACTTCACCAGTGAATCCTACCAAACATTTTAATGAAGAATTAATAGCAGTCCTTCTGAAACTCTTCCAAAAAGTTAAGGAGTAAACACTTCCAAGTTTAATCTATAAGACCAATATTAACATAATGCCAAAGCCAAAGACATTACAAGAAAAGAAAACTATAGACAAATATCCCTTATGAGCAGTGAGCAAAAATCCTCAACAAACTAGTAGCAAACCAAATTCAGAACTTTAAAATAATAATACATCATGACCAATTTGGATCTATCCCTGGAGTGCAAGCATGGTTCAACATATGAAGATCAATCAATGTAATATACCACATTAACAGAAGGAAAGAAAAAAACTATATAATTATATAAATTATATAGAAAATGCATTTGACAAAATTTAACACTCTTTCTTGGTAATGGCACCCAACAAACTAGAAATAAAAGGAAATCACCACAACATAATTCAGGCTATCTATGTAAAAAATTCACAGCTGACATCATACTCAGTGGTGAAAGATTGAAAGCTTTCCCTCTAGAACCAGGAACAAGATAAAGATGCCCACTTTTGCCGCTGCTATTCAACATAGTAATGAAAGTCTTAGCCAGAGCAGTTAGGAAAGAAAAATAAATAAAGGTATCCAAATTGGGAGGGAAGAAAAATCATCTCTGTTCACAGAAGACATGATCTTATATAGAATACTAAAGATTCCACCAAAAATGTTACAAATAATAAACAAATTGAGCAAAGTTGTAGGACACAAAATCAACACCCCGGAGTAATTTCTTTCTTTTTCTTTTTAATTTGAAACAGGGTCTCACTCTATCACTCAGCCTGAAGCACAGTGGCATCACCATAGCTCACTGCAGCCTTGAACTCCAGGGCTCAAGCAACCCTCCCACCTCAGCCTCCTGAATGCAGGTGTGTGCCACTGCACCTGGCAATTTTTTTTAATTTTTATTTTTGTAGAGACAGGATCTCACTATGTTGCCCAGGCTGGTCTCAAACTCTTGGCCTCAAGTGATCCTCCCATCTCAGCCTCCCAAAGTGTTACAATAAAGGTGTGAGTCACCACACCAAGCCCCAAATCATTTCTATGTACTGACAATGAACCGTCAGGAAAGGAAATTAAGAAAAACAATTCCATGTCAATAGCATCAAAAAGAATAAAATACTTATTGGGAATGAATTTAAGGAGGCAAAAGATTTGTACTCTGAAAAATGCAAAACATTGCTGAAAGAAATTGAAAAAGACACAAATGGAAAGACATCCCGCATTCATGGATTGGAAGACTCAGGATTATTAACATGTCAATATTATCCAAAGCAATTTAGATTCAATGTCATCCCTAACAAAATTTCAATGATTTTTTTAAATAAAAAAGAATTATGACATTCATATGGAATGACAAAACAATTTTGAAAGAGAAGAGCCAACTTAGAGGTCTCACATGTCTTGTTTTTGAAAGCTACTACAAAGATACAGTAAGCAAAATAGTTTCATGACTGGCTTAATGAAAGACATGTAACTAATGGAATTGAATAGAGAACATAGTAATAAATCCTTGCATGTATGATATGGTCAAATGACTTTTATCAAGGATGCCAAGACTACTCAGTAGGGGAAAAGACAATCTTCTAAACAAATGGTGCAGGGGAAACTGAATATTCACATAAAAAGAATGAAGTAGGACTCTACCTAACATCACATACAAAAATTAACTCAAAATGAATGAAAGACCTAAACATAAGAGCTGAAAATATAAAGCATAGTGGGAAAGCTTCATGAGATTAGATTTGGAAATGATTTCTTGAATATGACACTAAAAGTACAGGTGAAAAAATAAGTTGGACTACAAAAAAATTATTTCATGTACCATGTGGAATTCCACTTAATAGCAGAAGTTTTACATTATGATTGTATCCTCAATATAAAATTGTGGTACAGGTTGAACACACCCAATTGGAAAATCCAAAATGTTCCAAAATCTGAAAATTTTTGAGCACCAACATGATGCTCAAAGGAAATGCTCATTGGAGCCTTTTGGATTTTTGATTTTCAGATTAGGGATGCCCAACCAGTAAGTATAACGCAAATATTCCAAAACCTGGAAAAACATCTGAAACACTTCTGATCCCAAGCATTTTCAGATGAGCGATGAGGGATACTCAACCTGTACATATTTCAGAGCACTTGACTGAATACTCATTTTTTTCTGTAGATTGTTTATTTTTAAGCAAAGTGAAATTGTAATTTTAAACTTAAATTTTAATTTGATTCCTTTTTTTTTTTTCAGAGACAGGTTTTCACTTTGTCACCCCCAGTGGGAGTACAGTGGCACGATCATAGCTCACTGCAGCCTTAAACTCCTGGGCTCAAGCAATCCCCCCGCCGCAGCCTCCCAAGTAGCTAGGACTACAGGCATGTGCCAGCATGGCCTGCTAGCTTTTTTATTTTTTTGTAGAAACCGGGGTCTCTCTGCGTTGCTCAGGCTAGTCGCAAACACCTGGCTTCAAGCAAGTCTTCTGACTCATTAAATGTAAATTTTAATTGTAATTTGTTAAAATAGAATTTGTTCTCTGCTAGCCAATTAATAATAATCTTGCTACTTATTGAAAACAGACATACACATAACTATGTTGCTCATATACTTTGACAAACTTATCACTATTTTTTCCTCGAATCAATTATATTACTACTTTCCTAAGTATGTTACTTTTGTTTCCTCAGGCTTGGATGATATTTACATTGTAAAGGGGAAATACATACTTTGTTTGATCATATTTCAGATTGAGTGACGTTTTCATCCATAGGAAAGACTATAAATACATATTCTGTTTGATCATATTTCAAATTGAGTGATGTTTTCATCCATAGGAAAGACTAAATCAGTTTCTTGCCATTTCTTTCTCATAGATAACATTTGCAAAGGGAAAAAGAGAATCAGTTTCTCTTCATTTAACTGAGTATCTGATTACAATTTCTACCCAACTATGAGTGATGGTTAAGAGTAGCATATTCATATTAACTATCTTCAGGGACTGAAGATTCTTCCAGGTTTGTAGAAACAGGATTAGAAATGGTGTGGAAGGGAAACAAGAATTTGTGACAGCAAAAGACCAGTGATTTTGTTAGAAATGACTACGCTTCCAAGATTTTGTGAGTGCACTTTCTTGGCAATTTAGTTAGTATTAAGAGAGGAGGGAAAGAAACAAAGTGGACATGGAAAAGTCAAATGCCAAAGTTTAATAGAAATGTTTGCAACCATTGCATCAGTTAAAGTTCATGGTCAGTTTGTTGCTCTTTTGATAGAAACACATTCTGTCTCCTTACAGAAGTGTTGAGAATTAATCACATGATAGTTTGTTATTGCAAGAGCAAGGTCAAGTGTTTTCTATTTTAGCATTCTTCATTTTCAAACTCATGGTTTTAGACAAAAAACTGAGAAGTGACATGTCACAGCTTTGTTAATGTAGTTTGAATTCAGTGAATATATATTTGATAATTAAGTAATATTATTGTTTTCATAAGAATAAATCAAGTTTACTATTAGTGTTTAAACTATTATTCTTTAAAACATCTATAAAAAACAAATAAGAATGGATCAACTTAAATCTTGAAATAAATCAGAATGTAGGACAAATGACACTTTATCTCACAAGTCTTTTAAAATGAGCATGTATTGAGAAAAAAAGGATAAGAAAGATTTCATTGTGAATAAAACCCATTTGACAAGGAAAAATGTATTGTAAAAAATATGTTTTTGTGGTTTTTGTGAAGTTTTGACAATTTTTATAGGACTTACTGCTGATGCTAGAGTAGTAATAAACAGAGCCCGTGTGGAGTGCCAGAGCCATAAGCTTACGGTTGAGGACCCAGTCACTGTAGAATACATAACTCGCTTCATAGCAACTTTAAAGCAGGTAAGCTAATATTCTAACATACTTTGTTAAGCTTTCTCCTTTTTCATCATTATAAGTCCTATCATAGAAGTACTACAGTTACTCCAACCATGTAGTCTATTAAATATATTAAATTTCTTATTTCTCACACTTACTTTATATTCATATTTTTATTCCAGTAAAATGGATTGATTTAATCACTAGAAATCTGGATCAGTATTAATTCTGGGAATTACATTCAAATTTAAAAAAACAGTAAGTCTGATCTTTTAAGGAGATTTCTACACTTCTGGAGATTAATACAAAGAGTTATTTGAAGTTTTCCAGAGAAGTACCTTTTTTGTTTTGTTTTTTGTTTTTGTTTTTGTTTTTGTGTTTTTTGAGACAGGGTCTCACTTTGTTGCCCAGGCTAGAGTGTAGTGGTATGATCTTGGCCCACTGCAGCCTCGACCTTCTGGGCTCAAGCAATCCTCCCACCTCAGCCTCCTGAGTAGCTGTGACCATAGGCATAAGCCACCATGCCCAGCAAATTTTTGTATTTTTTGTACAGATGGGGTTTTGCTATATTGCCCAGGTTGGTCTTGAACTCCTGAGCTCAAGCAGTCCGCCCACCTTGACCTCCCAAAGTTCTGGGATTATAGGCATGAGCCACGGTGCCTGGCCTGCATTATTCTTTTACCTGCAACATTGCTATGGTTTGAATGTGTCCCCCAAAAGTTTGGGTTAGAAACTTAATCCCTGATGTCACAGTGTTGAGAGGTGGGGACTAATGGGAGGAGTTTAGGGTTCCACCGTCATAAATGGATTAATACCAATTATAAAAGGGCTTAATCTTTTATAATTATACCAATTATAAAAGGGCTCAATCTCTTGCTCTCTCTCATCTCTCTTGCCCTTTCACCTTCTGTGATGGGATGACATGGCATGGCATGAAAGCCCTGGCTAGATGTAGCCTTGTCAGTCTTGGACTACTCAATTTCCAGAACTGTAAGAAGCAAATGTCTGTTCTTTATACATTACCTACTCTCAGGTATTCTGGAATAGCAGCACAAAATGGACTAAAGCAAAACCTAAACATAACTGATCAGATATGATTTCTCCTCAATCCATGCAGAAATACATAGCTTAACATTAAGTATAATCATGATGTCTACAACTATTTTTTTTTACTAATTTTAAGTATATTTTATATATGCAACATTGTCTTTTTAGTTATTATTCTAACAATGTAATACTGTTTCTAGTTGCTATGTCATAATTTAGTTACATTGTTCCTGGTTTCTTTCATTTTTCTTCTCTCTCTTATTCTCTCTCTGCTGCTCTAATGATAATACTCTTTCCCACAGCTTTTGTTTTTATTTTTGGAATTATATTGTTAAATTTATTTTTTAGTATGGGATTATGAGATTAAAAATTGTAATTGGTTTTCAGATTCTTTTTATATGTAGCTAAATTGCTTTAGAAAGATTGAAACAATTTTTATTGTACAGCTAGCAATGTATAAATGTATCCTTGAAGAATCATCAACATTAGGTTTTTCATTGTTCTTTTATTTTGCAAATAAGTATCACACAGTACTATAATAGTTGTTTTAATTTGTGTCTTATAATTAGTGATGAGGTTGAACTTTTTTTCCACCTATTGGTTTGCTGATTTCATTTCTCCTTTTGTAAACTATCTTTTGACATGTACTCAAGTGGTTAAGAGTGTGCCTTCAGGAGCCAGAATTTTGGAGTTTAAATCCTGGCTTTGCTACTTCTTAGTTAATGCCTTGGGCAAACTATTTTCCTACTTTGCCTTTAATTTTTTTTTAATTTGTAAAATGAGCATCACAATAATATGAACTTCGTTGGCTCGCATTATAGAGTAAATGATTTAAGACATTTTAGGTTTTTAGAACACTTTTTGGCATGAGTTTTACCATTTGTTTTATTTTTATTTTTATTTTTTTATTTTTTGAGACAGACTCTTGCTCTGTTGCCCAGGCTGGAGTGCAGTGGCCTGATCTCAGCTCCCTGCAACCTCTGCCGCACAGGTTCAAGCAATGCTTATACCCCAGCCTCCTGAGTAGCTGGGATTACCGGCACATGCCACCACACCTGGCTAACTTTTGTATTTTTTGTACAGATGATGTTTCACCATGTTGGCCAGGCTGGTCTCGAACTCCTGAGCTCAAGTGATCTGCCCGTCTCAGCCTCCCAAAGTGCTGGGATTACAGGCATGAGCCACTGCGCCCAGTCAAATTTTACCATTTGTTTTTATAGAGATTTTTAATAAACTAATTATGTATCCTATATATGTAAGTTTTAACTGATTAGCTTATAACAAAATTGCCCTATTTTGATTTCTTGAAATTTGTTAATGCAGGTTGCAAGGAAGTCCAACATTACATTATTCTACTTATTTTATTTGCTTCGATTTTCCTAATCATTAAAAACACATTCACCAAATACAAGGAACAGAACATTGTATACACAAAATTCCCAATTGTAGTTTTTAGGTTTTCTTCCAGAAATATCAAGGCTATGCAGAGTGTATTTACGGAAACATAGTCATAAGAATGGAATTACCACCGAGAAGGCCTGGGGCTCTCCGGCAGAAGATCGATATCTCATATGCACCTTTTGTAGTTTTGGGTTTTTTGTTTGTTTATTTGTTTTTTGTTTGTTTTGAGATGGAGTCTCACTCTGTCACCAGGCTGGAGTGCAGTGGTGCAATCTTCTTGGCTCACTGCAACCTCCAACTCCCTCGTTCAAGTGATTCTCCTGCCTCAGCCTCCTGAGTAGCTGGGATTACAGGCACGTGCCACTACGCCCAGCTAATTTTTGTATTTTCAGTAGAGACGGAGTTTCACCATGTTGGCCAGGATGGTCTCGATTTCCTGACCTCGTGATCTACCCGCCTCAGCCTTCCGAAGTGCTGGGATTACAGGCGTGAGCCACCACACCCAGCCTACTTTTTTATCTTAAGAAAATGATTCATTAGTCTAGGCACGGTGGCTTATGCCTGTAATCCCAGCACTTCGGGAGGCCAAGGTGGGCAGATCACTTGAGCCCAGAGCCCAGGAGTTCAAGACCAGCGTGGGCAAAATGGTGAAACCTCATCTCTACAAAAAATAAAAAAAACAGCTGGATGTGGTGGTGCGCACCTGTAACCCCAGCTACTTGGAAGGCTGAGGCAGGAGAATTGCTTGAACCCAGGAGACGGAGGTTGCAGTAAGCCAAGATCATACCACCATACTCCAGCCTGGGCGACAGAGTGAGACTCTGTCAAAAAAAAAGAAAAGGCTCATTAAGGAAATAAAATAAAAGAGTCTTCCCTCTAAGGTATATTTACAACAGCTACTTTATACCTAGGTGTGAACTAGGACATTAGGAAATAGTCAAACCAATTTTGAACAAAAAGAACAAAGCTGGTGCCATCACACTACCTGAAATCAAAATATATTCAGAGATACAGTAACCAAAATAGCATGGTGCTTTTGTAAAAAGCAGACACATAGGCCGATGGAACAGAATAGAGAACCCAGAAATAAATCTACATACATTCAACTGATTTTCAGCAGAAATGTCAGAAACGTACATTGGAGAATGGACAGCCACTTCAATAAATGGAGCTGGGAAAACTGGATATGCAGAAAAAATGAAATGAAACCTCTGTCTCTCTCTCACCATATACAAAAATCTACTTAAAATGGACTAAAGACTTTAATGTATGATCCAAAACTATAAATCTACTAGAAGAAAATATAGAGGAAATGCTTTAGGACCTTGGGCTAGGCAAATATTTTTATGGATAAGACTTTAAAAGCACAGGCACCAAAAGCAAAATTAGGCAAATGAGATTATATCAAACTAAAAAGCTTCTGCACAGCCAAAGAAACAGTCAACAGAGTGAAGAGTCCATCTGCAAAATGAGAGAAAATATTTGCAAAATATTCATTTGACAAGGGATTAATATCTGGAATGTACGAGGAACTCAAAGAACTGAAAACCAAACAAACCCAAATAATCTTCCTAAAAAATGGGCAAATGAACTGAATAGACATTTTGCAAAAGAAGAAATACAAATGGCCAACATGTATATGAAAACATGTTCAACATCACTAATCATCAGATAAATGCTAATCAAAACCACAGTGATGTCATCTCACCTCAGAATGGCTATTATCAAAAAGACAAAAAATAACAAATGCTGGCAAGGATACAGAGAAAGGGGAACTCCCATACGCTGTTGGTGGAAATGTAAATTAATACAGACATTATGGAAAATAGTATGGAGGTTCCTCAGAAAACTATTATAGAAGTAGAACTATCCTCTAATCCCACAATCCCACTACTGGTTATGCATCATCCAAAGGTAAAGAAATCAGTATATCCAAGAGATGTATGCACCCCTGTGTTTATCACAGCAGTATTCACAATAGGGAAGATATACAACCAGCCTAAGCATTCATCAACAGATAAATGGATAAAGAAAATGTGGTATAGATACACAATTGAATACTACTTAGCCATAAAAAAGAATGAAATTCTGTCATTCGTTATAACGTGAATGAGCCTGGAGGACATTGTGTTATGTAAAATAAGTCATGCAGAGGAAGACAAATACTGCATGTCCTTATTCATATGTGGACACTAAAAAAGTTGTGTTTGTAGAAATAGAGAATAGCATACTGTGTGTGTATATATATTTTATATATATAATAATGTGTGTGTATATTTTATATATATTATATATAAAATATATATACAATATATATACAGTGTGTGTGCATATATTGTATATAATATATACACATACAGAGTATGCTACTCTATATAGATTTTGTTGTTGTTTTTTTGAGACAGGATCTCACTCTGTCACCCAGGCTGGAGTGCAGTGGCATGATCTCGTCTCACTGAAGCCTCAACCTCCCAGGCTCAAGTGATTCTCCTACCTCAGCCTCCCCAGTAGCTGGTACCACAGATGCACACCACCATGCCTGGCTAATTTTTTATTTTTGTAGAGACAGGGTTTCCCTATGTTGCCCAGGCTGGTCACGAACTGCTGGGCTCAAGCGATCTGCCTGCCTTGCCCTCCCAAAGTGGTGGGATTACAGGCGTGAGCCACTGCATCCAACCTAAAAATAAATATATATATTTTAAAATACATATAATAAAATTGGAAAATAAGAAAATAGATATGATACATAGGCAAGACCAGGAAGAAGGCTGATGTAAAGCTATTTCAAGCCACAGTTACATACAGTTATATACAGCCACAGAATTATTTATAGTATATGAAGTTGCCTAAAAATTTAGTCCTTAGACCGGGCGCGGTGGCTCATACCTATAATCCCAGCACTTTGGGAGGCCAGGGCAGGCAGATCCCCTGAGGTCAGGAGTTCGAGACCAGCCTGGCCAACCAACATGGTGAAACCCTGTCTCTTAAAAAAAAAAAAAAATTAGTCCTTAGCTTTCTGTCAGGAATGCTTCTTTGCACGACTTTTGGGGCACGAGTCTCAGTGTGAATTCTACTCCTTAGAGCACAAATTCCAGGAAGTTCCCTACCACTAAAGTAGAAATACATACAATTGGTTTCCAGTGACCCATTGTCTGTGAGGAAACAGCATGCTCTTCTTCAGGATAAACAAAGGTTTTCTTGTTTTGGGAATGAAAGAAATGTTTTACTTGGGTTTTTAATTAGAGATAACCTAGTATATAGTGAACAGAATGTCCTTGATAAAAATAGTGTCAAGTAAGAATACTTGATAATAATAGTAACATTTATAGCGTCCCTCAAGGTAAGCCGAGGACATGTTTCCAAAGCACAGCTTATTGAAATCAACTTTACTAAGAACCAAAATGCATGAAACAGGTCTCTGCTATATTAGAAATTACAGTCTAGTGATGTTACCAAACGTATACAAAGCAACAAGAAAGTGATTTTAAGACTATATGTAAATAAACTTCTGATTTTATTGTATAGACTGTATAGCATAATTTTTTAAAATTTCATCATGAATTGAGATTGCTCCAGAAAGGGTTAGGAAAAAGATCATTAATATATGTCGAATAAGAATTAGGGAAGTGGATCATTTGGGCAGCAATGCTTTATTATTAGAATTTTTATTTTGTAACTAATAGTTTTATTCTAAAAATACGTTTTATTTTTCTAGAAATATACCCAAAGCAATGGACGAAGACCTTTTGGTATTTCTGCCTTAATTGTAGGTTTTGATGATGATGGTATCTCAAGATTGTATCAGACAGATCCTTCTGGTACTTATCATGCTTGGAAGGTGAGTCATGAATTTATTAATACTTTTTTAGAAGTTTAGTAAATATTCAATGTAAATGCTTTATTGCTTTGAGAGACATGAAAAATTATGTTGCATTAAATATTGATATTGGTAAAATGTAACTATTCAGCTCGTCAGAAACTACAATGATTTTGGTTGGATAAAGAATCACCTTAATTTTGTAAGCACAAGGTCTTTTGAAAAGATGTGACCAAAGTAAGTGTTTATAAATGGCCAAGTAAGAGAAATATCCAGTTCCTATTTATTTATTATTCCAAATTAATATTGTACTATATAGACGCTTGCTTCAAGCAGAAATAGTCCTTCTTCTTTTAACAAAGAATTAGATGGACATTTAAATTCATACTGAAATATTTAATTCATCTTCTCCATTCTAGGAGAGTCAGAGCACCCTAAACTATGAATCTATACTCATGTGCTAGTACGTAGCAATGATCTCTACATAATTCCTAGCATATAGTTTGTTTTCTGGATAAGCTGTTATTCTTGTTTTGACACCCAACTACAGTAATGACTTTGTTTAATGGTGCACTCAAATCCAATACAAAAGTATAGGGCTCAGCCAGGCACGGTAGTACACACCCATGGTTCCAGATACTTGGGAGGCTGAGACAGGGGGATTGCTTGAGTCCAGAATTTTGAGGTTACAGTGAGTTATAATCATGTCTCTGCACTCCAGCCCAGGTGACAGAGCAAGACCCTGTCTGAAAAACACCAACCAAACAATGCCCCCCTGCCCCCCGCAAAAAACACTGCTACATGCCAGAGAAACCTAGCTTCCAGGAGTGAATTTTTATATATTCCTGTATATAAGAATAAGACTACACTACAGAATCCAATATAACTGATTTTGACTTTATTAAAAGTTAAATACCCAGATTTTAAATAGTTTTCTACAAAGTTGATTTTACTATTATTAAGAGCCAAATAAATTAATGGAGAAATATTGCCATGGTCTTTATGCTTGTGTTAAATGAAGAATTTGATTTGCACTGACCATACTCATAAGATACTGTTTTGTAAACCGTTAACCAGGCAGTAAAGCAGTGGATTATTCTTACAACAAATATCAGAATACTTATGTTAGTGGCACATATCTTTTTAATCTGCCTGAGTAATCTAATTAGTAATCAGAAGGTATAGATTTACATGCTGCAAATATCAGACCATTTTTTCCTGTCAACTAGAGATCTCTTACCTGTACTAGATTTCTTGTCTCCTAAATCTGTGCCCTAAACAAACCAAGTTACTACACTCAATCTTTAAATATTTTAAAGCCTGCCATCTTCTGTTTGCATTTATCATTACATCATTACCCTTTGTTTCTATATCGTAACACAACATTTTCCAGGTTTACATAATTTTTCGGTTTTAATTTGATTGCTTCTTAGGGACGTACAGAGAAGTATTTTATTTTATCTCAGTCAGGAAAATTATGGAATTTTTTAGTTGTTGAGAATTTTGTTGATCATCTTGGTCTGAAACTCTGCTCTGCTCTGGTGTCTTCAGTTCTCATGGTGGGACAGGAGGATATAAGCACGGCGCACTCGCTTGCATACACGTGGATACCCCACTGATTACATTTTATGTAGTGCACTTTCTGGTGGGATTTTGGTTGAGGGAAATATTACGCAGCTTTTAAAAAAAATCATCTTTAACAAAAAACATTTGAAAACCTTTTTTATTTTATGTATTTGGCAGCTGAGATTTAGGGGTTAAGTGATTTTTGTTGCTGTTGTTAAGTTTACCTTCCCAACCTGGTGTGGTAGCTCACTTCTGTAGTCCCAGCACTTTGGGCAGCCAAGGCAAAAGGATTACTTGAATGCAGGAGTTCGAGACCACCCTGGGCAATGTAATAAGACCCCACTTCTACAAAAACAATTTAAATCTTAGCCAGGCATTGGTGGTACACACTTGTAGTCCCAGCTACTTTGGAAGCTAATGTGGAAGGATCACTTCAGCCCAAGAGTTTGAAGCTGCAGTAAGCTAGGATCATACCACTGCACTCCAACCTGAGTGACAGAGTGAGACCCTGTCTCAAAACAAAAAAGTTCACATTCCTAGTTAATAGCAATACTGAATTAGAACTCAAGATGTTCTATTTATTTCATTCTATGTTGTTTGCATTACATCATGCTACTTCCTTTAGGCCAGATTATTTTCTCTGCATGTTATATAAATTCTAAAATCCATTCTTGGAAGGTAGAATAAAATCTTCTGACTTGATTTCTACTTCTGGGAACTATAACATTTTAGCTATGAGATCAAGTTTTTCTTTTTTTGTTTTGTTTGGATCTGTGTTTTATTTTTTATGTCTGTTTGTTTTTTACTCTGACATACTATACCAAGTAACCTGATAAATGTTGCAATGGACTATTGAGAACACAGCTATGGTACTGAGCATATTTTGCAATGCTATTTTGTAGGCTTATGAGGTATAGGTAGAGGAAAAGATAGAATGGGTAGGAGAAATAGGAAGTTATGAACATAAACTGTCGCCACATGGCCTGTTGCAGAAATGAGAATAGAAATAGCTAATACCAGCAGTTTGGTTTTTTGAGGTTCTCTACCTGGCATGTAACACAGATTTTATTTATGAGGACTGGGCCTTTAATGATCCTGCCATAATGGGTAATAGTGCCTTCCATTAAGTTATTTCATTTTACAGGGGAATGCTAAGAGAAGCCTCCAGAAAATACTTTGAATTTTAGATACCTCCTCCCTGGTCCTATTGTATAATGGTAACTTTATTCCCATTGATGATGAAAACAAATCATACTGTCATTACAGTAACCCCTTATTTGCCTGTTGGTTCAATAACATGAGGAGTCCAAAATGGCCAAGTGGCAATCTCAGCTTGTAGTTCCGTGAAATTATTATGTCCCCTGATAGAAACATCCTCCCCACTTATCTCCCCTTCTTTTTCTTGGGAACTAGAACCTTTAAACTAGCAGAACCAAGTGGGGACAAGAGACAAAGATTTACAAGTGGGCCATTAAGGATATTCATGAGACACATCTATTCCTTAGTTCCTAGATTTGTAGGCATGTGAAAAATGAATTACTAGTTTATGGCTCAGGGTACATACAGGATCTTATAGAACAGAACCCTATCCCTGTAAGATGTCACACAGCTACTGCTATTACTGAGTCTTCATAGCCTGTTCTAGAATTACTATCAGGCTGGCTAATTCAAGGTGATGAGAGAACATAGTAAAACCAATGAATCTCATGAACATAAGCCAATTCCCCTACTTCCTCACAATCAGTTCCTTGCTCAGAGGCTATGTTTTCTAGAATACTATGATGGTGAAGAAAGCTATTCAGGTCAGCTAAAGTGGTGCATGGCAGTAGTCCTAGCTACTTGAGAAGCTGAGGCAGGAGAATGGCTTGAGCCCAGGAGTTCCAGGCTGTAGTGCACTATGATCATGCCTGCAAATAGCCACTGCACTGCAGCCTGGACAACATAGACTGTTTCTAAAAAAAATGCAAGGAAGTATTCAGTTAAGTCCATAGGTGGGAGAGCTGACAGAAGCAGTTGGCACAAGTAGGGGAAACTTATATCCTGGGTGAGTTTCTCTTCCATTGAGGGCAAGCTGCTGCCCTTTCCATGGCAGAAAAGTCCAACAAACTCAGTCAGCCATGTTGTCAGGTTGCCATGAAGCTCTGCCAGTATCCAGATTAAAAAAACAGGGGTACAGTAAGGAAACACTCATTTTTAGATTTTTTTCTTTATACATTTTTGTACTGAAGAAGATATTTAGAAAATTTTTGACAGATGAAAAAATTCTATATATTTATGGTTGTAAATGTGATGCTTCAATGTGTGTGTACATTGTGGCATGATTTAAATCAAGCTAATTAATATACCCATCATCTCACATACTTATTTTTGTGATGAGAACATTTAAAATCTACTCTCTTTAAGCAATTTTCAATATACAGTACGTTATTAATAACTGTAGTCACCATGCTGTACAGTAGATCTCCAGAATTTATTTCTCCTGACTGAAACTTTGTACCCTTGAACTAACAACTTTCCATCCCCTTTCCCTCCTCTGCCCTCCCCTGTTAACCACCATTCTATTCTCTGCTTCTATGAGTTCATTTTTTTTTTTTAGGTTCCACATATAAGTGAGATCATAAAGTATTTGTCTTTCTGTACTTGGCTTAAAAGAAAATTTTTTAGTGGAGTAACAGGTTCTGGCATTTGGCCAATTACATTAAATTAACTAAAAACTCTCCTTCTATAAACATCTGCAGGGCTAGAATGATTATTAACATTTTTAATGCATAGCTAAATACAAAAATAAAATCCTGGCTGGGCGCGGTGTCTCATGCCTGTAATCCCAGCACTTTGGGAGGCCGAGGTGGGCAGATCACAAGGTCAGGAGATTGAGACCATCCTGGCTAACACGGTGAAACCCCATCTCTACTAAAAATACAAAAAAATTAGCCAGGCGCAGTGGCAGGCACCTGTAGTCCCAGCTACTCAGGAGGCTGAGGCAGGAGAATGGTGTGAACCCAGGAGGCGGAGCTTGCAGTGAGCTGAGATCACACCACTGCACTCCAGCTTGGACAACAGAGCAAGACTCCATCTCAAAAATGAAATAAAATAAAATAAAATCCTAAAGGTCCAGAAATAAGGAATTGAATACCAGAATAATAAGCATGTGAGTTGATAACTGTACTTAGGGATGTTATAGTGCAGGATTCCCAAAGATTATTCACCATCAAAAGTATAAAATATATAAACAGCCCATCATTTAACAAGTATTCAGTCTATAAATACTGAATTTTTATTACATATTAAATACTGTTCTAGGTTATGGGAATATAGAGGTGAACTCAACAGATGAAAATTCCTGCCCCTATGAAAAAGGGAGGACAGACAATATAAAAATCTAAATACAACAATATAAAAGGTGGTGTGTGTTTATGTGTGTGTGTATATATATATATATATATATATATATATATATATATATATATATATATGCTGTGAGTAAAATGAGACAACAGGGTTAGGAGGATAGAGAATGACTGATATACACAAGGTGGTCAGGGAAGGTCCCTTTGAAAAGGAGACATTTGAACAGAGACCTGAAGAAAGTGAAGGAGCAAGCCAGCCAGTTATTTGCTTTGGTGTTCCAAACACAGAAACAAAAGGGCAAAATCCCAAGGCAGTAGCATGTTCCATATTTATAAAAAATAGCAACTAGGCTATTATAGCTAGATTTCTATGCTAGAGCATACAGGCTAAGCATCTATAATCCAAAAATTAGAAATCTGAAATGCTTCAAAATCTCAAACTTTTTGAGCACCAACGTGACTACGCTACAGCAAGTCAACAAGAAATACAGTGGTAAGAAATGAAGTATTCAGAGGTAGGGGGCTAGATCTTGTGGGGCTAGATCTTGTAGGGCTAGAAAGCCTTGGATAGGACTTAAATTATTATATTAAATAAAGTGATGTAGAAAGCCATTTGAAGTTTTTACATATTGGGATAACACAATCTGATTTATACTTTTAATGTGTCTCTCTAGCTGCTATATTGAGAATAGATGGTAGAGAACTTAGGGTAGAAGCAGGGAGATAAGTTACAGGCTATGTTCAATAATCCAGGCAAGACCTGATTTAGATTAGAGGCATTGGGCCAGGGAAAGGTTGGGAAGGACCCAGCATAGTCTACAAAGGAGGAGAACTCGGAGACAAGTGTTCTGGATCCCAAGTGAAAACAGTGTTTGAAGAAAGAGTTATCAATTTACTCAGTTCCATCAAGTAAAAAGAGGGCTGTGAAATGAATGGATTTAGCAATGTGCAGGTCATTGGTGACCTTTACAAGAACAGTTTGGATGGAGTGATGGTGATGAAAGCATGACTGGAGTGGATTTAGAAGAAAAAGGCTCATACCTGTAATCCCAGCACTTTGGGAGGCCAAGGTGGGAGGATCACTTGAGGCCAGGAGCTCAAGACCAGCCTGGGCAACATAGTGAGGCCTTGTCTCTACAAAATTAAAAATAGATAAATAATAAAAGAAAAGGGGAGAGGGACGATCAAGAATCATTAAGGGGTGCCAAAACCATCAAGTGAAAGATGGCTGGGAAAAGGATATTCACGTGGTGCCACATATTACTTGTTAATCACAAAGTTGTGGCGGACACCACCATCACCATCAAACTTAGCATCTCCTATAAGAGGATAAACTGGCATTATATGCGTCCTGCTGTGATGCAATGGAAAAGAAATAACATGACCTTAGTAGTATTATTGTCATTGGATTTAACCTAAATCTGATTGAGGGAACAATCAGCTAAATCTCAGTTGTAAAGCATTCTACAGGATATTTCAAAAATGTTAATGTTAATGAAAAACAAAATAAAGGCATGGAAACTTTTCTAGTTTAAAGGACACTAAAGAATTTATGCAATCCAAGATTTTTGACTGTATACTGGATGTGGGAAAAACAGATGCAAAGGACATTTTGAGGACAACCAGAGACACTTAAATATGGATTGTATATTAGATAATGTTGTGTCTGTTTTAAATTTTCGGGATGTGATTATTATAATGTAATTATATAAGAGAACAACTTTGTGGGTTTTTGTTGAGGGGGGAGGGTTGTTGGAGTTTTTGGTTTTTTTGTTTTGTTTTGTTTTGTTTTGTTTTTTGAGACGGAATCTCTCTCTGTCACCCAGGCTGGAGTGCAATGGTACCATCTCGGCTTACTGCAGCCTCCACCTCCCAGGTTCAAGCGATTCTTCTGCCTCAGCCTCCCAAGTAGCTGGGATTACAGGTGCCTGCCACCATGCCAAGTTAATTTTTAGGAGAGACGGGGTTTCACGCTGTTGGCAGGCTGCTCTGGAACTCCTGACCTCAAGCAATCCACCCACCTCAGCTTCCGAAAGTGCTGGGATTACAAGGGTGAGCCACCACACCTGGCCGAGAACAACTTTGTTTTAAAGAGGTAGATGCTGAAATAGTTAAGGATGAAATATAATGACATCTGCAACTTCAGCATTAAAATGTGTGTGTATGCGTGCGCACGCATGCACCCACGCCTGCATCTAAATTGAGAGAAGTAAAACAAATACCTCAAAATGTTAATAGTTCATGAATCCAAGCAAAGAGTGCGGTGTTAGTTGTTCGTTGTACTTTACACTTTTCGTAAGTTTAAATTTTTCCAAAATAAAAAATTGAAGAAAAGGAAATAGGAAGTAAAGATATTGCTTTTAAGAAATTTGGCTATAAACAGGAGCAGACAAACGAACAGTAGCTAGAGGAGAATATAGGTTCAAGGGAATTTTCCCCCCCCAAGATTGGCAACGCTATAGGATTCCATCATTCAACAACAGTATTAAGCTCTTACTATGTACTAGGTACTCTTCTGGACACTGGGGATAGCAGTGATAAAAAAAAAAATCTCTACCTTTTAGAGATTAGAGAAAGATAAGCAAAACATATGGTCTTTAGATGGAATTAGAATCTACCCAGATGATTCATTTGACCTGCCAGATTTGCTACTCATTGTTTAAATTTGAAAAACTACGGCCAGGCGTGGTGGCTCACACCTGTAATCCCAGCACTTTGGGAGGCCGAGGCAGGTGGATCACCTGAGGTCAGGAGTTTGAGACCAGCCTGGCCAACATGGTGAAACCCCATCTCTACTAAAAAAAAAATACAAAAAATTAGCTGTTCCTGGTGGTGTATGCATGTAATCCCAGCTACTTGGGAGGCTGAGGCAGGAGAATTGCTTGAACCCAGGAGGCAGAGGTTGCAGTGAGCCAAGGTCCTGCCATTGCATTCCAGCCTGGGCAACAGAGTGAGACTCTGTCTCAAAAAGAAAAAGAAAAAAAGAAAAGAAAAGAAAAACTGCAACATTATGAACTTTCAAGTAGGTCTGTGTGGAATCCTTATTGTGCATGGGTTGCTTGGCTTTATACGCTTAAAGGATTTGGCCAAATATGATATACAGTAAAAAGTGGCAGATTTCAAAATGTGATCTGCAAATCCCTGACCCATTAGGTAAAAACTATTTTCCTAATAATACTGAGACAATATTTCCCATTTTCACTGCATGGACACATACACTGATGGCATAGAAGTGATCATGGATAAAATTGCTGGTATCTTGGTACACAACTGTGTTAGCTCTCATTTTTTTCTTTACCACCATACATTTGCAATTAAAAACTCAATAAATTTGACTTTAACATGAGTTCTTTTTGATGAAACCATAAAGATTGTTAGTTTTATTAAATCTTGACTCAGGTATACATCTTTTTAACATTCTGTGTGATGAAATGGAAGTACTCATAAACATGTTTGCTGCAGGTATGGTGAATGTCTTGAGGAAAAGCAGTTTTGTGATTGTTTGAATTGCAAGCTAAAACAGCCCATCTTTTACGGAACTTCATTTTTACTTGACAAAACAATAAATAACCATGGTTATTAGGACTTGGAGATTTGGCAGGACATATTCTCAAGGATGAGCAAACTGAGCCTGTTACTTTAAGGAAACAACTGACAGTTGTTTCCAATGATTTGTTGCCAGTGATAAAATTCAAGTTTTCAAGCAAAAATTATAATTTTGGAAAACATGTATTTGCCACAATGAGCCTGACAGTTTCTTTGCGAAAAATTAATAAGCATGATTATTTAATGTTTTAGAAATCACATGGGTCAACATTTAGAAGATCTGCATAATTCAGTAAACCAGTTTTCCAAATGAGCAAGCATGACATTACAAAATCTTGCAAAATAAAATACCTATTCAAAGCAAACATTGTGTAGGTTTTACCAATCCCTATTGACTATTAGAAATTAAAACTGAGAAATTTTAAAATATTAATGTATAAAAAGCCAAGAGACTAATATAACAGTAAAAAAGTTTATGTGGTTGCAGATTTTAATTTGCAATTAACTACCACCTGTTGAGTGGAATAGCCACACTTTTCTGAGAAGGGCATTAAAATATTCCTCCCTTTTCTAACTACATGTTTGTGTAAGGTTATACTTCAGCCATAATAACATATTGCAATATGTTGAATGCAAAACAGATAAAAGAATTCAGCTTTCTCTTGTGAAGCCAGAGAGTAAATATATTTGCAAGACAAATATATTGTAGACAGGAAGTATATTTGTACCACTCTTCTCAAAAAAATAGTTTTTCTTTTAGAAAATATAATTATTTCATAAAAACATGTTTATATTAACATGTGTTATAGATGGAATTGGGTCCCCCAAAATGCATACATTGAACCCCTAACCCCCAAAAATAGGGCCTGTAGGGAGATAATTAAAGTTAAATGAGGTCGTAAGGATAGGACCCTAATTCCATAGGATCGATGTCCTTATAAAAAGAGACAGAGACACCAGAGAGCTCTCTCTTTTGCATGAACATGTATGTGTGCACACAAGAAGAAAGGCCTTGTGAGGACACAATGAGAAAGCAGCCATCTGCAAGCCAGGAAGAGAGCCCTCACCACAAACCAAAATTGCTAGCACCTTGAGCTTGGACTTTAGCCTCTAGAACTTTGAGAAAATAAATTTCTGTGGTTTATGCCACCTGGTCTGTGGTATTTTTTTTTTTTTTTTTTATTAACAAGTGTAACTCTTTATTAAGATGGAATTGTTCTTATTAAAGAAATAGATGAAAATGGTTAAGTACAATTAAATGGCTCCAAAAGTCTTACAATGAAAACAACAGTCCTGCCAGTTGTTCTTTCCAGAGGCAAATACTTTTCATTCTCTTAGTTTTTCCTTCCGTTAGTTACCTTCATGGGTTTTTCCAAATTATTGTTTTTTTTTAGTTTTTCAAGTGAATGCATATATTAATACATAAAATTTTAAAAAGGCTTTTCAGTTTATAATGCATCCTAACAGTCCCCTGCCCCATCCCTCCTAATTCTCCAGAGCAATGACTTTTAACTCTTTTAGCAATGTCTTCTGTTTTTTTCCTCACATAACTTAGTCATTTCATTATTATGTATTATATAGTGATTTCTGGATATGACAGATGAGGATTTAGCTCTTACACCATCACAATCTTCACTTTTCCTCCCATATTGTCCCAGAGTAGTTACCATATTTAGGGGCTAAGCAGTCACATCATTATGACTGTGTACATACTGCTCCTTGTTGAGAAAAACAGTGTATTATGCTCTTCCTATCCTGTACTTCTTTCTGCCCTAGAATGATTGCCTAACCAACCCTTTCCCCTTGTTTTTTTTTTTTTTTTTTTTTTACTTTTGCTTTATCTTCAATGAACTTCTTTCCAAATGCCCCAAATCTGGCAATAAGTTATTATTTTTAAGAGAAGGGATCTCACTAAGGTGGCCAGGCTGGTCTGGAACTCTTGGGCTCAAGTCGTCCTGCTGCTGAGCCTCCCGAGTAGCTGGGACTACAGGCATGGGCCATTCCACCCAGCTAACCGATTAATATTTTTACTGTTCCTTTTTAAAGCTAGCTCCATAGCTGGAATATTGCCTGTGTTGGATCCTATTTGCTGGATTCATGTCATTCTCTGGTTTGTGTACTCCTTCATTTTGCTGGAGTATTTTCTCCAACAGCTTCCCTAAAAAGGGCACATGGAGGTAACCCCTGAGTCTTTGCTTGTCTAAAAATGTATTATTTTACCTTCACCCTTGATTATTTGGGTGAATATAGATTTATCAGTTGAAAATAACTTTCTAGAATTATGAAGGCATGGTTCCATTGTTTTCAGATTCCTTTTCGAGACAAGGTCTCTTCTGTCACCCCGGCTGGAGTGCAGTGGCACAATCACGACTCACTGCAGCCTTGAACTCGTGGGCTCAATTAATTCTTCCATCTCAGCTTCCTGAGTAGATGGGAATACAGGTGTGCGCCACAATGCCCAGCTAATTTCTGTGTTTTTTGTAGAGATGGGGCTTCGCCATGTTGCCCAAGCTGGTCTCAAGTGATCTGCCTGCCTTAGCCTCCCAAAGCGCTGGGATTACAGGCGTGAGCCACTGTGCCTGGCTAGTTTTTCTTTTATTTTCTCTCTACTTCATTCATTTCTCAAAGGCATCTGAAACTCCGTGGGCCCAAAACCAAAGTCAAACTCCATCAGAATATCCTGCTACTTATAACTTTAAAATATATCTTAAATCACAATTTCTTACTACATGCAACCCTTTGGTTCAAGCAACCATCATCCCTCACTTGAACTTATAATTGGTTTTCCTGCTTCTGTATTTTTTTAAATTGTAAAATACTTCAAATAAACCATGTGTGGCCTTATACTTTTTACTACATAAAAAGAATGAAGATGTGCCGGGTGTGGTGGCTCAAGCCGGTAATCCCAGCACTTTGGGAGGCTGAGGTGGGTGAATCGCTTGCGGTCACGAGTTCGAGACTAGCCTGACCAACATGGCGAAACCCCATCTCTACCAAAAATACAAAATACAAAAATTAGCCGGGCGTGGTGGCGCGCACCCGGTCCCAGCTACTTGGGAGCCTGAGGCAGGAGAATCGCTTGAATCTGGGAAGGCGGAGGTTGCAGTAAGCCGAGGTCACACCATTGCATGCTAGCCTGGGCAACAAGAGCGAAACGCTGTCTAA
This sequence comes from Homo sapiens, assembly GCF_000001405.40. Taxonomy (NCBI): domain Eukaryota; kingdom Metazoa; phylum Chordata; class Mammalia; order Primates; family Hominidae; genus Homo; species Homo sapiens. Next base: position 26,169,848 of record NC_000018.10, read on the forward strand.
AAAAAAAAGAACTTACATACTTAAACATCGAATTGCTTTAAGTGTTTGGCATTCACTGTTCCCGTGCATGCCAGCAGCTTCTTACTGCAAACACCTGAGACTTGCTATAGAGCAGCTGGACTATGTTCCGCCCACACACAGGACAGGGAGCTGACAACCAAGGAGGGGGGCGGGATCAATACTCCAGCTTTCCCCCCTCCATTTCCCTGTATCTCAGCAGTATGGAGCTTGTTATCAATGAGAACCTGCTCGCTGACTTTAAATTGCTTTTCTTACCTTCTCAGTTCAGTTTCTCCGTACCTCAATTGATGATTTCTGGTATGACCTAGCAAATACACTGCTTTCACTGAAATTTCAGTCTTGCAATCTGCTTTGGGTTCCCCAATCTAAGACAGAAACATACTCATTTTCCCATCACTGGACTTCCAGGTTGTTTTCAATTTTCCACTGTTACAAACAAGGTGGCAACATTTATCTACAAACCTCTGGATATACACGTAGGAATCTTTTGGTATTTCCACTAGTGAAACTGCTCAGTTGAAGGGTATGTGGATCTTCATCTTTAATAAATATTACCAACATGTGAAAAGCCCGACAATGTCAAGGACTGGCAAGAGTGCCACATGTGATGGGTGTGGAATGGCAGCTCACTATAGCAGGTGCTGGGGACTCAGTTGGGGTCTTGGAGAAGCACTTAGTTATAGCAAGAATGTCTCATAAATGGTATCTGATAGAGACAAGAGTAGTGGGGAATAAAAACTAGTTGCTTAGAAATAATTATAGATCTAAAGTCAACAAAAAACCTTTTCTAATGTAAAAATACATACTTTTTTCAGAGGGAGGGGGAACAACTTAAACTAGAAAACACCTTCATATTAATCATTCTTCTCATATACTTCAAATTTGTACTTAATGCCTTTCTCCTCCTGGACATCAGAGAGAACACCTGGGTATTCTGGCAGAAGTTTATATTTCTCCAAATCAATTTCTGGAAAAAACGTGTCACTTTCAAAGTCTTGCATGATCCTTGTCACAAATAGTTTAAGATGGCCTGGGTGATTCATGGCTTCCTTATAAACAGAACTGCCACCAACTATCCAGACCATGTCTACTTTATTTGCTAATTCTGGTTGTTCAGTAAGTTTTAAGGCATCATCTAGACTTCTGGAAAGAAAATGAGCTCCTTGTGGAGGTTCCTTGAGTTCTCTGCTGAGAACTAAATTAATTCTACCCTTTAAAGGTCGATTCTTCTCAGGAATGGAGAACCAGGTCTTCTTACCCATAATCACCAGATTCTGTTTACCTTCTACTGAAGAGGTTGTGGTCATTCTCTGGAAATATCTGAATTCATTCCTGAGCGGTGGCCAGGGCAGGTCCCCGTTCTTGCCGATGCCCATGTTCTGGGACACAGCGACGATGCAGTTTAGCGAACCAACCATGACAGCAGCGGGAGGACCTCCGAGCCCGCTCGTTACAGCAGAACGCGCGGTCAAGTTTGGCGCGAAATTGTCGGTATTTTGTTATGACATACCAAGCAGACTAATATAACGTGTAATGGGCTTATTTTTAAATGAATTAAATTTTTAAAAAATTTTCTGAGTTTCGGCCGGGTGCAGTGGCTCACGCCTGTAATCCCAGCACTTTGGGAGGCCGAAGCGGGTGGATCACTTGAAGTCAGGAGTTTGAGACCAGCCTGGCCAACATGGCGAAACCCCGTCTCTACTAAAAATACCAAAATTAGCCGGGCTTGGTGGCAAATGCCTATAATCCCAGCTACTTGGGAGGCTGAGGCGTGAGAATTGCTTGAACCTGGAAAGTGGTGGTTGTAGTGAGCTGAGATCGTGCCACTGCACTCCAGCCTGGGCAACAGAGTGAGACTCCGTCTCAAAAAAAAAAAAAGTCTTAGTTTCAGTTTCTCATTATTGGGTCTGGAATTTGATTTTACACTACTTACATACTAATAAAATTAGCCTGTTGCTGTTTCATGGATACTGGCAGAAGACACAAGACCCTCTGGGTCAGAAACAAAGACTTTATTACTCATGGCACATCAAACAGCATGAGTATCAGCATATTTGCATAGATTCCCTTTATCCTCAAGACCCACAGAGTTGATGTAATATGGCCTGGTTGAATGCTGTGAACAAAGTTGGTTTGCTTCACAGCTAAGGAACACCAAGCATGGAGAGTCTCCTTGTTTTATAGCAAGCAATAAGGTAGCCTGCCCTTTATCTGAGGAATGACATCTTTATCTCAAGATTACCAGCTGCATAGACAACCCTGAAAAACAGAGCCTTGTCTGACAGCCCAAGGCACATGATATCTCTCAACAATAATACAGTAAATACCAAAAAGTATAACACAAACAAAAGCACTTTGGAGTTCCCAATAATTTTTAAGAGTATAAATTGCTGATCTGTAGCAGGGAACAGAAAACTTCTTATAGGGCCAGATGGTAAATATTTTAGCCATGTAGGCATTGCAGTCTCTGTTGCAACTACTAAACTTTACCATAGTAGCATAAACTAGAAATAGACTGGAAATAGATTTACATAAATAAATGGGCATAGTGATGTACCAATAATTCTTTGTTTACAAAAACAGGGAACTGACTTGCAGGCTATAATTTTCTGACCCCTAGACTATATATAGCATTGGTTTATAGGTATGTAGCAATGTGATACAAACCTTATAGAGGAGGTTTCCTGAGCACAGGGTTAAGCTGCATATGGAAGTAATTGGTCTTAGAGACCAGTTGAGAAGCCATATGCCACTTGGGGTATCCAATCCATTATTATTTAATAATAAATCAATTTAAAAAGTACAGTTACATTCTCTTAAAAAAAAAAGAAAAGCCTCTGTTGGTCACACATTGCTTCCAACTACCACCTCATTTTGCAGCAAACAGCATGCATTTCGTGATGGTGCCAGTTCCTTATGCCTGCCAAGTGCCATTGGTGGCACAGAGGAAGCAGGTGGATATGATGGGTCTTCTTAATAATAGCTAAGAAACCCTGAACTTGGGGAATCTACCACTTTTGTAATAGGCAGTGAACAAGCTTCTTCTTTTTCTGCAGAAAGACGTGACCTTATTCCTCAGGGTTGTTGGCCACTAATACAGTCCTGAGGAATAGCCCCATCAAGAGTGGTCAAGGCCATGCGTTCTTGGCACACCCAGAAAGAATGTGCACTCTAATTGTGAACAGTGTGATTCTGTTAAAATTTAAGTCAGATCAGGTCACCTCTCTGTTCAAAATCCCCTCTTGCCTCCCAAGTAAGTCAGAGTAAAAACCAAAGCCCTTACAGTGGTCTAACCTTATCTGGCCCCCACCTCAACTCTCCAACCCGAAGCTTATTAACTCCTCCGTTGCTTTCCTACTCAGCCACACTGGCCTCTTTACTGTTCTTCAGAGGCCAGATGTGTACTTTCCTCAGGGCTTTTAACTTTTGTTCTTCCTTATTGTTTCCTCTGCCCAGAGCTTGCATGATATCTGCATGGCTACCATCCTCACCCTCTGAGTGAAGCCCCTCCTAACTGGCCTTTCTAGCACTGTAGCCCATTCTCAATGCTCTTTATTTCCTATCCTGGCTTTACTTCTCTCATAACAACTAATGTACTGTTTATTTTACATATTTCCTTGTTTACCTTGTTTATTATCTATCTCTCCCCCACTAAGCTTTAAGGTCTATGAGTGCAGGGATTTTTGTCTACTTTTTTTTTTTTTTGAGATGGAGTTTTGCTCTTGTTGCCCGGGCTGGAGTGCAATGGCACGATCTGGGCTCACTGCAACCTCCACCCCCCAGGTTCAAGCGATTCTCCTGCCTCAGCCTCCCAAGTAGCTGGGATTACAGGCATGTGCCACCACGCCTGGCTAATTTTGTATTTTTAGTAGAGATGGGGTTTCTTCATGTTGGTCAGGCTGGTCTCAAACTCCTGACCTCAGGTGATCCACCTGCCTCGGCCTCCCAAAGTGCTGGGATTACAAGTGTGAGCCATCACGCCCGGCCTTTTGTCTACTTTTTATACTGTTGACACACTAGTGCTTAGAATTGAACCTTATATACAAGGTGGTCATACGTTATTTAACAAATAAATGAATACTAGATAATAACATAATGCTGTCTACTTGATTCTCAGCTAGAAATATTCTCTCCCTTTGAACTTTTGAAGCATTAGTAATTCTTACAGCTTTTTAAAATTGTTTCATTTCTTCTGTTGACAATTTAGTAAGGGAAGTTTGTGTTTTAAGCATTCAAGTTTCATTTTACAGCAAACACTAATCCTATATTTTAGAGTGAAAACGTAATATTTATAGCATTCGGATCATGAAATGATGCTTCTAAATGCCTACTTTGACTATAATCGTATTTTACTGATTTTTCAAAATAATATTTTATAGACATTTAGTGGCAGGAATTGAATATGTTCTTGCTTATTAGTTCTAAGATATTGGTATTTAAGTGTGTATCTAAGAAGTTGTACACATTTTTTAAAATATTCTTCCTTTCACTTACAATATAGCTTGTAGATTTGTAGGAATGCCAGTCTGGCCATTAGCACTCAAATTTTATATTCAAAACTTTGTTTCAGTTTACTGTGTATTTCTTGAAAAGCTTGCATTTTTAAAGTTTTTAAATAAAATTAGCTCATAAAGAACATTGATGAAAACTGGCATCTAATATGCTGTGCATTGAAGTGGTTACTTAATTTAAAAGCTATTCTATACTATTTTAAGGAGACCCACCTGCATAGACTTAAGCCCCACCCTGATTAATGATGTTAATGATTAAGGGGCATGTTTTGCTCTTGTCAGTATGGGCCATAATGTTTCAAAATGGTAAGAATGTTAACTACGTCGTATACTTCTGAGCAATGTTTCTCAAAATGCATTTCTTTTCATGTTAACAGGTATTAGGTAAACAAGCTCTCTAGCTAAGTAATTTTGTTAGCTATTTAAAGAAATTTAGTAAGTTTTGTTACCAAAGTACATCTGGATCTGCTAAAAAGCATTTAAATCTTCTAGAAGCAGGTAAAATAGTAGTCCCCAAGATTACTTGAACGTAGAGCCCTTTGATCATAAATCCTTTCTCTACTCTGATGTTTTGTGGGATTCACTTTGGAAAATGCTGCCATAAAAACTAAGAACCTCAGGGCTGAAAAGACTTTAAAAGCTGTTTAATATAATCCTCCAATTTATTGTTTCTGACAACACTTGACCAGTTTTGCCTTCTGTTGTTTATACTTCAAAATAATGGAAATTGTGATTTATTTATTGTGAGTAGAGTTTTTTGCTCATTTCCACATCTCTTTTTCTTAGTGTGGGAGAGCTCATTGAAGATTTACTCTGGAAGTTAGCAAGCCTTCAGATGAGAAAAGCTGCTTTGCACTTGTTAGCAGAGACCTTGTCCTTCCTTAGGGTCACATAGCCTCATGGGAAGATTATTATTTTATAAGATATTAGGAAGTGCCATTGGTATCAGCATTTGTTGAAGGGAAGGGATCAGGATGGGGCAGAGGGAGACATTGGGCTGCATTGTAGTCGCAATAAAGGCTTCAGTTGACACCATGGAGTGCTCTGGATCTGTAGTGGCTCATCAGAGCTGTTCTAACTTGGGGTGAAGGGACTGCACATTGATACTCTTCGTCACTGAGTCAGTGTAGGCTGGCCCTGGAAGAGCACATGACCTTACCTGAGGGAGCTCTTGTTAACCAGGGAACCTTCCCAAGGGAGTTAAGAGCTGAGGGCTGTCTGCCATTACCACTTCCAGTAGCCACAGGAATAAGGTTTTTGTTTCTGGAGGTGTATGGGGCAGTATGTCACAGGATGCACTTCCGAGGTCTGTCAAGTGAGATTGTTTTTATCTCCTAACAACAAAGACCTGATGATGCTTAACACTTAAGATTGATTTTTCTCACATAATGAAAAGTCTGAAAGTAGGCAGATGCTGGTATTTGTCTCTTTTAGTCTTAGTCTTTTTCCATGCTCTCAAGATAGCTGCTAGACCTCTAGCCAATATGTCTGCATTCTAGGCAGTAAAGGTTCCTAGGAGCTTCACCCAGTGACTTCCACCTGTGTATACCTATTTGTAAGAGAAGCTAGGAAGTGACATTTTTCAGTAGTCACATTGCCTAGAGTTCTGTCACAAAGGAAGAATGGATATTAGGGTTGTCAGCTAATAGTCTTTGCTGCAGAAAATCATCATTAATCTGAGGAGGCAGGTAGGAAAAGCATTGCAAAACTACCAGTCATTATTGAAGTGGACTGGGGTGGGTGATGGGGCAAGGGAGGGTGGGGATCTGAGTGTGGCAAGAACAGGATAGATTTTAGAAAACAAGTCAGGTGGGTAAGAGTTAAAGATTTTGACATTAAGAATTGGAAGAAGTGGATAGGAAAGTCACCAGAAATGTGCAGGGTGACTTTAAAGGCCCAGTGAAGTTTTTGGATAAACCACTACCTGAAGCCACTAACTATGTACTTCCTCTCTGGGTAGCAACTAGTTACCAAAAAACAAACAAACAAACCTAGTAGCAAATAGATTTCAAAGTCATGCCAGGCTGAAGGCTTTACCTTTGATCTTGGTGAAATTTCAAGGCCACAAAATTTAATTTAGAAGTTTCAACAGCTACTTATATTAATCCTCTGAAATATAATGGCATAGAAAAATTATATAAAGTAAAAATAATCTTTTGCTAACCAGAATAGTATATTGTTATATAATGTAATATAAATGGTGTGTTTTCATGTTTATGTCCTAAAATCTCCTTTGAGATCTCTTTCCCATAATCATAATACTAAACAGTTGGCCAGGCACAGTGGCTCACACCTGTAATCTCAGCACTTTGGGAGGCTGAGGCAGGCAGATCACCTGAAGTCGGGAGTTTGAGACCAGCCTGGCCAACAGGGTGAAACCCCATCTCTACTAAAAATAAAAATATTAGCTGGGCATGGTGGCAGACACCTATAATCCCAGCTACTCGGGAGGCTGAGGCAGGAGAATTGCCTGAGCCCAGGAGGCAGAGGTTGCAGTGAAACGAAATCACGCCATTGCACTCCAGCCTGGGCGACAGAGTGAGACAGTCTCAAAAAAGAAAATAATAATAATAATAATACTAAACAGTTATAACTGAGACATTCCCCCATTTAATGCCAGTGAAAGGATAGACCTTTGTGTTTGTTCTTTTTACTCTGTAATCATCCTAGGAAAGGGGCATGTGGCAGCATAGTGTATCAAGTTAAAAGCTTGGCTTGTTGATTCAGACCACGGTTTCAAAGCTTAGCTCTTCTGCTTACTCTCTGCATGATCTTGGCCAAGATTACTTGAGTCAGTAATTCACCAACAGCTGATTTTGTCCCACCTAAAAGACATTTGACAATGTCTTTGACAAGAGATATGTTTGGTTGTCACAACTGGGGTGGGAGTTGCTGCTGGCATTTAGTTTGTGGAGGCAGCTAAAAATCCCACAATACACAGGACAGCCCTCACAACAGAGGATTAGCTGGCCCAAAATGTGAACAGTGATGATATTGAGAAAGCCTATTTTAACCTTTCCAAACCTCCATTTCTACATCCAAGAATTGGGGTTAGTAACAGTACCTATTTAATCATTTTTGTGATGGTTAGATGAGATAATCCATGTAAAATGCCTAACCTAGTGCCTGACACATAAGTGTTCTGTTAATATAAAATTTAAAATCTTATTACCATCAGGAGTACTAATCTGGATATTTAGGCTGAATTAAAAGAATATGCTGCCTTCTACCCATAGCCATGCAGCCAGGAAAATCCATTTGCATTTTTCCTTCATCTGATGAAAATGTGTAAAGAACAAAGAAAAGAGGAAAGGAATAGAAGCCCTTCTTGCTTAAGAGTCAAAGATGATAACAAATCAATTAGGTTACCACTATACTTATTCTAAAATCTACAAAAATAGTGCTCAGCCCAACTTAGGTAAATAGCTTTCTTCATGTTGATGTCATTTTTTTCCCCTCTCTTTGCTTTCTTCTTTTTGTGCCATATTGTAAAGTTATAGCTCCTTGCCTCTCCACATCTTTTCAAGTTTCAGCTTTTTAAAATCTTTTCTGAGCCAGTCACAGTGGCTCATGCCTGTAATCTCAGCACTTTGGGAGGCCAAGCTGGGAGGATCACATGAGTCCAGGAGTTCGAGACCCACCTGGGCAACATAGCAAGACCCTATCTCTAAAAAAAATTCTTTTTTAAATTAGCCAAGTGTGGTGCCACGTACCAATAGTCCCAGCTACTTGGGAGTCTGAGGTAGGAAGATACCTTGAGCCCAGAAGGCCAAGGCTACAGTGAGCAGTGATCATACCACTGCACTCCAGCCTGGGCCACAAAGTGAGACCCTGTTTCAAAAGAATATATAAATAAAATAATTTCTGGTTATCAAGGATTTGGGAGACATTATATTAATAGAAAGTGTTAGCCAGGACAAAGCATTGGTATATTTAAAAGAAAAAGTTGGCCAGATGTTGTGGCTCACGCCTGTAATCCCAACACTTTGAGAGGCTGAGACAGGAGGCTCACTTGAGGCCAGGAGTTTGAGAACAGCCTGGGCAACATAGCAAGACTACCAAAAAAATAATCAGCTGAGTGTGGTGATGCATACCTGTAGTCCCAGCTACTCAGGAGGTTCAGGTGGGAAAATCACTTAAGCCCAGAAGATCAAAGCTGCAGTGAGCTATAATTGTGCCACTACTGCACTCCAGCCTGGGCAACAGAGTGAGATCCCATCTCTAAAACAAACAAAAAAAGGAAAATAAAAACCATGCCACCATTACAGACTATTCTGATAGTAACCAAATGAGCTACTGAAATGTTTGCTATGTTTTCAAATCTGTAATTTTCATTTGGTAATTTTATTAAGGTATACTGGAGTAAACTCCAAACCTCTAAACTTTACTTAGTAACCATAAATTCATTCCTACTGCAATGATATTAATAAATTAACTTTTATTTTTCAAGGCAAATGCAATAGGCCGAAGTGCTAAAACTGTTCGAGAATTTCTAGAAAAGAATTACACAGAAGATGCCATAGCAAGTGACAGTGAAGCTATCAAGTTAGCAATAAAAGCTTTGCTAGAAGTAAGTGATCTAATAAAGCATATTCAGGAAATCATGAATTTTTTTTCCTCATCCATTTTTGTTTATTAAACACAAAATTTGCTGAAATAATTCTAATAGTGTACTTGTTCTACATTAGGTTGTCCAGTCTGGTGGAAAAAACATTGAACTTGCTATAATAAGAAGAAATCAACCTTTGAAGGTAAGTCATTAACCAAAGAGGAAAAAGTATCTGTAGTATAAAGTATTTTGACAAAAGTTAAAAAGTTGTTGGCCTCTAGGCTTCCGATATAATGTTATCCTTCATTAATGTCAAATAACCTCCACTCATTTCTGACCGTCTACCGGTTTTTTGTTTGTTTTTTGTGTTTTTTTTTTTTTTTTAAATAGAGACGGGATTTCACCACATTGCCCAGGCTGGCCTCTAACTCCTAGAATCAAGCGATCAGCCCGCCTTGGCCTCCAGTGCTGGGATTACAACTGTGAGCCACCGCAGTCGTCCTGTCTACTGATTTTTATGTATTTCCATTACTTTACATTTGAAAGTGCCTTGAGCGTCTTGTGAGACTTAAACTTTAATACGTAGCACGATAACCTTTCCATATTTCTTTGTGGCAAGTCTCATGTTATTATATGTATAACGTCTGTCAGCCGTTATGGGTTAAAACTGCTGGACTACAAAATAAAATGTTCAGGATATTGTGATAGAGGACCCACTGGCTAAAGAGCATTTGAAATGTAGTTCACTATTGTTCATTAGGTAGAACCAACTGTACAACATAGTTTGCCAGCTAGCTCTCTTTAGCTGAGATTGTAAAAAAGCACTCAAAATTTGGGAAACTATATAAGAAATATACTTAAAGGATTGTTTTATACTCAAATATGGCAGTGTACGCCTGTAATCCCAGCTACTCGAGAGACTGAGGTGGGAGGATCACTTGAGGTCAGGAGTTCAAGACCAGCCTTGGCAAGGTAACAAGACCCCCATCTCTATGAAAAAAAAAAATTAAAAATTAAATTAAAAAAAAAAAAAGGATTGTTGCCAGATGCGGTGGCTCACACCTGTAATCCCAGCACTCTGGGAGGCTGAGGCGGATGGATCACTTGAGGTCAGGAGTTCAAGACTAGCCTGGCCAACATAGTGAAACCCCGTCTCTACTAAAAATACAAAAAAAATAGCTGGGCGTGGTGGCAGACGCCTGTGATCCCAGCTGCTTGGAAGGCTGAGGCAGGAGAATCACTTCAACCCGGGAGGCGGAAGTTGCAGTGAGCTGAGATTATGCCAGTGATCTGGGCAACAGACCAAGACTCCATCTCAAAAAAAATTATTTTGAAGATTGTTTTACATATATCTTTTCTTTGGTTTTAAGGAAAATATTTCAAGTAGTGTTAAAATTAGTGCCATCTGGAGCACTGGGGTTTTTTGTTTGTTTGTTTCTGTTTTTGTTTTTGTCATCATGGTTGCTTTGACATCAATTTCCTACCCTTTATTATTCAACTAACAGATGGGATATGAGGATAAGACAGCAGCAAAGTTTCAATAAATAAGAGAAATGGGGACAAGACAGTGGAGCTTGCCCCTGCAGAGCCCCACATAAATTACAGAGTGCTGAGCACAGAGTGTGGAAATGGGTATTATCCAGGTTTTTGTCACCCCTGCTGCTAAGAGCCCAGGGACAGATGCAGCAACACCACAAGGGCACAGAAACCACTGAGGCCAGAGTTTGCCTCTTCTGCTCCATAATATACCTATGCATATAAAAATAGACACACACACACACACACACACACACACACACACAGAGTTATATGCATATTTTTGCTTTTGAGTGATAGAATGGTATGCTTACTGACAGCAGTGTTATACTGTCTTCCACATGATACTTTAGGATAGGCTATGTAGGGAATAGAACACATGCTTTGGAGTTGGTAGACTAGGATTAAGTTCCAGCAGATACATTTGTTTAACAACATGACCTTGAGCAAATTGCTCTCATCTTCAGCTTTCAGTTTTCTTCCCTATAAAATGAGTCTAACGATACCTTCATCAAAGGGCCGTTGTGATAAGTAAATGAAATGGTGTGAGATGGTAGTATCCTTTTATAGTAAGTGCTCGTTAAATGGTGTTTTACAGATTGCAGGTTTGTGGCAACCCTGTGTTGAGCAAGTCTGTCAATTCCATTTGTCCAACAGCATGTGCTTACTTTGTGTCTCTGTCACATTTTTGATAACTCTCAGAATATTTCAGACTTTTTCATTATTATTATTATATGTGTAATATAGTGACAATGTAATTATTATATAACGGTGATCTGTGATCAATGATCTTTGATATTACTGTGCTAATTGTTTTGGAGTGCCATGAACTGCATCCATATAAAAAACACTGAGTGAACTTAATCAATAAATGTTGCATGTGTTCTGACTGCTCCACTGACCAGCTATTTACCTGTGTCTCTCCCTCTCCTCAGGCCTCCTATTGCCTGAGGCATAACAATATTGAAAATAGGCCAATTAATAACCCGATAAGGGCCTCTAAGTGTTCAAGTGAAAGGAAGAGTCTCATGTCTGTCACATGAGTTTTAAATAAAAAAACTAGAATTGTTAAGCTTAGTGAGGAAGGCAGTCAAAAGCCAAGACAGGTGGAAAGCTAGGCCTCTTGTGCAAGTTATTCAAATTGTGAATGCAAAGGAAAAGTACTTAAGAAAATTAAAAGTACTTAAAGAAATTTAAAGTGCTACTGCAAGGGAACACGTGAATGATAAGAAACTGAAACAGCCAGGCCAGGCGTGGTGGCACGCACCTGGCCAACATGGCAAAACCTGTCTCTACTAAAAATACAAAATTTAGCCACGTGTGGTGGCACGCACCTGTAATCCCAGCTACTCGGCAGGCTGAGGCAGGAGAATCGCTTGAACCTGAGAGGCGGAGGTTGCAGTGAGCTGAGATGGCACCACTGCACTCCAGCCTGGGCAACAGAGTGAGACGCCATCTGAAAAAAAAAAAAAAAACCAGTCTTGTTACTGATATGGAGGTTTTAGTGGCCTGGCTGGAAGATCAAACCAGCCACAACATTCCTCTAAGCCAAAGCCTAATCCAGAGCAAAGTCCTAACTTTCTTCAATTCTGTGAAGGCTGAGAGGGGTGAGGAAGCGGAAGAAGAAAAGGCTGGAGCTAACAGAGGTTGGTTCATGAGGTTTAAGGAAAGAAGCCACCTTCATAACATAAAGGTGCAAGGTGAAGCAGCAAGTACTGATGGAGAAGCTGCAGCAAGTTATCCAGAAGATCTAGCTAAGACATTTATCTTCAGTGAAGGTGGTTATACTAAACAACAGATTTTCAATGTAGATGAAACAGCTTTCTGCTGGAAGAAGATACCATCTAAAATTTTCATAGCTAGAGATAGGAGAAATCACCTCACTGCCTGGCTTCAAGGGACGGACTGTCTTGTTAGGGGATAATGCAGCTGGTAACTTTAAGTAGAAGCCAGTGCTCATTTACAATCAATGGATGACAGCACATCTATTTATAGCATAGTATACTGAATATTTTAAGCCCACTACTGAGACCTAACACTCAAAAAAAGAAGATTCCTTTCAAAATGTTACTGCTCATTCACAGTCCACCTAGTCACCCAGTAGCTCCGATGGACATGTACAAGGAAATTAATGTTTTCGTGCCTGCTAACACATCTTTCTGCAGCACATGCATCAAGGCGTAATTTTGACTTTCAAGTCTTATTATTCAAGAAATATGGCCAGGCATAGTGGCTCACACCTATAATCTCAACACTTTGGGAGGCCAAGGCAGAAGAATTGCTAGAGGCTAGAGGTTTGAGATCAGCCTGGGCAACATAGTTAGACTGTGTCTCTACCAACATTGGCTGGGCACGGTAGCTCATGCCTGTAATCCCAGCACTTTGGGAGGCCGGAGGCAGGTGGATCACTTGAGATCAGGAGTTCAAGACCAGCCTGGCCAACATGGTGAAACCCCGTCTCTACCACAAATACAAAAATTAGCTGGGTGTGGTGGGGGGAATCTGTAATCCCAGCTACTTAGGAGGCTGAGGCAGGAGAATTGCTTGAACCCAGGAGTTGGAGGTTGCAATGAGCCAAGATCATGCTATCGCACTCCAGACAGGGCAGCAGAACGAGACTCTGTCTCAAAAAAAACAAACAAAAAGGCCGGGCGTGGTGGCTCATGCTTGTAATCCCAGCACTTTGGGAGGCCAAGGTGGGTGGATTGCTTGAGGTCAGGAGTTTAAGACCAGCCTGATCAATATGGTGAAACCCTGTCTCTACTGAAAATACAAAAATTAGCTGGGCGTGGTGGTGGGCACCTGTAATCCCAGCTACTCAGGAGGCTAAGGCAGGAGAATCGCTTGAACCTGGGAGGCAGAGGTTGCCGTGAGCCAAGATCGCACCATTGCAGTCCAGCCTGGGTGACAGAGCAAGACTCCGTCTAAAAAAAAAAAAATTAACAAACAAACAAAAATATCAACATTAACAGGAGTTTAGAATAAGTTGATTCCAACCCTTATGAATGACTTTCAGGAGTTCAAGACTTTAGTGGAGGAAGTCACTGCAGATGTGGTACAAATAGCAAGAGAACTAAAATTAGAAGTGGAGCCTGAATATGCAACTGAATTGCTGCAATCTTGTGATAAAACAGATGATGAGTTGCTTCTTAAAGATGAGAAAAGAATGTGGTTTCTTGGATGAAATCTACTCCTGGTTATGATGCTGTAAATATTGTTGAAATAACAACAAAACATTTAGAGTGTTACATAAATAAAGCAGTGACAAGGTTTGAGAGGATTGACTCCAGTTCTGAAAAGTTCAATTGTGAGTAAAATGCTATCAAACAGCATCTCATGCTATAGAGAAATCTTTTGGGAAAGGAAGAGTCTATCAATGTGGCAAACCTCATTGTTGTCTTATTTTAAGAAATTCCCACAGCCACTTCAACCTTCAGCAACCACTACCCTGATGAGTCAGCTCCATCATCAAGACAAGACCCCACCAGCAAAAAGATTACTACTTGCTGGAGGCTTACATGATTGTTAGCATTTTTTAGCAATAAAGTGTTTTCAAATTAAGATATGTTGATTTTTTTAGACATAAGGCTATTGCACACTCAATAGACTACAGTATAGTGTAAACATAACTTTAATATGCACTGGGAAACCAAAACATTTATGTGACTCAATATTTGCCTTACTGCTGTGGTCCTGAACCAAATCCACAATTTTTCCAAGGTATGCCTGTATGTGTATTCATAAACAGAGAGAGAATATCAATATGTAGTCTGTTTCAGTCATTTATTCTGGCTTAAAGCAGCTGTATCTTTTTACCTTAGATGAAAAATTTAAAAAGAACGTAAAGAATGTTATGTAAAGCTTGTCATTTTCTACAACTATAAACAAAAAATTTACCTTTCACTGTAATCTTAGGCCACCAAAATATGAGGAGAAGTGAGTTTGTCAGTAGTAATACTAAGCACTCTTTCTCCTTCCTCTATTCCTTCTCACCTGGTTTTTGAAGATCTATTAGAAGTTGTTTTTGGCCGGGCGCGGTGGCTCACGCTTGCAATCTCAGCACTTTGGGAGGCTGAGGCGGGTGGATCACCTGAGGTCAGGGGTTCGAGACCAGCCTGACCAACATAGTGAAACCCCATCTCCACTAAAAATATAAAAAATTAGCCGGGCATGGTGGCATGTGCCTGTAATCCCAGCTACTCAGGAGGCTGAGGCAGGAGAATCACTTGAACTCAGGAAGCAAAGGTTGCGATGTGTCGAGATAGCGCCACTGCACTCCAGCATAGGCGATAGAGCAAGACTCTGTCTCAAAAAAAAAAAAAAAAAAAGTTGTTTTTGGCAGCCGGGCACAGTGGCTCATGCATGTAATCCCAGTACTTTGGGAGGCCAAGGCGGGTGGATCACCTGAGGTTAGGAGTTTGAGACCAGCCTAGCCATCATGGTAAAACCCTATCTCTACTAAAAATACAAAAAATTAGCCAGGGGTGGTGGCTGGCGCCTGTAATTTCAGCTATTCAGGGGGCTGAGGCAGGAGAATCGCTTGAACCGGGAGACAGAGGTTACAGTGAGCCAAGATAATGCCATTGCACTCCAGCCTGGGCAACAAGAGCGAAACTCCATCTCAAAAAAAAAAAAAAAAAAAAAGTTGTTTTTGGCAGACATTTGAAAATTGTTTCTACTGAAAATGAAAATTCTCCTTGGAAAAAAATTAGTTCCCATTGACCTGAGGAGAAATTAAGCAGAGGTTAATGTGTTAGAACAAATGCTTTTGTCTATAAGTTAAAACAAAAAAACTCCAACTCATAGTGACTTAAAGAACAAGAAATCGTTTTTTCTCACAGATGAAAGTATAAACCTGCTCCAGACACAGTGTGTTTAACAACACAACGATGTTCTCATGTATCTAGATTTTTCCTGTCCCTCCACTCTGCAACTTTGAATATTGGCTTCATCCTAAAGTTAGTGTGTTCTAGTAAGGTTGATTCCTCTCATGACCACCAGAGGCAATCAGAATGATTTATTTTCCTGTTAACCTTTTATAGGAGAGGGAGAACTTCCCTAACTCTGGAATGTAAGTCCTTCCCTTCAATCTGATTGGAAGACTGAAGACATCCTTAGAACAGTCTCTAGAAGATTCTGTTTGCTGGTTGGCTAATGTTAAGCACTGATATAGAATGGATGTTTGGGGAATCAACCATAATGTATTCTCTAGGAAGTTTTTCAAATGTCTTCAGAGTCTGAAATTGCTTAATTGAAAATTATTTTAAAATAGACTTGCGTCTGGTTTTAAACCAGTTTTGCCAAATTTCAATGTATATAGAAATAGTTTCAATTTTGTTTCTTTACAGAGTTTTAATTTGTGGATCTTGAATAACTTATTTGTTTTCATTTTTAATGGACTCCACATGAAAATATTACAAATCCTATTGCATTCTCAATTTTGATAAATCTTTGTGTGGGATACAGTTCAGTGAAGTGATCAAAAATGGAGCTCTGGATGGGCATGGTGGCTCATGCCTGTAATCCCAGCCCTTTGGGAGACCGAGTGGGTGGATCACGAGGTCAGGAGTTCAAGATCAGCCTGGCCAACATAGTGAAACCCCGTCTCTACTAAAAATACACACACAAAAAAAAATTAGCTGGGTGTGTTGGAGGGCACCTGTAGTCCCAGCTACTTGGGAGGCTGAGGCAGGAGAATCACTTGAACCTGGGAGGCAGAGGTTGCAGTGAGCTGAGATCACGCCACTGCACTCTAGCCTGGGCAACACAGGGAGACTCTGTCTCAAAAAAAAAAAAAAAAAAAAAAAAAAAAACGCAAAGTGAGGCTCTAGAGCTACCCTAGTTCAAATTCCAGCTCTACCATTTCCCAGTGTAAACAAATTACTTCTCTGTTTCTGTTTTCTTATCTGTGGATTAATAGCCTTTCCACATATGGTTATGATGAGTACTGTATTATTAAATTAGAAAAACACATAAGATATAAGAAATTTACTGAGTAGTGTAAACCTTTATTATTTGATGCCTCTACCCCTTATTCTTAAGCTGATTTTAGAGGTGGACTGGTTTTCTAGTTATTCTCTGACCTATCCTTGGCAATTCCAGTTGTATCTAAGTTACTAAGAAGTAAATAGTATTTACTAAATATGAAAAACATAAAATCTCTTAATTTTACATATGTACTTCTTAAATCACTGACTATGTGCTGAAATTTTAACACTTTGACAGGAAATAGCTTGACTTAAGGTATATAAGTAGACTTCTACAACTTCAGTTTCTGGCATTATGCTGGATTAGATAATATAAAAACTCTTCTGCTGTAAAACATGAGGACAATTCTAGATGAAATATAACTAGTTTTTTAAAGACATAGCTGAGCTTCTGCAAGAACTAAAAGAAAATCCCCAGGAACCAAAAATGAATACTACACTGAAAGCCAGAGGTAAACATTTGGATTAAACTGCCCTGGAGAAGGATACTTGTCTCCCTAGCCTAGGAAGTTAGATATAAACACCTACTTGGGGCCAGGAATCAGTAGAAAGGTAGAACTTAAAACATTTTCTCATTTAATGCCAGGATTCTTCCATGAAAGGATGGACCAGGCTGGGCACCGTGGTTCATGCCTGTAATCCCAGCACTTTGGGAGGCCAAGGCGGCCAGATCACCTGAGGTCAGCAGTTTGAGATTAGCCTGGCCAACATGGTGAAAACCCATCTCTACTAAAAATACAAAAAATTAGCCGGGTGTGATGGTGTGCGCCTGTTGTCCCAGCTACTCAGGGGGCTGAGGCAGGAGAATCACTTGAGCCTAGGGTGGCAGAGGTCGTAGTGAGCTGAGATCATGCCACTGCACTCCAGCCTGGGCGACAGAGCAAGAGTCTGCTTCAAAAAAAGTGAGGTCTGAGCAGTGGCTCACACCTGTAATACCAGCATTTGGGGAGACTGAGGCAGGAGGATAAGTTCTTACTTATCAATAATAACATTGAATGTAAGTGGACTAAACTCTCCAATCAAAAGATATAGAATGACTGAATGGATTTAAAAAAAAAGACCCAATGATCTGTTGACTACGAAAAACATACTTCACCTATAAAGACAAACATAGACTGAAAAAAAGAGATGGAAAAAGATATTTCATGCCAATAGAAACCAAAAAAGAGCCAGAGTCACTATACTTATATCAGACAAAATAGATTTCAAGGCAAAAACTATAAGAAGAGACAAAAAAGGTCACTATATAATGATAAAGGGGTCAGTTCAGCAAGAAGATATAACAGTCTTAAATATATATGCACCCAACACTGTAGAACCTAGATATGTAAAGTAAACATTATTAGAGCTAAAAAAAACCAGATAGATTCCAATACAATAATAGCTAGAGTCTTCAACACCCCATTTTCAGCATTGGACAGATCTTCCAGACAGAAAATCAGCAAAGAAACATCAGACTTAAACTGCACTGTAGACCAAATGTATCTAATAGATATTTACAGAACATTTCATCCAACAGCTGCAGAATATGCATTATTCTCCTCAGCATATGGACCATTTTCAAGGATAGACCATATTTAGGTCACAAAATAAGCCTTAAAATATTCAAAAAATTGAAATAATATCAAGCATCATCTCTGACCACAGTGGAAAAAAAAAACTAGAAATCAGTAACTAGAGGAATTTTGGAAACTATACGAATACATGGAAATTAAACAATATGCTCCTGAATGACCAGTGAGTCAATGAAGAAATTAAGAAAAAAATTGAAAATTTTCTTGAAACAAGTGATAATGAAAACCTAACATATCAAAACATATGGAATACAGTGAAAGCATTACAAAGAAGGAGGTTTATAGCTATAAGTGCCCACATCAAAAAAGGACACCAAAAAAAAAAAAAATAGAAAGGTGTTCCATGTTCATGGATTGGAAGAATCAATGTTTTTAAAATGTCCATACTACCCAAAGTAATCTACAGATTCAATGCAATCCCTGCCAAAATACCAATGATATTCTTCACAGAAATATAAAAAAAAATCATAAAATCTATATAAAAACCTCAAAAGACCCAGAAGAGCCAAAGCTGCCCTAAGCAAAAAGGACAAAACTGAAGGAATCATATTGCCTGACTTCAAATTATGCTACAGAGCTATGGTAACCAAAGCAGCATGGTTCTGGCATAAAGACAGACACATAGATTAATTAAACAAAATGGAGATCCCAGAAACAAATCCACATATATATAGTGAACTCATTTTCGACAGAGGTGCTAAGAACATACACTGGGAAAAAGTTTCTTCAATAAAGGATGCTGGGAAAACTGGATATCCATATGCAGAAGAATGAAACTAAACCCCTATCTCTCACCATATATAAAAAATCAAAAAAGAATAGATTAAAGACTTAAGCCTGTGACCTCAATCTATAAAACTACTACAAAAACATTGGAGAAAATCCCCAGGACATTGGTCTGCGCAAAATATTCTTGAGTAGTACCCTACAAACACAGGCAACCAAAGCAAAAATGGACAAATAGGATCACATCAAGTTAAAGAACTTCTGCACAGCAAAGGAAACAATCAACAAAGTGAGGTGACAGCCCACAGAATGGGAGAAAATATTTGCAAATTTACCCTTCTGACAAGGGTTTAATAACCAGAATGTATAAGGAGCTCAGACAACTCTATAAGAGAAAAAACAATAATCTGATCAAAAAATGGGTGAAGGATTTGAATTTGTATGTCTTCTTTTCTCAAAAGAAGACATACAAATGGCAAACAGGCATATAAAAAGGTGCTTGGGCTGAGCTCTTGCTTGTAATCCCAGCACTTTGGGAGGCCAAGGCGGGAGGATCACTTGAGCCTAGGAGTTTCAGACCAGCCTGGACAACACAGTGAGACCTTGTCTCTACAAATATAATAATTTAAAAATTAGCCTGATGTGGTGGTGTGCTCCTGTGGTCCCAGCTACTTGGGAAGCTGAGGTGGGAGGATCACTTGAACCTGGGAGGTCAAGGCTGCAGTGAGCCATGATTGTGCCACTGTACTCCATCCTGGGCAACAGAGCAAGACCCCATCTCCAAAAAAAAGGTGATCAACATCATTGATCATCAGAGAAATGCAAATCAAAACTACAATAAAATATCATCTCACCCCAGTTAAAATGGCTTATATCTAATAGACAAGCTACAGCAAATGCTGGTGAGGATATGGAGAAAAGGGAACCCTCATACACTGTTGGTGGGAATGTAAATTAGTACAACCACCATGAAGAATAGTTTGGAGATTCCTCAAAAAACATAAAATAAAAGTACATATGGTCCAGCAATCCCACTACTGGGTGTATACCCAAAAGAAAGGAAATCAGTATATTGAAGAAATAGCTGCACTCCCATGTTAATTGCAGAACTGTTCACAATAGCCAAGATTTGGAAGCAACCTTAGGGTCCATCAACAGATGAATGTACGAAGACAATGTGATACTTACACACAATGAAGTACTGTTCTGCCCCCAAAAAAATAATGAGATACTGTCATTTGTAATAACATGGATGGAACTGGAGATCATTATGTTAAATAAGGCAGGCATGGAAAGACAGACATTGCATGTTTTTACTCATTTGTGGAATCTAAAAATCAAAACAATTGAACTCATGGAGATACAGAGTAGAAGGATGGTTACTAGAGGCTGGGAAGGGTAGTGGGGGGCAGGGGCAGGTGGGGATGGTTAATAGGTACAAAAAAATAGAATTTATAAGACCTAGTATTTGATAACACAACAGGGTAACTATAGTCAATAACAATTTAATTGTACATTTTAAGATAACTAAAAGAGTATAATTGGATTTTTTGTAACACAAAGGATAAATGCTTGAGGGGATGGATACCCCATTCTCCATGATGTGGTTATTATGCATCACATGCCTGTATCAAAATATCTCATGTACCCCATAATATATATACCTACTATGTACTCATAAAAATTAAAAATAATTTTTTGAAAAGGCTTCTTGAGGCTGGGCGCAGTGGCTCATGCCTGTAATCCCAGCATTTTGGGAGGCCGAGACAGGCAAATCGATTGAGCCCAGGAGTTTGAGACCAGCCTGGGCAACATGGCGAAACCCCGTCTCTACAAAAAATACAAAAGTTAGCTGGGCATGGTGGTTCACATCTGTAGCCCCAGCTACTCCGGTTGCTGAGGCGGTAGGATGGCTTGAGCCCAGGAGGCAGAGGTTGCAGTGAGCTGTGATCATGCCGCTGTGCTTCAGCTGTAGGCAGCAGAGCAAGACCCGGTCTCAAAAAGGAAAAAGAAAGTGAAAGACACTTTTTCAAAGGAGGAAATTATTTCTTCCCCAAGTAATACCACATCACTTTATTCAGGTTTGTATTGTAATGATCTATTTATATGCCAGTTTTTTTCCACTAAACTGTGGACTCCTTAATAGCAGGTAAGAATTATATTCTTCCACTTTCAGAGCCCATGGAACTCCTAGTAATTGCTTGATGGGTAAATTCATTTCATAAAACGTTCAAATAATATATTTTATGTAGATTATTGACAAATACAGATTTTGTGACACACATCTTTATAGGTGAAATGGAAAGAGTTCTGGAGTTGAAATAAGAATCAGAGACCTAATCTTTAATCCTTCTTTAATCTTTGGCCAAATATAATTTAGCTTTGTGAATCTATGTTTTCTTATATGTAAATTCTAGTGATGGACTAATAGCTAAAATCCTTTACATCTCTAATATCTTTGAAAATTTGCCTTTCCATAAAGTTGATCATTCATTTATCAATTTAATAGATACCTCTTTTCAGTATTAAGATCATTATATTTAGATTTTTGTATATAAATGTATTAACTTCACTGAAGTTAATAATTGCTGTCTTGGCCAGGCACGGTGGCTCAGGCCTGTAATCCCAGCACTTTGGGAGGCTGAGGCGGGCAGATCACTTGAGGTCAGGAGTTCAAGACCAGCCTGGCCAACATGGCAAAACCCTGTCTGTACTGAAAATGCAAATCTCTCTACTAAAAATAACAAAAATCAGTCAGGCGTGGTAGCACACACCTGTAGTCCCAGCTACTGAGGAGACTGAGGTGGGAGAATCGCTTGAACCCGGCAGCAGAGGTTGCAATCACATCACTGCAGTCCAGCCTGGGCGACAGGGTGAGACCCTGTCTGAAAAAAAAAGAAAAAGAAAATGGCAGCCTGGTCTCGAACCCCTGACCTCAACTGATCCACCCACCTCGGCCTCCCAAAGTGCTGGGATTACAGGCCTGAGTCACCAGGTTTGGCCAATAATTGCTGTCTTATAGCCGCAAGCATGTAACCTTGGATCTACTTGTGAACAGTACAACAGAAAATCAAACTACACTGCAAATTCTTAGAAAAATAAAACCTTTTTTGCTTTCTACTTAGACATAAAGTAGCATAAATTATCTTTTCCCATTTCATTTCGCTATTCTATAAACTGATCAAATTATTAAACCCTATCAGAGAATCACACAGTAGGGTGCAGTTGGGAGAGTTAAATAATGAGTCTTTGTTCATGAATAAAATTAAGCCTCGCATTAAAATGTTTTTGGAGTTATATGCACATATAGGATATATAACGCAATATCACCTTTTGTCCTGCTTTCTTTTTTAGCACAGTGATAGTAGAAATGTCAGAGATCTGGTTTTGCCCATAATTGTTATTGCTCTTAGACCTCTTGAAATGCTTCATTGTATATTTGAAGTTACAAAATATAAAGTTGTACATAGAAAGTATAAATTTATTAAATATTGGAATTCTTCATATTGTATTTACATATTATTCGTATAACTGACATTTGATCTTTAAATTTTTTTCTCTTTTCAGATGTTTAGTGCAAAAGAAGTTGAATTATATGTAACTGAAATAGAAAAGGAAAAGGAAGAAGCAGAGAAGAAAAAATCAAAGAAATCTGTCTAATTCTTAGGATGACCACTGGGAGGTCTTAATGTTTTGTTTTATTGTACTGCCTGAGGTTGTTTAGTGAAATTTTAGAGGAAAACAGTTATTTTGCAGCATTACATGCAGTACTTGTGTGATGTTTTGAGAATGCCAGATCTGTGGCTGTCTTCATTCTATTACATAGTCAAACATAGGTTTATGTGAAGATTTTCTTTGAAAGGGGATTTCAGTAATTGTTGAGAGCAGTCATAATTCCACATAAGCCTGAGACTCTATAATTTGTCCAGTGTCTTACTTACCTTCATATATGCAAATATAATTTTAAAAAATTTTTTAATTAAAAAAATTTAATAATTTGGTGATGTTTGAATATTGACTGTCAGTTAAGGACATAGCTATTCCAAATAAACTAAATATAATATTGAGCTGCATTTCTCAAAGAATGACAAAAGCATCCTTATACTGATGAGTTCTTAAAATTTTGTCAGAGCCTTCTTCATTTTACAATATTTTGTTATTTTTATTTTACCTTTTTCATTTTACAATATTTCGTTATTTTTATTTTACCTTTTTCATTTTACAAGTTGCAATATATTGTTTCGTTCATGGAACAAATATAGGCTGAATTCAAACATGCAATTAAAGCATGGGAAGAGCTTCTAAGGGCATCTTAACAGGATGCTACATGAAAATAAGGAAAGAAATTAATACATATCACTTTTAGTTTAGATTTTTATTTTATCTCAAGTATGTCCAGTGTGTTCGGTTTGTTACATATTCCATGAAATATCTGAGTGTGTATTTTATGATTGGTATTATGGAAGGCTTATTGGGGGAACAAGAAAAATATAAAAAGTGATCTCTGCCCACGGAAAGGATTTAATCCAAATGGTCCACAAGAGGAATGTGCTTAATTCCTACAGTGAGTTTATATTTTTGAAAATAAAAGCTAGTAAATATTCTTTCTGTTGTTTTAATTAATTGTTTATTTATTTCAGAGATGAGGTCTCACTATGTTGCCCAGGCTGGTCTCAAACTCCTGGCTTCAAGCAATCCTCCCACCTCCACCACCCAAAGTGCTGGGATTACAGGCTGAGCCACTGCACCTGGTCTTAATGTTCTTTTTTGAAAACGAGGGGAGAGGTTCAGTTTTTGCAGAGGAATGAAAATAGTAGGGGAAGGCCAGGCGTGGTGGCTCATGCCTGTAATCCCAGCACTTTGGGAGGCTGAGATGGGCGGACCACTTGAGGCCAGGAGTTCGGAACCAGCTGGCCAACATGGCGAAACCCCGAGTGGGGTGGGGTTGGTTTTGGGATGAAACTGTTCCACCTCAGATCATCAGGCATTCGAGTCTCGTAAGGAGCCCACAATCCCTTGCATGTGCAGTTTACAGCAGGTTTCACACTCCGATGAGAATCTTTTTTTTTTTTTTGAGACGAGTCTCGCTGTGTCACCCAGGCTGGAGTGCAGTGGCGCAATCTCGCTCCCTGCAACCTCCGCCTCTCAGGTTCAAGTGATTCTCCTGCCATAGCCTCTCAAGCAGCTGGAACTACAGGCATGTGCTATCACGACCAGCTAATTTTTGTATTTTTAGTAGAGTCGGGGTTTCGCCATGTTGGCCAGGCTGGTCTTGAACTCCTGGCCTCAGGTGACCACCTGCCTCGGCCTCCCAAAGTGCTGGGATTACAGGCGTGAGCCACCGTGCCCGGCCTCCTATGAGAATTGTTACTGCCGCCACTGATCTCACAGGTGACAGAGCTCATGTGGTAATGCTCGCTCCCCCCACCCCCCTACTCACCTCCTCCTGTGCAGCCGGGTTCCTAACAGGCCACAAGCCAGTACTGATCCACGGCCCTGGGGTTGGGGACCCCCGATCTAAGGGATATGGTTGTAATTCCATCCCTTATTTTTTTACTTGACAAGTACTCATACAATACCACAGTCACTGCATGCCAGACACTGTTTAGATTACTTGCAAATATTAACATTTAATTATCTTAACAACTCTGAGACAAGTTTTATAATGTATGCCCATGGTGCTGATGCTTATAGTGCTTTGCCACCACAAGTGTCCATCAGAATGGAAACATTTCTCATTGCTCACCAATCTCTCCCTCACAAGGATGTATCATGAGAGGCAAGAGGTTTTTTTGAATCTCACTAGCTTTATTACTCCTGTGACTCAGTTCTTCTTAGTTATCAGAGTCTAATTGGTTTTAGCTCAACTGATTTATTCTACTTTGGAAATCATAGCATTATTTTGGTCAGGTTTCACTGATCCATACAAAACGATTTTCTATTTAATGTGAAGTTCTTTTGTTTGTTTGGTTTTTTGTTTGTTTGTTTTTAGATGAGGCCTCTGTCACCCAGGCTGGAGTAGTGATGCCACCTTGGCTCACTGCAACTTCTGCCTCCCAGGTTCAAGCAATCCTCCCACCTCAGGCTCCTGAGTAGCTGGGACTACAGCTGCTCGCCACCACACCCTGTTAATTTTTTGTATTTTTTAGCAGAGACAGGGTTTTACCATGTTGCACAGGCTGGACTCGAACTCCTGAAGTCAAGAGATACATACACCCAACTCGGCCTCCCAAAGTGCTGGGATTACAGGCATGAGCCACTGTGACCAGCCCTAATGTGAAGTTTGAACCAAAAAAAATTCAAACGTTATTGCTATTTAAAATGTTACTTTGGCTGGGCGTGGTGGCTCACGCCTATAATCCCAGCATTTTGGGAGGCCAAGGCGGGTGGATCACCTGATGTCAGGAGTTCGCAACCAGCCTGACAAACATGGTGAAACCCTGTCTCTACTAAAAATACAAAAAAAAAAATTAGCCTTGGCCGGGTGCAGTGGCTCATGCCTGTAATCCCAGCACTTTGGGAGGCCGAGGCGGGTGGATCACCTGAGGTCAGGAGTTCGAGACCAGCCTGACCAATATGGAGAAACCCCTTCTCTACTGTCTCTACTAAAAATACAAAATTAGCTGGGCGTAGTGGCACAAACCTGTAATCCCAGCTACTAGGGAGGGTGAGGCAGGAGAATCGCTTGAACCTGGGAGGCGGAGGTTGCAGTGAGCCAAGATCGTGCCATTGCACTCCAGCCTGGGCAACAAGAGTGAAACTCCGTCTCAAAAAAAAAAAAAAAAAAAAAAGCCAGACCTGGTGGCGCATGCCTGTAATCCCAGCTACTCAGGAGGCTGAGGCAGGAGAATCGCTTGAACCCAGGAGGCAGAGGTGGCAGTGAGCTGAGATTGCACCACTGCACTCCAGTCTGGGCAATGAGAGAAACTCCATCTCAAAAAAAAAAAAAAGTTACTTTTACTGGCCAGGCAAAGTGGCTCATGCCTATAATCCCAGCACTTTGAGAGGCCGAGGTGGGCGGATCGCTTGAGGTCAGGAGTTCAAGACCAGCCTGACCAACATGGCGAAACCTCATCTCTACTAAAAATACAAAAAAATCAGCCAGGCATGGTGGTGCACGCCTGTAGTCCCAGCTACTCAGGAAGCTGAGGCAGGAGAATTGCTTGAACACAGGAGGCGGAGGTTGCAATGAACCGAGATTGAGCCGCTGCACTACAGCCTGGGTGACAAAGTGAGACTCTGTCTCAAAAAAATAAAATAAAATAAGATAGGGTGCAGTGGCTCACACCTGTAATCCAGCACTTTGGGAGACTGAGACAGGTGGATCATCGGAGGTCAGGAGTTCAAGACCAGCCTGGCCAACATGGTGAAACCCCATCTCTACTAAAAATTCAAAAAATTAGCTGGGCACGGTGGCGGGTGCCTGTAATCCCAGCTACTCGGGAGGCTGAGGCAGGATAATTGCTTGAACCCGGGAGGCAGAGGTTGCAGTGAGCCAAGATTGTGCCACTGCACTCCAGCCTGGGCGACAGAGTGAGACTCTGTCTCAAAAATAAATTAATTAATTAAATGAAATGTTACTTTTATTTTATTGAGAGAAAAAAACCCCAATATTCAAGTGCTTTATGTTTTTTCTCTCTCATGTCACCACGGTGAGATGATCACAAATACTTGATTTTAGGAATTACCTAAACAACTTATCTTTCCAGCATTAGATTACGGTTAAGTGGGTAGACAGAAAAATCTGTCACTATAGGTATGGAAATGCTGGATAACATCTAACAAATATGCTTTTAAATGCATAGGTAAGGCCAGGTGCAGTGGCTCACACCTGTAATCCCAGCACTTTGGGAGGCCAAGGCAAGAGGATCGCTTGAGGCCAGGAGTTTGGGACCAGCCTGGGCAACATGGTGAGACTCCCATCTGCACAAAAAATTTAAAAATTAGCTGGGTGTGGTGGTGCACATCTGTAGCTCCAGCTACTTAGCAGGCTGAGACAGGAGGATCACTTGAGCCCAGGAAGTGGCTGCAGTGAGCCATGATCCTGCCACTATACTCCAGTTCTGGGCAACAGAGAGACACCCTGTCTCAAAAAAATTGTAAATACATACAGATGTACATACATATATATGTACATAAGTAAACTCACAAGAAGGGATGGGAAATCCGGGACTGAAAACAGAAAGTTATGAAAATCAGAGAAGCAGCTGAGCAGATGCTGGTTCTGCTGTGTATACGGTTGTGTTGGCACAGGGAATAAGCATAATAGAGACTAGAAACACCCAGACGCTTACTGGATACTTGGTTTATGGCAGTTAGCATTGCATCAATGGGCAAAGGATAAGCTCTTCAATACACAATGATAGGACGACTGGTTATTCATTTGAAAAGAAAGAAAATTGAACCTCTGGCCAGGTGCAGTGGCTCATGCCTATAATCCCAGCACTTTAGGAGGCGTAGGCGGGCGGATCACCTGAGGTCAGGAGTTCGAGACCAGCCTGACCAACATGGCGAAACCCCATCTCTACTAAAACTACAAAAATTGGCTGGGCTTGGTGGCAGGTGCTTGTAATCCAGCTACTCGGAAGGCTGAGGCAGGGGAATCGCTTGAACTTGGGAGGCGGAGGTTGCAGTGAGCCGAGATGGCGCCATTGCACTCCAGCCTGGGCGACAGAGTGAGACCGTCTCAAAAAAAAGAAAGAAAGAAAGAAAGAAAAGGGCCGGGCGCGGTGGCTGATGCATGTAATCCCAGCACTTTGGGAGACCGAGGCGGGCAGATCATGAGGTCAGGAGATCGAGACCATCCTGGCTAACGCGGTGAAACCCCGTCTCTACTAAAAATACGAAAAATTTAGCTGGGCGTGGTGGCGGGCGCCTGTAGTCCCAGGTATTTGGGGGGCTGAGGCAGGAGAATGGCGTGAACCCTGGAGGCGGAGCTTGCAGTGAGCCGAGACCGCGCCACTGCACTCCAGCCTGGGCTACAGAGCGAGACTCCCTCTCAAAAAAAAAAAAAAAAATTTAACCTGTACTTAATACTATTTTAAAAAATCAATTTCAGGTAGATTAAAGACCTAAATATAAAAAATTAAACTTTAAAACTTTAGAAGACAATATAGAAAAATATCTTTACGATCCTGGAGGTAAGGACAGATTGTCTAGACAAGATGAAAAGTGTCAATACTTAAGGAAAAGATTGATAATTTAACTACCTGAAAATTAATGTAAATTTTTCTACATCAAAAGAGACCATAACACAAGTGAAAAGACAGGCTACAAATAGGAGATGTTTGTAATACATATAAATGATAAAAGATGTGTGTCTGGAATTTATAAAGAGCTGCTGATTGAAAGGAATACACCATACAACAGAAAAATGAATCATGCATGTAAACAGTTCACCTCTAACAGTTCAAACATTATTCCTATTTAAAATGCTACTTTTATTTATCTTACTGAGAGAAAAATCCCCAATACTCAAGTACTTTATGTTTTTTCTCTCTCATATCCCCAAGGTGAGATGATCACAAATATTGGGTTTTAGGAATTATCTTAACAACTCATCTTTCCAGCATTAGATTATGGTTAAGTAGGTAGAAAAAACTTTCACTACAGGTATAGAAATGCTGGATAAGATCTAACAAATATCCTTTTAAATGCATAGGTAAGGCCAGGTGCAGTGGCTCACACCTGTAATCCCAGCATGTTTGGAGGCCAAGGCAGGAGAAGAAAAAACCTAAATGATTTTCTCTTATAAGGATCCTATTAAATATTAAATGTTGTTCTACCAGACTAATAAAGGAAATGTATATTTATACCTAAGATGAGATACTCTTTTACAGCCATCAGACTGACAAAAATTAAAATGACTGTATAAAGTGTTTGTGAGCATGTGGAGCCAAAAGAACTCTTATCTACTGCTGTTAGAATTGTAGACTAGACAACTGCTTTGGGCAGCATATGAGTGAAACCTAGCAAAGTCAAAGAGGTATGTGCCTTTTAGCTAGCAATCCAGCTCCCAGATATGTAAGCCTACAGAAATTTGCAAACTATCTCACACAACAACACAACAACAGTTAATACAAAAGACTCCTTGTGATCCCCAAATATATGGGAATTTTCTCATCACCAGCAATCAAGCAATCAATTCCACAGCAAACATCAGTTAGGCATCCTGCAATTCCATTCCTACACTATCTACCTGGAAACAATGTCAGATCCCACAGGTTAAGGGCTCAATTCCCAAGACTGCCCCCCACCCCATTCAGATACCAGTTGCAAGTCCAGGCCTCCATAACTTCTGACCAACCCGTCGTTTGTGGTTCCTGCAGCCCTCTCTTTGGGTTCCATTAATTTGCTAGAGTGGCTCACAGAACTCAGGGAAACATTTCCTTACATTTGCCGATTTTTTACTAAGTATATTTTAAGTATATGTAAGTATATTTTAAAGGATAAATAACCAGATGAAGAGATACATAAGATGAGGGCTAGGTACAGTGATTCACAGCTGTAATCCCAGCACTTTGGGAGGCTGAGGCAGGCAGATCACTTGAAGTCAGGAGTTGGTGACCAGCCTGGGCAACACAGGGAAACCCCCATCTCTACTGAAAATACAAAAAATTAACTGGGTGTGGTAGCACACACTTGTAATCCCAGCTACTGAGGATGCTGAGGCACAACAATCGCTTGAACCCAGGAGGCCGAGGCTGCAGTAAGCTGAGATCACACCACTGCACTCCAGCCTAGGCGACAGAGCAAAACTGTCTCAAAAAAAAAAAAAGGCCGGGTGCAGGGGATCACTCCTGTAATCCCAACACTTTGGGAGGCTGAGGCTGGTGGATTACCTGAGGTCAGGAGTTTGAGACCAGCCTGACCAACATGATGCAACCATGTCTCTACTAAGAATACAAAAATTAGCTGGGCGTGGTGGTGGGAACCTGTAATCTCAGCTACTCGGGAGGCTGAGGCAGAAGAATCGCTTGAACCCGGCAGTGAGCAGAGATCGTGCCATTGATTGCACTTCCTCTGGATGACAAAGCGGGACTCCATCTCAAAAAAAAAAAAAAAAGTGAGAGACACATAGGATGAGGTCTGGGGGAAGGGGCGTGTACCATCTAGGAACCTCCATGTGTTCAGCTACCCAGAAGCTCTCCAAACCCTGTTATTTTGGGTTTTTATGGAGGCTTCATTACATAGGCATGATTGATTAAACGATTGGCCATTGGTGATCAATTTAATCTTCAGCCCCCTCCCCTTCCTGGAGGTCATGTGGTAGATCAGAAAGTCCCGATCCTCTAATCCTGCCTAGGTCTTTCTGGTGACCAGCTCCCATCCTGAAGCTGCCTAAGAGCTGCTAGCCATCAGTTAATAATTAGCATACAAAAAGATATCACTGTGGAGGTTCCAAAGATTTTAGGAGTTGTACCCCAGAAAGGGAGATGAAGACCAAATATTTGACAATGAAACAGGAGGCATTCAGACACATAGCACCTACTTTAGAGGCTGAGGTGGGAGGATCACTTGAGCCCAAGAGATGAAGGCTGCAGTGAGCCAAGATCTCATTACTACACTGCAGCCCGGGTGACAGAATGAGATCTCTGTCTCAAAAATAAAAATTAAAAAATCCCAATATGGTTTTGCTTTTCATTTTTGTTACTATAGGTGATGCTGAGCATCTTTATGTTTGTGTGAAAGCCTTTGAATTCTCCTTCTGTTAGTGATTGACATCCTTTGTTTAATTTTCCTGTGAGTTTTTGGTCTTTTTTCTTATTGATTTGTAAGAGCTTCTTTTTTCTTTTCTTTTTTTAAAAATCCATTTCTTTGTAGGAGCTTTTTATTTATTTGGGAAATTACCCTTTTGCCTATGTATTAAGGTAATGCTAGCTACTGTAATAGATTAACCTACACAATGGAAGTTTATTTCTCAATATGAAATCCTATTGCTGGTAGAGAGAAATCCTCTAAGCCAAAATCTAGGAAATGCTCCCCTTCCATTTTGTGGCTCTGCCATTTTCTTTTTTTTCTTTTTTTTTTTTTTTTGAGATGGAGTCTTGCTCTGTTGCCCAGGCTGGAGTGCAGTGGCACAATCTCGGCTCACTGCAACCCCCACCTCCCGGGTTCAAGCAATTCTCCTGCCTCAGCCTCCTGAATAGCTGGTACTACAGGTGCCCGCCACCATGCCTGGCTAATTTTTTGTATTTTTAGTAGAGACACGGTTTCACTGTGTTAGCCAGGATGATCTCGATCTCCTGACCTTGTGATCTGCCTGCCTCGGCCTCCCAAAGTGCTGGGATTACAGGCATAAGCCATCGCGCTCTGCTGTGGCTCTGCCATTTTCAAACATTCATGAGATTTCTGTGTCTATCTGTATTAAGCCACCAGATAGGAAAAGAGTTTGGAGGATCAATTGTGACTTAAAACAAACAAACAACAACAACAACAAAAACAGTCAGTTAAAGAGAGAACGGAACTTCCTCAACATCATAAAGGACATTTTTGGCAAGCCCAAAACTAACATCATACTCAATGGTGAAAAACTAAAAACTTTTCCTATAAAATAAAGGATGCCTGCTTTTGCCACTTTTATTCGTCATAGTATATGATGAATAGTATAGTAAGTTCTAGCCAAAGTAATTAGGCAAGAAAAGAAATAAAAGACATCCCAATTGGAAAGTAGGAAGTAAAATTATTTACAGATGATATTTGTTTATTAATTCTAGTACTAATAGACAAATTCAGCAAAGTGACAGGATACAAAATCAGCATGCAAAAATTAGTTGCATTTCTATACATTAACGATGACCAATCCAAAAAGGAAATTAAGAAAGCAATTCCTACTTGGGAGGCTGAGGCAGGAGAATCACTTGAACCTGGGAGGCAGAGATTGCAGTGAGCCTAGATTGTGCCACTGCACTCCAGCCTGGGTGACAGAGAGATTCTGTCAAAAAAAAAAAAAAGCAATTCCATTTATAATAGCATAAAAAAATACTTAGGAATAAACTTAACCGAGGAAGCAAAAGACTTACCCACTGAAAAATACAAAACATTGCTGAAAGAAATTAAAGTAACCACAAATAAATAGAAAGATGAAGGGGTGGGTTGCCCCTCCACACCTGTGGGTGTTTCTCGTTAGGTGGAACGAGAGACTTGGAAAAGAAAAAGACACAGAGACAAAGTATAGAGAAAGAAATAAGGGGGCCCAGGGAACCAGCGTTCAGCATATGGAGGATACCGCCAGCCTCTGAGTTCCCTTAGTATTTATTGATCATTCGTGGGTGTTTCTCTGAGAGGGGGATGTGTCAGGGTCACAAGACAACAGTAGGGAGAGGGTCAGCAGACAAACACGTGAACAGAGGTCTTTGCATCATAGACAAGGTAAAGAATCAAGTGCTGTGCTTTTAGATATGCATACACATAAACATCTCAACGCTTTACAAAGCAGTATTGCTGCCCGCATGTCCCACCTCCAGCCCTAAGGCGGTTTTTCCCTATCTCAGTAGATGGAACGTACAATCGGGTTTTTACCAAGACATTCCATTGCCCAGGGACGGGCAGGAGACAGATGCCTTCCTCTTGTCTCAACTGCAAGAGGCATGCCTTCCTCTTATACTAATCCTCCTCAGCACAGACCCTTTATGGGTGTCGGGCTGGGGGACGGTCAGGTCTTTCCCTTCCCACGAGGCCATATTTCAGACTATCACATGGGGAGAAACCTTGGACAATACCTGGCTTTCCTAGGCAGAGGTCCCTGCAGCCTTCCACAGTTTTTGTGTCCCTGGGTACTTGAGATTAGGGAGCAGTGATGACTCTTAAGGAGCATGCTGCCTTCAAGCATCAGTTTAACAAAGCACATCTTGCACCGCCCTTAATCCATTTAACCCTGAGTTTGACACAGCACATGTTTCAGAGAGCACGGGGTTGGGCGTAAGGTCATAGATTAACAGAATCTCAAGGCAGAAGAATTTTTCTTAGTACAGAACAAAATGGAGTCTCCTATGTCTACTTCTTTCTACACAGACACAGTAACAATCTGATCTCTCTTGCTTTTCCCCACAGAAAGACATTCTGTGTTCATAGGTATTGAATCTGTAGATTCAATACCACCCCTATCAAAATCCCAATGATGTTTTTGCAAAAATCAAAAAATCCATTCTAATCTGAAAATTAAGAAAAAGTGCTGGCCTAGCGTGATGACTCATGCCTGTGATTCCAGCACTTTGGGAGGCCAAAGCAGGCAAATTGCTGAGCCTAGGAGTTTGAGACCAGCCTGGGGAACATGGCAAAACCCTATCTCAACAAAAAATACAAAAATTAGCTGGGTGTGGTGAAGTGCACCTGTAGTCCCAGCTACTTGAGAAGCTGAGGTGGGAGGATGAGGTGGGAGGATCACTTGAGCCCGGGGAGGTTGAGGCTGCAGTGAGTTGTGATTGCACCACTGCACTCCAGCCTGGGCAACAGAGTGAGAACTTGTCTCAAATAAAAATTAAAAACAAATTTAGTGGCTGGGCATGTGACTCATGCCTGTAATCCTAGCACTTTGGGAGGCCAAGGCAGGCGGATCACTTGAGGTCAGGAGTTCAAGACCAGCTGGCAACATGGCAAGACCCCGTCTCTACTAAAAATATAAAAATTAGCTGGGCATGGTGGCACATGCCTGTAATCCCACCTACTCAGGAGGCTGAGGCAGGAGAATCGCCTGAATCCGGGAGGTGGAGGTTGCAGTGAGCCAAGATCATACCACTGCACTCTTGCCTGGGTGACAGAGTGAGACCTTGTGGCAAAAAAAAAAAAAAGAAAGAAAGAAAAGAAAAAATGCTAATTATGGCTTCCTATTTCTCTGTAGAAGAAAGCTAACTTACATAATCTAAACTAGTGCTTTTTATACTTTAATGTATATACAAATGTCTGAGGATCTTGTTTAAAATGCAGATTCTGACTCTATAGACCTGGAGTGTAATCCAATAGTCTTTTCTGTTAAGCTCCCGGATGATACCAAGGACGCACTAGCATCACCTGCAAACTTACTAGATCTCATTAGCTAAGTATTTAGGATAAATCTACATGCAGCCTGTACTTCGGCCTTTGTGATCTTGTCCACCCCTTTGATACACACACACCTCTTTGTTTATCTCTTGCCATTCCTCCTCTCCCTCCCTCAGCTGCAGCCACACTGGCCTCCCTGCTGTTCCCTGCTCCCTGAGGCATGCTCCTGCCCCAGGGCCTTGGCACTGTCTACTCTGCTTGGATCACTCTGCCTCACCCCATACTGGCATGACTTTCTTTCACTTGTTGCACAAATATCACCTTATTAGACAGGATTTTTCTGACCACAATACATAAGATAGACCTCGCATCCCCAATACCTAATAACACCTGAAATATGTGTTTGTGAAATACATGTATGCATGTGTTTACTGACTATTCCCCCCATTTCAACTGTAAGTTCCATGTCATTTTATTCACTGGTATATGGCCAGTGCCTGGAAGAGCTCCTAGCACATAGTAGACACTTAATAGATACTCATTGAATAAATAGCAGAAAACCATTCATTTAGATTAAAACTTAAAAAATTCAAAATCAGGCTGGGTGTGGTGGCTCACGCCTGTAATCCTGGCACTTTGGAGGCCAAGGTGGGTGGATCACCTGAGGTCAGGAGTTTGAGACCAACCTGGCCAATATGGTGAAACCCCATCTCTACTAAAAATACAAAAATTAGCCAGGAGTGGTGGTGGGTGCCTGTAATCCCAGCTACTTGGGAGGCTGAGGCATGAGAATTGCTTGAACCCAGGAGGCAGAGGTTGCAGTGAACCAAGATTGTGCCTCTACACTCCAGCCTGGGCGACAGAGCAAGATTCCGTCTTAAAAAAAATAAAAATTCAAAATCAGATGCCAGCTGCTTTATGCCTCTCACTTAAAAAATATATGAAATTACTGGCTAAGAAGATTTATTTTTTAATCTATTGTAGCACTTATATTTATTTATAATGGAGAAAACAATAGGAAAAGAGGTTTTGAAAAGTTCCCCAAATAGGTGATTCCATCCTGAGCAGCTGCTCTCTGGAGCAGTAGTCGTTTATCTCTGTCCATCTTCTCTCCCCACTAAGTGCACGCCTCCACCCCATGGGAAATTCGATGGACATGGACATAAGCCCCCTGAGGCCCCAGGACTATCTTTTCAGTTGTGAACTAAAGGCCGACGAAGTGATCACTTTAAGGTGGATAATGATGAAAATGAGCACCAGTTGTCTTTAAGAATGGTCAGTTTCGGGGCTGGTGCAAAGGTTGAATTGCACATTGTTGAACCTGAGGCAATGAATTTCGAAGGCAATCCCATTAAAGTAACACCGGCAACTTGAAGTGTATATACAGCCAACGGCTTCCCCTGGGAGCTTTGAAATAACACCCCTCCATGGTCTTACAGTTGAAGTGTGGACTTTGAAATAACACCCCTCCATGGTCTTACTGTTGAAGTATGGACTTTGAAATAACCCAGCCATGGTCTTTCAGTTGAAGTGTGGTTCAGGGCCAGTGTATATTAGTGGACAGCACTTAGTATCTGTGGAGGAAGATGCAGAGTCAGAAGATGAAGAAGAGGAGGATGTGAAACTCTTAAGTATATCTGGAAAGCAATCTGCCCTGGAGGTGGAAGCAAGATTCCACAAAAAAGAGTAAAATTTGCTGCTGCTGAAGAGGAAGAAGAAAGAGGAGGAGGAGGAAAGAAGGAAGAAGAAAGAAGAAGAAGGAGGAGAAGAAGAAGAGGAGGAGGAGGAAGAGGATGAGGAGGAAGAGGAGGAGGTGGAAGAGGAAGAGGAAGAAGAGGATTTTGATGATGAGGAAACTGAAGAAAAAGTGCCAGTGAATAAATGTATATGAGACACTTCTGCCGAGAACACCCAAAATTCAAACCAGAATGGCAAAGACTCAAAACCATCAACACCAAGATAAAAAAGACAAGAATCTTTCAAAAAACAGGAAAAAAACTCCTAAAACACCAAAAGACCTAGTTCTGTAAAAGACATTAAAGCAAAAACGCAGGTACAGAAAAACGTGGTTCTCTTTCCAAAGTCGAAGCCAAGTTCATCAATTATGTGAAGAATTGCTTCCGGAAGACTGACCAGGAGGCTATTCAAGATCTCTGGCAGCGGAGGAAGCCTCTTGAAGAAAATAGTTTAAACAGTTTTTTATAAGTTTTCCGTCTTATTTCACTTCTGTAATAGTTGATATTTGGCTGTCCTTTTATAATGCAGAATGAGAACTTTCCCTACTGCGTTAATAAATGTTGCCCAGGTTCCATGGCCAATAATGTGCTGTCCAAAATGCCTGTTTAGTTTTTTTTTGTTGTTGTTTGTTTGTTTGTTTTTTGAGACGGAGTCTCGCCCTGTCACCCAGGCTGGAGTGCAATGGTGCCATCTCGGCTCACTGCAACCTCTGCCTCCCGGGTTCAAATGATTCTCCTGCCTCAGTCTCCTCCTGAGTAGCTGGGATTACAGGCACTCACCACCACATCCAGCTACTTTTTGTATTTTTAGTAGAGACAAGGTTTCACCATGTTGGCAAAGCTGGTCTCGAACTCCTGACCTCGTGATCCGCCCGCCTCGGCCTCCCAAAGTGTTGGGATTACAAGCATGAGCCACCATGCCCAGCCTAGTTTTTAAAGATGGAACTCCAGCCTTTACTTGGTTTTAAGTATGTATGGAATATTATGATAGGACATAGTAGTAGTGGGGGTCAGACATAGAAATGGTGGGGAGACAAAAATATACATGCGAAATAAACTCAGTATTTTAATAAAGTAGCACATTTTCTATTGAAAAAAAGTTCCCCAAATAACATTTATTTGGTGAAGTACAATCCTTTCTTTGAAATACATAAAACAGGTGAGCGATCATGCATATGAGGTTGGCCTGGCTGCACTAGGAATTCAGGGACAATTCAAGACCATCTAATTCAGGCATGGTACTTGCATTTTGCTGCATCATGTTTTCTCTATGCCTATTTCAGTTGAGATCTTTTGGTTGAAAGAAACAAAGGTTAACTCAAGTGACCTCAAGGACACAAGGAAATAAAGGTTCTTGTGAAGAAATACAAAACTGTAAACTGTGGCATTGTTTTGCCTGCTAGGAACTGGCAACCCTAGCAACCTTAGAAATGTCAGCATCAAGAGCTTTTGGATTTTAACTGTAATATTGAAGCAATAACAGGATTAGTTCCTTTCTACACATCTGTTCTGTTTTTCTTTCCTTACCATATCTGACTTTGTCAGCCTCATTTTATTTCTTTAACTTATTGCCTATGCCAACTCATAGCTTCTTCTTTTTATAACTTTCTAACATATACATATGCATCATGGTCTCTTTAGCTTCTATTGAATTTTGATCATGTAGCTTCAGCATTTTTTTTTTTTTTTTTGAGACAGAATCTCACTGTGTTGCCCAGTCTGGAGTGCAGTGGCACCATCTTGGCTCACTGCAACCTCTGCCTCCCAGATTCAAGCAATTCTCCTGCCTCAGTCTCCTGAGTAGCCAGGATTACAGGCGCCTGCCACCACATCAGCTGGTTCTTTTGTATTCTTAGTAGAGACAGGGTTTCACCTTGTTAGACAGGCTGGTCTGGAACTCTTGACCTCAGGTGATCCACCCACCTCGGCCTCCCAAATTGCTGAGATTACAGGTGTGAGCCACTAAGCCCAGCCAACCTTTCATAGTTAACTCTCCTCCTCTTTCCAAAGTCTCCAGTTCCAATTCTACAAAGAGTAAATGTGCTTAGACCGGCTGATATTTTTTGTATCAGGGTCACTGTGGTCAGTCAAAGGATTGGCTGTCCTTGGGACTGCATCCTATTGTTTGTCCAGACAGCAGTGACAGCAGTATAGGGTCAAGTGGTCCCAGCTGGGGATGTCCTTTGTGTCACTAAAACGGTTCTTTTGCAAGGGACTGTGGATGGAGCAGGCATCATGACTTACTTGTGTAACACACACATGCTTCTCTCATTGAAAATACTTTTTTTTTTTTTGAGACAAGTTCTCACTATGTCACCCATGTTGGAATGCAGTGGCACGATCACACATCACTGCAACCTCAAACTCCTGGGCTCAAGCAATCCTCCCACTTCAGCCTCTCAAATAACTAGGACTACAGGCATGCACCACACACCCAGCTAATTTCGTTTATTTTCTGTAGAGACAAGTTTTCACTATGTTGCCCAGGCTCGTCTCAAGCTCCTGGACTCAGGTGATCCTCCTGCCTTGGCCTCCCAAAGTGCTGGGATTACAGGAGTGAGCCACCATGCCTGACCCTGAAAAGACTTCTTTTTCTCTTCCTTTTTATGAAGCAGACTGTGGAAATGTCTCATGACTCACCACAATAATCCTCCTCCAAGGTGCCTATTCTCAGGCTCAGTTAGAGGCCTGACCTCTTTGTTGTAACCTGTGTCACATTGTCTAGTAATCCTATCATATTTGTATCTCCTGTTAGATTGTGAGCATCTCACGCTCAGATCTGTAATCTTAGAGTCGGGGCCTCAGTGAATGATTACTGAAAAAGCAAGCTTTAACTTGATTAAGTGTTAGGCAGGGAGTGTTATTCACTCCCTGAAGAAAAAGAAGGGAGTGGGGATGGATTATTCTTTTTGACAGGAAAGGTGTGCAGCTCATTAAAAAGGTTGTCCTGGCCGGGCCCAGTGGTTCATGCCTGTAATCCCAACACTTTGGGAGGTTGAGGCGGGTGGATCACCTGAGGTCAGGCATTCGAGACCAGCCCAGCCAACATGAAGAAACCCTGTCTCTACTAAAAATACAAAAAACAGCTGGGCATGGTGGGGCGAGCCTGTAATCCCAGCTACTCAGGAGGCTGAGGCAAGAGAATCGCTTGAACCTGGGGATCGGAGGTTGCAGTTAGCTGAGAATGTGCCATTGCACTCCAGCCTGGGTGACAGGAGTGAAACTACTCTGTCTCAAAAAAAAAAAAAGGTTATCCTTATTAAGAACTGTCTTTTTGGCCAGGCGCAGTGGCTCACGCTTGTAATCTCAGCACTTGGGGAGGCCAAGGCAGGCAGATCACCTGAGGTCAGGAGTTGGAGACCAGCCTGGCCAACATGGCAAAACCCCATCTCTACTAAAATACAAAGATTATCTGGGCGAGGTGGCACACACCTGTAATCCCAGCTACCTGGGAGGCTGAGGTAGACAAATCACTTGAACCCAGGAGACGGAAGTTGCAGTGCACTGAGATCATGCCACTGCACTCCAGCCTGGGTAATAGAGTGAGACTCTGTCTCAAAAAACAAACAAAACAAACTGGCTTTGGTGGGAAAATGTATGCTATTTGGCAAAGGAGCAGCCTCAGCAGTTTCCCAAAGCTTATCTTCCTAAAACTTCTTGTGCAATGTCATTTGATCAAATGTTCCTGGTTGGCGAAATTTGTGAAACATTGTCTTAAAGAAAGTAAAGCAGGCTGGGTGTGGTAGCTCACGCCTCTAGTTCCAGCTACTCTAAAGGCTAAAGTGGGAAGGTGGCTTGAGCCCAAGAGTTCCAGGCTGCACTAAGTCACCCAGCCTGGTCCACAGAGTGAGACCTTGTCTCAAAAAACAAAACAAACAAAGTAAAGCAGTTTTCTTTACTGTAGAGGTTATCAAAATGTGGTCTGTCTACCCCCAGGTATCTGAGTCCATTTCATGAAGTACATGAGGGTCTTAATTATTTTCATACAATACTAAGATGTTTGCTTTTTTCACTATGTGGAAAAAACAGTATGTGGCATTACATTTCTACTGATGGTATAAAGGCAATAGTGGTTTATATTGCTGGAGCATTAGAACGTTAAGGCAATGACATGTGATGGTTAGTTTCATCATCATTATTATTATTATTATTATTATTATTATTATTATTATTATTATTATTTTGAGACAGAGTCTTGCTCTGACCCCCAGGTTGGAGTGGAGTGCAGTGGCGCGATCTCGGCTCGCTGCAAGCTCCGCCTTCTGGGTTCACGCCATTCTCTGGCCTCAGTCTCCTGAGTAGCTGGGACTACAGCACCTGCCACCGTGCCCGGCTACTTTTTTTTTGTATTTTTAGTAGAGACGGGGTTTCACCGTGGTCTTGATCTCCTGACCTCATGATCCGCCCACCTCGGCCTCCCAAAGTGCTGGAATTACAGGCGTGAGCCACTGTGCCTGGCCTATTATTATTATTTTGAGACAGAGTCTTGCTTTGTTGTCCAGGCTGCAGTGCAGTGGCGCATTCACGACTCATTGTAGCCTTGACATCCTAGGCTCAAGTGATCCTCCTGCCTCAGCACCTCCACCTGCCCACTGCCCCCACCCACATCCACCTTCAACAACAGCTGTGACTACAGGTGTGTGCCACCAAACCCAGCTAATTTTTAAAAATTTTTTGTAGAGACGGGGTTTCATTATATTGCCCAGACTGGTCTTCAACTCCTGGGCTCAAGTGATCCTCCCACCTAGGCCTCCCAAAGTGCTGGGATTATAGGCTTGAGCCACCGTGCCCAGCAATGGTTAATTTTAGATGTCAATTTGGCTGGGTGAAGGGAAGCCAAAAGAGCTGATACACCATTTTTTATGGGTGTGTCTGTGAGCTGTTTCTGGAAAGAGAGTAGCATTTGAATCAGTGGATTGAGTAAAGAAGATCTGCTCTCACCAATGTGGGTGGACACCAATGAGCTGCAAATCAGATAAAACAAAAAGGCAGAGGAAAGGCGAATTCACTCTCATCTGGAACTGGGACACTCTTCTCCTCCTGACTTGGACATCTGAATTCCCAGTTATCGGGTCTTTGGACCTGGGACTTGCACCAGCAGCCTCCCCAGGTTCTCAGGCCTTCAGCCTTAGATGGAGAGTTAACCCATTCTGAGGCCAGCTTGCAGGTGGCTATCATGGGACTTCTCATAGTTGTGTGAGCCAATTCCCCTAATAAATCCCTTCCTATCTATCTATGATCTATCTATCTATCTATCTATCCAGCTGTTTATATGCTATTTGTTCTTTCTCTCTGCAGAACCCTAATACAGACACCAAACTTTAGAGTAGTACTGCATATTGTACATATATAGTAGTAATTGTATTATTTACTGCCAACTACTCACAGTTTAAAAACAGAGGCAGTTTTACTTTAAAATATTCTTGATGAAGCAGTAAAAAAATCATGTATTTTAAATATTCTGTGCAATATAGTGGGGAGCACACATAAAATAGTTCTCTTTAACACAATAAGATGACTGATATAAGGAAAGGCCCTTGTGTGGTTGTGTGAATTGCCACCTGAACTAACCACTTTTTCATGAACCACTGTTTCTTACTTGAAAGAACAACCAACAAACTATTTTTGCTCAGACTTGGTTATGTGGCAAACATTTACTCAAAAATGAAAATAATAAAACTGTCACTGTTAAGAAAACAACTGACGGCATTTATTGCCAATGACAAGGTTCAAGATTTTAAGCAAAATTTAGAATTTTGGGAGACTTCCGTATACTACTGTGAGACTGACAGCTTCCCAATACATAAAGCTGATGAGATTGATGGTGTTATTGAGAAAAATAAATTTTTGGTATTGTGTAATGAAATATGTCAACCTTTGGAAGATCTGAATAACTCAGTGAATCAATATTTTCCAAAGACATGCACAATTCAATAAAACCATGCATGAGTAAAAGATCCAGTCAGAGGTCTAATGTAATCAATGGACTCCAATGTGACAAAGTATGAAAAGTTAATAGATAGGATTTCAATTTCTACACTGGAATTCACCTTGAAGAAACTACCACTTGTCAAGCTTTGGTGTAACATAAGGAAAAATTTCATCCACAACAATCTGAAAAGGCTATTAAAATACTCTTCCTTTTTCCAACTACCTGTTTGTGTGAGGCCATATTATCTTCAAATACTTGAACTAAAATAATATATTGCAACAGAGTGAATGCAGAATCAAGATACACAATCCAGCTGTCTTCTACTAAGCCAGACATTAAAGATATTTGCAACAATGTAAAACAATGTCACTCTTTCACTGTTTTTTTGAAAATTATAGTCATATTTAATTTAAAATATTTATAAGGCTGGTTGTGGTGGCTCACGCCTGTAATCTCAACACTTTGAGAGGCAGAGGTGAGAGGATTGCTTCAGTTCAGTAGTTTGAGACCAGCCTGGGCAACATGGTGAAACCCCCATCTCTACAAAAATACGAAAAAAAAGAAAAAAATTAGTCAGGCGTGGTGGCACACACCTGTAGTCCCAGCTACTTGGGAGGCTGAGGAAGGAGAATCACTTCAGCCCAGGAGTTAGAGGCTGCAGTAAACTGTGATTGCACCACTGCATTCCAGCCTAGGTAAAGATCCTGTCTCAAAAACAAAAAACAAAAAAAAAACAGATGAAAAAAAACATAAGGCTGGGCACGGTGGCTCACACCTGTAATCCCAGCACTTTGGGAGGCCAAGGTGGGTGGGTCACAAAGTCAGGAGTTCAAGACCAGTCTGGCCAGCATAGTGAAACCCCATCTCTACTAAAACTACAAAAAATTAGCCGGGTGTGGTGGTGTGTGCCTGTAATCCCAGCTACTCTGGAGGCTGAGGCAGGAGAATCAGGTGAACCCAGGAGGTGGAGGTTGCAGTGAACCAAGATCACGCCATTGCCCTCCAGCCTGGGTGACACTGCGAGACTCCATCTGAAAAACAAACAAACAAACAAACAAACAAAAAAGCTTAAAAGTATTTTTTCTGAAATGTTATAAAATATTGGTAATGTGTGTGCTAGTTTTCAATTTCTTGTCTGTCAGCTATAAAGCCACCTTCCTTTGCTCTCCTTTGTGATAGTGGAGCCTAGACCCTGTCCTGAAAACATTTCTTTGCCCACTGGTGAAATGTGAAGCTGCGTCAACAGAAGTCACTGAAGTGTTTCATAGAGCTAGAGCAGTAGGTTGGTACTTGGCTTCTGGATTCTGGTACTCCATTATTATTTATTATTTAGTGCATATGAACTCCACTTACTCCCTCCAGCCAGCTCTCTCCATCTTCAATGGCTTTATAGACCCGCAATGGGCCATTATGTCTGGCAAGTTTCTTCAGCCAGCCAGCCAGTGTTCCAGGCTGTCTTCGAGAGGTCTAAGCCTCAGCCCTGGGGAATGGCCCTCTTCCAGTCTTTGGTTTTATTTATTGTCCACTGTCTGTCTGGAAGGAGTATGTGCCTTTTTGCACCTGCCACTTCTTGATGCCATGGGGCTCCTCTTCTACCCTTTTTAGAGTTAACTGCCATCTACTAGCCAATCTTTTTTTTTTTTCTTTTTAAATACAAAGTCTCACTCTGTTGCCCAGGCTGGAGTGTAGTGGTGTGATCTCAGCTCACTGCAACCTCCACCTCCTGGGTTCAACTGATTCTTGTGCTTCAGCCTCCTGAGTAGCTGGGATTACAGGTATGCGCCACCATGCCCAGCTAATTTTTGTATTTTTAGTAGAGATGGGGTTTGGCTATGTTTGACAGGTTGGTCTTGAACTCCTGACCTCAAGTGATCAACCCACCTTGGCATCCCAAAGTGCTGGGATTATAGGCATGAGCCACCACACCCAGCCACCAGCTAACACTTCTTTATGTTAAAATATGACTCTTTAGATAACTAATGCAATAACTGTCTCCTGACTGGATCCTACCTATAGAACATGTAATGAGGCTTGTATTGTTATTTTAAAATGAACTAATTAAAAATTTATACTTTTCTCAGTTTTAATTTCTAACATAGTAAATAGTGGTAGATATAGTCCATATAAAGAAAATAGTTAACGCTTTTAAAAGTGTAAAAATAGGCCTGGTGTGGTGGCTCATGCCTGTAATCCCAGCACTTTGGGAGGCCAAGACAGGTGGATTTGGTCAGGAGTTCCAGACCAGCTGGGCCACCATGGTGAAACCCCATCTCTACTAAAAATACAAAAAAAATATAGCCAGGCGTGGTGGCTCATGCCTATAATACCAGCTACTCGGGAGGCTGAAGCAGGAGAATTGCTTGAACCTGGGACGCGGAGGTTGCAGTGAGCCGAGATCACGCCACTGCACTCCAGCCTGGGTGACAGAGCGAGACTCCACCTCAAAATAAATAAATACGTATAAAAATAAATA
Source organism: Homo sapiens (assembly GCF_000001405.40). NCBI lineage: Eukaryota > Metazoa > Chordata > Mammalia > Primates > Hominidae > Homo > Homo sapiens. The sequence goes on from NC_000018.10 coordinate 26,213,872, forward strand.
AATAAAAGTGTAAAATTTTCACGAGATGAAAAGGTTTGAGGGGCAGGTCCAGTGGCTCATGCCTGTAATCCCAGCACTTTGGGAAACCAAGGTGGGAGTCTCACTTAAGCCAACGAGTTCAAGACCAGCCTGGGCAACATGGTGAGACCTTGTCTCTATTAAAAATAATAATAATAAATAAAAATGTTGAGAACTGCTGCTTTACTGCAAGTCTTCTGCAAGTCTTTGATACACTAAAGCACATTGCAAATCTGAATTTAAACCTAAGTCTAATATATAATAAAGCTGTAGGAGGCAGGGAGGTTGACAACTTTTAAGTCTTGAAAACTTGAAATATTTCTTTTTCCTTATTCAGAAGTTCCTCTTTAAAAAATAGAAGAAAGATATCACACCTTATCAACTAACAAAGTAATTAAAATGTAGTATATTTGCTGGAATTAGTTGACAGTAAAGGGAAGATATAATGGAACACTTGTTGATACTTAGAAGATGAAGTGTCTCTGGAGAGCAGTACCTGGGAAAAAATAAAAGAGAGGTGATGGTAGCTGAGAGGTTTTAGCCCAGTTACAACAAAATCTCACAGTAGTGTGTCAGAAACTGCAAGTTAAACAGTAAAATAACCCAGGCCCTTTTGTTAAGGAACTTAAAGTGTTCTGGGAAGACAGGGAAGTAATGAATATACCAGGAGGAAAAGAGAAGCACAATGAAGGACATTTGTTGGGAAGAGGGTCAAGGAAGACTTCCTTGGGAAAATCTCTTCAGCTACCTCCTTGCCTGGCAGGAGGAGCATGGTGTCACGAGGAGATCAGTGTGGGAAGACAGGGGTAGCTAGAGTGATGCCAAGCAGAGGTCGCATCTCAGGACGGAACTTCTATTCTATATTAGGATTTTACTCTTGAGGCATTGGGAGGGTGTGGTAGGGTGTCTGAGGGGGCCATAGAAAGGTTTTTTTCTTTGTAGAGATGGGGTCTTGCTATGTTGCCCAGGCTGGTCTCCAACTCCCGGGCTCAAGTAATCCTTCTGCCTCGGCCTCCCAAAGTGCTAGAATTACAGGCATGCACAATGATGCCTGGCCAGAAAGTTTTTACCTATGGAAGAACAATTAAATGTTTCTTTTTAGAGAGGCAAACAAACAATTAAACCACTTGAGAAACTAATGTATCAAGAACAAGACTAGAAAGCATGATATTGTTATTATTCAACATTTTTCTGGAGCTATAATCAATGCAATAATACTACAAAAACACATGATCTACAAATTTATTCATTCAAGGCTGGGCGTGGTGGCTCATGCCTGTAATCTCAGCATTTTGGGAGGCCGAGGCGGGTGGATCACCTGAGGTCAGGAGTTCGAGACCAGCCTGACCAACATGGCGAAACCCCATCTCTACTGAAAATACAAAATTAGCCGGGTGTGTTGGCACATGCCTGTAATCCCAGTTACTCCAGAGGCTGAGGCAGGAGAATCACTTGGTCCCAGGAGGTGGAGGTTGCAGTGAGCTGAAATGGCACCATTGCACTCCAGCCTGGGGAAAAAGGGAGAAACTTCATCTCAAAAAAAAAAAAAATTCAGTCAGTCAGCAAATATTTATTAAGCACTTACTATGGGACAGGCACTGTAAGAATACAGCAATGAAAAACAGTAAGAAGATCCCTAGCTTCAGAAAGAATCATTCTGGAAGAGAAAAAGTTGAAATCCTACTGGTCTGTCAGCATTTTATCTAGTAAAACACTTTCATCTTGGCTTCCTGACTTCACTCCTTTTGCTTGTTTTCACCCGCCGCTGCAGCCTCTTCTACTTTACCAGTTCCCTTTATTGACTTCTTTTTTTATGTTACTGCTAAATGCTGAGGTTTGATGTGGGTTCTTCTCTCTTCCCCGTACCTTCTCTTTGTTAGTGATAACATTCAGTCCCATCACTTCAAGTAACATCTATACTGTGCCAGGAAGTGCAGGCACTGGGGTAACGTAAAACCTAGACTGCATTTCACTTTCAAGTTCCGTTTGATCTTTCCCGTCAGAGCTGTTTCACCTCTAGTCTTCCCTATCACTGTGAATAAAATCATGAAATCACCCTCCACCCAAGTTCTTAAGCTAGAAATGTTGGAGACATTCATAACCATTCACTCCCTCGGCTACTTTATTTAATCTACTGCTAAGATCCATAGGTTTTACCTCTATGGATTGTGCTTTTGGCACTGTGGTTTTGCATTGTTGAAATTTGCCATCTGAGTCAGGTGCGGTGGCTCACACCTGTAATCCCAGCACTTTGGGAAGCTGAGGCTGGCGAATCACTTGAGGCCAGGAGTTTGAGACCAGCCTGAACAACATGGCAAAATCCCATCTCTACTAAAAATACAAAAATTAGCCAGGCGTGGTGATGCATGCCTGTAATCTCAGCTACTCGGGAGGCTGAGACAGGAGAATCACTTGAACCTGGGAGGCGGAGATTGCAGTGAGCCGAGATCATGCCACTGCACTCCAGCCTGGATGACAGAGCAAGACTCCATCTCAAAAAAAAAAAAAAATTTTGTTTTTGAGTCAGATTCTCACCCTGTTGCCCAGGCTGGAGTGCAGTGGTGTGATCTTGGCTCACTGAAGCCTCAACTTCCCTGACTCAAACGATCCTCCTGCCTCAGCTTCCTCAGTAGTTGGGACTACAGGCACATGCCACCACACCTGGCTAACTTCTTAAAATTTTTTGTAGAGATGGGGTTTTACCATGTTGCCCAGGCTGGTCTCGAACTCCTGAGCTCAAGTGATCCGCCACCTTGGCCTCCTAAAGTGCTGAGAATGCAGGCATGAGCCACCGCACTCTGCTGAAAACCATTTCTTCTAGTAGAATGGTAACTGACAATGTAAAAGAAATGAGTTAGAAAAATCACTATTTTGCAGCCATCATAGTGATAATTAATTCAGCCAAGAGTCATGAATGGATGCTAAAATTAATAGGTAAAATCTTAATGGAGAACAGGATATTTACATAATTGCAAATATGTTTCACATGTTTATTATTAATTACAGAGAGGAAAAATAATAACTTTACATAAAAATCCTGGCAGATATCATCATAAACAAATGGCCACATTTAGCGTAAACAATGGTAAGACAGACCTACATCTTATGTCTCCTAATGTAATACAAAAGTCACAACATCATTTATATAGTATCCTGTCAAAATGCATAACCTCAGCTGGGCATGGTGGCTTATGCCAATAATCCCAGCACCTTAGGAGGCTGAGGCAGGAGGATAACTTGAGCCCAGGAGTTTGGGAACAGCCTGCACAACATAGCAAAACCCCATCTCAAAAAAAAAAAAAAAAAAAAAAAAGATTAGCTGGGCATGGTGGTGCACAAGCATGGTCCCAGCTAGTTGGGTGGCTGAGGTAGGAGGATTGCTCGAACCTGGGAGGTCAATGCTGCAGTAAGCCATTATTGTGCCACTCTACTCCAGCCTGAAAGATAGAGCGAGCGAGATCCTGTCTCTTAAAAAAAAAAAAAATTGGCCAGGCGGGTGGCTTATGCCTGTAAATCCCAGCACTTTGGGAGACTGAGGTGGGCAGATAACCTGAGGTCAGGAGTTCGAGATCAGCCTGTCCAACATGGTGAAACCCCATCTCTACCAAAAATATAAAACATTAGCTGGGTGTTGTGGTGCACTCCTGTAATCCCAGCTACTCAGAAGGCTGGGGCAGGAGAATCACTTGAACACAGGAGGCGGAGGTTGCAGTGAGCTGAGATTGTGCTGCTGCACTTCAGCCTGGGTGACAGAGCGAAACTCCATAAAAAAAAAATATATATATATATATACAAAATATAAAATAAAAAAAGATGTATATATTGAAGTATTTAGGGGTAAGGGAAGGGGCATGTCACAACTTATTTAAAAGTAGTTCAGGATAAAAGGTGTGTATAAAATTGGTTCTTATTATTTAAGGTAGTTATGTTCTGTAAAGGCACAACCAACACTGAATTAGCAAGCACCGAATTGCTGCTCCTAGAGGAAATATAGTTAAGCTCCTTCGAGCCTCTAGTCATGACATTTTTGACCACTGACCAATACATGACCTTATTTCATGTGTGTTTCTATTTAAAGACATCTTATTCAATGTAGATTGTTGATTCATTAACATTGAACTAACAGTCAACAGCACTACAACTCACGCTTGAAGAAGCTTCTCTAACGTGTGTATTATTTCTCTGTAAGTGCAGCTTCCTTGCACTTAGGAACACTAAACAGCTCTTCAACACTTTGCCTGGGGGCTGTTTTAAACAGCAAAATCACCAACAGAAAGCACAAAAATATGAAAAACATGGCACTAACTAGACTACAGAAAAAGGACGCTTGTTTACAGTATAAGAGTGAAAATAAGAGGCAGAGTGTCACCTTTTTCAGTCTCAGCTGGAAATATGCGGATCAGGCAACTCAAATTTGTGCTGCTCTGTGCATATCTATAAAAGACAGCAAAAGTCCTTTGATTGATGATTGATTTGGCGGTTATGAATACATTTTGGCAAGTAGACAAATTCACAAATACAGAATCTGCAAATAATGAGGACCAAAATTGTGTGTTTGTGTGTGTGTATACACGTACACACAAACACATATATACACATGGAAAGAGAGAGCAAGAGCAAATGGTAAAACAAATCAAAATGTTAAACATTAGTGAACCTGGGTGAAGGATATATGAGAGTTGTAAGTAGTATTTATTTTTTGTGAGACAAAAATATGAAGCACATGGCACTAAATAGACTGCAAAAAAGGACACTTGTTTTCAGGGTCTCACTTTGTCATCCAGGCTGGAGTGCAGTAGTAGGATCAGGGCTCACTGCAGCCTCAACCTCCTGGGCTCAAGTGATCCTTCCAACTCAGCCTCCCGAGTAGCTGGAGCTACAGGCACATGCCACCACATCCAGCTAGTTTTTTAAATGTTTTGCTATGTTGCCTAGGCTGGTCTCAAACTCCTGGGTTCAAGCAATCTTCTTGCCTTAGCTACTCAAAGTGCTGGGATTACAGGTGTGAGCCATTGTGCCCAGCTGCAAGTAGGACTTCTTGCAACTCTTCTCTAAATTTGAAATTATTTGAAATGAAAAGTTTAAAAATTCAATAAATTCATATTACTCCTCGGCTTAAAATATTTAAATTGCTTTTATGTGCACATCACACATCCTTTAAGACCCTGAAGAGTCAGGCCTCTATCTGCCTCTCCAACATAATTCAGGCCACTGGCCCTCCAGCTTACTCTGGTCAGTCTCAGAGGCTTTCTTTTAATTCCTGGAACACTTCCCTAGCTCCCTATCTAAATTAGATTCTGTTTATTATTCTCTTTCAAAGCACAGCATTTATCAAAATTTGTAATTATACATGCAAACAATTATGTGTTCTTGTTTAATAAATGTTATGTATAAAATAATAATTATGAAGACATTTTAGAAATGGGGAATTATTGAGGTGACCAGCTTTAAATGTTTAGGCATGGAAAATTATTTAGGCAAAGTTAAGTTCTACATTACATACAAAATTATTCATACACCGCATATAGTAGCAAACATAAAATGGACAAGAATTAGAAATAATATGCAAATGCCTGATGTGGTGGTTCATGCCTATAATCCTAGCACTTTGAGAGGCCTCAAACAGGAGGACTTCTTGAGGCCAGGAGTTCAAGACCAGCTTAGGCAACAAAGCAAGAGCCCTGCTGTCTGTACAAAAATAAATGAAGTAATATGCAAAAATGAGAATTCAGGAATAATGATGGAATTATAAACAGATGAAAATTAGTAAGTTTTTTAGGCTGCTTTTACTAAGAAAGAAAAATAATACCACTTCAAAGACTGACTAATTACAATGTTAATGCTAAATAAATATTTTGAATAAAAATCTCTGGCTAGCCATGGTGGTTTGGCCCTGTAATCCCAACACTTTGGGAGGCCGAGGCAGGAGGATTGTTTGAGGCCAGAAGTTCGAGACCAGCCTGGGTAACATGAAATACTGTGTCTACAAAACAAACTAAAAAATTAGGTAGATGTGGTGGTGTGAACTCTGTAGTCCCAGCTACTTGGGAGGCTGAGGTGGGTGATTGCTTGAACCCAGGATTTTCAGGCTGCAGTTAGCTATCATGGCACTACTGTTCTCCAGCCTATGAGACAGAGAAAGACTCTGTCTCTAAAAAATAAAACAAAATAAAATAAAATAAAATAAAATAAATAATAGACTAGAGTACAGAATGAAGAAGGAGCAAGGCTGGAGGTGTGGAGGGAACCCAGTTAGAATAATTCAAGTGAGCATTCTTAGGTATGAATTAAGAGAGTGACAGTGGGAATGAGAGAGACTGATGGATTCTAGGGATATTAAACAATTGATTACGAGATTGACAGGATCTAATGACTGATTGAAACAAGTGAAGAATGGGAAAAACTCAAGGTCAATTCTTTTTTTTTTTTTTTGAGCTAGTTTCCCTCTGTCGCCCAGGCTGGATAGCAGCGGCTCGATCTCAGCTCACTGCAACCTCTGCCTCCTGGGTTCGAGCAATTCTCCCTGCCTCAGCCTCCCGAGTAGCTGGGATTACAGGTGCCTGCCACCACATCCGGCTAAATTTTGTATATTTATTAGAGCCGGGGTTTCGCCATGTTGGCCAGGCCAGTCTTCAACTCCTGACCTCAGGTGATCTGCCCTCCTGGGCCTCCCAAAGTGCTGGAATTACAGGCGTGAGCCACCACACCTAGCTTAAGGTCAATTCCTAATTTTACATTTTGGGTCACTGGAGGGAGGTTGATCTGGTTCACTGACATAGGGACCATAGGAAAAAAAGCAGGTTTGAAGATGAGATACAGCCGGTTTTCTGTATCCTTGGGTTGCATATCTGCAGATTCAACCAAGTGCAGGTTGAAGTCTGCATATATGGAGAGGCAACTGCTGACCGTAATAAGTTTAGCTTTAACTTATGGGACACCCAGGTGAAGACACTAGGCAGTTGTTTGTGTAGGTCTTGAGGCCAGGAGAGATATCTGGGGTCAAAGATATAGGAAGTCAAAAACATACAGATAGAAATTAAGTCATGGAGGTAAATGCCATCACCCAATAAAAATATAGACTGAGAAAAGAAAGCGGAAATATTTAAGCCCCTATTACTATATGAAGAATTGTAGGAGGCACCACGGGTACACAGACAGGACAAAATTTCTGTCTCTGAGGTGCTAAAGCTTGGGAGTGGGATAGGAAAGGGTCAGACAAGTGCTTTTTGTCAGGTATCTACTAACTATTTGGTTCTCTCTTCTCGTCCTCAAATTAACAAGACACAGCCCACTAAGCTATGGGAGAGGATAGGCAAGAAAAACTTGAATAACAATATAATGAGTGCTATGATAATGTGCTATGGGACGGGGAAGAGAGGCTTAGATTATTGACTTTTGAAGCCAGATAGGAATTGGCCAGGTAGAACATGGGGAAGGTCTTTGAAGAGAAGTAAAATAATGTATGCAAAGTCATGAAGTCAAGAGAGACCTTGGAATATTTGCAAAATTCCTGTAGTTCTCTATGCTGCCATTACAAGGTGCCCATGGCTACATGGCAGAGTAGAATTGATTGGACAATTTAATAGGTGCCAAATCATAATGAATGTTATATGCCATGCTTCTTGAGATTTTATCCTGTGGGTAACGGGCGGATGTTAAGAAGCGGTAAGTAGGAGAGCTGTATAATTAAATTTGCATTTTAGGAAGATTGTCCTAGAAACAGTGGGAGACATAGATTGGACTGGAGAAAGGGAGAATGATTAGAAAGGAATTTACACAAGTTCCCACCACCACAAATATCCATCTACCAGTGTCTATAGCCAAGAACTCTGCCTTCCCTTCTTTTGCCATAGATGAATGGTCTATGGCTCTTATCAAAGCTCAACCCCTCCACTTGTGCACTAGATTAAAAAAAAACTTTTTTTTAGCGATGGGGGTCTTACTATGTTGCACCAGCAACAGTGCAGTTGCTAATCACAGGCAGGATTATAGTGCACTACGACCTCAAAAGTCCTCAAGTGATCCTCCTGCCTCAGCTTCCCAGGGAGCTGGGATTACAGGCGCACACTTGTGCACTAGATTTTATCCTTTTTTTTGCCTTCAAGGACATGGCTCCAACAATTCAAATATTCCTCTTTATTCCTCTATCAGCAATTTTCCCTCCCTACTGGAACACTGCCATCAGCATACAAACATGCAGTTATTGCAAAGAAAATCTCTTTCTTGACCTCATCCCTTCCCCCATGGCCCCATTTTTTTCTCCCCTACTTTGCATTATAACTTTACATTTCCATCCATTCATTCATGAACGTACTCTAAATAGGCTTTCACGCCCACATTCCACAGGACTAACTACTCTTGTCAAAGTTACCAGTGATGCCTGTGTTGCTCTATTGAACAGGCACTCCTCAGTCCTCATTTTATTTGACCTACCTGCTGCATTTGATACAGTCAATCACTCTCTTCTCTAAAGCTATTTTTTTTTTTTTTTTTGAGACAGAGTCTTACTCTGTTACATGCTGTAATGCAGTGGCGTGATCTCGGCTCACTGCAACCTCTGCCTCCCGGGTTCAAGCGATTCTTGTGCCTCAGCCTCCCAGGTAGCTGGGACTACAGGCACGTGCCACCACACCAGGCTAATTTTTGTATTTTTTGTAAACATGGAGTTTCGCCATGTTGGCCAGGCTTGTCTCAAACTCCTGGCCTCAAGTGACCCACCCTCCTCAGCCTCCCAAAGTGTTGGCATTACAGGCATGAGCCACTGAGCCCAGCCTGACTGATGTATTCTTTATTGCCAAGCTCATAGTAAGCACTCAATACGTATTACATAGATGAATGACTGAAGGTAGGTAGGGAGGAGAGGTTTTTGAAAATAATATAATTCAAGAAAATTGGTGTTATAATACAAAGTATAAAATCCTGTGTTTGCAGAATCTTTTACAAAAGAAATACTATTTTTGGGATTTTTGGCTTCTTAAACAGTCTTATTACTTTTTCCACACTTAATGTGAAGTGAAAAGAAATGATTACTCTCACTGAGAAAATAGCCTGTCTTCTTAGGTTAAGACAGTATTTGTAATAAGTTTCAGCTTGGCATAGCTTCAGCAAGCTACCATATTTGTCCAGGTTCATGAGATCCATTAAAGGTACTTGGATGCTATGTTGAGGAGACTGGAGAGTATTTAGCTGTGCTTACAGATTTCAATTGTCACTAAGAATATATATTTTAAGAAAAAGCTTGTTTTAATTTTGGATTATGCAAATAAGACGCATTCACTGTAGGAAAATTAGAAAATGCAGAGAGACAAAAACTATCACTTGGAATGTCTCTAAATAGAAATATCTTCCATTAATAGTTTTGTGTGTAATCTAATTTTTTATGAGTATCTGTTTATTGGTTAATAATTGTTTTTTTCTTTTGAGATGGAGTCTTGCTCTGTCACCTAGGCTGGAGTGCAGTGGGACGATCTCAGCTCACTGCAACCTCTGTCTTTCAGGTTCAAGCGATTCTCCTACCTCAGCCTCCCAATTAGATGGGATTACAGGTGTGTACCACCAAGCCCAGCTAATTTTTGTATTTTTAATAGAGAGGGGGTTTCGCCATGTTGGTCAGGCTGGTCTCAAACTCCTGGCCTCAAGCAATCCTCCTGCTTGAGGCCTCTCAAAGTGCTAGGATTATAGGCAGGAACCACCACATCAGGCATTTGCATATTATAAACAATTATAAGAAAAATGGGTGGCTCACGCCTGTAATCCCAGCACTTTGGGAGTCTGAGACAGGAGGATCACTTGAGTCCAAGAGTTTGAAATCAGCCTTGGCAACATATTGCCGAAATTACTTTTGCACCAACCTAACAGTTAGACCGTTGTCTTTGCAAAACAAACAAACAAGCAAACAAACAAAATTAGCCAGGCATGGTGGTACAGCCTGTGGTCCCCAGCTACTTGGGAGGCTAAGGTGAAAGGATTTCTTGAGCCCAGGAGGTTGAAGCTGCAAGTGAGCCATGATGGCCTCACTGAACTACTCTGGGTGACAGAGACAGGGATACCCTGTTCTCCCTTGCACGACCTCACCCCCACCCAGCCCTGCCCTGCCGAAACACACACACACACACACACACACACACACACACACATACACCAGAGAGAGAGAGAGAGAGGGAAATGCATGAGGTTAACTTTATGAAAAAATATAGTTCCCCAACCAAGTCTCTTTGTAATTTGATGGTGGAGGTTAATTGCCTATCTAAACAAAGTGTGTGAATTGATGGTGGGGGTCTAGTGGAAATTTAGAAAGGGAGAGTTCTATAAACAAACTTTGATGCTTCCGTACCCAAGTATCTATTGAAACATACTATATGGAGGGAAAAAAATCGGGGATAATTTGGCCAGTTAGTGAAGAACATATCTAAGATTCAAATACACTACACCATTTTGCTTCACTGAAAATGTTGCATAGCTTCATTCAATTCATTACCTTAGCAAGTATTTATTAAATGCCTTTTATGCTCAAGGCATTTTGCCAAGGGCACTGTGGGATACATGATTAATCAGACGTTTTGGAGTAATGGAAAGAGATGTACTTTGGCATCATACTGATGAGTTTGAATTCCAGCTTCTTGGAAACATTACTCTTTTAACTGCAGTTTTTAAGTTTGTAAAATGAAGCAGTTAGAAAAAGGAAATGCATCTCTTGGTGACCAGCACACAGGAGGTGCTCAATAAATTGAGTTTTTCTCTCCCCAACTCCACTTTGAGGCATTTGCTAGAAGGTAAGTGATCAGGGAATTCACCATAGAAAGGGAGGGTGATTGGTTTAGGTCATGAGATGGATTTAGACTGGTCAAGAAGTGAGAGACAGTAAAGGTAGTAAGTGTGTGGACTTTACTAGATCTTGTGAGTAGATCTTATCTAAACGTGCCGGCACACGTTTACAGAGAGGGGGAAAAGCAGGAGCTGTAACCATCAGGTTGCCTGCTATTTTAGTCCACTCGGGCTTCTATAATGAAATATCATAAACTGGGTAGCTTATAAAAAGAGAAATTCATGTCCCATAATTCCAGAGGTTGGGAAGTTCAAGATCAAGGCAGATGTGGTATCTGATGAGAGTCTACTTTCTAGACAGCAGTCTTTTTACCATAACCTCACTTGCTGGAAGGGGTGAGGGATCTTTCTGAGGTTTCTTTTTTTAAAAAAATTATTTATTTAATGTATTTAACTAACAAATAATAATTGTATGTATTTATGAGGTATCATGTTACATTTGTATGTGTCGTGAAATAATTAAATCAAGTTAACATATTCATCACTTTAACATGATTTGTCCTGAATGGAATCCCATTCATGAGGGCTCCACCCTTATGATCTAATCACCTTTCAAAGGCCCAACCTTCTAATATTATCAACTCCAGCTTTAGCATTTTAACACTCAGTTGGGGGTATAATCCTAGCACTTTGGGAGGCCCAGGCGGGAGCTCAGGAATTGGAGACCAGCCTGGACAATATAACGAGATCCCGTTTTTGCTAGGCATAGTGCCGCTCCCCTGTGGTTCCAGCTACTCGGGAATCTGAGGTAGGAGGGTAGGATGATCACTTGAGCCCAGGAGGTGGAGGCTGCAATGAGCCAATGGTGCCACTGCACTCCAGCCTGGGTGACAGAGTTAGATCCTGTTTCCAAAACAAAACAAAACAAAACAAAACAAAACAAAACACCACAACATTCAGATCATAGCATCTGCCTACTTGTAAAATCGCCTTTCAGTGCAGTGTTGGTTCCTACAAACATACAATATAATGACTTTAGCTTGAAATTAAGGCATCTTCTCTGACTGCATTACAAACAGGCAAGTTTTTTCATATCGATTCACTCAACACCTTTTATTTATCCAGATAATATCTAGGATCACGCTTAATATCTAAGTGCTAGAATCTAATTATATAGATATCAAAAGGCATTAAGTTTTTCAGAAGACAGACATACAATTTTAATGTTTAGAGGTGATAGAGACACCTATAGCAGCACCAAAGAAGAAACGATTTTCCATTTAAGATTTTAGGCAGTTTAACTCTAAAATATGAAAATAGGCACATCTCACAGACTATAAAACTATACGCCATTTTAATTTTTACAATGTCAATTCTAACTGCGAATTTTAGCAACGCTTCAGTGTGAAGACAGCAGAGAAAAACACTGAAAATGCGTGATTGAATTCTTATTGAGTCACTCTTCTCGGAAATCAGTCCTCCCCATTTTCTCCTTAAAAAATAGAATCCTGGAGATAGTCTAGTGCTGGCTTTTCGAGGAACACACTACAGGGGACACAAGGAGAGGAACACGGATGCCGCAGTTTTCCAAGTGCAGCTTGCCCCTCCCACGTGATAGGTTTCTGGCATCGCCCCTCCTTGCTGGCGATTCTGGGGAAGATTTTAACGCTCCCTGGAGCCGTCCCCAGTGACGTCACGGGCGCGGCTCCGCTCCTTGGCCAATCACGCGGCCGGATCCCGGGGAAACCCGGGGCGGTGGCGGCGGCCTGGGCGCGTGCGCGAGGTCTCCGCGTGGCTATATAAACATGGCTGGCGTGGCCGCGCGGCGGGGCCGTGCCAATCGCGCGTAGGGGGCTGTGGGCACTCGGGGTTCGTAGTTTTGAAATTTCTGGCGGGGGAGCAGCTGCGCAGTTAGGCTCGAGGTGTGAGCGACGACCTTCCGGGAGCCGCAAGTCCAGGCTCCCCCGCAGCGGGACCCGAGCCTGAGGCGCAGGGCTGAGGCAGCGCACGTGTGAGCGCCGCTGAGGAAGCTGCGAGAGGTCGGGCGGGTGTCGCTCCGGGGGCAGCCCAGGCTCGCGCGGACGAGAGGAAGGTCCGGGACGCGCGTGTCCTGCCGTGCAGCGGGCGCCCGTCACTGACTTCGCTGCTGCGGCCCCCGCGCCTCTCCCCAGCGATGCTGTGGAACCCGAACCGCACCGGAGTCGGCTGCCGCGCGCCAAGCCTCCCCTCACCTCTGCTCCCGGAACCGCAGCGCCAAAGCTGCCGCTGAGCCCCTGGGGGATGCCCGCCGGCCTCACCGAACCCGCCGGCGCCGCTCCCCCGGCTGCTGTGAGCGCCTCGGGGACCGTGACCATGGCCCCGGCCGGGGCGCTGCCGGTGCGGGTGGAGAGCACTCCGGTGGCCCTGGGCGCCGTGACTAAGGCTCCTGTCAGCGTCTGCGTGGAGCCCACGGCGTCCCAGCCCCTGCGGTCCCCCGTGGGGACCCTGGTGACCAAAGTGGCTCCGGTCAGCGCCCCTCCTAAAGTCAGCAGCGGCCCTAGGCTGCCTGCTCCTCAGATAGTCGCCGTGAAAGCCCCCAACACCACGACAATCCAGTTTCCTGCTAATTTGCAGCTTCCTCCAGGTATGTTGATAACCCTTTCCAGCCTTGTCTGTCGGTCCAGCTGGCGGCGACGGGAAAATTCGCAGCTCCAGATTGCTCCTAAAAAAACTGAGCCACGGGAACATTTCATAATCTTGACTTTACAGTTAACATATTCTTTTTGTGTCATTACTACATAGTTTTTCTTTTCATATTTAAGGAAAGAATCTTTTCACCTAAGTGATACAGTAAAAAGCTACATCAGCGTATTCGGGGGGGCTTTCAGGCACTGGCTCTTAGGTGGAGGAGATAATATAGCCGAAGTTAATTTCCATGTGGAGGATGGACCGGTTTATACCGTGGATTTCCATACGCTTAGATTATGTAGAAGTGCGTTGTACTTATTTTATTAATTATGAATGAATGAATGAACGAATGAGGTATGGTTTCGCTCTGTCGCCCAGTCTGGAGTGCAGTGACACGATCATGGCTCACCGACGTCGAACTCCTGGGCCCAATCGATCCTCCCGCCTCGGCCTCCCAAAGTGCTGGGATTACAGGCGTGAGCCACCGCGTACGGCCTAACAGTGAAGTTCTTGTGTATTACAACTGAAAGAGATTTTTAAATTTAACCAAGTCAGAATCGGTTTACTGCTTTCTAGTACCAAGTACGAATAATGCTGTTCCTGCACAATCTTTAAATGTCTTATGATTCTAACTTTCAATTAGCAGAACCCCTGACTGGGAACACGTGCCACAGTTGACAAACAGATCAGTCATGCAATTGTTACAGTTGCAATTGAAGCCATGTGTCAACGCTACTGTTAATGAGTCTTTCACTACTTTCTATCCTAGGGCTTTTTACTCTATTGGGCTGTATTTCATGGTTTGTATAAAGGTTTTGCTTTGTGATAATTTACATATTGTAAATATGCTGAATGATTTTGGGGTGTTCAGCCTTTCTTTACTGAAAGTCTCTTGGAGTTTGCTTTCTGTTAATTTTGTTTAGCAGTAATTGGAACTCTGAACTGCAAAGATGGTAAAAAAGGGGAAGCATTGATTCAAAAGATTCTATATCCCCTAATAAAATGACAGGGACCCTTTTTGTATCTAATGTTGTAGTTAGTCATACACGTTGTGGATAGATTTCACTTTTTATGAAGTTCTGTTTCAGTTTTATATGGTATACAAGGTATGTAAAATTGTTAAGGCACTGTTACGGCAGTGTGCAGCACCGAATACATTATTTGGCAGTTCTAAATTGTTATTCTGAGTTGTTATTCTGCATATATGTTTATAAAGTAGTTCTGAATGTGTTAGAATGAAATTACCCCCTAATTTGTTAAACTGTAAATCCTGTCTAGTCACTGAAGTTTGTTTATAAATAGTCAAAAAAAAAAAGTATTAAGAAAGAACTGTCTGAGAGGCTAAGGCACGAGAATCGCTTGAACCCGGGAGGTGGAGGTTGCAGTAAGCCAAGATATCTTGCCACTGCACTCCAGCCCAGGCAACAGAGTGAGACTCTGTTCCTCCCCATCCCTCCCCAACCCCCCAAAGAAAGAACTGTCAAGAGTGAAAATTTGCTGGTAAGTGAGAGTGAATCACTTACTGGAGGATTGGGGCCTTATCATGCTAAGCACTTTTAACAAATTATTTATATTCTTTTATTTGTTGGTCATAATAGGTAGGTAGCAAATAAGGAAAGAGGTCTCTAAGAGTAAATAATTTGTCCAATGCCAGGCAACCCATAGGTGTCGGGGGAGTTTTAGCTCAGGTCTGTTTATTCTTTCCACAACGCTATGCTTATTTTTTTACTTGTATGTGTACGGTATGCCTCATTGAGTGTCAGTACTGAAAGGTGATTCAGAGAACTTTAGATTCCAGTCTTTTATTTTATATACCAAGGAACCAAAACTGAAACTTGGCAGAGTTAAAATAATAGCATACTAGGACCATAGTCTAATTATGTTCCTAGCACTGTATTAAAACATTGCATGCTATTTACCTCTGAGAAACCCATACAAAAGAGAGAAAGAAGATAAGTTGTCTTTAGGAATTGGTCGTTATAGAGGAAGTGGGGATTTGCTTTTGGGAATTTTCTGCTGACGTGTGGCAGAAGGGTGTACTAACTACATTTGTGCTCTTATTGGATAGAATAAGATAACCAATAGTTGAAGAATAAAATGGAAACACTGATTAAAGTAACTTTTTAAAAAGGTTATGAATCTTATACTATTTCTTTTATATCTTTCTTTCTTTCTTTTTTTTTTTTTTTTTTCTTTCTCTGAGACGGAGTGTCACTCTGTTGCCCAGGCTGGGGTGCAGTGGCATAATCTCGGCTCACTGCAACCTCCGCCTCCCGGGTTCAAGCAATTCTCCCGTCTCAGCCTCCCGAGTAGCTGGGATTACAGGCACACGCCACCATGCTCGGCTAAATTTTGTATTTTTAGTAGAGATGGGGTTTCACCATGTTGGCCAGGCTGGTCTCGAACTCCTGACCTCAAGTGATCAGCCTGCTTCGGTCTCTCAGAGTGCTGGGATTACAGGCGTTAGCCACTGCGCTGGCCTGAATCTTGTACTATTTCCTTTGCATACCAAGAATTAGCACTTGATTACACAAGGGTGCTTATATATGTCAGTTCTTCATTTTTCAAGATAATGAATACTTTAAGTATTTGATTCTCTTTACTTCAGAGTTTCATCTATGAACAGAACTGGTTTAAAAAAAAAATATATATATATATACACACACACACACACATATACATATATATGCACCACAGGTTTTTCTAGGGAGCAGGAGCTTGAAATAAAAAGAATGCACAAGAGAATATTTGAGGAAATATTAATAAAAGGTTTTCAGTAATTTCTTCAGTCTTTTGTGAACATGTGGGGTTTTAGGCTGAACTGTGGTTCTTCTTGATATTCTTCATCTTGTCTATCACCTGTTTGAGAATGATAAGCAAGGACTTGATTCCTTCTTTTAGGTCATAAACTGGGATAAATTCTGCATGACAGTCATACTGTACAAAAGTGTGAAAGTTACTTATGAAGCAGTGAGGTCCCTTTTCATCAGCCTGTTTTCATGCTGAGACAGGGCATAGAATTTGCATCTCCTTTCCCAACTTCTTGATCCAGTCCTTGGATAAGTTCTTTGTTTCCACTCTGGCTTTATCAAAGGGATACAGTGTACATGATCATCACTTCCACAGTTGTCACAGTGCTGCTGGGCTTTGTGAAATGAGGGGTATTCTTTTCAGTGTTCACCATACACCATCCACTGTTTGATTTTCAGACTGTAGAGTTGGCGTAAAGTGATAGTGGCCATGGCATTACTCTGTCGGTAGTCAGCCCACAGGAGAAAGTGCTGGTGCTCCTCTCCTGCGGATCTTCCTCAAGGTGAGGTTAGGTTCTCCTGTTACGTGTTTCCATTTGGATGCCGTGCTTTCACTCTCATAGTACTCCCACACTTTGTTTTCTTTTTGATTACAAGGTCCTTTTTGATTACAAGTCCCTGCTTCTGTAATCAGGGACTCTATGTCGCTATTATCTATCCTCAGGGCCTAGTGAGTTGTGCACGAAGGCGCTCAAGTATTTGAATGTAGGCATATATGGAGAGAGTAGGGGGCAATAGGGCTGCAGCCCCTAAGGGATTCTGAGGGTCATCACACATATCAGTGTGTTGAGTTTTGATTTCTTTGCTTATTCTACTTACAAAAGCAGTATATGTTCATGTGAAAATCACTAAAATGTAATTTCCTCTTCAAAGTAATTGACAAACTTGTGGTGTGTTGTTTTGCTTTTTTTTTTTTTTTTTTTTTTTTTGATGGATTTTGCCCTTGTTGCCCAGGCTGGAGTGCAATGGTGCAATCTTGGCTCACCACAACCTTTGCCTCCCGGGTTCAAGCGATTGTCCTGTCTCAGCCTCCTGAGTACCTGGGATTACAGGCATGCGCCACCACCCTTGGCTAATTTTTGTTGTATTTTTAGTAGAGATGAGGTTTCTCCATGTTGGTCAGGCTGGTCTTGAACTCCCAGCCTCAGGTGATCCGCCCACCTTGGCCTCCCAAAATGCTGGGATTACAGATGTGAGCCACCCAGCTGCTTGGGGTTTTTTTTTTTTTTTTTTTTTTTTGGAGACAGAGTCTCACTCTGTTGCCCAGGTTGGAGTACAGTGGCATGATCTCAGCTCACTGCAACCTCTGCCTCCTGGGTTCAAGCAATTCTCATGTCTCAGCCTCCAAGTAGCTGAGATTACAGGTGTGTGCCACCACACCAGGCTAATTTTTTTCTTTTTAGTAAAGACAGGGTTTTGCTAAGTTGGCCAGGCTGATCTTTGAACTCCTGGCCTCAAGTGATCTGCTGATCTCAGCCTCCCAAAGTGCTGAGACTGCAGGCATGAGCCACTGTGCCCCGTCTATTGTGTCTTTTAAGTATTAGTGTGTCCAGAGTTGGTTCCTTCTGGTGGGTTTGTGGTCTTGCTGACTTCAAGAATGAAGCCGTGACCTTGGCGGTGAGTGTTATAGCTCTTAAAGATGGCACAGACCCAAAGAGTGAGCGGTAGCAAGGTTTATTGTGAAGAGCAAAAGAACAAAGCTTCCACAGTGTGGAAGGGGACCTGAGCGGGTTGTTGCTGCTGGCTGGAGTGGCCAGCTTTTATCCCCTTATTGGCCCCTCCCACGTTCTGTTTCTTTCCTATCCGAGTGCACTTTTTTCAGTTCTCCCTGTGATTGGCTACTTTTAGGATCCTGCTGATTGGTGCATTTTACAGAGCGCTGATTGGTGCATTTTATAGAGCGCTGATTGGTGCATTTTACAGAGTGCTGGTTGGTGCATTTTAGAATCTTCTTGCTAGCTACAGAGCACTGATTGGTGTGTTTTTACAGAGTGCTGATTGGTGCATTTTACAATCCTCTCGTAAGACAGAAAAGTTCTCCAAGTCTGCAGTCAACCCAGGAAGTCCAGCTGGCTTCACCTCTCAATCTCCCCCCACCCCCGTCTAAACAGGACACCCCAGCTGCTGTTGGGAATTGGGTGATGACCGCTCTAGTTACTTCTTGCTGGATAGGGGCGAAGAAGGGGCCCTGCAGTTGTAGTGTCCTCTGGAGGTGAATTCTCTAGGCCAGTCAAAGGGCCAGTGGGTTGGTCCAGGGGTCCTCAGTAGAAGTTGTGAGTTGAGCTCATTTGGGGTGCCATTTGTAAGACCATCTGTAGCTTGATGGCCTCGATCCTGAAGGAAACAAATTTGACAAGGAGATTAAAAACACAGGGCCTGAAGGCGAGTAATAGCAAGATGGCTGTCACAGGACCTAGAAAGGGGAGAAGCCATGTCGCCCAACTCCAGAGGTTGGGATGAGTTTGAAAGCCATTGTCTGATTTCAGAAGCCTTTTCCTATAAACACCTGGTGGCATCTCGTACTATCCCTGACTGGTTAGTATAAAAGCAACACTCTTCCCCTAAGAAGGTACAAAGTCCTCCTTTCTCAGCAGTGAGGAGGTCTAGGCCTCAGCGGTTTTGGAGAGTCACTGCTGCCAAACAGTCTATTTGGGATTGTAGAGTAAGGATAGATTTTGTTATTTCTTGCAAACTGTCTGAGAAATCCTTTGAGAGTGTGTGGTAGTAGGATAATGAAGTAGATAAACTGGCTATTCTGGTTCCTGTAGTGGTGGCCATTCCTAACCCTATAAGTAGTGGTATTAGTTGTATGGCCCTGCGCTGATGGACTTGAGCTTTGAGGGGCACTGATAGGGTCTGATTTCCTGGGGCAATGTCAATGTTGGGACTTAGGAAGACTAAGGTGCAGGTGCCTGTCTAGTTGGTGGGGAGGCAGATATAGGTTGAAGTTCCACATAAGAAGAATATGGCTTCGCTGGGTAGACAGAACTGGTTGTGTATGTTAAAAAGGTGTGTGAATTTGTTGTTTTCATTTTCCCATACTCCTAAAGTACTTGCCAAGGTAGCTCTGGTGAGCGGCTGGGAAGGGGTGTTGGGAGCAAACTGAGTGGCTCTCTGTGTTCTATTTTCCCATTGGAGAAAAAACCGTTTTGTATCTACTAGGAAGCATTCAAGAAAGTAATTGAAAGAAGGGAGGAGAAGGCATTCACTAGCGGTGGGGGCGCTGCTGCAGGGGGTCCAGAGGTGAATGGTCATGCAGGGAGTATGTTTGCCATGACAAAACCCGGACTGTTTGTTAAGCAGGGAGGAAGTGATGATTTTTGGAGGCCCTGTGAAGCAGACAGGCCATCTGAATGGAGCTGTTTGGGTGACTCAGAAGTTACTATGATCAGTTGGGGCTTGAAGTTGTAGGGTGTAATTATGCTGATGGGATAGTAGGTGCCCCAGGGGCAGGCCTGATAACAGGTTGCGCTGCATGCATAAAGGGGCTTGGGAAGTTAAGACGGTTTCATGGTTACAGGGCTGTGTATGGGCTTTTCATTGCTCGTGAATTATTTCATGAATTAGGACTTAAACCACTTCCTCAGCCCTCTCTGTCTTGCAGGGGAAGGCTTCTATCCAATTTATAAAGGTATGAACACAGACCAACAAGTATTGAAATCCCCTTGACTTAGGCATATGGGTGAAGTCTAACTGCCAGTCCTCTCCGTGATAGTGCCCTATTCTTTGTTCCCCCAGAGGGGCCTTACGATGGACCAAGGGATTATTCCTTTGGCACACTTCACAGGTTTTGACTACTTGCTGGATGGTGTGGAGGAGATTTGGCCCTGTAAATAGGGATATGGCCATTTGATGAATGTTCTCAATACCTATATGAAAAGTTTGGTGGAGGGTCTTAAGTATTTTCCACTGACTGACTTTGGGTATGAGTACCTTTCCCTCTTCTGTTGTTAACCACCCCGAGGGGAGAAAAATATGCCCCCGTGAAAGTCCCCATTCTGTTTCAGTCAGGGAATACTGGGGGTTAATCTCTTGGAGAGGGTTGTTCCATACCAAGGGTTCCTCCATAGGTATTCCTAATGGGAGATTCTGCCTGGCAGCAATTTTGGCCTCAGCGTCTGCCTGACGGTTTCCTTCTGCCTTTTCTCCTTCACCTTTTTGATGGCTTTGGCAGTGTAAGACTGCCACCTCCTTGGGTTTTTGCACTGTGTGCAATAACTTCATGATTTCCTTGAGGTATTTAATGGGGGTTCTCCCAGAGGTTGGGAACTCCCTTTCTTTCCGTATTGCAGCATGGGCATGTAGGATTAGATAAACATACTTGCTATCTGTATACACATTTATTCTTTTTTCCTTTCCCAGTTCTAAGGCTCGGGTAAGTGCCACTAGTTCTGCTAACTGGGTGCTGGTCCCTGGGGGAAGAGGCTTACTTTCAAGTACTGTTACATCACTAACTATGGCATAACCTGCCCTTTGTATCCCATTCTCCACAAATGGACTTTCATCGATATATAGGTTAAGGTCAGGATTAGCTAAGGGGACTTCTAAGAGATCCTCTTGGGTGGCGTAAGTCTGGGTCACAATTTGTTGGCAGTCATGCTCGATTGGTTCTCCATCCTCTAGGAGAAAAGTAGCAGGGTTGAGGGCTGCACAAGTACATATTTGAAGCACCGGTCCCTTAAGGAGTAGCGCCTGGTATCTAAGCAGGCAGTTGTCTGATAGCCATAAACTTCCTTTGGCACGTAGTGTGCCATTTACATCATGAGTAGTCCAGACAGTGAGATCCTTTCCTTGTGTTATTTTGATACCCTCTGATACTAAGATGGCCACCGCTGCAACTACCCGTAAACAGTGAGGCCAGTCTTTTACTACTACATCAATTTCCTTACTTAGGTATGCCACTGGTTATGGGGTTGTCCCATGAGTTAGAGTAAGTGCTCCAAGAGCTATTCCCACTCTCTGTGGCGTATAAAGAGAAGTTTTGTCCTGTGGGAAGGCTTAAGGCTGGAGCTTGTACTAGGGCCTGCTTTAAGGTTTTGAAGGTTGTTTTTGCCTCTGGTTCCCATTCTACTAGATACAGTATTTGCCCTCTGGGTCTCCTTGATTAGCATATAGAGTGGCCTGGCCATCTTGCTGTAGCCAGAGATCCATAGTTGGCAAAAGCTGGTGATCCCAAGGAACCCCCGCAACTGTTTTAATGTCATAGGGCAAGGATAAGCCAGTATAGGTTGTATTTGTTCCTTGCTGAGGGCCCTGGTTCCTCTGGCTAAGATTAGGCGTAGATATTTGACTTGTTATAGGCAGAGCTGGGCCTTCAATTTAGACGCCTTGTACCCTTGATTAGCTAGAAAGTTCAAGAGATCTAGAGTAGCCTGCTGGCATGAGGCTTCCAAACTGGTATCCAAAAGTAAATCATCCACATACTGAAGGACCAGAGTGCCTGGACTTGAGAAGTGGCCTAGATCTTGGGCCAGTGGCTGATCAAACAGATGAGGGCTATCCCTAAACCCTTGAGGCAAGACTGTCGATGTGGGATGTGTGGTCTGTGGGATCCTCAAAGGCAAAGAGAAACTGAGAGTCAGAGTGCAGGGGAGTGCAGAAGAAGGCATCCTTGAGGTCCAGAGCAGTGAACCATTCTGCTTCTTCTGGTATTTGAGAGAGCAGGGTATAGGGGTTGGGTACAACTGGATATAGAGGAATTACTGCCTCATTGATGAGTCTAAGATCTTGCACCAGTCTCCACTGACTGTTTGGTTTTTGTACTCCTAGAATTGGGGTGTTGCAGGGACTGCTGCATTTTCTTACTAAGCCTTGAGCTTTTAAATGTCTAACAATATCCTGTAATCCTTTAAGAGCTTCAGGCCTTAAGGGATATTGCCTTTGATAAGGAAAAGTGGTGGGGTCTTTTAGCCTGATTTGGACTGAGTGGGCATTTTTAGTCCTTCCAATGCCCAGACTTCAGGGTTGATTCCCTCCTCAACTAGGGGACAACAAATGGGTAACTTGTTATTCATGCAAATAATAACTCCAGCTTTGGCTAATATCTCCCTCCCTCATAAGGGTGTAGGACTTTCAGGCATAACAAGAAAGGCACGTGAAAAGAGCAAAGTCTCCCAATTACAACTGAGAAGGTGGGAGAAATACCTGGTTACAGGCTGTCCCAGGATTCTTAGGATGGTAATGGACCTTGAGGACGGCTGTCTGGGGCAGGAGATTAACACTGAGAAGGCCGCGCTGGTGACCAGGAGGAAGTCAATTTCCTGGCCCTCAATGGTTAAACTTACCTGGGGCTCAGTGAGGATGATGACATGAGCTGGTGCTTGCCCTGAGCACCCTCAGTCCTGTTGTTGGATCATCTGGTCGGGGGCCTCTGGCTCAGAGAACCTTTGTTTTCTAGGGCAGGGTGCCTTCCAGGGATTGCCCTGGCATAGTGGACATGGGTGAGGGGGCGCTTGTTTCTCACTGGACAGTCTTTTTTAAAGTGTCCTTGCAAACCACACTAATAACAAGCCCTACCGGGTTATTGCCCTGCTCCATTTTCTGTCCTCTCTGAACCATCAAGGTTTGTTTGTCTGAGGGCCATGACTAAGGCTGCGGCCTTTCTCTTACCTTGCTTTTCCTTTTCGTCCTGTTCCTCTCGGTCCCTATTATAGAACACTGAGGTTGCCAGGTTTAATAATGCCTCCAGATTTTGTTCAGGGCCCAGGGCTCACTTTTAGAGCTTTCTCCTGATATCTGCAGCTGATTGCATAATAAACTTATCTTTGAGGATCAATTAACCCTCAAGGGTGTCGGGTGACAGGGGAGTATATTTTCTTAAGGCCTCCCGTAGCCGCTGGAGCAAGGCAGTAAGATTTTCTTCCTTTCCCTGAGTTATGGTGGACATCATTGAATAATTCATGGGCTTTTTCCTAATTCTCCTTAGTCCTTCTAGAACACAGGTCAACAGATGTTTGTGACTCCAGTCCCCATGATCTGAGTCTGGGTCCCAGTGGGGATCCGTACTAGGGATGGCTTGCTGACTGGTAGTGAATTTATCCCTTTCTTTGGCTGTTATTCTGTCATTTACTTGACTAAGAGACCAGGTATCTTCGAACTCTTGGGCTGCAGCTAAAGCCACATTCTTCTCATTAAAGGCCAGGGTTTGATCTAACAATAGCAAGACATCTCTCCAAGTGAGGTTGAAGGTTTGCCCTAGACCCTGTAGGACATCTATATACCTATCAGGATTATCTGAAAACTTCCCCAGGTCTACCTTGATCTGCTTTAAATCAGAGAGGTAGAAGGGACATGTATCCAGGTTGGGCCAAATTTCCCTTCCCCTACAGCTTGAAGGGGATGTAACCGATAGCCTGGGGTTTTTTTTGTGGTCCCTTGGAGATTTCTTGCTTGTTTCCTTCTGGGTGGGGGAGATTAGAGGAGGCTTATCATTAATAGGAAGGGGAGCTGTAGGGAAGCTAGGATATGGAGGTAAGCTGAGAGGTCCTCCTGTGGGATGTAGATTGCAAGCTTTGCATAGTTGTGAATTATCCTTCAATGAAAAGAAAGCTTGGACGTAAGATACCTCACTCCATTTGCCTTCCCTCTTACAGAAAAGGTCAAACTGCAGGATAGTATTGTAATTTATACTTCCCTCAGTTGGCCATTTTTCCCCATCAGAGAGAGAATACTGGGGCCAGGCCATAGTGCAGAAAAAATAAGCTGCTTCTTTTTCAGGTTTTTTGGGTCAAATTGGTCCCAGGGGCTTAGGATACATTTCAAGGGTGAGCCTGTTGATGCCTGAGCGTTTCCCATCAGAAAAGAGAAAACTGCCTGTGGTTTTTTACCCCTGCCGAAGAACCTGCAACGGTCCGTGGACCCTGCTGTTCAGAATAGTTGTGCTCACCAAAGCAGCAGCAGAAACAATAGTTTTCCTCCTAGACCACAAAGAGGACCAAGGAATGTCAGATTTAGTGGCCCTTACTGACGCATTCTCGAAAACCTGTACCTTTGCCTTTCCTCTTAGCTCACAAAGAGGACCAAGAAAAATCGGATTTAGTGGGCCTTATTGACACATTTTCGAAAACCTGTTAGAGTCCTAAGCATTTTCTCCTGTTGGTATTGGGACCTTACTCTTGTCCTATAAAGCTGATGTGCCTCAAAATGGAGTGGAGGGCCATACCCTGAGGAAGGGAAGGGATCTCCAGGGTTGGAAGAGTGATGCCTTTTGTCCTCACTTCTTATCATATGAATAGGAAGGATATAATTTCTGAGGCTCCCCATATCCTAGCTTCGGGAATAGCCTTTGTTAGGCCTGCTAGTCTGAGGAGGGATCCTAAAATTCCAGATAGTCCCCACTCTGCAGTCGGGCTTTGGGCAAAAATTATGTCTGATTGGTGAGCCCGGGTGCCTAAAGAAGGAAACAGAGTCCTGAAATTTATTTATTTATTTTTTTATAAGTAATGAACTAATATTTATACCTTTTTTTTTTAAATTATACTTTAAGTTCTAGGGTACATGTGCACAATGTGCAGGTTTGTTACATATGTATACATGTGCCATGTTGGTGTGCTGCACCCATTAACTCATCATTTACATTAGGTATATCTCCTAATGCTGTCCGTCCCCCTTCCTCCCACCCCACGACAGGCCCCAGTGTGTGATGTTCCCCACCCTGTGTCCAAGTGTTCTCATTGTTCAATTCTCACCTATGAGATAGAACATGCGGTGTTTGGTTTTCAGTCCTTGCAGTAGATTGCTAAGAATGATGGTTTCCAGCTTCATCCATGTCCCTACAAAGGACATGAACTCATCCTTTTTTATGGCTGCATAGTATTCCATAGTGTATATGTGCCACATTTTCTTAATCCAGTCTATCATTGATGGACATTTGGGTTGGTTCCAAGTCTTTGCTATTGTGAATAGTGCTGCAGTAAACACACATGTGCGTGTGTCTTTATAGCAGCATGATTTATAGTCCTTTGGGTATATACCCAGTAATGGGATGGCTGGGTCAAATGGTATTTCTAGTTCTAGATCCTTGAGGAATTGCCACACTGTCTTCCACAATGGTTGAACTAGTTTGCATTCCCACCAACAGTGTAAAAGTGTTCCTATTTCTCCACATCCTCTCCAGCACCTGTTGTTTCCTGACTTTTTAATGATTGCCATTCTAACTGGTGTGAGATGGTATCTCATTGTGGTTTCGATTTGCATTTGTCTGATGGCCAGTGATGATGAGCATTTTTTCATGTGTCTTTTGGCTGCATAAATGTCTTCTTTTGAGAAGTGTCTGTTCATATCCTTCACCCACTTTTTGATGGGGTTTGTTTTTTTCTTGTAAATTTGTTTGAGTTCTCTGTAGATTCTGGATATTAGCCCTTTGTCAGATGGGTAGATTGTAAAAATTTTCTCCCACTCTGTAGGTTGCCTGTTCACTCTGATGGTAGTTTCTTATGCTGTGCAGAAGCTCTTTAGTTTAATAAGATCCCATTTGTCAATTTTGGCTTTTGTTGCCATTGCTTTTGGTGTTTTAGTCATGAAGTCCTTGCCCATGCCTATGTCCTGAATGGTATTGCCTAGGTTTTCTTCTAGAGTTTTCATGGTTTTAGGTCTAACATTTAAGTCTTTAATCCATCTTGAATTAAGTTTTATATAAGGTGTAAGGAAGGGATCCAGTTTCAGCTTTCTACATATGGCTAGCCAGTTTTCCCAGCACCATTTATTAAATAGGGACTCCTTTCCCCATTTCTTGTTTTTGTCAGGTTTGTCAGAGATCAGATGGTTGTAGATGTGTGGTACTATTTCTGAGGGCTCTGTTCTGTTCCATTGGTCTATATCTCTGTTTTGGTACCAGTACCATGCTGTTTTGGTTACTATAGCCTTGTAGTATAGTTTGAAGTCAGGTAGCGTGATGCCTCCAGCTTTGTTCTTTTGGCTTATGATTGTCTTGGCAATGCTGGCTCTTTTTTGGTTCCATATGAACTTTAAAGTAGTTTTTTCCAATTCTGTGAAGAAAGTCATTGGTAGCTTGATGGGGATGGCATTGAATCTATAAGTTACCTTGGGCAGTATGGCCATTTTCATGATATTGATTCTTCCTATCCATGAGCATGGAATGTTCTTCCATTTGTGTCCTCTTTTATTTCATTGAGCAGTGGTTTGTAGTTCTCCTTGAAGAGGTCCTTCACGTCCCTTGTAAGTTGGATTCCTAGGTATTTTATTCTCTTTGAAGCAATTGTGAATGGGAGTTCCCTCAGGATTTGGCTCTCTGTTTGTCTGTTATTGGTGTATAGGAATGCTTGTGATTTTTGCACATTGGTTTTGTATCCTGAGACTTTGCTGAAGTTGCTTGTCAGCTTAAGGAGATTTTGGGCTGAGACAATGGGGTTTTCTAAATATACAATCATGTCATCTGCAAACAGGGACAATTTGACTTCCTCTTTTCCTAATTGAATACCCTTTCTTTCTTTCTCCTGCCTGATTGCCCTGGCCAGAACTTCCAACACTATGTTGAATAGGAGTGGTGAGAGAGGGCATCCCTGTCTTGTGCCAGTTTTCAAAGGGAATGCTTCCAGTTTTTGTACATTCAGTATGATATTGGCTGTGAGTTTGTCATAAATAGCTCTTATTATTTTGAGATACGTCACATCAATACCTAACTTATTGAGAGTTTTTAGCATGAAGGGCTGTTGAAGTTTGTCAAAGGCCTTTTCCACATCTATTGAGATAATCATGTGGTTTTTGTCTTTGGTTCTGTTTATATACTGGATTACGTTTATTGATTTTCATATGTTGAACCAGCCTTGCATCCCAGGGATGAAGCCAACTTGATCATGGTGGAAAACCTTTTGATGTGCTGCTGGATTCGGTTTGCCAGTATTTTATTGAGGATTTTTGTATCGATGTTCATCAGGGGTATTGGTCTAAAATTCTCTTTTTTGGTTGTGTCTCTGCCAGGCTTTGGTATCAGGATGGTATTGGCCTCATAAAATGAGTTAGGGAGGATTCCTTCTTTTTCTGTTGATTGGAATAGTTTCAGAAGGAATGGTAGCAGCTCCCATTTGTACCTCTGGTAGAATTCGGCTGTGAATCCATCTGGTCCTGGAGTATTTTTGGTTGGTAGGCTATTAATTATTGCCTCAATTTCAGAGCCTGTTAATGGTCTACTCAGGGATTCAACTTCTTCCTGGTTTAGTCTTGGGAGGGTGTATGTGTCCAGGAATTTATGCATTTCTTCTAGATTTTTTAGTTTATTTGCGTAGAGGAGTTTATAGTATTCTCTGATGGTAGTTTGTATTTCTGTGGGGTTGATGGTGATATCCCCATTATCATTTTTTATTGCATCTATTTGATTCTTCTCTCTTTTCTTCTTTATTAGTCTTGCTAGCGGACTATTAATTTTGTTGATCTTTTCAAAAAACCAGCTCCTGGATTCTTTGATTTTTTTGAAGGGTTTTTTGTGTCTCTATCTCCTTCAGTTCTGCTCTGATCTTAGTTATTTCTTGCCTTCTGCTAGCTTTTGAATGTGTTTGCTCTTGCTTCTCTAGTTCTTTTAATTGTGATGTTAGGGTGTCAATTTTAGATCTTTCCTGCTTTCTCTTATGGGAATTTAGTGCTATAAATTTCCCTCTACACACTGCTTTAAATGTTCCCAGAGATTCTGGTATGTTGTGTCTTTGTTCTCATTGGTTTCAAAGAACATCTTTATTTCTGCCTTCATTTCGTTATGTATCCAGTAGTCATTCAGGAGCAGGTTGTTCAGTTTCCATGTAGTTGAGCGGTTTTGAGTGAGTTTCTTAATCCTGAGTTCTAGTTTGATTGCCCTGTGGTCTGAGAGGCAGTTTGTTATAATTTCTGTTCTTTCACATTTGCTGGGGAGTGCTTTACTTCGAACTATGTGGTCAATTTTGGAATAAGTGCTACGTGGTGCTGAGAAGAATGTATATTCTGTTGATTTGGGGTGGAGAGTTCTGTAGATGTCTATTAGGCCTGCTTGGTGCAGAGCTGAGTTCAAGTCCTGGATATCCTTGTTAACTTTCTGTCTCGTTGATCTGTCTAATGTTGACAGTGGGGTGTTAAAGTCTCCCATTATTATTGTGTGGGATTCTAAGTCTCTTTGTAGGTCTCTAAGGACTTGCTTTATGAATCTGGGTGCTCCTGTATTGGGTGCATATATATTTAGGATAGTTAGCTCTTCTTGTTGAATTGATACCTTTACCATTATGTAATGGCCTCCTTTTCTCTTTTGATCTTTGTTGGTTTAAAGTCTGTTTTATTAGAGACTAGGATTGCAACCCTTGCCTTTTTTCGTTTTCCATTTGCTTGGTAGATCTTCCTCCATCCCTTTATTTTGAGCCTATGTGTGTCTCTGCACGTGAGATGGGTCTCCTGAATACAGCACACTGATGGGTCTTGACTCTTTATCCAGTTTGCCAGTCTGTGTCTTTTAATTGGAACATTTAGCCCATTTACATTTAAGGTTAATATTGTTATGTGTGAATTTGATCCTGTCATTATGATGTAAGCTGGTTATTTTGCTCGTTAGTTGATGCAGTTTCTTCCTAGCATCGATGGTCTTTACAATTTGGCATGTTTTTGCAGTGGCTGATACTGGTTGTTCCTTGCTGTGTTTAGTGCTTCCTTCAGGAGCTCTTGTAAGGCAGGCCTGGTGGTGACAAAATCTCTCAGCATTTGTTTGTCTGTAAAGGATTTTATTTCTCCTTCACTTATGAAGCTTAGTTTGGCTGGATATGAAATTCTGACTTGAAAATTCTTTCTTTAAGAATGTTGAATATTGGCCCCCACTGTCTTCTGGCTTGTAGAGTTTCTGCCAAGATATCTGCTGTTAGTCTGATGGGCTTCCCCTTGTAGGTAACCTGACCTTTCTCTCTGGCTGCCCTTAATATTTTTTCCTTCATTTCAACTTTGGTGAATCTGACAATTATGTGTCTTGCAGTTGCTCTTCTCGAGGAGTATCTTTGTGGCGTTCTCTGTATTTCCTGAATTTGAATGTTGGCCTGCCTTGCTAGGTTGGGGAAGTTCTCCTGGTTAATATCCTGCAGAGTGTTTTCCAACTTGGTTCCATTCTCCCCATCACTTTCAGGTACACCAATCAGATGTAGATTTGGTCTTTTTACATAGTCCCATATTTCCTGGAGGCTTTGTTTATTTTTTTTTATTCTTTTTTCTCTAAACTTCTCTTCTTGCTTCATTTAATTCATTTGATCTTCAATCACTGATACCCTTTCTTCCAGTTGATCGAATCGGCTACTGAAGCTTGTGCATCACGTAGTTCTCGTGCCATGGTTTTCAGCTCCCTCAGGTCATTTAAGGTCTTTTCTACACTGTTTATTCTAGTTAGTCATTCGTCTAATCTTTTTTCAAGTTTTTAGCTTCTTTGCAGTGGGTTCAAACATCCTCCTTTAGCTCAGAGAAGTGTGTTATTACTGGTCGTCTGAAGCCTTCTTCTCTCAACTCATCAAAGTCATTCTCCGTCCAGCTTCGTTCCATTGCTGGTGAGGAGCTGCGTTCCTTTGGAGGAGAAAAGGCGCTCTGAATTTTAGAATTTTCAGCTTTTCTGCTCTGGTTTCTTTCCATCTTTGTGGTTTTGTCTACCTTTGGTCTTTGATGATGGTGATGTACAGATGGGGTTTTGGTGTGGGTGTCCTTTCTGTTAGTTTTCCTTCTAACAGTCAGGACCCTCAGCTGCAGGTCTGTTGGAGTTTGCAGAAGGTCCACTCCAGACCCTGTTTGGCTGGGTATCACCAGTGGAGGCTGCAGTACAGCAAATATTGCAGAACAGCAAATGTTGCTGCCTGATCTTTCCTCTGGAAGCTTCGTCTCAGAGGGGCACCTGGCTGTATGAGGTGTCAGTTGGCCCCTACTGGGAGATGCCTCCCAGTTAGGCTACTCTGGCATCAGGGACCCACTTGAGGAGGCAGTCTATCCAATCTCAAACTCCGTGCTGGGAGAATCACTACCCTCTTCAAAGCTGTCCGACAGGGATGTTTATGTCTGCAGAAGTTTCTGCTGCCTTTTGTTCAGTTATGCCCTGCCCCCAGAGGTGGAGTCTACAGAGACAGGAAGGCCTCCTTGAGCTGCAGTGGGCTCCACCCAGTTCAAGCTCCCCGCCACTTTGTTTACCTATTCAAGCCTCCGCAATGGCGGACCCCTCTCCCCCAGCCTCACTGCCGCCTTGCAGTTTGATCTCAGACTGCTGTGCTAGCAGTGAGCGAGGTTCTGTGGGCGTGGGACCCTCTGAGCCAGGCGCGTGATATAATCTCCTTGTGTGCTATTTGCTAAGACCATTGGAAAAGTGCAGTATTAGGATGGGAGTGTCCTGATTTTCCAGGTACTGTCTGTCACGGCTTCCCTTGGCTAGTAAAGGCAATTCCCTGACCCCCTTGTGCTTCCTGGG
This sequence comes from Homo sapiens, assembly GCF_000001405.40. Classification (NCBI taxonomy): domain Eukaryota; kingdom Metazoa; phylum Chordata; class Mammalia; order Primates; family Hominidae; genus Homo; species Homo sapiens. The sequence goes on from NC_000018.10 coordinate 26,244,529, forward strand.
TGAGGCGATGCCCCCGCAGCTTTGGCTCACACTCCGTGGGCTGCACCCACTGTCCAACAAGTCCCAGTTAGATGAACCCAGTACCTCAGTTGGGGATGCAGCAATCACCGGTCTTCTGTGTCACTTATGCTGGGAGCTGTAGACTGGAGCTGTTCCTATTCGGCCATCTTGGAACCTCCCCCCGAAATTTATACTAGAAATTATCCTTATAAGAGAAACTAGAAGAGCAACAGGGACAGGGAGTGGTTTTTAGGAGTGGGAGTAGCCTTGGAGAAGAGAGGTGGGAGGAAGTTTGTCTGACAGGCATTAGGACGCAGGAGGCAAGTTTCAGGATAGATAGGATAGATGGGTGAGTCTCGCTTGGGCGACATAACTTTGAGAGTTCCGCTCACTGCTGCAGGGTCAACCAACTTTTTGTCGGGACCCCAGAGCTGAATGTCTTTCCTCTCTGTCGACCCTTGGCTCAGCCCAGAAGTATAGGAAAAGTGGAAGCTGGTTCCAGGCAAACCAACGCTCCGAACTCCAAAGAGTCTGGGGTTGTTAGAGAGCCCTTTCCCAGAAAGCCTGACACCCGTGTCTTTAGTCTGGCGGCCATGCTAGTCATTTTTAACAGGCCAACAGGTGCCCAGTATTTAGCCCCCAAATTCTAAGGAAAAATAGGACAGAATAGCAAGCAAAAGGGGTCCGATGGTCCTTATCACGTGGCGATATCCTGAACAAGCCCCCAAGATGTGTCCAGAGTTGGTTCCTTCCAGCAGGTTTGTGGTCTCGCTGACTTCAAGAATGAAGCTGCAGACCTTCGTGGTGAGTGTTAGAGCTCTTACAGATGGCACGGACCCAAAGAGTGAGTGGTAGCAAGGTTTACTGTGAAGAGCGATAGAACAAAGCTTCCACAGTGTGGAAGGGGACCCAAGTGGGTTGCTGCTGCTGGCTGGGGTGGCCAGCTTTTGTTCCCTTATTGGCCCCTCCCATGTTCCATTTCTGTCCTATCAGAGTGCCCTTTTTTCAATCTTCCCTGTGATTGGCCACTTTTAGGATCCTGCTGATTGGTGCATTTTACAGAGCACTGATTGGTGCATTTTACAAAACGCTGATTGGTGCATTTTACAGAGCGCTGATTGGTGATTTTTAGAATGCTCTTGCTGTCTGCAGAGTGCTGATTGATGCGTTTTTACAGAGCACTGATGGTTGCATTTTACAATCCTCTTGTAAGACAGAAAAGTTCTCCAAGTCCGCACTCGACCCAGGAAGTCCAGCTGGCTTCACCTCTCATTAGTACCTATAAATGCTTCATTTTTTCAACTGCATTGTAGTCCACTGTATTGACATAACATTGTTTTTTGACCACTTGCCTATTCGCAGGCGTTGATACTGTTTGCACTACTTTCTGCTGTTAAAAATGATGCTGTGATAAACATCTTTGCATGTGTATTTTTGTGCAGTTTGGAAACGTGGATTTTTATAGGATAAATTGCTAGAAGTGGAATTGTTGGTTCAAATGGTAATATTTCAATCGGCATTGCTAAATTTTACTCCCCAAAAATTGTTTAAATATGTAATCAACAGTATTAATACTTAATTTTAGAAAACTACCCATGGAATCTAAGAAGTCATTTTTCAGACATTAATTAATGGTAAGAATATATGAGCATTGAAATTGAGGGGGAAGGTAGGATTTCAATATAGAGAAATGTAGGCTGGATGATAATACCAGTGTATGGGTTTGTTACTTACTGAATGACTATGTCTAAGAAGGCTCTTGTTACCTTGTAGTAAACTAGGTATATGATACATAGTTGTCTAGAAAGTTCAGTCCGAGACCACAGAATAAGGCCTAGATGGTATGCCAATCAAGTTTGTAGATAATAATGGGCTTGTAGGGTTGGCTTTTTGTGGAATGTAATAGAGTGTAGCAACATAGGAGAGAACATTGGTCCTGGAGTTTGAATCCCAGCTCTACCACTTGATAGCTTTGTAATCTAGGCAAGTTATTAATCTCATTGTTTTTGTGGTTTTTTTTTTCTGGATGGAGTCTCACTCTGTCGCCCACGCTGGAGTGCAGTGGCGCGATCTCAGCTCACTGCAACCTCCACCTCCCAGGTTCAAGCCATTCTCCTGCCTCAGCCTCCCAAGTAGCTGGGACAACAGGTGTGTGCCACCACACCTGGCTAATTTTTTATTTTTAGTAGAGATGGGGCTTCACAATATTGGCCAGGCTGGTCTCAAACTCCTGACCTCAGGTGATCTGCTGGCCTTGGCCTCCCAAAGTGTTGGCATTACAGGCGTGAGCCACCGCACCTGGCCTAATCTCATTCTTTTTTTTTTCTTTTTTGTTTTCTGAGATATAGTTTCACTCTTGTTGCCCAGGTTGGAGTGCAGTGGCATGATTTCGCCTCACTGCAACCCTCTCCCCCGCCACTGACCCCACCTGGGTTCAAGCGATTCTCCTGCCTCAGCCTCCCGAGTAGCTGGGATTACAAGCATGTGCCACCATGCCTGGTTAATTTTATATTTTTAGTAGAAATGGGGTTTCTCCATGTTGGTCAGGCTGGTCTCGAACTCCCGATCTTAGGTGATCCACCCGCCTCGGCCTCCCAAATTGCTGGGATTACAGGCGTGAGCCACCATGCCTGTCCTAATCTCATTCTTAATGTCAGCTATATTGTCTCTAAAATACGGTTAATACCTTCTGAAAAATATCATAAGGGTTAAATAGAATAAGTATACAGAGTCTGCATATCACAGAATTCTGGGGAACACCATTTATGTGGAATACAATGTTGCACAGCAGAAGTGTCATGAATATTTAAGGTACTTATGCAGCATTTGTTGATAGGTACTCTGTGGTTGCTATTTAGCTAACATGTATGAGGACCCTCCAAATTCTCAGCCGTCTGAAAGTATGGGTCTTTAAGTTATCTCAGTGCCTACCTGTCCCTATTTTTTAAATTAAAAAGATGATGCTTACTGTAGAAAATTTGGAAAACAGAAAAATTACACAAAAATATTACCCTCCCCCCAAAGTTTTGAGTATATTTAAAAAATCTTCTTTTAAAAAAAATTGACACAGGGTTGGGCATGGTGACTCACATCTTGTAATCCCAGCACTTTGGGAGGCCGAGGCAGGCAGATCACTTGTGGGCATGAGTTCGAGACCAGCCTCGCCAACATAGCAAAATCCTGTCCCTACTGAAAGCACAAAAACTAGCCAAGCGTTGTGGTGCATACCTCTAATCCCAGGTACTTGGGAGGCTGAGGCACGAGAATCACTTGAGCCCAGATGTATGCAGTGGGCCAAGATCGTGCCACTGCACTCCAGCCTGGGCAACAGAACAAGACTCTGTCTCAAAAAAAAGTAAAAAAAATTGAGACAGGGTCTTGCTGTCACCCAGGCTGGAATGCATTAGTACAATCAGGGCTCACTTCAGACTGACCTCCCTAGCATAAGCAGTTCTCCTACGTCAAACCTACTGAGTGACTGGGACTACAGGTGTGCCTCACTATGCCCAGCTAATTTTTTTTTTTTTTTGGTACATTTGGGATCTCACTGTTTCCCAGGCTGGCCTTGAACTCCTGGGCTCAAGTGATCTTCCTGCCTTAGCCTCCCAAAGTGCTGGGATTACAGGCGTGAGCGACTGCACCTGGCCCCTAATCTCCTTTTTAAATGTCATCTTTATTGAGGTAAAATTTTTGTTATTAAAAAAGGGGAACCTAGGCTGGGCGCAGTGGCTCACGCCTGTAATCCCAGCACTTTGGGAGGCTAAGGCAGGAAGATCACTTGAGCCCAGGAGTTCAAGGCCAGCCTGGGAAACAGTGAGATCCCAAATGTACCAAAAAAAAAAAAAAATTAGCTGGGCATAGTGAGGCACACCTGTAGTCCCAGTCACTCAGTAGGTTTGACGTAGGAGAACTGCTTATGCTAGGGAGGTCAGTCTGAAGTGAGCCCTGATTGTACTAATGCATTCCAGCCTGGGCAACAGAACAAGACTCTGTCTCAAAAAAAAGTAAAAAAAATTGAGACAGGGTCTTGCTGTCACCCAGGCTGGAATGCATTAGTACAATCAGGGCTCACTTCAGACTGACCTCCCTAGCATAAGCAGTTCTCCTACGTCAAACCTACTGAGTGACTGGGACTACAGGTGTGCCTCACTATGCCCAGCTAATTTTTTTTTTTTTTTGGTACATTTGGGATCTCACTGTTTCCCAGGCTGGCCTTGAACTCCTGGGCTCAAGTGATCTTCCTGCCTTAGCCTCCCAAAGTGCTGGGATTACAGGCGTGAGCGACTGCACCTGGCCCCTAATCTCCTTTTTAAATGTCATCTTTATTGAGGTAAAATTTTTGTTATTAAAAAAGGGGAACCTAGGCTGGGCGCAGTGGCTCACGCCTGTAATCCCAGCACTTTGGGAGGCTGAGGTGGGTGGATCATGACGTCAGGAGATCAAGACCATCCTGGCCAACATGGTGAAACACCATCTCTACTAAAAATACAAAAATTAGCTGGGCGTGGTGGTACGTGCCTGTAATCCCAGCTACTCTGGAGGCTGAGGCAGGAGGATCACTTGAACCAGGGAGCTGGAGGTTACAGTGAACCGAGATTGTGCCACTGCACTCCAATCTGGTGACAGAACGAGACTCCATATCAAAAAAAAAAAAAAAAAGAGGAACCTGGCTGGGTGCGGTGGCTCATGCCTGTAATCCCACCACTTTGGGAGGCCAAGGCAGGTGGATTACTTGAGGCCAGGAGTTCGAGACCAGCCAGGCCAACATGGCAAAACTCGGTCTCTACTAAAAATACACAAAAATTAGCCAGGGTATTGTGGTACATGCCTGTAGTGTGAGCTACTTGGGAGGAGAGGCTTGAGAATCGCTTGAACCCAGGAGCAGAGGTTGCAGTGATCCAAGATTGCACTCCAGCCTGGGCAACAGAGCAAAACTCTCTCTCTCTCTCAAAAAAAAAAAAGATCATTTACGGTGAATTGAGTGCTGAAACATTTAATAAAGGTGTAGCACCAATGAAATTAAGATATAGAGCATTTCATTCCCAAAAGCTTTTTGTCTCTTTGGAAATAAAAATGTTATGCACACGTTCTCTATTTTTCACATAATTGGGATTCTGTGATACCACTTTTATATCCTGATTTTCACTTATCATTATATGGTGACAATTTTCTATATTGTGAACTCAACACTTTATTTATTTTTTTTTAGAGACAAAGTCTCATTCTTTCTTTCGCCTAGGCTGGAGTGCAGTGGCATGACCTCAGTTCATTATAATCTCCACCTTCTGGGTTCAAGCAATTCTCCTGCCCCAGCCTCCTAAGTAGCTGGGATTACAGGCACATGCCACCATGCCCGGCTAATTTTTGAATTTTTGATAGAGATAGGGTTTCACCATGTTGGCCAGGCTGGTCTCAAACCTCTGGCTTTATGTGATCCACCTGCCTTGGTCTCCCAAAGTGCTGGAATTACAGGCATGAGCCACTGCAGCCGTCCAGTTTTTGTTGTTGTTGTTGTGTTTGTTTTTGAAACAGGGTCTCACTCTGTCCCCCAGGCTGAAGTGGAGTGGCTCGAACATGGCTCACTGCAGCCTCAAACTCCTGAGCTCAAGTGTTCCTTGCCTCAGCCTCCCAAGTAGCTGGGACCACAGGCAGGTACCACCAGGCTTAGCTAATTATAAAAATTTTTGTGCTGGGCGCGGTGGCTCACGCCTCCTATCCCAGCACTTTGGGAGGCCGAGGCAGGCGGATCACGAGGTCAGGAGATCGAGACTGTCCTGGCTAACACGGTGAAACCCTGTCTCTACTACAAATACAAAAAATTAGCCAGGCATGGTAGCAGGCGCCTGTAGTCCGAGCTACTCGAGAGGCTGAGGCAGGAGAATAGCGTGAACCCGGGAGGCGGAGCTTGCAGTGAGCCGAGATCACGCCACTGCACTCCAGCCTGGGCAACAGAGCGAGACTCCATCTCAAAAAAAAAAAAAAAAAAATTTTTTTTTGTAGAGATGGGGTTTCACCATTTCGCCCAGGCTGGTTTTGAACTCCTGAGCTGAAGCGATCCACCCACCTCAGCCTTCCAAAGTGCTGAGATTACCAATGTGATCAGTGCTAACTATATCCTGGATTCTACGCTAAGTGCCATAGATGCAGTAATAAATAGGGTAGATATTCTGTGGGTTTAGTTTTTGTCTAACAAACTTATTTTTGTAAAATAATACATACATATAAAAAGACCAACAAATATGGAAAGTAAAAAGAAGAAAGTAAACATCACCTGAAATCTAACAACCTATCCTTAAAAAATGAAATTTAATAGAGATAAATAGAAGCTCAATTTTGGCAAATCAGCTGTGTAAATGGAGGATAGGGGAGATATACCATAACTAATAGCACGACCTGGGATATAAACTTCTTGATTGCTTTAATTTTTTCTTTTATTTATTCAATTCAGGAAATGAGGGAAATTTAAGTGACTTTAAGCTCTTTGTAAGGAAAACTGTGACGTGAAAAATGGAAGAAATTTGGCCTCTAGTGCCTGAGGAAGGAAACAACTTAGCGTCTAAGTGTTTCCAGTCCTATGGAAATGAGAGTGGGCTTATTCTGTGTGGTTGCAGAAGGTACCCTCACATCTCTGGATATTAATGGGAGGCACGTTTGGTTCCATATTAAGGAAGGACTTATATTCGTGATCTGCTTGTGAAAGAGTGACACAAAGAAATCTGCGTTTTCCTAACCCTGGACTATTTGAAAAGAGGCTAAAAGGTGACTAGTGAGGCATTCTGTATATGTATTAAATTGTAATAGATGAATTCTAGCATCTTTAAGGCTCTTAGATTTGTAAGGATCTGCTATTTTTTCAGGGGCAGTATTTACAAATGCTGTGAATGTGGAGAAGTCAGAGAACTTCCATTCAGATCAGCTTGACACCAAGAAATTGGCATTTTTGGATGTTGGGATGTAGCAGTTCACTGGGCTGAAGGGTAGAATATGTAAATCATGTACCAAGTAGAGAGTGGACACTGGACCACGATACACTTTAATATCTTAATATTTATAGAGGAACGGTGCTATGTAACCTAATATATGATTACATTCTGTCAATATGCTTGTAGAATAAACAGGCCATTCTTTTATGATTGGAAAAAGTGAGTCTCAGATACTTATCAGGATTGGATTCAAAGAAACTTGGTCACTGGTCTTCAGAGAAGAGACTAACATTCAGTTTCCCTTTGTTTTTAAGTGCTTTCTATTATATTATTGCTTCTCATTGGCATTGGGCCTTTGAGATAAATAATTGGTTAAGGTTGCAAAAGGAGTGTTTTGCATCTTGAAAACACTTTGGTCTGAAGATGAGCTGGTTATTTTATTCTCAGCATTGCCTGTCTACAGCTATTCTAATATTGCCTCCTACTGATGTTTTGAGTACTTAGTTGAAGAAAAGTTTGAATTGTGGACCTCTTGGCATTAATAGCTACCTGCTCAAAAATTCAAAAATCCTCTCACATATATTGTCTCATTTGGTTCCTTTAACAATCCAGTGAGGTGGGTCTGAGGTTTACCCATCCATGAACATGGATCTCTTTCCATTTATTTAGATCTTCTGTAATTACTTTCAACATACGTTTTTCAACGTGTTTTTTACATGTTGAAAGTAATTAAAGTATGAAGACATTTCTTAGTTTTCATAGTGTTAGTTTTGTACTTTGTTAAATTTATCCTTGAAGTATATTATTCTTTTTGGTGCTATTGTGAATAGAATCATTTTCTTAATTTCATTTATGGTTATTCATTGCAAGTGTATAAAAATACAGTTGATTATTGAATATTGATCTTGTATCCTGCTACCATGCTAAATTGATTACTTCTAATAGTTTTTTAGAGGGTTCATTAGGATTTTCTATATATAGTAGTTCCTCTTCCCTTATCTAATGGTTTCATTTACCCATGGTCAACTGCCTCCAAAAATATTAAGTGGAAAATTCCAGAAATAAACAATTTGTTTTAAATCGTGTGCCATTCTGAGTATCGTGATGAAATCTCCCTCCATTCCACTGCATCCTGCCTGAAATGTGAATCATTCCTTTGTCCAGTGTATTGACACTCTGTACACTTACCTACCTATTAGTTACTTAGTAGCCCTCTTGACTGTTATAGTACACAGTATTACAGCGTTTGTGTTCAGGTAACCCTATTTTAATTAATAAGGGCCCCAAAGCTTACAAGAGTGGTGATGCTGGTGGCATATTTTTTTATTCTATTCTATTTTTATTTTTATTTATTATTTTATTAGTTATTTTATTTATTTATATATATTTTATTATTAGTTATTGTTGCCAGTATGTTACTGTGTGTAATTTATAAATTACATTTTATCATAGGTATGTATGTATAGAAAAAACATAATATGTGGGGTTCAGCACTGTCTGAGGTTTTAGGCATCCACTGAGATTGTGGAACCTTATGAGATCATGCCATCTGTAAATAATTTTACTCATTCCCTTCTGATTTGGATGCCTTTTATTTCATTTTCTTGCCCAGTTACCCTTGGTGGAATTCTGAATATAATGTTGAACAAAAGTAGTGATTGTAGGCATCCTTGTCTCATCCTTCATCTTAGATATCCTTGTCTTATTCCTGATCCTTGGGAGAAATTCAGACTTTCACCAAAAGTATGATGTTATCTGTGGGTCTTCTGTAAATCCATTTATCAGGTTGAGAAAATTTCTGTTTCTCTTTTTTTGGGTCTTTTTATCTGAAAGAAAGGCTTGTTGAATTTTGTCAAATGCTTGTTCCGCATCTGTTGAGATGATCATGTGTTTTTTGTCTTTCATTCTATCGATAGGGTGTTTTATAGTAGTTAGTGTTTGGATACTAAACCACCCTTGTATTCTTGAGATAACTATCACTTGGTCATGGTATATAACACATATAAAACATTGCTGGATTCAGTTTGCTAGTACTTGGTCAAGAATTTTTGTGTCTATATCCATAAGGGATATTGACCTGTGGTTTTCTTGTGATGTCCTTGTCTGTTTTTGGTATCGTTAATACTGACCTTATAGATTGAGTTGGGACGTGTTCCCTGCTTTTTTATTTTTTGGAATACTTTGTGAAGGATTAACATTAAATTTTCTTTTAAATATTTGGTAGAATTGACCAGTGAAGTCATCTGGACCTGCGCTTTTCTTACAGATCCTCTTTTGATTCAATATCTTCATTTCTTAAAGGCCTATTCAGGTTGTCTATTCTTTCTTGAGTCAATTTCAGTAGTTTATGTGTTTCTAGGAATTTGTTTCATCTAAATTGTCTAATTTATTAGTTTATAATTGTTTCTAGTCTTCCCTTATAATCCTTATTTGTGTAAAACTTATGCCCCCCCACCCCCCCCATTTTATTTTGTTAATTAATTTATTTTTTTGAGATGGAGTTTCGCTCTGTTGCCCAGGCTGGAGTGCAGTGGCATGATCTTAGCTCACTACAACCTCTGCCTCCCGGGTTCAAGCGATTCTTCTGCCTCAGCCTCCTGAGTAGCTGGGACTACAGGCATGTGCCACCATGCCTGGCTAATTTTTTTGTATTTTTAGGGGAGACGGGGTTTCACCATGTTGGCCAGACTGGTCTCGAGCTCCTGACCTCAAATGATCTACCTACGTTGGCCTCCCAAAGCGCTGGGATTACAGGCCTGAGCCACCATGCCTGGCCTCACACCTGATTTTAATAGTTTGAGTCTTTCCTTTGTTCTTAGTCATTCTAGGTAAAGGTTTGTCAGTTTTGTTTATTTTTTTTCCAAAGAACAATCTTTTGGTTTTGTTGATTTTTCTTTTTTTTCTCTTTTAGTAAATTTTAGTTTTAATACAGAGTGAAAGAAAATAGAAACTTAATAGGCTAAAACAAGTCAGACACCCATTCTACACAGATAAAAACCTTCACAAAGGTCAACTGAAGTAATCCGGAGCTGGAACTGAATTGTGCAGATTTTCAATGAAGTCATCAAAGTCATGTAACACAAAAATCGATTACATTTACACACTCAGCAAGCCCTCTAAGAAATGTGCCCCAAGAAGCATTAACCTTTGTTTTGTGCCATCCCGAAGACTTGCACATTTTTTCAGATAGCTTAACATTTTTAATAGAGTGTGTTTTCTACTGTGCGGTAATGCTTTGGTACTATTTATACAGGGTCTCGCCTGTCCTAGAGACGTGCCATTTCCCTAAGAGGAGCTTTGATTCTGCTTTAGAAGTTTTATATAAATTAAAATCTTTATCAAATATTAATATGAAGGGAGGCACAGGATGCAACATATATAGTCAAGTTACCTTTCTGTATATTTAGAAATTACTTTCTCCTCCAAGGGATTTGCAACAGAAAGCTCAGTCTGTCCTGCTTAATAATCAGTAGTACAGGTTTGAATCATCAGAAGCTTGGCAAGACCTTAATATTTCAAAATTATTAACAGCTGCCTCTAGGGGCAAGTCCATGTTACTGAGTTATGACAAACTTACTATCATGAGGGAAAACAAGAGTAGCCAGCCACCTTAAAAAATGCCCCAACCACTGCTTCTCAATACAGAAAGACTGAAAACTACATACAGTTTATCATACAACAAATCCCATCTCTGTCCCCTGAAATTCCCCTGGTTTCATTCATTAGAAGGGGATTAAAAAAAAAAGACTTAAAGAGCACTTTACAGCAGCATTAAGCTTTCCTATGAAATACTCAGCATCTTAAATATTATGTACAACTCTTTTTTTAGTAAGTTAGACACTGGCTTCAGAGTTTGTGGGACTGGGGGAAATCAACCCATTCAAAACTACTCTAGAAATTGTCTTTTGGCAGAATAGCAGGTATCCAAGTTAAAAATAGGAGGGTCATTTGAGACCAGCCTGGCCAACGTGGTGAAACCCTGTCTCTACTAAAACTAAAAAATTAGCTGGGTCTGGTGGTGGGCACCTATAAACCCAGCTACTTGGGAGGCTGAGGCAGGAGAATCACTTGAACCCGGGAGACGAAGTTGCAGTGAGCCAAGATCACGCCACTGCACTCCAGCCTGGACAACAAGAGCAAAACTCTGTCTCCAAAAAAAAAAAAAAAGAGGGTCAGTTTGTTGCTTTGTGGTCTTCAAAATTTAGATGGTTTTTTTTGTTCCCCTTCTACATAAAAACCTCAGTCACCACTCCTGAGTGGAGATGGGCAGAGGCTGTGGCCCCTGCTCCTCTGGCTTCTCGGCAGCTGCTTTCTTATTGCTGCAGCAAGGCTTGAAGAGATGTGTGTCAATGAGAACTTCCCCAAAACGGCCTTTATAGATGATCCCACAACATGTCTTCTGTCTTTTCTAGTATGTGAGATCTAAAAAGGAAACAACTGGTGTTCTGTTAGAACCAGAAGCCATCTCTGTATCTGAGCCGTCATCTGACTGGTTACTGTAACAAGGAGATTGAGCTGGGAGGCACTGGAGGTGGTACTGTGAGCATCAGAATTACGATGTTTAAATTCCTTCTGCAGTTTACTGATATGGTTGCTCTTTATCTTGTTCCCAGATAGAGTCACTTTCTTTGGTTTCAATGTAGTCTTTAGACTGGGTCCAGCCCTTGCATCTACCACATGATTCCAGTTTTTTTTTTGATCCTGCTGGCAACTTCTTCCATCTTTTCACAAGCAGGACACAGGCATTGCAGATGTCTCCTGAAGGAGTCTCATGCAATCCAGAACAGCTGTGGAAGTCCTTTTCATAGCGTTTACTGTCAGTGAATCGAGAACTAGAGGACTTAGCTCTGCAAATACAGCAGCCCTCTATACTTCGGTACATCTTTGGCGTGTGAAAACCAAACATCTTTTCTTCTGGGCAAAAGTCTTCCAAAAGCAGCCGTTCCACGCGCAATAACGTCCCCGAGGTGCAGAGTGCACGCCAGGCCAGTCCCCCTCAAGCACTCCCTACTCCAGTTTTGTTGATTTTTCTCAGTTGTTTTTCTATTCTCTATTTGCCCCTGCTCTTAATCTTTATTATTTCTTTTCTTCTGCTTGCTTTAGTTTTCATTTTGCTCTTCTTTTTCCAGTGTCTTAAGGTAAAAGGTTGTTAGTGATTTGAGATATTTCTTCCTTTTTAAGACAGGCATTTATAGCTGTACATTTTTCTCTGAATATTGCTTTAGTTGCATCACATAGATTTTGGTATGCTGTATCTTCATTTTCATTCATCTCAAAAGTATTTTCTAGTTTCCTTTATGATTTCTTCATTGACCCATTGGTTACTTAGAAGTGTGTTTATTATGCACATATTTGGGAGTTACCCCACTTTTTTTTTTTTTTCTGTCACTGTTTTCTAATTTCATTCCATTGTAGGTGGAGACCATACATTGTATTAGGTTGGTGCAAAAGTAATTGTGTTTTTTTTGCCATTACTTTCAATGGCGAAAACCGTGATTACTTTTGCACCAACCTAATATAATTTCAATTTTTGAAAGTTTATTGAGGTTTGTTTTGTGTCCTAGTATATGGTCTGTCTTGGAGAATGTTTCGCATACACTTAAGAATGCTATTGTTGTTAGGTGAAGTACTCCATAGATCTGAGTTAGGTTTAGTTGGTTTATAGTTTTTTCAAGTGGTTGATTTCCTTGCTGCTTTTCTGTTTAGTTCTATTCTTCATTGAAAGTGGGGTATTGCAGTGTCCGAGCAATTGTTGAATTATTTTTCCTTTTATCACTTTTTGCTTCATGTATTTTAGGCTCTGTGTGTGAGGTATATGTGCTTAAAATGTTACATCGTGTTGATCTGTTAGCCCCATCATTACAAAATGCCCTTCTTTATCTCTTGTTTAAAGTCTATTTTGATATTAGTATGGCCACTACAGCTTTCTTGTGGTTCTGTTTGTATGATGTCTTTTATTTTCAACTCTTTTATATCTTTGAGTCTAATGTATATCTCTTGTAAGGAGCATATAGTTGAATTTTGTTTTTTATCCAACCTAGCACTTTCTCCCTTTTGACTGGATTATTTTGTACATTCACATTTGCATTTAATGTTGTTATATATATATAGTTGGACTTAGCCTGCCATTTACTTTTGTTTCCTATATGTTTCTTTTACTTTTTCCTCTATACTTTTCCTGCTTTCTTTTGTATTAAGCAAATATTTTCTAGGGTAACACTTATCCTTTGTAATTTTTTCAACATGTTTTTGAGTGTTTTTCTTAGAGGTTGCTTTAGGGCTTACAATATGAACCTCATTGGAATCTCCTTCATGTGTATATTAACTTATTTCAGTGAGACAGAGAAGCCCTTTCTTTCATATAGTTCATTTCTGGCTTTCCTCTGCGTGCGTGTGTGTGTGTGTGTGTGTGTGTGTGTGTGTGTGTGTGTGTGTAATTATTGCTTTATACCTTGCATCTAGTTATATTACAAACCCAACAATTATTATGTTACATAATTTTATGTCTTTTAAAGAAGCTGAGGCTGGGTGTGGTGGCTCATGCCTGTAATCCCAGCACTTTGGGAGGCCGAGGCAGGCAGATCACGAGGTCAGGAGACTGAGACCATCCTGGCCAACATGGTGAAACACCGTCTCTACTAAAAATACAAAAATTAGCTGGGCGTGGTGGCATGTGCCTGTAATCCCAGCTACTCAGGAGGCTGAGGCAGGAGAATTGCTTGAACCAAGGAGTCGGAGGTTGCAGTGAGCTGAGATCGCACCACTGCACTCAAGCCTGGTGACAGAGCGAGACTCCATCTCAAAAAAAAAAAAAAGCTGAGGGAAGAAGAGAGCAAGGACATGTTTATGTCATTTGTTATATTACCTTATTTGTCTTTTCTGGATTTTCTTCATTTGTTCCTTTGCTTCTGAGCTACCATCTGAAGTACCTTTAGTACAATACAGCTTTGCTTCCACCCATTTCCTCTGTGCTTCTATTTGTAAAAATTTTACATTCCTGTATGTTAAATTTCCAAAGACGTAATTCTATATATATTGTTCTATACAATAGTTTTTAAAAACCAGTTATGAAAGAAGAAGTAATAATACATTTATACTGCCAAATTACATAATTACCAGTGCTCTTTGTTTTTTCCACGTGAATTTGAATTACTGCCTTGGTCACTTGTTTTCAGCCTGAAGAACTTCATTTAGTGTTTTTTGTATGGAGTATCTGCTACTAATGAATCTTCTCAGTTTAAATTAAAAAAAAATTTTTTTTAGAGACAAGGTCTTGCTCTGTTGGCTGTGCTGGAGTGCTGTGGTGTGATTATAGCTCACTGCAACCTTGAATTCTTGGGCTTGAGTGATCCACCTCAACCTCTCCAGTAGCTGGGATTACAGGTGTGCGCCACCACACTGGGCTACTTTTAATTTTTTTTTTTTTTTTTAGAGATGGGGTCTTGCTTTGTTGTCCAGTCTGGTCTCAAACTCTTGGACTTAAGCAGTCCTCCTGCTTCAGCCTTCCAAAGTGCTGGGATTACAAGTCACTGTGCCAGCCTGTTTTTAAATTTTAAATGTCTTTGCCTTCCTTTTTTCTTTGTTTTTGAACATTTTTACTACCATGTGTCTTGGCGTGGGGATCTCTTTGCGTTTAGCTTACTTGGGGTTTCTTGAGCTACTTTGATGTCTGGATTATTTTCCTCCAAATTTGGGAAGCTTTCAGCTGTTATTTCTTTGATTTTTTTTTTTTTCTGTTCCTTTCTCTCTCCCCTCTCTTTCTGGTACTAACATTATGCCTATGTTGGTGTCTTTAATGGTGTTCCATGTTTTCTGAGAATCTGTTTATTTTTCTTCTTTTTTTTTTATTATACTTTAAGTTCTAGGGTACATGTACACAACATGCAGGTTTGTTACATATGTATACATGTGCCATGTTGGTGTGCTGCACCCATTAACTCATCATTTACATTAGGTATATCTCCTAATGCATCCCTCCCCCCTCCTCCCACCCCGCGACAGGCCCCAGTGTGTGATGTTCCCCACCCTGTGTCCAAGTGTTCTCATTGTTCAATTCCCACCTATGAGTGAGAACATGTGGTGTTTGGTTTTTTGTCCTTACAATAGTTTGCTGAGAATGATGGTTTCCAGCTTCATCCATGTCCCTACAAAGGACATGAGCTCATCCTTTTTTATGGCTGCATAGTATTCCATAGTGTATATGTGCCACATTTTCTTAATCCAGTCTATCATTGATGGACATTTGGGTTGGTTCCAAGTCTTTGCTATTGTGAATAGTGCCGCAGTAAACACACATGTGCGTGTGTCTTTATAGCAGCATGATTTATAATCCTTTGGGTATATACCCAGTAATGGGATGGCTGGGTCAAATGGTATTTCTAGTTCTAGATCCTTGAGGAATTGCCACACTGTCTTCCACAATGGTTGAATTAGTTTACATTCCCACCAACAGTGTAAAAGTGTGCCTATTTCTCCACATCCTCTCCAGCACCTGTTGTTTCCTGACTTTTTAATGATTGCCATTCTAACTGGTGTGAGATGGTATCTCATTGTGGTTTCGATTTGCATTTGTCTGATGGCCAGTGATGATGAGCATTTTTTCATGTGTCTTTTGGCTGCATAAATGTCTTCTTTTGAGAAGTGTCTGTTCATATCCTTCACCCACTTTTTGATGGGGTTTGTTTTTTTCTTGTAAATTTGTTTGAGTTCTCTGTAGATTCTGGATATTAGCCCTTTGTCAGATGGGTAGATTGCAAAAATTTTCTCCCATTCTGTAGGTTGCCTGTTCACTCTGATGGTAGTTTCTTTTGCTGTGCAGAAGCTCTTTAGTTTAATAAGATCCCATTTGTCAATTTTGTCTTTTGTTGCCATTGCTTTTGGTGTTTTAGACATGAAGTCCTTGCCCATGCCTATGTCCTGAATGGTATTGCCTAGGTTTTCTTCTAGGGTTTTTCTGGTTTTAGGTCTGACATTTAAGTCTTTAATCCATCTTAAATTAAGTTTTGTATAAGGTATAAGGAAGGGATCCAGTTTCAGCTTTCTACATATGGCTAGCCAGTTTTCCCAGCACCATTTGTTAAATAGGGGCTCCTTTCCCCATTTCTTGTTTTTGTCAGGTTTGTCAGAGATCAGATGGTTGTAGATGTGTGGTACTATTTCTGAGGGCTCTGTTCTGTTCCATTGGTCTATATTTTTCATCATTCTTTTTGTTCTTTGGATTACATAATTTCTACAGATTTATCTCCAAGTTTGCTGATCTTTCTTTTGCCAGTTTAGGTTTACTTTTGAATCTCTTGTGAATTTGTTACTGTAATGACAGAAGTTCCGTTTTTTAAAAATAATATCTATCTCTAGTGATATTCTAGATGTATCACACCTTTCTTCTTTAAGTATGGTTCCTTTTATTCCTTTGAACATACTTATAATTGTTACTCTGACATTTATTAAATCTGACATCTAATCTGTCTCACAGGTGGTTTCTGTTGCCTGCTTTTCCCTCTGTGTTTATGTCACACTTTTCTGTTTCTTTACATGTCATAGCTTGTTGTTAACTATAGTGTAGCAACTCTTAATACTGGTCCCCACTCCTTGGGTGTGTTACTGTTTTTTGATTTTTAAAAAAGGTCTGGCTAGACTGTTTTAGTGAGGTCTCCTTTTGCTACAATAAGCAGCTGCTGATGTTACTTTTTAGAGGGCACATCCTTGAACATGAGCACTGTCATTTTTTTTTTTTTTTTTTTTTTTTTTTGAGACGGAGTCTCGCTCTGTCGCCCAGGCTGGAGTGCAGTGGCGGGATCTCGGCTCACTGCCGGGATCTCGGCTCACTGCAAGCTCCGCCTCCCGGGTTCACGCCATTCTCCTGCCTCAGCCTCCCAAGTAGCTGGGACTACAGGCGCCCGCCACTACGCCCGGCTAATTTTTTGTATTTTTAGTAGAGACGGGGTTTCACCGTTTTAGCCGGGATGGTCTCGATCTCCTGACCTTGTGATCCGCCCGCCTCGGCCTCCCAAAGTGCTGGGATTACAGGCGTGAGCCACTGCGCCCGGCCAGCACTGTCATCTTTAGCAGGACTCTGTCTCTGCCTCATCTCTCTGTTAAGCTGTCTGCTTATGCTGGTATCACAGCTGGCTGTTAGGATCCACTCATTGCCAGCTGATTGCCCTATTGTTTTCAACAATGCCCTAGAGCCTAACTTGTTCCACAGTCTGATCCAATTAAATTTGGGCTCCTTTACAGAGATAATTTTTTAGGCCAGTGTTTGAGGTTTGTTCTGACCCAAGGAGGACCCTTCTTAGTTGTCTCTTTGGTTTTCTTTGGTAAACTAGTAGACTTATGGTTTAGCTTGTATCTCTCATGAAGCTACCAGCCTCGTCTTAATTGCTACTTTGTATTTGAGGGTGCCTTTAGCCTTGAACTTCTCCACTCTGTTTAACGTAAAGACATTTCATTTAGGGAGATATTGGGAGCAGAGGTCGGGACTGTGGCTTTCTTCTCTCTGAGTGATATCCCTGCTCTAGGAACAAGGTACTGGGTGTGGGCAGTACTCAGGTCTTTTCTGCTCACCTCTCCCAACATGGAACACCTCCAGCCTGTGAAAGAGCTGGGGTGAGACACTTGAGGTCCAAGTGTTCCCAGTGTGCTCTCCTTGAAGTACAGATTTCCTTTTATGAATGGGAATGGGTGAAAGAAGGGAGACTTGAACCCTAAGATGCACCTGTCTCAAGTTTATCCTCTTCAATATGTAGCTGGGATGGGGGGTGAGGATTGGGGGTAGATGAGAAATGCAAGTGACTTCCTCCTCCCGGGAAGATACCATAGCCTTAGATTGGGAGGTTAGGAGAGAGGGAGCCCTGTCTTCTTGGCCACACTCCCTGGAATGGAATTTCTGTCATGTTGAGCTGAGAAGGGAAAGAGAGGGGAGTTGGTTGCAGCAAATGCCACATATTCTTGCTATTCTTACTGAGTTTTAGCAGATCTCCAATAACTGTAGTCATTTTCTGCATGCCTTAGGACAGTTTCCAAACACTTTTTTTTTTTTTTTGAGACAGAATCTCTCTGTGTTGCCCAGGCTGGAGTGCAGTGACGCGATCTCGGCTTACTGTAACCACCACCTCCCAGTTTCAAGCGATTCTTGTGCTTCAGCCTCCTGAGTTACTACTCAGGATTACAGGTGCCTGCCACCACCCTCCACTAATTTTTGTATTTTTTTAGTAGAGACGGGGATTCACCCTGTTGGCCAGGCTTGTCTCAAACTCCTGGCCTCAAGTGATCTGCCTGCCTTGGCCTCCCAAAGTGCTGGGTTTACAAGTGTGAGCTACCATACCTGACCGGTTTCCAAAAACTTTGAATGATTGTTTTATAAAAATAATTTTCACCAGTTATGCCTATTTTACTGGGGAACAGAGTTGTAGAGATCCTCTTGCCACCATTCTGAAAGTGGAACTCCAGCTGTGAATATTTTTGTCTGTGCCTCCTTTTGACACAAAAGACTTTTTTTTTTTTAAAAGATTTTATTTAGAGACAGTGTTGTGCTCTGTCACCTAGGCGGAAGTGCAGTGGCACCATCATAGCTCACTACAGCCTTGAACTTTTGGGCTCAAGTGAGCCTCCCACCTCAGTCTCTTGAGTAGCTCGGACTACAGGCACATGCCCACTGCATTTGGCTAATTAAAAAATTGTTTTTGTAGAGACAGGGTCTCACTTTGTTGCTGAGGGTAGTCTCAAACCCCAGGTCTCAAGAGATCCTCCTGCCTTAGCCTGCCAAAGTGTTGGGATTACAGGCGTGAGCCACCATGCCTGGCCAATAATTACTTTAGGTTAGAAATACTGAGTTACAGGATATGCAAATGGAAATAAATTTGATGTAAAGTTGAAGAAAGTAGTTAGTTGTACTAAATTGTACTACCACCACCAAGATGTTAGAATTCCGTTGATACACGTTTCTCTAACCCTTGGTATTGTCATTGGTCATCTTAATCTTTGCTTGTCTATGTAGATATGAAGTGATATTTCACTGTGGTCTTAATTTACCTTTCCTTGTCCTTGGCCTCTGTGTTTCTTTTGTGCATTTTGGATACTCATCCTTTGAATATATGTGAACCAAAATTTTGCTTCATTTTGTGGCGTGTCCTATTACCTGATGGTGTCTTTTGCTGAATAACAGTTTTTACTTTTAATGTAGTTGAGTTTATTGAACTTTAAGAAATTCTTCCCTATCCCAAGTTCAGAAAGCCCTTTCTTTCTTTCGCTCTTTCTCTCTTTCTCTCTCTCTCTCTCTTTTTTGAGACAGGGTCTTGCTCTGTGTCCCAGGCTGGAGTGTAGATGCGATCATAGCTCATTGCAGCCTCGAGCTTGTGGGCTCAAGCTGTCCTCCTGCCTCAGCAGTTGTCCCAAGTAGCTGGGACTACGGGCTACAGGCATGCAGAAAGATAATTTTCTACATTGTCTAAGAGTTTAAAAATTTTTGCCTTTTACTTTTATATTCTTAATACACCTGGTTTTTGTGAATGTGTGTGAAATAGGCATCTGAAAGGTCTACCCAAAAGAAAGAAGCTGAGGCAGAATTAATATAGAGAGTTTATTTGGGCCGAGGTTGAGTACAGCTGCCCAGGACACACAAATTGCCTTGGGGAGTGCCTTTGTAATAAACAGGTTTTTAAAAGCAGAAAAAGGATAAAGAGTGGGTTGATTAAAATATTATTTGTCAGCCGGGTGCAGTGGCTCACACCTGTAATCCCAGCACTTTGGGAGGCTGAGGTGGGAGGATCACCTGGGATCAGGGATTTGAGACCAGCCTGGCCAACATGGCAAAACCTCATCTCTACTAAAAATACAAAAAAATTAGCTGGGCATGGTGGTGCATGCCTGTAATCCCAGCTACTGGGGAGGGTGAGGCAGGAGAATCTCTTGAACCCAGGAGGCGGAGGTTGCAGTGAGCCAAGATCGTCTGGGCGACAGAGCGAGACTCTGTCTCAAAAATAATAAAAATAAAAGAGTTATTTGTCAGGAATCCTCATTGGTTTACAGAAATAACATTGATTGGTTATAGATTGTTGAACTATAGAGTGTGGTTTATGTTATCTGGCATGTGGCATTGTTAGGTTACTTTAGAGCTACTTGTGGCTATAGCAAGCAGTTTCAAGAGAGGATTGATTACATAGCAAAGGGGAGTAAGACCTAATTGCTGTCTCATTTTAATGCCTCTCTGGGGGAGATAATTTTAAAGGGCTCACATTTACATATATTTTTCTTTCTCAAATTTTATCTTTTTCGTATAGATAGCTAATTGACCAGCCCCACTTACTGAATAGTCTCCTTTCCTCATAAGTCTACAGAGCCTTTTAGGAAAATGTGATATGATATATCTGCATGAGTTGATTTGGGGGTTCTCTATTCTATTCCAGTGGTCAGCTTATTCAGTCTTATGCTGTTAACTACACCATCTTAATTACTGTAGCTTTATAGATAGTTTTGATGTCATGAAGGAAAAGTGTTTTGCTTTCTTCAGGAGCATCTCATTATATTCATAGATTTTAAATTTTTAAATAGCTTGGAGTAAAAACATTTGTTCATCTTTGTATATAAGTAGCAGACATGAAATTCAGTATGTATTGAAGACATCTTTTTAAAGTGTTGAAAGAAATGGGAGAAGAAAATATGTGATGGTTATGCTGTATTTAGTGGCTCAGAGGTCACTTTTTTTTCTTTTTTAAATATAGGAACCGTTTTGATTAAAAGTAACAGTGGTCCGTTGATGTTGGTATCTCCTCAGCAAACTGTAACAAGAGCCGAGACCACAAGTAACATAACCTCAAGGCCAGCAGTACCAGCGAATCCTCAAACAGTCAAAATCTGTACAGTGCCGGTAATATACCTTAAATATTTTTCATCTTTCTTTGTTTCTCAGCTATAATTTTCATATAAATGTTGTGTATATGTTTGCTAGTAAAAAATAATGTAAGACATGATTCTATTCAGCTTTTTAGGTCAGCTTGCCTTGAATATGTCAATTTAATAAAGATTTTTGGTTTTGTCCTCTGATAATTGCCAAAATAGTAAATTCAGTCTTCAGATTTTATGTCCTCAAAGGAATGTTCAGAGGGCTATCTGCATCTTTTTTGAGACAGGATCTCACTCTCTCTCCCAGGCTGGAGTACAATTGCGTGAACATGGCTCACTTGGTTCACTGCAGCCTCAAGCTCCCGAGCTCAGATAATCCTCCTGCCTCAGGCTCGCATATAGCTGGGACCACAACTGCATACCACCATGCCCGACTAATTTTATTTTTTGCACAGGTAGCATGTCGCTTTGTTGCTCAGGCTGGTCTTGAATTCTTGGGCTCATGACAGTCCTCTTAGCCTCCCAAAGTGCTGGGATTATAGGTGTGAGCCACTGCACCTGGCCTATTTGCATCTTAAATGGAAAGAATATAATAATTCTGCCTCCCGAGTAGCTGGGATTACAGGCGCCCACTGCCATGCCTAGCTAATTTTTGTGTTTATTTAGTAGAGACACGGTTTTGCCATGCTAGCCAGGCTGGTTTTGAACTCCTGACTTCAGGTGATCTGCCCGCCTCCGCCTCTCGAAGTGTTGGGATTACAGGCGTGAGCCACTGCACTTGACCAGTTCTGCTTTAATTTTAATTTTTGGTAAAATAGTAATATTCTTTTTTGTTTTTTGAGACGGAGTTTTGCTCTTGTTACCCAGGCTGGAGTGCAATGGTATGATCTTGGCTCACCGCAACCTCTGCCTCCCAGGTACAAGTGATTCTCCTGCCTCAGCCTCCTGAGTAGCTGGGATTACAGGCATGTGCTACCACGCCCAGCTCATTTTGTATTTTTAGTAGAGATGGGGTTTCTCCATGTTGGTCAGGCTGGTCTCGAACTCTTGACCTCAGGTGATCCGCCCACCTTGGCCTCCCAAAGTGCTGGGATTACAGGCTGAGTACTGTACCCAGCCTATAGTATTCATTTTCATTTGTATCTTACAGAAATTATCTTTAAGAAATACAGAAATCTGCTGCATTTCATTAACTTGGCATTGTTAGAATGACCTATTTTACATCCATGGTGATCTTTCTAGATAACTGAAGCTTACCTTGTTTGATAGAGTTAAAAATATTTTTGTGGGGCTGTGCGCGGTGACTCACGCCTGTAATCCCAGCACTTTGGGAGGCTGAGGTGGGTGGATCACGAGGTCAGGAGATCGAGACCATCCTGGCTAACACGGTGAAACCCTGTCTCTACTAAAAATACAAAAAAATTAGCCTGACGTGGTGGCAGGCGCCTGTAGTCCCAGCTACGCGGGAGGCTGAGGCAGGAGAATGGCATGAACCCAGGAAGCGGAGCTTGCAGTGAGCCGAGATCGTGCCACCTCACTCCAGTCTGGGCGACAGAGCGAGACTCTGTCTCAAAACAAAACAAAAAAAACAAACAAAAATTATATATGTATATTTTTTAATGGGTATTTTATTTAAATAAAAATACTGAATGTAGTTTAGCATTTTCTTGATGAATCAGGCTCATTGTAATGACAGATTGCATTGTTTTTTATAATAATCATTCTCTGCCAGTGTTTTTCATTTTTGTGCCCTACTAATTTGATTCTAGGTCCTGAAACAGTCATTTTCTCTGTTACTGTATCTGTCAATAATAGCCACTCCTTCCCTTTCTAGTTTGGTTTAACTGCTGTGGGTTGAGAATGTAGATTAGCAGGTTTTTGTTTATAATTAAATATTACATAAGAATCTATTTTTTCTGTATGAACCAAAGAGTCAAGATTAAGATTTTAATGTTGAATACTGTAATATTTATTTAGTTTGAAATTTCAGATAAATGGGTTATTTATTGAATCAGTTGCCACCTTAGAAATATGAAATGAGTGTCATCTGGGCAGCTGACCAGTTAGGTTTATAGTATAGAATGTGCATAAAACACATTAGGTTATAACTCCAGTCATAACAAATACATTTGCTGTCATAAAGTGTTCTAATGTTCACTGCAGTACTGATCTTAAATTACTAACGCTAATGACTTTGTGTTATCTTGCTCCCCTCCACCGCCAAGAACTCTAGCTCACAATTAATCAAGAAAGTGGCAGTGACACCTGTTAAAAAATTGGCACAAATAGGAACTACTGTGGTAACCACTGTTCCGAAGCCTTCCTCAGTACAAGTAAGTTGTGCTGGCCATTCGTGCACTTGTTGTTCTCTTAACTTTTAAAAAAATCATTTAGCTATCTCCTGTTAGATATGTAAGTTACTGTGTGACATTGAAGATAGCAATTCAGTAATATATGATGGCACTTATCAAACTGGGAACTGTTGGAGGTATGGGAAACAAGATAAACATGGTGTACATTCTTGGAATACCAGTTTTACTTCAGTGTATTAAGTTAATACAAATCTGCCTAATAGCCATGTGTTGCAGTATCTGGAAGCAGGTTCTGAGATAAAATTTGGGATATGTAGGGATAAATACCCATGGAAGGAAAGGAGAGTAGATAAGGGTTTAAACTAGATGCAGGCCCAATAAAGCCTTAGCCATCTTAGTGGAGAACTTTGGAGGATATATGGCCGGTCAGCATTGTCCCACTATGGGTTAACATGGTTGGCTGGGCCTTAATTCCTACTCTCTGTTCAGTCACTGGATGTGGACTTTCCTGGGAAAGTTACCTTTGGGCAAGGTGATCCTCTGCAGCTGAGGGAAGCCTGATGGAACTTATAAATGGAGGCTGTCTAATATCATTCCTAGCAGCTAGCTAGGACAGTACATATCACTCCTTGTCATGGTTCATCACAGGCTACTCCTTGCATCACTTGTATGTGTTTCCTCATACATGTTGGAGATCAGCTGTTCTGGGATTCTCATGGTTTTCGTCTTTGGGGAAACAAAGAGGAGGCTAATACGATGAACTACAGTCCCCACTGCTGCAGCTGGTTTCTGGTGGCACCTGATATTAATTATTTCCCTCTTCCACTGTGCCTTCCTAGATTCCCTTCCCCTCAACTACCAACTATACTGGTCTTTGTTAACTTAAATGATAACGACCAGACCCTCATCCCTGAGGGATCTGTGGTCTTAATAACCATGTTCATTTGAGGTCAGGGTTGCTACGGCTTGTCTATTTATCATCACAATTGGGCAAGGAAATACAAGGAGGCATTTAAGTGAATCACCTGAATCATGTGGATTTGCCACACATACTTCTTTTTGCCTCCATTGCGTAATAGCAACCCTACCTCCTCCAGATGATGGGAGTCGATTACTCTTCCTAAGATAATTACTCCTGTCTTTCCTGCTGGATCATGGTTACAAGGAACCATAGTGCAGCCATAGTGTCTATTTTATTTATTTTTTATTTTGTTTTGTTTTATTTTATTTTATTTTTGAAGACAGAGTCTCACTCTATCACCTAGGCTGGAGCACTGTGGTGCAATCTTGGCTCACTGCAACCCCTACTCCCTGGGTTCCAGTGATTCTCCTGCCTCAGCCTCCCAAGTAGCTGGGATTACAGGTGTGTGCCACCATGCCCAGCTGATTTTTTGTATTTTTAGTAGGGATGGGGTTTCACCATGTTGGCCAGGCTGGTCTCGAACTCTTGACCAAGTAATCCGCCTACCTCAGCCTCCCAAAGTCCTGGGATTACAGGCATGAGCCACCGCACCCGACTCTTAGTGTCTGTTCTTAGTGTCTATTTACAGGAACTCTTGCTTTGTCCTCTGGTAGAGGTGTTTGCTTCCTGTGGGCAGAAATGGGAAACACAAAGTCCTCCAGTGAGTGTTTGTTGTGAGTGATGGTAAGTGGGGGCCATTCATGCTTCTTCTCCTTGATTCCTTGATCTATGGGTTTGTCCTGTTGGGGACATAGTACTATATGGAAATTTTTGATTCAATGAGTATGCTGAGTCTTGGAGGATGGAATCCCATACTCATAGAGTATTGCCTCTATGTTTGTACTTCACCTGTACCTCTTGCTGGCTGTTCTAATATTTTACTAGACTCCTAGTTTCCGAGTCAAGACATATGTGATGAAACCAGTGGATCTGATAGTCCTGGGACTATGCATCTTCTTGGAGCCTGCTACCTGGAATCCCATGCTAGTAGATCAGACCTTCTTTTGGTGTTCCAAACTTGAACCATACTGCTCACGTTCTTTTCATCTAACAGAAATGATGAGCAGTGAATCTGATTTTAAACGTAATATTTTTCTACTAATACCATTTGTTGTCACTTAACATGCTTGACACTTTTTTAGGTGCCTTACATTCATCTCATTTCATCCTTGTGACTATACTATAAGGAAGTGTTATCTCTATTTTATATGAGAGGTTAAGAAGCTTGCTTGATTTCTGCTAGTATGTGGCAGAGTGAGGATTTGAGCCTTTATCTGACTCTGGAAACTGTTCTTAATGACCTATGTACTGATTATCTCAAAACCTACTGTATTTTTTTCCTTAGGATAAATTTTAAGGAGATTATTGGGCCAAAGAATATAAATTTAGGCCTATTGATAGCTACTATCATATTGTTTTATGAAGAAGTTAACCACTTTAGACTATCAGTACTTCGAGTATATCAGTTTTTCATTGGATATAGTTCTTAAAGATTGAGTACATAAATAACACCACAGGTTAAAAAAATATATTGTGGAGAGAAAACATACTTAGCAACATGATCTTAGATACTTAAGACTGCCATTTGCACATTATGGCTCTTCAGGACACAGAGAGCAAATTATGTTGTGCTGGGATAACTGAAGGAACTCCATTACACTACTTCTTCAGGGCCCTTTTGGGAGCCAGTTTAGTGGTAAAGTGAGTTTCTTGGATATTACTTCTTAGAGTGTATTAGGGATTCTCTACATCCATGGGCTTTAATTTGTCCCCTGCCAGCTACAGCCACAATTCTATTTCTGTGCTCTCTGAATATTCGTTGAAGTCTTAATAGTTCTAGAACATGAAAGCTTGTGTTCATTTACTTAGTAATCATAGCCAGTGATCACTAATTATATTTGTAGTTTTTAAAAAAATTACTTTATTTAAAAAATAGAGATGAGGTCTTACTCTGTTGCCCAGGCTGTTCTTGAACTCCTGGGGCTCAAGCAAATCCTCCCGCCTCTGCCTTGCAAAATGCTGGGATTATAGGCATCAGCCATTGCACCCAGCCTTTATTAGTAGTTTTTATAAAAGAGACAACCTGGAGCCTGTGAATTCAGGTGAAGGGGAAAATCTTTACTAAGCTTAAACTAAAACTTAGAGTTTCTTGCAACTATGAATGTAGGCTTCAAACTATGGAACCATTTTGAGGGGGAAAATCTTTACTAAGCTTAAACTAAAACTTAGAATTTCTTTCAGCTACAAATGTAGGCTTCAAACTACAGAACCATGGAGTATTACATTGTGTTAGTACATATCTGTGACTTTGTCACAATAGAAATAATTGAAATTTGTATGTTTCCTCGTGTTTGTAGTTATTTTAAAATGCTCATGTTAATCTGTCATTGATATTTTTGTGTGGACCATTTATTTTTCTTAGCTAATTTAGGTTGATGCATATTTTAAGTTGGGCTACTCCTTAGTGGTAGCCTAGAACAGTGGAAATTAGTAAAGAATGAAGTTAATGATATCTGTCCACTTTAAGGGATAAGCATCTCAGTTTTAGGCATGGAAATAAGGAGCTAGAACTTAAAAATGAGAGAAGATACAACTCCTTGTACTTGATTGTCAGACTGTAAATGCAAATGTGTGTGTTAAGAAATTTTGAAAGTATTTTCCTATTAGGCTTAGTCTGATAAATATAACACAAGAACTAGTTAGAAATCTTGTGTTCACTTTTACCTTGTATTTGATGAAGATGTAGTTTGGCCCATTGTTAGATTGGAATCTAATGTGCAAATGACTAGTATTTCTAATTAAATGTGAATAAACCTAAAGCAATTGCTGTTTCAGACAGGTACAGAAAATGACCCTCCTTGAAATGCTATTTCATCTTCTAAATTTCCATACAACTCATTTTATTGGCTCTGTGTAGAATTGGTTTTCACACATTTATTTCACATATACTTCAGTCCGTTTTCCTCCTGTCCTCAAGACATGCCTAGTCAGTCAGTGCAGCCTTGAAAAGCATTGAAGTTACCATTGGCTGGTCTGTTGAGTCAAAGGCGGAGTTGTGATTGAGTTTAAGACACTTTGGGCCAGGCATGGTGAGTCACACCTGTAATCCCAGCACTTTGGGAGGCCTAGGCAGGTGGATCACCTGAGGTCAGGAGTTTGAGACCAGCTTGGCCAACATGTTGAAACCCTGTCTCTACTAAACATTCAAAAATGAGCCGGGTGGTGTGGTGGGGGGCGGCTCTCATCCCAGCTACTCAGGAGGCTGAGGCAGGAGAATCACTTGAACCCAGGAGGCGGAGATTGCAGTGAGCCGAGATCGCACCACTGCACTCCAGCCTGGTGGACAGAGCCAGACTCCGTCTCAAAAAAAAAAAAAAAAAGACACTTTTAAGGGTGAGGGGGAATGGAATTTATTAGGCGAAAAGAAAAAAAAAACTCAGCAAAGCCAGAGGGGTTCCCGTTAGCAGGCCCCCATCTCACAAATTGAATCTCGGGTCACCACACAGGAACAGGAGAGGCCAGGCTCCTCCCCCTTGCAAAGGGCCTGATCTTCCTGAGGCTCCACCCCTCCTCCTCCCAGTGGGCAGGCGCGTGGGGGATTCTTCTGGAACCTTTCCCCTAATCTTCCGGTTGCGTCTATCAAGATCATCAGGCATTAGATTCTCACGAGGAGAGTGCAGCTTAAATCACCTGCATGTGCAGTTCACGAGAAGGTTCATGCTGCTATGAGACTAATGGCACCGCTGGCCTGACAGGAGGCAAAGCTCAGGCAGTAATGCTCACTTGCCTCCTCTGTGTGTCTCTATTCCTGACAGGCCACAGACCTATACCCGCCCGCGGCACAGGGGTTGGGGACCCCTGTGGTAAGATACAAGTAGTAGCTATACTAGAAAGTGTTATGAAGGACAGATTTTTTTTTTACTGGAGACAGGATAAAACATTGACAAGGAAAATAGAATTCCATAAATGCCCCCTCTACTTGTAAACGATAGGACGTTTTTCCTAAACTCACATTTCAGTTGGACCTTAGTTTGCTTCCTGAGGGAGGGGGACAGTACACCCCCAAGGAACCTCTCCCATCAGTCCTCAGAGGTGATCATAACCACCAGCTAAAATTCCAGATTACACTTTCTTAAATATGGCAGTACAGAGAGTTAATGACTGATTATAAGATAGACTAAAGAAAGAGGCTTATTTACTGTATAGAAAACTAAAAATTTATTAGAAAATCTCCACAAGAATTCAGAAGAAACTGAGTGGTAGGTTGGAGAGCAGGACTAAAGATATGAAAAGGAGGGAGACTTCCTTTTGAATGTGCATTTGAGGCTCTATATTTAACAAAATTGTACTAACTTAGGTGTAATTTTTAATTTTATCTCTTTTGTTAAAAACTTTATTGTTCTAGTCCTCATCATTAATCAGTAATTTTAAAATCTTATTAAAGTTTTTGCCAGGTGAGCCTTTAGTTTACTTTTCTTTTATTATCCTTATTCAATATTGAAATATGTTACAGACCTTTCTCATAAAATGAACTGAACAGCTTTCCCTATTCTGTTTTTCTAGAACATGTTGTATAAGACAGGAGTTATGCAAAAGTGTGGAAAAATCACATGGAAAATATCTGAGCCTGGAGACTTGAGGGAGGGAGGTCTTTTTGGGTATCATTTCAATGTCTTTAATTTGTCTATTCTAGTTTCTGTGTTTTGTGCTAATTTTGTCATTTCATGTTTTTCCAAAAACCCTTTTGGTTTTGTTTCAAATGTATTAGCATATGGTATTTAATATTTTTATTATGCATTATGAAATATACATGCAAACAAGACTACATGTGATATGTACACATATGTAATATGTACACATATGTAATATGTCTGCTGTTGAAAAAAATAATAGTAAAATGAAGGCCCATATACCCCAAACCCATGTTAGGGCCACCATGTGTCCCCACTCCTCTCCTTCTATCAATTCTCAGCATTTTAAATGTTCTTCCTGTTTGTAAAGAAAATTTTTTTCTAGAGACAGGGTCTTGTTAGGTTACCCAGACTGGTCTCGAACTCCTGTCCTCAAGCAATCCTCCTGGCTCAGCCTTCCAAAGTGCTGGTATTGTAAGTGTGAGCCACTGCACTTGTCCTTCTTCCCATTTTTTACCCTCAGAACATTCTTGTCTAGTACATATTCCAGTCTCTCTAATGTGGGAGATTTTATTGTACATTCAAATTCACCTATCTTGACTATTATAGAAGGAAATTTTCTTGAAGGTGATTGCAACTTGACCTTTTTGTGTTGCATGCTTGTAGAACATAGACATTTAAATTAAATGATGGTGCATTGTTCAGTTTTCTGTGTGAATTGTATGTAAATACTATTCCTTATCCCTGATCCCCAAACTTTTATTATGTTCTGTAACTTTTAGTGTTTGTCTTTAAGATTGTTGCTTTATCTCAATGTGATTTTCTAAATTACTGCCTGACTTGTGATTGCTTGTATGAGGTTTTTGTCCTGTAGGTGATGCTAGCTAGAGTCACACCTCATTTTGATAGAAGGTAGAGAAACAACTGAAATTCTTTTCAGTGTGAATATAAGATACCACGTTTTATAATATTCTTCATGCTTACTTTAATGGTCTACATAAAAGCAGTTTATCTAAATTTTAGATAATAAGTAGATTGCTCTGCTTTGTTCTTAAGAAAAAGCAGAATATTCTATGTTCTCATAAAGACTTTCAGATACTTCTTGGAGTATTAATAATATTTTTTGAGGACTTATTTGCTTTAGCACTGTTTTTCACAAAAAATCCTAGGACAGCAGGTACCGTTGCAATCCCTATTTTTGCAGAGAGTAATCAGGATTAGCAAGATTAAGTAACTTGCCTGCAGTCAACACTTGGTAGGTGGTAATGAAATAGTAGATGGGGTGAGAATGAAACCCAGATCTGCTAGACTCAAGAGTTCCTAGAACTGTATTATATTGCCTTAGACTACTAGAGCATAACATAAAACCACAGATGTCAAAATTAACTTGTCTGATGAGTGTGAAATGAGGCACCCACTAATGTATCATAGTAATACATGCCTAAATATTTAATACCTTTAATTTCAGTCTGTGGCTGTGCCAACCAGTGTCGTCACAGTTACTCCTGGAAAGCCATTGAATACTGTAACTACCCTGAAGCCTTCAAGTTTGGGAGCATCATCCACTCCTTCAAATGAGCCCAATCTTAAAGCAGAGAACTCAGCAGCTGTTCAGATTAATCTTTCTCCGGTAAGCTCTTACTTGCACCTTACATAAATCTTGTTCCTTGCAAGTTCTTTTGAATTGTTTGCTCACTAACACTTGTGTTTGCTTATATTTACATTTTCATATTTAGACAATGCTAGAAAATGTGAAGAAATGCAAGAACTTCCTTGCAATGTTAATAAAACTAGCATGTAGTGGATCACAGTCCCCAGAAATGGGGCAAAATGTGAAGAAGCTGGTGGAACAACTTTTGGTAAGTAGTGCTATAAAATCCTGCAAATTCTGGAGGAATCCATATAACATGTTGTAATTGGGAAATGCATATTTTTAAATGGGATTTATTTAATTTATTTATTTATTTAATTTATGTTTTGAGACAGAGTCTCGCTCTGTTGCCCAAGCTGGAGTGCAGTGGCGTGATCTAGGCTGACTGCAACCTCTGCCTCCTGGGTTCAAATGATTCTCCTGCCTCAGCTTCCTGAGTAGCTGGGATTACAGGTGTGCATCACCACGCTCGGCTAATTTTTGTATTTTTAGTAGAGACGGGGTTTTGCCATGTTGGCTGGGCTGGTCTCAAACTCCTGGCCTCAAGTGATGCACTTGCCCTGACCTCCCAAAGCGTTGGGATTACAGGCGTGAACCACCAAGCCCGGCCTGAGATTTATTTTAAATGTAGTTCTTGATAAATTTTGTTTTTTGCTTCTTGAAAGCTTTGTAAAGACTATAAATCTTGGCTAGAAAAACCTATTGTATATTTCTTTTGAAAATTTACCTTTTTAAAAAAATTGTATATGTTTAAGGTATACAACATGATGTTTTGATATATATATTATTTCTGTACATCAGTCTTGCCTCCCTTACTCTACAAAGGGCCTTGGAGAAAAGGTTCATTATTTAGTCAATAGGAAATTGTTATTAGAATTATGAAATCTCTGCTGGGCACAGTGGCTCATGCCTGTAATCCCAGCACTTTGGGAGGCCGAGGCAGGTGGATCACCTGAGGTCAAGAGTTTGAGACCAGCCTGGCCAACATGGTGAAATCTCTTCTCTACTAAAAATATAAAAATTAGCCAGGTGTGGTGGCGCACGCCTGTAATCCCAGCTACTTGGAAGGCTGAGGCAGGAGAATGGCTTGAACCTGGGAGGCAGAGGTTACAGTAAGCTGAGATTGCACCACTGTACTCTAGCCCGGGCAACAGAGCAAGACTCTGTCTCAAAAAAAAAAAAAAAAAGAAAAGAAAAGAAAAAAGAATTATGAAATCTCAGAAAGCCAGGCTATCAATAGATAATGAAATTCGGTTCTTATATGTCCAGATAGACACCAAGCTTTGGGACCACAGAAGTTAGTTAATGCTCTTAGGCCTCACTTTCCTTATCTATAAGATTCTCATCTTGCAGATGAGAATGTTAAACATGATGATCGTTGATGTTTATATGAGTGCCAAGATGCTGTGTCTTTTAGCTACCAAATTATATGCCTTTGGTTTCTTACATCCTCTTTCAGGTAAAATATGTAGGTGCACTAAAAAGAGTGGAGATAGAAGTTAGCAAATATTTCATATTATATGCTTAAGACATGCTGAGGATATAACAAACAAATGGATTTGGATTTTTTGAACTACTATAATATACAGATTTCTCTCACCACGTAATTAGAATTATATTTTTCACATAAAAATTATCCCTTTTTCCAAGTATAAAATGTGTATATTTCAAATATTATACAGCAAAAACAAGCATAGTTTATAAATATTAAAATACCTTCTTTACTACTGTTTTTAATGCTGCCTGTAAGATGTTAGAGCACACTTGAAATGGTTAGTTTTTCATTTGGGAAGATGTTTTTATTACAGATGTCTAAAATACCTCATACTAACAAATTTTTAATTCAACTTACGGGTGTCTTTTTAAAAGTAAACATTGAGCTTTTGATCTTCCCTTTTCAAGGTATGCTAGTTTTGAAAGGGGATATGATGACTTGTTTCTCTGAAATGGAATACTCTAGATGAAGAGACCTGTTGGAAATGAATACGTATCCCATAAAATATTAAAGACTTTTTAACCACAAAACATATGTGTGAATTTTATGGACAGATAGAAACAGTTAGGAATTAAATATTACCTCTAGTTTTAAGATCTGTTTACTTTAGAACGACAAACAGCAGTTCTAAAACATTTTGGTTTTAGGATACCTTTAAATTCCTAAAACTTGAGGACTCCCCAAGGCATTTTGTTTTTTGTGGGGTTAACATTAAAACTGAAAAATGCTTAACTTTTTTTATTGAAAAAATTTTTTTTTGAGATAGGGTCTTAACTCTGTCACCCAGGCTGGAGTGCAGTGGCGTGAACAAGGCTCCCTGCTTTCTTGACCCTCCTGGGATCAAGCAATCCTCCCACGTCAACCTCCCAGGTAACTGGGACCACTGACATGTGCCACCACACCTGGCTAATTTTTTGATTTTTTTTGTAGAGACAGGGTCTTGCTATGTTGCTCAGGCTGATCTCAAACTCCTGAGCTCAAGTAATCATCCCACCTTGGCCTGGCGAAGTGCTAGGATTACGGGCATGAGCCACCGTGCCCAGCTTGTTTATTAACAAATAACAGTAAACCCATTAAATGTTAACACAACTGACATTTAAGTGAAAACCGAGTTTCAAAACAACAACAGAATTGAATGAGAAGAGTGGCATTGCTGTACCAATTTTGCAAATCTCTTTAGTGGCTGACCTAATGGAAAACAGCTGGATTCTCATATCTTCTGCATTTAATCTGTTTTGTGATATGTTATTTTTTTGGGAGTATTTGGAGAATATCTGGTCTTGTGAAGAGAGGTGGTTGGAATAGTGATTATTTTTTTAAAAATAGCTTTTCTCCAGATCATGGTGGATATTCTTTAGAGTCTACTGGTTTATCCTGCATGCTGAATGGATCTTTTACCCACGTATGATTTTTGTAATGACATTCATTGTTCATTGGGAAAATACTGGTTCACTGAGTTATGCAGATCTTTCAAATGTTTCCAGATTTATTATTTAAGATATCAAAATAACATGCTCATTAAATTCACCAACCTTATTAGAAAATTCTTGTACCAGGAAGCTATCAAGCTCAGAATAGTTGTTACACATTTTTCAAAATTGTAATTTTGGCTGGAGAGCTTTAATTTTTATCATTAGCAACAAATGCTATCCATTGTTTTCTTTACTGTTAGTGGTTTAGTTTGTTGTTGAGAAAATATCTAACAAATACCCAAGTCTGAATAACCACAATTGCTTTGCCATTCTTTTCAGTAAAAATGGAAAAAAGTGGCTAGTTTAGCGACTCAATTACAGTGCTTTTCCTTGATCCTCTGACTTTGATCTGCAACAAAAATGCTCCATGTATGTTTCCTATTTTGTTATATACAATATTAAAGAGGTATCTACTGAAGAGTTGAGATTTAGTAAAGTTAATTTTTACTGCTTCATCCAAGGATGTTTCAAAGTGAAATTGGGTCTATTTTTTTTTATTTTTATTTTTTAGAGTAAGAGTCTTGCTCTCTTGCTCAGGCTGGAGTGCAGTGACATGATACTAGCTCACTGCAGCCTCAAACTTACGGGCTCAAGGGCTCCTTCCACTTCACCCTCCAAGTAGCTAGGACTAAGAGGTGTGTGCCACCATGCCCAGCTAGTTTTAAAATATTTTTTTGTAGTGACAGGGTTTCACTTTGTTACCCAAGCTAGTTTCCCAACTCCTGGCCTCAAGCGATCCTGCACCCTTGGCCCGCCAAAGTACTGGGATTACAGGTGTGAGCCACTGTGCTTGGCCTTCTGTTGTTTTTTTTTTTTTTTTCTCCAAGCACATAGCACTGTAGAATGTGATGATGGCTGTTTCACTTTGCCATTGCCTTTCTTACCGGTAGTTTTACCCATTGTTGCCTTTGCACCATGTGTGCAAACATTAGCTTAGTGAAAAAGGCTTTCTCTCCAAGATGTTAGTATTAATGGAAAATAATTTAGATCACACATACCCCTGAAATGCTTAATAGTGTAAGCAATGTGTAAAGGTTCCTCAGTTCTTTGGAACTGCTGTTATGGATTTACAATGTCATTCTGAAAATAGTCTTGCAGATCCATAGCCAACATCATATTGAATGGGCAGAAGCTCGAACCATTTCCCTTGAGAATTGGAACAAGACAAGGTCTCACCATTCCTATTTAACATAATATTGGAAGTTGTAGCCAGAGCAGTCAGGCAAGAGAAAGAAATAAAGGCCTCCAAATAGGAAAAAAAAGGAGTAAAACTCTGTCTTCACTGATGATATGATTCTATGCCTAGGAAATCTTAAAGACTCTGCCAAAAGGCTTCTAGAACTGATAAACGACTTTAGTAAAGTTTCAGGGTACAAAATCAGTTTTCAAAAATCAGCATTTCTATACACCAAAAATGTTCTAGCTAAGAGCCAAATCAAGAGCACAGTCCCATTTACAATAGCCACACACACAAAAATGAAGTACCTAGGAATACAGCTAACCAAGGAGGTGAAAGATGTCTGCAAGGAGAAATACAAAACACTGTTGAAAATTCATGCTTATGGACTGAAAGAATTGATATCATTAAAATAGCCATACTGCCCAAAGCAATTGACAGATTCAATGTTACTCCTGTCAAACTACCAATGTCATTTTTCACAGAATTAGAGAAAACTCTTTTAAAATTCATATAGGACCAAAAAAGAGCCTGAATAGCCAAAACAATTAGAAGCAAAAAAAAAAAAAAAACAACAACAACAAAGCCAAGTGGCATCACATTACCTGACTTCAGACTATACTGTAAGGCTACAGTGATCCAAACAGCATGGCACTGATACAAAAACAGACACATAGACCAATTGAACAGAATAGAGAACCCAGAAATAAAGCTGCACACCTACAACTATCTGATCTTTGACATTGTCAACAAAAATAAGTAATGGGGCCTGGCCACAGTGGCTCACACCTTTTATAATCCTAGCACTTTGGGAGGCTGAGGCAGGTGGATCGCTTGCAGTCAGGAGATTCAGACCAGTATGGTCAACATGGCGAAACCCCATCTCTACTAAAAAAATACAAAAATTAGCTGGGTGTGGTGGCATATGCCTGTAGTCCCAGCTACTCAGGAGGCCGAGGCAGGGGAATTGCCTGAACCTGGGAGGGGGAGGTTGCAGTGGGCCAAGATCACGCCACTGCACTACAGCCTAGGTGACACAGTGAGACTCTATCTCAAAAAAAAAAAAAAGTAGTGGGGAAAGGACTGATTCTATACATGGTGCTGGGATAACTCATTATCTATGTGCGGAAGAATGAAACTGGACCCCTACTTTTCACCATATATAAAAATTAACTTGAGATGGATTAAAGATTTAAATGTAAGACCTCAAACTGTAAAAGTCCTAGAAGAAAACCCAGGAAATACCCTGCCTGACATCGGCCTTGGCAAAGAATTTATGGCAAACTCTCCAAAAGCAATTTCAACAAAAACAAAAATTGACAAGTGGAACCTAACTAAACTAAGGGCTTCTGCACAGCAGAAGATACTATCAACAGAGTAAACAGACCACCTACAGAATGGAAGAAAATATTTGCGAACTATATATCTGACAAAGGTCTAATATACAGAATCAATAAGGAACTTAAAAATCAACAAGAAAAAACCCCATTAAAAAATAGGTAAACAACATGAACAGACATTTCTGAAAAGAAGACATACAAGCAGCCAACAAACATGAAAAGATGCTCATCATCACTAATCATCAGAGAAATGCAAATCAGAACCACAATGAGATACCACTCATACTAGTCAAAATGTCTGTTACTAAGAAGTCAAAAAACAGATGCTGGTGGGGCTGCAAAGAGAAGCGAACACTTATACGCTGTTGGTGGGAATGTAAATTAGGTTAGCTACTGTGGAAAGCGGTTTGAAGATTTCTTAAAGAACTAAAAATAGAACTACCATTTGACCCAGCAGTGCCATTACTGGGTATATATCCAAGAGAAAATAAATCATTCTATAAAAAAGACATATGCACTTGTATGTTTATCGCAGCACTACTCAAAACAGCCAAGACATGGAATCAGCAGAGGTGTTAATTGACAGTGGGTTGGATAAATAAAAAGTGGTACATATACACCATGGAATACTACACAACCATAAAAAAGAACAAGATCATGTTTTTTGTAGCAATGTGAATGGCCATTATCCTAAGCAAATTGGTGCAGGAGTAGAAAACCAGATACTACATGTTCTCACTTACAAGTGGGAGCTAAACATTAAGTACACTTGGACGTAAAGATGGGAACAATAGACACTGGGAACTACTAGAAAGTGGGAGTGAGGGGTTGTGTGGGCTGAAAAACTACCTCCTAGATAACTGTGCTCACTACCTGGGTGACGAGATCATCTGTACCCCAAACTTGTACTTGTACCTCTTGAATCTAAAATAAAAGCTGAATTTTTTTTTTAATCTAAGATCATAGTTACCTTTCCTTGAATGCTCCTTCCACAACTTCATGAAGAAAAAACCAGATGTTCTCTGTCACCGCACAATTATAATCTTTATTAAGTATATAATATGTCCTATTAGGCAAAATTTTTAAAACTATATTTTATACATTTGAAAAGAATAAGATAATTCAATCAGCTACATCTTACACATTATCACTGGCATCAAGTTATTTTGGAAGTACTTCTACTAATTCTGGAAATGTTGTCCCTGGCTCTTGTGTGCAAAGAACACCAGCAGGCTAGCAGATTAATTTCCAAATCGTTGTAGAGAACTTAAACCCTAAGGTCTCCAAACTGAGTAACTTCCTGTTCCCCACCCTAAGAAATTTAAGACACGCGTGCCTTCAATTCTTAATTGTTCTTAACAGATTGTAATAATGTAGTATTACTTAACCCATCAGCTCTTCTCTTTGCTTCCTGTGATCTTTAAAACAAAAAAAATCACCCCTTCATTGTATTCTCTATGAATAAACATCTCTATCATTTATGCTTACACATTTCATAGGTGGCATGAAGAAAAAAGCCTATATTTAATTGACTTTATCATTTGTGAAAAGTTTGCTATGTCTACAATCATGAATTATATACTTTGTCTCTTTTAAAAGATTTGTAGACTTAAAATTGTTTCTATTTCTCCCATCCCTCAGGATGCAAAAATCGAAGCAGAAGAATTTACTAGGAAACTGTATGTTGAACTCAAGTCTTCACCTCAGCCTCACCTGGTTCCTTTTCTTAAGGTAGAGTTATGTGTCACTTAGAAGAAATAATTTGGATTAGATTACTCTAAAATAATTAAAAATGGGAATATTTCAATATGACAGCAATTGAATGTGAAGATACTGACAGTGTGGGAGAAACCTCTGAGTGCTTTTGTAAGCTATAAAGCGTGTTCATAATATTATTTTAATTTGGACACTTTGAAAAAAGAGAAGTAACATTTTATTCATGAACATAAGTTCATTATTATATTGTTTAATACTTGTATGAGAATATACAGACATACCACAGAGGTACTGCAGGTTTGGTTTCAGACCACCATAAGAAAGCTAATATCACAATAAAGTGAGTCATATGAAATTTTTGGTTTCCAAATGCATATAAAACTTTATGGTATACTTTATTAGGTATACAATAGCATTATATTTGAAAAAACAATTACATATGCTAATTAAAAAATATTTTATTGCTAAAAAGTGCTGACAATCATCTGAACCTTCAGCAAGTTATAATATTTTTGATGGTAAAGAGTCTTACCTCAATGTTGATGACTTTTTGCTGGTCAAGGTGGTGGTCACTGAAGGTGGTCACACCCAGCTGTGGCAATGTCTTAAATTAAGACAACAGTGCAATTTGTGTCATCAGTTGATTCTTCCCTTCACAAAAGACTTCTCTGTAGCATGCAGTGCTGTCTGATAGCATTTCACACACAGCAGAACTTCTTTCAAAATTGGAGTCAATTCTCTCATACCCTGCCATTGTTTTGTTAACTAGTTGTTGTCATATTCTAAATTCTTTGTTACCATCCTAACAACATTTATAGCATTTGACCAGGGGTAGACTCCATCTCAAGAAACCAGTTTCTTTGCTCATCTGTAAGAAGCAACTCCTCATCTCTTTCAGTTTTGTCCTGAGATTGCAGCAATTCGGTCACATCTTCAGGCTCCACTTTCAACTGTGGTTCTCTTGCTATTTCTAGCATATCTGCAGTGACTTCTTCCACTGAAGTTCTGAACCCCTCATAGTCATCCATGAGGATGGGGATCCACTTCTTATGAACTCCTGTTAGTGTTGATATTTTGATCTCCTGCCTGACTCATAAATATACTTAATGGCATCTAGAATGGTGAATCTTTTCCAGAAGGTTTTCAGTTGACTTTGCCCCCGGATTCATCAGAGGAATCACTGTCTATGGCAGCCGTAGTCTTACAAAATCTGTTTCTTAAATAATAATTGAAAGTAAGAATTACTCCTTGATATATGTGGGCTGCAGAATGGAGGTTGTGTTAGCAGACAGGAAGACAATAATGATCTCCTTGTACATCTCTATCAGAACTTCTGGGTGACGAGGTGTATTGTCAATGAGTGGTAATATTTTGAAAATAATCTTTTTTTTTTTTCTTCTGAGCAGTAGTTCTCAACAGTGGGCTTAAAATATTCAGTAAACCATGCTGTGAACAGATGTGCTGTCATCCATGCTTTGTTCATTGATAGAGCACAGGCAGAGTAGATTTAGCATAATTCTTAAGAGCCCTAGGATTTTTGGAATAGTAAATGAGCATTGGCTTCCACTTGAAGTCACCACCTACATTAGCCCCTAACAAGAAAGTCACAGCCTGTCCTTTGAAGCCTTGAAGCCATGCGTTGACTTTTCCTCAGCCAAAAGCTATGAAAGACCTAGCTTCCTCCAATAGAAGGTTGTTTTGTCTCCATTGAAAATCTGTCGTTGGCCAGGCGTGGTGGCTCACGCCTGTAATCCCAGCACTTTAGGAGCCCAAGGCAGGCAGATCACCTGGGGTCAGGAGTTCGAGACCAGCCTGGCCAACATGGAGAAACCCTGACTCTACTAAAAAAAATAAAAAAGTTAGTTGGACGTGGTGGCGCATGCCTATAGTCCCAGCTACTTGGGAGGCTGAGGCAGGAGAATTGCTTGAATCCAGGAGGCAGAGGTTGCAGTGAGCCAAGATCGTGCATTGCACTGTAGCCTGGGTGACAAGAGTGAGACTCCGTCTCAAAAAAAAAAAAAAATCTTAGCTATATCTTCTGTATGATTTGCTGCAGTTTCTACATCAGTACTTGCAGCTTTACCTTGCACTTTTATGTTAGTTATCAAGAGAGCTTCTTCCCTTAAACTTCATGAGCCAGCCTCTCCTAACTTCATACTTTTCTTCTGCAGCTTCCTCACTTTTCAGCCTTCATAGAATTGAAGAGTTAGTGCTATACTCTGGTTTAGACTTTTGCTTAAGGGAATGTTGTAGCTGGTTTGATCTTCTGTCCACACCACTCAAACTTTCTCCATGTCAACAATAAGACTGTTTCGTTTTCTTATCATTTATGTGTCACATGGAGTAGCCCTTTGAAGTTCCTTCAGGAATTTTTCCTTTGCATTCACGACTTGGCTGTTTGGCACAAGAGTCCTAGCTTTCCATCTCTGTTGGCTAAACAAATGAAAACTCCAGGAATGAAAAGGCACAACCTATTAGTTTTTAGTTTGAACTGCCTTTACTCTTTAAGTAGGATACAAAGATAGATGCTGACAGTCAGAAAGTATGCTTGGCTGGGCGTGGTGGCTCACGCGTGTAATCCCAGCACTTTGGGAGGCCGAGGTTGGCGGATCACCTGAGGTGAGGAGATGGAGACCAGCCTGGCCAACATGGCTGTCTCTACTAAAAAATACAAAAATTAGCCAGTGGTGGCATGTGCCTGTAGTCCCAGCTACTCAGGAGGCTGAGGCAGGAGAATCTCTTGAACTCAGGAGGCAGAGGTTGCAGAGAGCCGAGATCACGCCACTGCACTCCAGCCTGGGCAACAGAGTGAGACTCCGTCTCAATAAGAAAAAAGAAAATATGCTAGCTCAATTCTTTCAGATCGTAAAATTCACTTTGTATTTAATTTTGTTTTGATGTAAAGATATTTCTTTATTTTTATTTAAAAAAATTTTTTTTGAGATGAGGTTTTGCTCTGTCACCCAGGCTGGGGTGTAGTGGTGCGATCACAGCTCACTGCAACCTCAACCTCCTGGGTCCAAGTGATCCTCCAACCTCAGCCCCTGCGGTAGCTGGGACTACAGGCATGCACCACCATGCCCTGCTAATTTAATTTTTGTGTTTTTTGTAGAGACGAGGTTTTACCATGTTGCCTAGGCTTTTAAAGACTATTTCTTCCTTTCCTTTTTTTTTTTGTTTTTTTTTTTTTTGGAGATGGGGTCTTGCTCTGTCACCCAGGCTAGAATGCAGTGGCATGATCTCAGCTCACTGCAACCTCTGCCTCCCGAGTAGCTGGGACTACACGTGTGTGCCACCACGCCTGACTAATTTTTGTATTTTTTGTATAGATGGGGTTTTGCCATGTTGCCTAGGCTGGTCTCAAACTCCTGGCCTCAAGTGATTGCTTACTTTGGCCTCCCAGAGTGCTGGGATTACAGGCATGAGCCACTGCACCTATTTCTATCCAAAGTTTGAAAGTTACTTAATGAAGAGACCTAGATTCTGCTGTGGTTTAAATAAACTTATAGATACTGAAGTTACTAATGATCTATTATAGGGTTTAGATGATTATAGAAAAGTATAATACAGTGTTTACCAAATTGATATTGAGGGAATACAAATAAGTTTAATACTGAGATATAGTAATTTCATATTGGAAAACAGGCACTTGGGCTTTAAATTGATTGTATCCTGGATATTGGCAGGATATAAGTAAGTGATACAAGCTGTCTTCAACTGAAATACTTGATACACTTTTGATTGGTTTTAAGTTGTAAAGGTATGAAATACCACATTTTGTTTCACAAGTAGCTGATTTGTTAGCAGTGTTTTTTTCCATTCCTCTGCATTTCCAGAAAAGCGTGGTTGCCTTACGACAACTTCTGCCTAACTCCCAGAGCTTCATCCAGCAATGTGTTCAGCAGACTTCTAGTGACATGGTCATTGCTACCTGTACTACAACAGTAACAACTTCTCCTGTGGTGACAACTACAGTGTCCTCAAGCCAGTCTGAAAAGTCAATTATTGTTTCTGGAGCAACAGCACCCAGAACTGTGTCAGTGCAAACTTTGAACCCACTTGCTGGTCCAGTGGGAGCAAAAGCTGGAGTTGTGACACTTCATTCTGTGGGCCCAACTGCTGCAACAGGAGGAACAACAGCTGGAACTGGTTTGCTTCAGACTTCAAAACCACTTGTGACATCTGTGGCAAACACAGTGACCACGGTCTCACTGCAACCTGAAAAGCCAGTTGTCTCTGGAACAGCAGTAACACTGTCCCTTCCAGCAGTAACTTTTGGAGAAACTTCAGGTGCAGCTATTTGTCTTCCATCTGTGAAACCTGTTGTTTCTTCTGCTGGGACCACATCTGACAAGCCTGTTATTGGGACTCCAGTTCAAATCAAACTTGCCCAGCCGGGCCCTGTCCTTTCACAACCAGCTGGGATTCCACAGGCAGTTCAAGTCAAGCAACTAGTGAGTAACATTTTGTTTCTTCCCCAGTTACTTATTTTGAAAATTTTGAACATTCAGAAAACTGGTAAGACTAGTAGAAAACTAGTAAGGCTATATACTGTTTACGGGTTTGACCAATTAATTTTTTTTTTTTTTTACCTCATTTGCTTTGTTTTCCTCTTTCTACTCACACCCACAAACACACATATAAGTCCTTTTTTTAAAGACAGAGTCTTACTCTGTCGCCCAGGCTGGAGTGCAGTGGCACGATCTCGGCTCACTGTAACCTCCACCTCCCAGGTTCAAGCATTTCTCATGCCTTACCCTCCTGAGTAGCTGGAATTACAGGTGTGCACCACCACGCCTTTCTAATTTTTGTATTTTTGTTAGAGATGGAGTTTCTCCATGTTGGCCAGGCTAGTCTTGAACTCCTGGCCTTAAATGATCCACCCGCCTTGGCCTCCCAAAGCACTGGGATTACAGACAGGCAATGAGCCACCACGCCCAGCAGCAAACACACACGTAAGTCTTTACTGAACCACCTGAGAGTGGTTGCAAAAATTATGACAGTGCATGGTGTATATCTCCTAAAAGGTTTTTTTTGTAAAACATAACCACAACATACCTGTTGTCACACACAGGAAATTAATATTGGTACAGTATTTCTGTAGTTGTCCCAATAATGTGTTTTTATTTTTATTTTTTTGTAGAGAGAGGGTCTTGCTGTGTTGCCCAAGC
Source organism: Homo sapiens (assembly GCF_000001405.40). Lineage (NCBI taxonomy): Eukaryota > Metazoa > Chordata > Mammalia > Primates > Hominidae > Homo > Homo sapiens. Next base: position 26,287,217 of record NC_000018.10, read on the forward strand.
TGGTCTCAAACTCTTGGCCTCAACTGTTCCTCTCGACTTAGACCTCCCAAAATGTTAGGATTACAGGCATGAGCCACTGTACCTGGCTCATTTAATCTAGAATACTTCTCTAGCTTTTTGTGGTTGTTTATTATATTGTAATGTTTTAAGTGCCCAGAATATTTGCAGAATAGTCCTTTGTTTTGTCTGATTGTTGTGTTTTTTTGCTAAACTTGGTAGGTTGGGAGGTTCTTGGGTGAAAGAAGGAAATTTTAGCTGTTTGTCGATTAGTGTTTAGAATGTTCTTCTTTATTTAAGAAAAGGTAAGTTTTACCAGAAGGCTATGAAAGTATTGTTAACTCATGGGAGATACTACATGATGCATTAATTAAAAATCATAACGTTTTTAGTAAAGTTCTTCCCTATCTTCTACGATAACAGAGCTTGCTGTTCTTTTGGTGAATGTCCTTGTTCTCTTTTGTAATGCTTTGCATTAGACGCTGTGTTTTAAATCTCTGTTTTGGTTCATTCTGCTTCTTGGGTAGCCTTTCCAGCCCTGTTTGTTTTATCAGAATAAGAGGTATCTGAGTGATTGTCGTCTGAGGCAACAGGGCAGCTTTGGACATAGAATGAAAGGGGTTGATCCGTGACCAGAATTGGAGAGTAGTCAGACTCTTGAGCAGATAAATGATGGTCATTTCCTGGGCACTAATCTTTTCTCATCCCTTCCCACTCTGCATCTCATTTTCAAGTGGGGAAATGTAACTGCCTTGCAGGATTTCTCTTGGGTACGTGAATTTAATCTCAGAGATGAAACAACATTTTTAGAAGCAGTGATTCTTAAACATTGTTCTGGGCAGCCAGGTTTGAGAACCACTGGAATAGAGGAATTGCCCCAAGGAAAGGCCTCTTTTTGGTAGCACTGAACAGAATTGAAATCCTCTTTATATGTCATAGTTGTTTCTTGAATCAATGCTAATCTTTATTGAGCATCTATAGCATATAGGTCCCTGGGGTGAAATAATACTTTATAGCTACATAGTTTTAAAAGCATGTCATTATATGCTATGGATTTTAAAATAATTTTATGATAAAAAGGTAGGGAGAAAACTAAGAATCCAGAAATTCTGAGCTGACTCATCCAGTAACAGTTAAGTGGCCGGGCGCAGCGGCTCATGCCTGTAATCTCAGCACTTTGGGAGGCCGAGGCGGGCGGATCACCTGAGGTCAGGAGTTTGAGACCAGCCTGCCCAACATGGCAAAGCCCCGTCTCTACTAAAAATACAAAAATTAGCCAGGTGTGGTGGTGGGCACCTGTAATCCCAGCTACTTGGGAGGCTGAGGCAGGAGAATGGCTTGAACCCGGGAGGCAGAGGTTGCAGTGAGCCAAGATCGCACCACAGCACTACAGCCTGGGTGACGAGCGAAACTCGTCATCTCAAAAAAACAAAAACAAAACAAAACAAAAAACAGTCAAGTAATGGATCTCAGACTAGAACCCAGATGACTTTTCCATTAGGGTATGGTGCTCTTAGAAAGAACTTCTAGGTTTCTGGAATGTCCTGAAGCAGGAAGCTGTCTCATGATAATATCTTGACAGCATTTTTGTTTTGTAGGTTTGACTTGTTATACATTATAAATCATTTCAATAAAGAAATAATGCAACAAAATTTGATGGTAAATTTTAGGGTTTTTTTACTTCCTACCTTCATTTTTAATAATTTCATTTTCCCTGTGAATTCTGCTTTCTTGTTTGTCCTTTGTTTCAAGTTTAGCCAGTAAATTTGATGTTAGTATTTACACCTACCTGTTTAAAGTGGCAAGAGCCAGAGTGGCCAGACCCTGAAGACAGATTGTAATTTATTTCACAACAGATTTACCTGGAGCAAAACAACATAAACCATTCTATATGGTAATGCCATAGAGAAGATTGAACTAGGGCATTCTTTCAAATAAACTAAGTTAGAAAATTAATATTACTCGTTTGAAAGTAATTAAAGAATACCATCAGTGAATCTATTATAAACCATAGTCCAATTTAATCCTAGTTCTAAGTGAGGAGGAAAACACTCAAGTTGCTATAAAATAACGTATTCCATGCAGCTTATAAGAAATATGGCAAATAATCATTTAAAATATAAGAATTACTGCACTGTATCAAATCTGGGGTTCATCTAACTCCATATGGTCTGAAGAATACACACTTACTTCCTTTAATAATCATGGATTTAAAAATTCCTTTTTAATGTTTATTTCTCATTTGCGTTTGTTTTGTTTGTTTTGTTTTGTTTCGTTTCGCTTTGTTTTTTAGACAGTGTCTTACTTCTGTCACCCAGGTTAGAGTGCAGTGGCATGAACATGGCTCACTGCAGTCTTGACTTTCCGGGCTCAGATAATCCTCCCACCTCTGCCTCCTGACTAGCTGTGACTGCAGATGCAGACCATCACACCCGGCTAATTTTTCTATGTTTTTAGTAGAGACGGGGTTTCGCTGTGTTGCCCAGGCTAGTCTTGAACGCCTGAGCTCAAGTGATCCGCTTAGTACTATGGTTTTATTTGGTGCTTTCTTTGAAAGAACATTAATGAATTCTCTTACATTATCACTCATTTTGTTTTTCTCAGCAGATGTTCAGGAGTGTACCTCCCATATTTTTGTTAGACTAGACATATACATTGTTCCAGGTGTTAGAGTCATTAAGATGGGAAGTGATGGGGATTGAAGGTTGTTAAGTCCCAATACAAAACTGTATTATAAAATAAAACTGTGTTATATTTTTGTGTACCCATCAAAAATAGTATGAAGACTAACTGGTGTCAGCCTAAATAACAGAAAGGCTTTTTAAAAGAATAAGACATTTAATTGGTAATGGAGCATTGCAATGGGAATACAGGTGCCATAGTAAACTATGTGTATTCGGGGAGGTAAAGGAAGACAAAAGTTTTTTTATTTTTAATTTTTAAAGACTCAGGGTTTCATTTTGTTGCCTAGCCTGGAGTGCAGTGGTGCCATCATGGTTCACTGCAGCCTCGATCTCCTGGGCTCAAGCAATCCTCCTGCCTCAGCCTCATGAGTAGCTAGGACTACAGGTGCATGCCATCATGCCTGGCTAATTAAAAAACTTTTTATTTTGATTAGAGACAGGGTCTTGCTATATTGCCCAGTCAGGTCTCAAAATCCTGGCCTCAAGCAGTCTTCCTGAGTAAAGGAGGACGGGTTTTAAAAAGAAAAATGAGAATTATATAGTTGTTTTGAAATGATTATCCTTGACTGCAAAGCTCAGTAACAAGGGCGACACCAGTCTGAGTTTAAATAGGCAGTTGCTGAGCAGATGATGTCCTTGCAGTATTTTTTGTGTACTGTTGCTATGGCCTTTGTGCAAGGTTGTGGTTTTGGTGGTCTATTGGGATAGTTTTTGTGATTAGGCATACAAGCATGAGAACCCCCTCTTAGTCTTCCCTAGCTCTATTTGTTAGAGTTTTGTTTTTGGTTTTCTTTCAAACACGAGTGACTTCATTTTGATTCTGACAACTTTCACACTGGTAAACAATTTTTGAATATTACTGTCTTTCATAATTAAAATACTGACAGGAATACCTAATAAGGAGCATCAAGGAGGACAGTGCATATAATAAGGAAATAAGCTGGGAGTGTTTCTCTTGAGTTTCAGTCTGAATGCATAAAATGAGACCTGTATATTACTTTGTAAAATGTAAGCCTGGTCCCTAGAACTATAGTACATGAATATGATCTCAGCTTCATTGAAATGTATCATTTTTAAAAGAGTTCTTGTCTATTCTCAAAGAATAAGGGCAATTGAATTATTCTAACTAACATTTCTTCTCTAGGGGCATTAGTTGCTATAGGATTACTTACCAGGAATGTTGTGTTTCTTGTTACTTTTTTTAAAGTAATACACATAAGTTGAATAAATTGAACTCTAAAAATTCTGTTTAGAAGTCTGTCTTTTGGCAAGACCATGGCACATTTATATTTGCCATATATGAGTGAAAGTTCACTATCAATAGCTGGCTCAAATACATGATGACTGTTTTTCTACCTGTTTTGTTTTGTCTTGTTTTTTTGAGACAGGGTCTCACTCTGTCACCCAGGCTGGAGTGCAGTGGTGCAATCTCAGCTCACTGCAGCCTCCGCCTCCTGCTTTCAAGCGATGGTCTAAGAAAATACTTTAGACCGGGCGTGGTGGCTCACGCCCTGTGTGATCCCCGCTGGGATTACGGCTGGGATTACACCTGTAATCCCAGCATTTTGGGAGGCTGAGGTGGGCGGATCGCTTGAGGTCAGGAGTTCGAGACCAGCCTGGCCAACATAGTGAAACCTAGTCTCTACTAAAAATACAAAAATTAGCCAGGCCTGGTGGTGCGTGTCTGAAATCCTAGCTACTCAGGAGGCTGAGGCATGAGAATCGCTTGAACCTGGGAGGCAGAGGTTGCAGTGAGCTGAGATGGCACCACTGCACTCTAGCCTGGGTGACAGAGCAAGACTCTGTCTCAAAAAAAAAAAAAAAAGAAAATACTTGGTTAAAATGGCACATGAAAAGTCCTTACCTTTTAAAGATATATTTTGAAATATTAATGGATACAACGATATATCTGAGATTTGCCTTAAAATAATTGAGGGCGGCAGGGAAGTGAGTAGGGGTGTAGATGGAAACAAGATTGATCAAGAATTAATCATTGTTGAAGCTGGGTAATGGTATAGATGGTTTTGTTTTATCCTGTCTGTTTTTATACATGCTTTAAATTTTTCACTATAAGTTAACAATTGGAAATCGGATTTATAGGGAGATTTAAATTGAGTATGGTGAAATAAAATTTAAATTCCACTCTGAAAATAATGTATGTGAGATAGTAACGTTTTTCACTTTTGAACAAGATAATTTTGCTTCATACAAATTTAAAGTAGGCATTCTTGTTAAGATAAAGGTATATTTATGGCTGGGGGAACACAATCTGTTGTTTAAAACTGAAATCTTATCCTTTTCTAAAGCCTTAAGTTGAACAACTATATTGATAGTTCTCATTGTTTCAGGTAGTTCAGCAGCCTTCAGGAGGCAATGAAAAACAAGTGACCACAATTTCACATTCCTCAACATTGACCATTCAGAAATGTGGACAGAAGACGATGCCAGTGAACACCATAATACCTACTAGTCAGTTTCCTCCAGGTAGATGCTGGTCCATCTCAGTCCCATCATGCTGGGTTAGAACATGAAGGGGTTTTGTATAACTTTTTTGTTGCTGTGTTAAGAGAAGAGAGGTTTGGTCTTTTAAAGTTGGCACCCATTGAGAGAAAACAGAAAGATAATCGTTAGATTTCTCTCCCCAGACGGAGTCTTGCTCTGATGCCCAGGCTGGAGTACAGTGGCATGATCTCAGCTCACTGCAACCTCCACCTCCCAGGTTTAAGCAATTCTCATGTTCTCACCCTCCGGAGTAGCTGGGATTACAGGCGTGCACCACCACAGCTGGCTAATTTTTGTATTTTTAGTAGAGACTGGGTTTTACCATGTTGGCCAGGCTGGTCTCAAACTCCTGACCTCAAGTGGTCAATCCACCCACCTTGGCCTCCCAAAGTGCTGGGATTACAGGTGTGAGCCACTGTGCCCAGCTATGATCACATTTCTTTTTACATACATAGAAACTTTTTAGGGTTATATGTTGTTTTGGAATAAAAAAAGCAACTATTCATGGTATTCTGTAATTTGATAAAACAACCTATTAGTAAATAAGGACTTATTTAACTTATAAAATTTGCTATAGATTTTTTCTTCTTAAAATGTAGTTCTTTCTCTATGTACACACTTGTATGCATGTACATGCATGCATATGTATGGAAATCAGTCTTACCCAAGTCAGGTAGACTGGGAAATCAGTCTTACCAATGTCAGGTAGAGCTTTATGTATTTTTAAAAAATACCAATATAAGCAATGTATTATTAACATGTTTCAGGTGCCTTTTACCCATGATATTTTTATAATACTGCTAACATAGACTATCTAAAAAGAAATGGAAAGATTCTTATTTTATAAGATTATTTCTTATTCAGGGAATAAATTCATTGTCATGTTTGAATTTAAACATAGTTCTAGGGCAGCTTGGAATTTTCTTTGATTATTCTATATATATAAAAAACGGTTGTCCTGGATTTTTCCTAATGTGGTGTGATTGCTTTTTTTGTATTCTATTTTTTCTTGTTTTGTTTTTATAGCTTCCATTCTAAAGCAAATTACTCTGCCTGGAAATAAAATTCTGTCACTTCAAGCATCTCCTACTCAGAAAAATAGAATAAAAGAGAATGTAACATCATGCTTCCGGTAAGAAAATAAATAGTTAAATTTGGTTTAAGGAAGTAATTTTTTTTTAAAAAGGAGAGATGACAGAATAATACCTTACTAAAATAGATATACTGATGCCTTTTTACAAAGCTAACAGTACTTTATTGAGTATAATTTATAAACAATAAAATGCACAACTATTAAATGTACAGCTTGGTGAATTTTGTCAAATATATATACCTGTGTAATCATCATGCCGATCAAGATACTGAACATATTCATCACCTTTATGCACCTTTGAAATCAATTACCCTTATCCCCTGCCTCTGGCAGCTACTGTTCTTACGTCCATCACGATAGATCATTTTTGTCTATTCTTGAACTTCACATAAATGGAGTTTTACGTTATTATGTACCCTTTTGCATCAGACTTTTTTACTCAACATGTTTTTTAGAGCATCTGTGTCATTTGGAATATTAGACGATGGTTCTTTTGCATTGCTGGGAAGCATTTTATTTTATGAAATTAAATTTGTTGATCTTTTTCACTATTGATGGACATTTGGGTGGTTTCCAGTTTTTCTGATGATTATATAATAAAGCTTCATGTACAGAATTTTGCATGAACATATGCTTTTGCTATCTAGAAATATGATTGATGAGTCATTAGGTAAGTGTGAATTTTGGTAGGGAAACTACCAAATTGTTTATCAAAATGACAGTATCATTTTGCATTTCTGTCATTGATGATGAGCGTTCTAGTTCCTGTCCAACTTTGTGAGCAATTGGTAATTCTCAGTTCTTTTGATATTTTAAAAATCCATTTTAATAGGTGTATAAGTGGTTATTATTGTGGTTTTAGTTTGCATTTTTCTAATGGCTAAAGATGCTGATCATCTATTTTTGTGCTTATTTGTTATTTATATATCTTTGGTGAAGTGTGTGTTCAAATTTTTGGCCCATTTTTGTTTCTTGCATTGGTTTCTTACGATCAAGTGTTTTTAAGAGTTTATATATGCATAAACAAATGTTATATTTGTATATATTTCTTATATATACAAATATATAAAATAAATTTTTATATAATTTCTCCCTTTTGCATTTTTATATGTACAAATATATAAACAAACATATAACATTTGTATATATATGTATCATACATATTTATTTATGAATATTTATATTAAAAATATGTATATATACAGAAATATAACATTTGTATATATAGAAATTATGCAGTTAAAGTGGGGGAAAGCAGAGAAAATAGAACATGTACACAATAGTTTTTACATAGGTAATAGATGGGAATTAAAGGATGACGATTAAGAAAAAGGGCAAGCCTGAAACGAGATCTTCTGGAACAAAGCATAGGAGAAAATCTTTGTAACCTTGGGTTACACACATTTCTTAGATAACACATGAAAAGAGTGATCTACAAGAGGAAAAATTAATGAACTGGAATTCAGAAAATTAAAAAACTTTTGCTCTGTGAAAAACACTGTCCAGGAAATGAATAAACATGCCACAAGGAAAATATTTCCAAATTGTTTATCTGGCAAACATTTGGATCTTAAATATATATAATATATATATTAAATATATATATTTTAACTGCATAATTTATATATATATTTCAATATAATATTTGTATAAAATTTGTACCTTAGTCTTCCTCATCCCCCCATGTACATTTTATTTGTAGGTCTACTTTTATATGCGTATATTAAAATGTTCACCATCGGTCTTTTTTTCTGTCGTGTTCTGTCATCTCTTGGTTGGATGAAGTTCATCTGCTGGTAAATTCCTCAGGAAAGGCTCACAGGTATAGAATTCCCTAAGTCATTGGTCCCTAACATTTTTGGCACCAGGGACTGATTTCTTGGAAGGCAATTTTTCCACAGACCAGGATTGAGGGGGAGGGGATAGTTTCCACTTCAGATAATCAGGCATTAGATTCTTATAAGGAGCACACAACCTAGATCTCTCATTTGTGCAGTTCACAGTAGGGTTTGTGCTCCTATGAGACTCTAATGCTACCACTGATCTGACAGGAGTTGGAGCTCAGGCAGTAATGCTCGCTTGCGCACCTCTCACCTCTTCCTGTGCAGTCCAGGTTCTAACAGGCTACGGACTGCTACCGGTACATGGCCTGGGGGCTGGGGACCCCTGTCCTAAGTTGTTGTATGTTAAAACTATTTTTCAGTGTCTTTTGATACTTGAAGGACAGCTTGGCTGGCTGTGAAATCAACACTTTTTGTATTACCTTTTTTTTAAATGTTGCCCCATTGTTGTCTTATTCTTATTTGATCTTTTTGTCTGAAGAACTTCAGGATTTTTTATTTTTGAAATCTCATAGTTTTGCCCTAGAATATGTTGTAAAGGTGGTGGTTCCTCAATTCCTATTTGGCCCTTTCAGTATGTAGATTCTGGTCTTTTGTAATTTTTGGAAAACGTTCTTGGAGTATAGTTTTAAATATTAGTTCTTGTTCACGATTTTGTGTGTGTGTGTGTGTGTGTGTTTCAGGGAGTGTAATAGTATGGATTTTAGTCCTTTTGCCTCTCTTTCATTCCCATTACTTTGTCTCTGACCCTTTTTTTACCCTTTATTTATGTCAGTTTTTCCCTTGTTTTTCCACCTTTCTTCAATGCCTCTTTTATTAGAGTTTTGTTTGTATCTATTTGCCGTGGGAAAACTGTTTGGTCCTTTTTTGTCTTGCAGCACTCTAAATTTTCCCCTTTTGCATTTTCTCCGCTTCCAAATGGTGCTTCTCCCTCTCCTTTTTGCCTTTTATTCCTTCCAAGAATCTGCACATTTCAGTCTGCCAATTTAAATTGCATGTAGTCATGCTTTGATTTATGGGAACACCTTTTTAGCATTTTCTGACTTGGGATGTATTTAGTCTTATGCCCACCACTGGCTCTGCCCTGTCTCTCTTTTCTGCAGTTTTTTTTCCATCTCTTTTTGCCTGTAGCAAGCCTTGAGGCATGGGGTGGGGTGGGGAGGGGTAGATGAGATTGAGAAGATGAAAAAGTTTGCATGGGATTTGTTTTTTTTTCCTTTATAGTTTGGAGTTTGGGTATTCTGGAAGACAGTAATCCAGGCAGTCATCATCATCTTTCAGTTTAATGACTCTTGACAAAAAGCTAAACCCATGTACCAAGTATCACTGTCAGGATACATGGAATATTTTCAATACACCAAAAAGATTCCTTTGCACTCCTTACCAGCCAGTCCCCACATTACACCTCAGGTTCTGCACAACCATTGATCTGCTTTCTATCATTGTAGATTGGGTTTGGATTTGTCCTTTCTAGAGTTTTGCATGAGTGGCATCTGTCAAAGTCAAATTAAAAATGTAGAGGTAGGCCGGACACAGTGGCTCATGCCTGTAATCCCAGCACTTTGGGAGGCCGAGGCAGGTGGATCACTTGAGTCAAGAGTTCGAGACCAGCCTGGCTAACATAATGAAACCCTGTCTCTACCGAAAATATAAAAATTAGCAGGGCATGGTGGTGCATGTCTGTAGTCTCAGCTACTTGAGATGCTGAGGCAGGAGAATCAGTTGAACCCTGGGAGGTTGCAGTGAGCTGAGATTGCGCCACTGCACTCCAGCCTGGGTGACAGAGTGAGACTGTCTCATTAAAAAAAAAAAAAAAATGTAGAAGTGAATCTCTAAATTTAACATTTTATTTGGGGAGAAAGAATTGCAGTTCAAAGCATACACACAGACCAGATCATCTCTGGTATGTCCGAAGAACAAAGAGAAGGCTGGAGATTAAAAAAGAGACATGACATGAAATCCTCTTCGAGAAAATTCGTTGGCACTGTTAAGGTTCTGGGAAGCTGGTCAGCTCTGATTGACATGTGAAGGTGGTAGGCAAAATAGTTCTAGAGTTGCAGCAAGTTGTCTCAGCAGTTATAGATTAAACTGGTCTCAGGTTACAACAGGCAGTTTCAGCAGCTGGACTCGTAGAGAATTACATTTCTAGAGCAATGTTTTGTGCCCTGCATGCTTTCCCCCTGGCTTCTCTATTCTGTTTTAGTTGGGTATGACATGAGTGACCCAATTCATATCATCAATATTCACACATCATACAGTTCATGTTGTGTCTGGCTTCTTTTGGTAGCATAATGTGTTTTATATATACCATGTTGTTGTATGTATCAGTAGTTGCATTTTTTATTGCTGAGTAATATTTTATTATACAGGTATATTGCTTTTGTTTGCACTGAATGATCACTTTATCTGTTGATGGATATTTGGGTTGTTTACAGTTTTTGGCAATGATAAAGCTTGCTGGGAACACTTGTGTCTATATCTTTGTATGGACATAGATTTTCTTTTCTATAAATACATAGAACAGAATTGCTGAGTCGTATGGTAGGTATATAAGCATATGTTTAACTCTATGGGAAGCCACCACACTAGTTTCCTAAATGGTTATACCATTTTTCCATTTCCACCAACAAAGTATGAGATTCTGTTCTAGTTGCTCTGCATCCTTGCTAACAATTGATACTGCAGTTTTACTTTGTCTCTCCCCGCCCCCCACCCCTCCAATTTTAGCTATTCTGGTTTGGTATGTAGTTGTAGCTCACTGTGACTTTAATTTGCATTTCCCTAGTGACTAATGATGTTGAGTGCATTTGTTCTTATTGCCCATTTATGTAACTTCTTTTGTGAAATATGTGTTCAAATATTTTGACTGTTTTTGTTGTAATTAATTAATTAATTTATTTATTTTGAGACAGAGTCTTGCTCTGTCACGCAGGCTGCAAGGCTGGAGTTCAGTGGCAGGATCTTGGCTCAGTGCAAGCTCCGCCTCCTGGGTTTATGCCATTCTGCTGCCTCAGCCTCCCGGGTAGCTGGGACTATAGGCGCCCGCAACCACACTCTGCTAATTTTGTTTTTGTATTTTTAGTAGAGACGGGTTTTCACCATGTTAGCCAGGGTGGTCTCAATCTCCTGACCTTGTGATCCGCCCTTCTCGGCCTCCCAGAGTGCTGGGATTACAGGTGTGAGCCACCGTGCCCTGCCTGTTTTTGTTTTATTTTAAGAAACAAGGTCTTGCTCTGTTGCCTAGGCTGGGGTGCAGAGGTGCAATCCTAGCTCACTGCAGCCTCAGACTCCTGAGCTTAAGCGACCCATCTGCCTCAGGCTCTCAAGTAGCTAGGACTACAGGTGTACATTACCATGCCCAAGTAACTTTTTTTTTTATTTCCCATTTATTGTAGAGACAGGGATTTCACTATGTTTCCCAGGCTGGTCTTGAACTCCTGGCCTCATGAGATCCTCCCACTGCAGTCTCCCAGAGTGCTGGGATTACAGGCATGAGCCACCATGCCCAGCCTATTGCCTTTTTTTTTTTTTTTTTTTTTTTTTTTGAGATGGAGTTTTGCTCTTGTTGCCCAGGCTAGAGTGCAATGGTGCAATCTCAGCTCACCGCAACCTCTGCCTCCCGGGTTCAAGTGATTCTCCTGCCTCAGCCTCCCGAGTAGCTGGGATTACAGGCATGTGTCACCATGCATGGCTAATTTTGCATTTTTAGTAGAGACGGGGTTTCTCCATGTTAGTCAGGTTGCTCTCCAACTCCTGACCTCAGGTGATCTGCCTGCCTCGGCCTCCCAAAGTGCTGGGATTACAGGCGTGAGCCACCATGCCCAGCCCTTTTTTTTTTCTTTTTTAAGGCACAGTGCTCTACATGTTCAGAGAAACTTCTCTAGTAAAGAACTATAGAAATGATCCCTGAAAGTATAGTCTTCCTATTGCCTGTTTTTAAACTGAGTGTTTTTGTCATGAACTTTTTCTGCATCTATTTAAGGTGGTCATTGATTTTTCTTATTATTCTAGGATCATGAATTACATTGATTTTTAAATTTCTGAATGTTCTTGCATTCCTGGAGTATTAGCCTTTTTATTTATTGCTGCATTGATTAATGTTTTGTAAGGGTTTTGTGTTGATATTCATGAGCGATTTGGTCTATAGTTTTTTGTTCTTAGAGTGTGTTTGCCAGAATTTGGTATCTGTGATTATATTGGCTTAAAAAAAATGAGTCATAGTCTTCCCCCCCTCCTTTGTTTTAAGCTTTTGTGTAGAATTGTTATGATTTCTTCCTTAAATGTATGAATGAATTTACCATTGAAACTAGATAGGTCTGTTGTTTTCTTTGGGAGAATGTTTTTTGACAAAGTCAATTTCATTGATAGATATAAAGGTATTTAGATTTTCTTTTTCATTTTAATGCCAATTTCATGAAGTTGTATTTTTTTAAGGTTTTTGTACATTTCATATTGATTTTCAGATTTATCAGCAAGAAATTGTTCCTAATACTTTTCTTTTGAATGTGTATAGATGCTTTAATGGTAGTATAGTATATACATTTTTCAAGGATTTTATTTTTGTAGTTGACTTTTTCAGGCATGAAATTAATTTTATTTCTTTATCCTTTTAATGTCTATAAAATATGTAGTCTCTCTCTTTTTATTAGTAGGCTTTTATCAGTTTTGTTAATTTTTTTGTTGTTGAGACAGAGTCTCACTCTGTGGCCCAGATTAGAGTGCAGTGGCACTTCAAACTCCTGGGCTCAAGCCATCTTCCTAGCTCAGCCTTATGAGCAGCTGGGACTACAGGTGCGCATCACCATGCCCGGCTAATTTTTTTAATTTTTATTTTTTGTAACAATGAGGTTTCACTATGTTGCCCATGCTGGTCTTGAACTCCTGGGCCCAAGCAGTCCTCCCATCTTGGCCTCCCAAAGTGCTGGGATTACAGGCATGAGCCACTATGCCTGGCTTGTTTTCTAATGTAGGCATTTATTATTATTATTATTATTATTATTATTAATGTAAGCATTTAAAATTATACATTTCCTCATTTGAGCTGAGGCTACAAGATAAAAACAACAACAACAAAAAAATCCTATCAATTTCTCCCTAAATACTGATTTAGCACCCAACTGATTATAGGGTGTGTTTTTTTTTTTTTTTTGCCTTTCCATTCATGTCAAGATAGTTTCCTTTCTTTAATTTATTGGTACAAATATTTGATGCTTTTCTGGAATATTTTATTTGTTTTCTAATACAGTTTTGTGATCAGAGAACATATTCTTGAACATATAATTTCAATTTTATTAAATTTATTGAGACTTCTCAGTGTGACTAATTTTGATTAATATCTCATGAGCACTTGGGAGAAAAATACGTATTATTCAGTTTGGGGAAGTAGTTTTTTGTTGTCTACATCAGTTTGGTGAAGGTGGGTGACAGTGTTCACATCTTCTATACCCTGGGCTTTTTTTTGGTTTTATTTTTCAGACTGTTTCCATCACTTACGTAGAGTGGGTATTAAAATCTCCCACTCTGATTTTTTTTTTCCTTTTGCTTGTTTTTTCCTTTAGTTCTGTCAATTTTTGTATTATATATTTGAAGCTCTGTTATTGGGACATCTCAAGCCACTAGTCATAGACTAGGGAGTGCATAGACTAGGGAGTGCTTTCAGACCAAAAGACATAAACTCACAAATTTTACCCATTACTGTTCCCATCATCCAACGGTTGACTTACCTCTGTTTTCTGCCTGCCTTTATTAAGTCTCCAAATGATTGCCTTTTAAAAACTGTTTGTAGATTTTGTAATTGTTATTGATCAAACTATTGTAGCATTACTAGAAACCACGACCATCATTTCTTTTTTAATGGATTATTGTCCTGTGGTATAGTTGTTTGCCTCTATGTTCTTGAACAATTAATTGTAGTTATTTTATTGTGTGCATGTGTGGTTTTCTTTGGTTGTTGTTGTTGTTTTTTTTTTTTTTGAGACAGTCTTGCTCTGTTGCCCAGGCTGAAGTACAGTGGCACAATCATAGCTCACTGCAGCCTTGAACTTCTAGGCTCCAGTGATGCTCCTGCCTCAGCCTCCCAAGTAGCTGGGACTACAGGCATGTGCCACTATGCCTAGCTAGCTTTTTTTAAAATTTATTTTTGTAGAGGTGGGGTCTTGCTTTGTCTCCCAGACTGGTCTTGAACTCCAGGCCTCGAGTGATCCTCCTGACTCAGCCTTCCAAAGCGCTGGGATTATAGACATGAGCCACCACACCCTGCCATTTGTGGTTAAAGTCAAATGCTTAATGTTTCCAATGTCCGGGTTACCTGTGACTCTATTTCTATTATCTGGCTTTTTAATCCCGTTTCTTTGCTGCACTTGGTAATATTTAATTAAATGTCAGATCTGTATGAAAAACATTGGTAAATGCCTCACTTATTAATAGGATCATGGTCCATTCATCCCTCAAGTTCTGGCAGCCTTGGACTTCAACTTCTTGTCTCTCTCTCTCCTCATGAGATTGCCTAATGCTCTGTTGGCTTTTCTGCCTCTTAGCAGCTGCTGGCTCTGTGGTTTCTTAGTGTCTTGTTCCACGTCAAGAATCAGCATGTGCCCAGAGGAAAAAAAACATGGAGAAATTTGGGGTTACTTCAGTGAGGTTCTCTTCTCTCAGGGCTGTCGTCCCTCAAGACCTGGCTCCCTCGGCAGCTCTCTGATGCCTTCAAATAAACTTAAAATTGTTATGGCTTTATTAGTTTCTTGTCCTCAAAACAATTGTCTGATTGTTTTGAGGTTACAATGGTCTGTAACAGAAACAGAAGTCCTTTTTAATTCTTTATACTTTTTTTGTGTTACACATATCTACTAGAGTTAGTGTTTTGCAATTTACTTTCTTTTATGGTATATTTTGATGAACAGAAATTCTTAATTTTAAAGTTGTTGAATTTGGCAGTTTCTTTTATGATTAATACTTATGCCTTATTTTAGAGATCCTTCTGGAGATCACAAAGATAGTCTCCTATATTGTCTTCTAAAAGTTTTGAAGTTTCATATTAAATTTTTTTTTTTTTTTTTTTTTGAGAAATGGTCTCTGTCACCTAGGCTGGAGTGCATTGAGTGGCACTATCATGCCTCACTGCAACCTCAAATTCCTGGACTCAAACAAGCCTCCAGAGTAGCTAAGACAACAGGTACACGCCATAACAATTGGCTAGTTTTTAAATTTTTTGTAGAGATGAGGATCTCGCTTTGTTGTCCAGGCTGGTTTCAAACTGGTGGCCTCAAGTGATCCTCCTGCCGCATCCTCCCAAAGTGCTGGGATTACAGGTGTGAGCCATCATGCCCAGCCTATTTGAATATCTTTTTGTCTTCAGGAGTTAAAATTTGGTTTTTGTTTTTGCTATGGTTTGGAGGTTTAGAGATCCTGATTCGTTTTTCCCCATATAGGAAACCACTTGTTCTAGCAGCATTATTGAATAATTTGTCCTTCCTCAGTGATCTGTAATGTCTCCTATGTCATATATATATGGATCTTCTCTTTTTTTTAATCTTTCTTTTTTTAAAATGCCTCTAATCAATAGTTAATCTTTTTTATCTCTATTTCATTTTATTGGTTAATTTTAAAATTTCCAATAGCATACAGTTTAATTTACTATAATTTCAAAAGAAGTTTTATATTTGGTAATGCATATTTTCTACCTACTTCTCCTTCTTCTTTATTTCCTTTTCTTCCTCCACTTTCATACCCGCTCCACTTTCATACCCCCTCCACTTTCATACTCCCTCCACTTTCATACCCCCTCCACTTTCATACCCCCTCCACTTTCATACTCCCTCCACTTTCATACTCCCTCCACTTTCATACCCCCTCCACTTTCATACCCCCTCCACTTTCATACCCCCTCCACTTTCATACTCCCTCCACTTTCATACTCCCTCCACTTTCATCCTCCCTCCGCTTTCATCCTCCCTCCGCTTTCATACCCCCTCCACTGTCATCCTCCCTCCACTTTCATACCTCCTCCACTTTCATACCCCCTCCACTTTCATCCTCCCTCCACTTTCATCCTCCCTCCACTTTCATCCTCCCTCCACTTTCATCCTCCCTCCACTTTCATCCTCCCTCTACTTTCATACCCCCTCCACTTTCATACCCCCTCCACTTTCATCCTCCCTCCACTTTCATACCCCCTCCACTTTCATCCTCCCTCCACTTTCATACCCCCTCCACTTTCATCCTCCCTCCACTTTCATACCCCCTCCACTTTCATACCCCTTCCACTTTCATCCTCCCTCCACTTTCATCCTCCCTCCACTTTCATA
Source organism: Homo sapiens (assembly GCF_000001405.40). Classification (NCBI taxonomy): domain Eukaryota; kingdom Metazoa; phylum Chordata; class Mammalia; order Primates; family Hominidae; genus Homo; species Homo sapiens. The sequence goes on from NC_000018.10 coordinate 26,303,637, forward strand.
CCCCCTCCACTTTCATACCCCCTCCACTTTCATACCCCCTCCACTTTCATACTCCCTCCACTTTCATACTCCTTGGCTCTACTTGGGCTTTTGCTATTCCCTATACATTTAATGATCAACTTGTTAAATTCTACCAGTAATCTGTTAGAATTTGAATTGGCGTGGCCTGAGTCCATAGGCCCACTGTCTTCCAGCTGATTTATTATAATTTGGATCCTTCTATGAACATGATTTATATCTCCATTATATATACCTTTTTAAACATCTTTCAATAAAGTAGTATAATTTTATTTATGCAGATTCTGCATGATTTGTTGCATTTATCTGTTAGATTTATTCCTAGATATCTTTCTTGTTGTTATTATAAGTAATATTTTTGGTAACTGCCTTTTCTTTTACTAGCATAGAGAAATTCAGGACTTAAAAAAATCATATACCAACAGCCTTGTTATTATTTCTAATAATTTCTAGATGATTTTAGATTATTTATATAGACAATGTCAAGATTGAGATTAGAATTATAGGTCGACTGTTTTTTTTTTTTTTTTGCTTTGAAGATGTTATTCCATTGTTTTTGGGTGTTCATATAAAATATATGTTCACATTTAAAGATAAACATGCAAGGAAGTATCCTTGAGTCAAGCTACAGGGAAACAGTAATACATTTGGAATTCCAGTGACTTCAAACATAGGATGATCAAATAGTAAGTGTTAAAAAATAGTATAAAGTATTTAAAAATAAAATACGGAATCTCAAGAATGAGCAAGAAACTATTTTTAAAAATGACTGCAAATACTTGAAAAAGAACCAAATAGGACTTTTAGAAGTAAAAAATGTAGTCAATAAATCTAAAACTTTGTGGGACAGGTAAATCAGATTAAACCTGAGGGTCTAAACTGAGTTTGCTTTCTTCCAGAGAGGATTTGTGACTGTTTCTAGTAGACCCAGGGATTACTATTGACTTGGAACCACTTTAGTCTTCTTCCTGGGAACTTGACTTACCCAGGAGTCTCAGATACACTTTTCCCATTGTAATCAAGAACTAGTGCTAGCCACAGTCATTTGCCCTTGAGGCAATTCTTCCTTTAGGATATGCTTATTGCTGATTTTTACTGACACCTTTTTTTTAACAGGTCCTGTGAACCAAACAATGGAATGAAAATGTCTTATGCTGTGTAATTGCTCCTCAGTAAATCTAGTCCACTTACTGCCTGAAGGAAAAATGTCACTATAAGTATTTTCTTTGGGAAATTTCTGACTTATTACTTTCGCCCATTTATCTGTTGACTACTTATTGCTTTCCAGACTTATGTACATATGCTGGACAGTAGTAATTCTTTGATATATACATTGTAAGTATTTTTCTCCTAGTTTTTTGTTTAACTTGGAAATTTGTTTTTAGTGTTTCATATATGGAAAATTTAAATTACAGTATAAAGTTTAGCAGTCTCTTCCTTTATGGCTTTTGAATTCTAATGTATCCTTTCGTATTATGAGCCCAGAATGATGTGCCTTCTGTATCTTCTTCTAAGATACTTGTATGCACTTACCTCAAATACAGATATTTACCTTTATATCTTCAATAATTCTTGATTTTATTTTTGTAAATGTGTGAGGCAGAGATTAAATTTTCCTCAAATGAATTGTCTGAGCAATAGTTAGTAAAGAGTTCATCATCTTTAACTTTCTTATTTGCAATGCCACCTTTATCTTATAGTAAATTCCCATTTAAAAAAGGGCAAATTTCATTTTAGTGATATGTTTTTGTTTTATTTTATTTTATTTTTTGAGATACAGTTTCACTCTGTTGCCCAGGCTGGAGTGCAGTGGTGCGATCTCAGCTCACCACAACCTCCACCTGCTGGGTTCAAACGATTCTCGTGCCTCAGCCTCCCGAGTAGCTGAACTACAGGCACGCGCCACCACTCCCAGCTTATTTTTGTATTTTTAGTAGAGACGGGGTTTCATCATGTTGGCCAGGCCAGTCTCAAACTCCTGACCTCAGGTGATCCACCTGCCTCGGCCTCCCAAATATTTGTTTTGTTTTGATATTACTATTTTGGTGTTTTCGATTGTTATAACATCTTTATTTATTTATCTAGCCCATAGTTAAAGTAAGTCCTTTTTCTATATTCCTTTTTATCGAAGGTATCTTAATTTTACTTGTTATTTTTCTCTCGTGCATGAATTTTAGAATCAGCATGGCAGTTCCATGAAGTTTGTATAGAATTGTGTGATTAGGTTAATTTGGGTGGTGGGGGCAGAGAATTGGCTTAAAGAATTTTCTTTTTACGATATAGAAGATTCCCATCTGAAACCATGGTTATATTTGTTAGAATTTGGTAAGGTTGTAGGGAACAGAAAAACTGAAAAGCCATTGCATAAGCAAATTATCTCTCATATTCAGAAAAACTGAATTGCAAGGATCACGGTCTGTGGTGTTAGGGATCCGTGCTCCATGTTTGCCTCCTTTCTGTTCTTCGGACACACTAGTCATGGTCCTGATGTACAATTTTATTTATTTATTATTTTCTTTAATGTTTTTAATGTTTAATTTTGGGGGGTACATAGGCGTATATTTATGGGTTATGTGAGATTTTGATAAAACCCACTGTATAGTTTTTGATGTGGTATGCAGTGAAAGCTGTCCCTCAGTCTTCATATGACATGGTCTTTCATATATCAAATCTACCTCCTTAGAGAGGTAAATTTTGCTTGGCCAACCAACATAAAGTAGCTTCCACAGTGATATCTGCTGTCTTGAGGTACTTATCTAAAATTATTTTGTTCATTTATTTGTTTACCCCTGCTTCCATGTATTTCCCACTTCTTCTTAATCGTCTATGAAAGCTTACAATGATTGTTTACCATTGTATGTATACCGAGTGTTTAGAACAATGCCTGTTTCATAATAGGCATTCAAATATTTGTTGAAATGGTGAGTTTTGGAAAAGGAGTATTTATAATCTCAGCTATTTCTTAGATATTTTTGTACAAAGGTGCACTTTTCATTTTTGTACAGTACTTTCTAGTAATTCACAGTCACACATGGCTTTATGCATATCTTTTCATAGTGATGTCTTTTTAAATTTAATTTTGCTTCCCTGGATACTTACATCACTTCAGTTATTTATTTATTTATTTATTTATTTATTTTTTAAGATGGAGTCTCACTCTGTCTCCCAGGCTGGAGTGCAGTGCACGATCTCGGCTCACTGCAAGCTCTGCCTCCTGGGTTCACGCCATTCTCCTGCCTCAGCCTCCTGAGTAGCTGGGTCTACAGGCACCCGCCACCACACCCGGCTAATTTTTTTTGTATTTTTTTAGTAGTGACGGAGTTTCACCGTGTTAGCCAGGATGGTCAGATGGTCTCGATCTCCTGACCTCGTGATCCACCTGCCTCGGCCTCCCAAAGTGCTGGAATTACAGGCATGAGCCACCGTGCCCAGCCTTACTTCAGTTACTTTTTAAATGAAACTGATAATAGACCCTCGATGTTGGCTCTTTTGTTAAATAAGAAGAAATAGTAGCGAATAATATTAGCTCTTGTCTTGACCAAACTGTATGACATTTAATAATATAGAATGATATTTTCATAGTTTTTAAAAACTATTTTGTTAACTTACACTTTTCGGGGGGATTCATTTGTGACTTTTTCTGCTAAGAAGATTCTGTTTTCTATTCTGCTTGTCAGTATAGCTGGGGTGAATTTGGGAAGCTGTATTGTGCTTAAACACCAGAGGGTGCCAGAGATTCATGTTCTTTCCATCATACTTCAGAATCAGAAGTGGCAAACAGGATAGTACCTCTGCATGTTTGCATAACCGTATTTCAACTGAAGATGTGATGATAATAAGGAATTAATATCAATATTTTTATGTGATCATTTATTTAAAGTCCTTATATTTTAGAGATACATAATAAAATATTTATGGATAATATCTATATACTATATCTGGTAGTGAAGGTGTTTTAACAACTAGGGGTTTTAGTGTGATTTTTATTACTTTAAAAAGACACTCTTGGAAAATAATATAGGACCAGATTATGTGCTGTTTGCATAGATGGTATTACTCCATCAATTTTAATGTCCATTTTTTCCATACTGCAGGAATTAGATTGTCTAGTGTATATTAACTTATTTAACTTTCATCATATATAATTCATTGTTTTATGTATTACGAGTCTGTTTGTCCTTGTGTATGCTCACGCTTGTAATCCCAGCACTCTGGGAGGCTGAGTTGGGAAGATCACCTGAGGTCAGGAGTTCGAGACCAGCCTGACCAACGTGGCGAAACTCCATCTCCACTAAAAATACAAAAATGAGCCGGGTGTGGTGGTGCGCCTGTAGTCCCAGCTACTTGGGAGGCTGAGGCAGGGAGAATTGCTTGAACCTGGGAGGCAGAGGTTGCAGTGAGCCGAGATGGAGCCATTGCACTCAAGCCAAAAACAAAAAACCCCCCAAAATTAGTTGGGCATGGTGGCGCACGCCTGTAATCCTAGCTACTTGGGAGGCTGAGGCGGGAGAATGACCTGAGCTCCGGAAGTGAAGGCTGCAGAAAGGTGAGATTGCACCGCTGCACTCCAGCCTGGGTGTCTTAATAAAAAAGAGAGAGAGAAAAAAGAAATGAGGTTGTTGAACATTCCAAGTGAATTATATGAGTGAAGACTTGGAGATTATATTGTGAAGTCTTTCAGAGTTTTTAGTCATATGTTGTCATAGTAAAGTTATGTTCAGGAAAATTTATCTGTGTACTTTAGTGCAGAATAAACTGAGAAGGAGGACGTTAGAGGTAGGTACACCATGAAGTGAAGGTTGAAGTTATATAGGTAGGAGATAGGGCATATCTTATTTATTTGTCATGAGCATTCTCAAGAATGGTCAAAGCCAAGAGACAGTTATAATGCTGTGGTGTGAAAAATCTAAAAATTTCTTGTTAAGAAATTAAATTAGGCCAGGCGTAGTGGCTCACACCTGTAATCCGAGCACTTTGGGAGGCCGAGGTGGGCGGATCATCTGAGGTCTGGAGTTCGAGATCAGCCTGGCCAACATGGTGAAACCCTGTCTCTACTAAAAATACAAAATTAGCTGGGTGTGGTGGTGCATGCCTGTAGTCCCAGCTACTTGGGAGGCTGGGACAGGGGAATCGCTGGAACCTGGGAGGCGGAGGATGCAGTGAGCCGAGACTGTGCCATTTCACTCCAACCTGGCAGCCTGGGCAACAGAGTGAGACTCTGTCTCAAAAAAAAAAAAAAAAAAAAGAAATTGATAATTGAACTGAGAACATGAATATAGGAAAGAGCTAGTACATACTTCAGGAAACAATTGATAACTAAATATTTCCTAGTATACTATAGATCAGCAGTCTCAGAGTTACCCAGGGAATTTGTTAAAATTTTGGTTCCTGGAGCTGATCTAATCTAGAATAAAATCTCTGGGGATTGGGTATGGCAGGAACTTGTATTTTAAAAATCCTTATAATGAACATATTTCTGATGTTCATTATAAATTTAGGAACTATAAGTATATATAGACCAGCATTTGACAGACATTTTCATGAAAATGAATGAAGTGAGTCTGTCACTTTAGGGAAAAAACCTGACAGTATTTTTTTTTTTTTTTTTTTTTTTTTTTTTTTTTTTGCCAATGATAAAGTTGGAGCTATCAAGCAAAAATGAAAACTTTGCAAAACATATCTATTACCATGACTTTGACAGCTTTCCAATAGTTATATTTTCTGATTTGGTTGGTGGAGATACATGTAATTTTGGATTATGTATTAGAATCTAAATTTGGAAGAACTGTATGACTCAGTGAACTAGTATTTTCCATATTACCAATGGATGATGTTGCAAAACCATGTCTGAGTAACAGATCCCATTCAAAATGCAAGAGGACCCGTGGATTTTAAAAAGATTTGTAAAAATAGAAGGCAGTACCACTCTTGATCTATTTTTAAATTTTGATATGTTAATTTTTGTTAAAGTATGTTATTTATGGTAATATATATTTCTTATTTTTCAATGAATAAATAATACCAATTTTTAGTTTCTGATGCAGTTTTAGTTTCTAATACAGTTTTCACACAAAATTACATGAGAGGGTCATTTTCACTCCCATTTTACAGATAAGGGGATCAATGAATAGACGTGGGAAGAAACTTGTCCATGGTCATCCTATTAATATTTATTTTTTATTTTTTATTTTTGAGATGAAGTCTCACTCTGTCGCCCAAGCTGGAGTGCAGTGGCGCGATCTCAGTTGCAAACTCTGCCTCCCGGGTTCAAGAGATTCTCCTGCCTCAGCCTCCCGAGTAGCTGGGATTAGAGGCATGCAACCATGCCCAGCTCATTTTTGTATTTTTAGTAGAGATGGGGTTTCACCATATTGGCCAGGTTGGTGCTGAGCCCCTGACCTCAGGAGACACGCCCACCTCGGGCTCCGAAAGTGTTGGGATTACAGGTGTGAGCCACTGCACCCAGCCATCCTGTTAATAATGGTCAGAACAGGGACTGAAACCTTGACCTCTTTAGAATCAGTACTCTTAATTTTTATAACTCAGTATTTTTCTTAGTGTGGTCCTTAGACCATTTGTATCATGATCATTTAAGTGTGCCTGTTAGAAAACTCCAAATCCCTGGTCTCCATCATAGGCCTACCAAATGAGAATCATGGGTACTGTGTGGATGTGTGTTTGACATTGAGACCTGCATTTTAAATATACTTCCTAGGTGTTTCCTAAAAACACTATTGCTTGAGAAGTACTGCAGTATGCTACGCTACATTTGAGTTAATAAGAAGAGAGGGAAATTCCCATGAGAAAAACAACTTTAAAGCATAGAAGAAGGAATAAGCAGGATATTGTGTGAATTTACTGGCTCACTGTGGTAGAGAGGCTCTGCTTGAGAGAGGTGAAAAAAGAATATTGAAGGCAAACTAATTTTATTACAGATTTAGTAATCTAAGGAAATAACTAGATCTTAAAATAAAAGTTTTTGTTTATATTTTAAAAACTCATTTATTTGAGTAGGTAATGTGAACATTTTACACGAAATTTATAAGGTACAAGAAGGTATGCAATGGGAAAAGTAAGGGTTCCCCTGACTTCTTTATCCCCCCTATTACCCAGGTTCCCAGCCTAGAGCCAACCAGTTACCACTTTTTTTCAGTTTCTTATGTATTGTTCTAAGTATAGTATTTTTTTTTTCTTGGGTACAGTATACTTTATTGATGGTACATGACAAGATGGAGCTCCCTAGATATAGTATTCAACACAGATGGTAATATATAATACATACATAATGTTTTGCTTTTTTTGTTTTTTTTTTAACCACTTAATAGTAATCTTGGAGATTGTCTCATCAGTACATATTCACTGTGATTTTGATATTTTTAACAAAGTTCCATAATGATGGACATTTAGGTTGTTTCCATTGTTTCATACTAGGAAAAAAGCTGCAGTGATAGGTGATGAAGATGATTAATATGATCAATAAAATTAGTTGGAATTTAAGGCAAATACATTGATTAGAAAAGAAGACAGAGTAAGAACTACCATAACAGAGACAAACATGTGCTCTCAGGAGTTCAGCATTGTAGCAGTTGGACAAATGATTTAAAAGTATAAAACCAGCATTTCTAAAGTAGGCATTCAAAGTGGATCTGGGACATAGATAAGGCTTTGAAAGCTTTGAAAATAAGAAAAAAGCAAAGGGGCTGGGCGTGGTGGCTCACACCTGTAATCCCAGCATTTTGGGAGGCCGAGGCAGGCAGATCACCTGAGGTTAGGAGTTTGAGACCAGCCTGGCCAACGTGGCAAAATCCTGTCTCTACTAAAAAAAATACAAAAATTAGCCAGGCGTGGTGGTGCTACTCAGGAGGCTGAGGCATGAGAATCGCTTGAACCCAGGTGGTGGAGGTTGCAGTGAGCCGAGACCTTGCCACTGCACTCCAGCCTGGGCGACAAAACGAGACTCAGTCTCAAAGAAACAAAAAAACAAGCATAGGAAGTTGAAGACTAGAACAGGAAGGGAATAGTCTAAGCAAAGTCCAGAATCAGGAGGAGTTATTCTATAGTGAGTAATGGAAGGAAGGGGGAAGAGTGCTAACTGTGGTCATTACCTGGAAGACCTTGGATGTCAAGTTGAGTTCAGGGTAATGTGAAAGATTTTTGAACAGGAAAATAACGTGACTGACTTTACTTTAGAAGAAGTAGTCTGCTGTTGTTAGAGAAGTTAAGGGGATAGAAGAAGACATTGTAAGAAGGCAGGCATGAGCAGGCATTCTCAAAAGCTAAAGAATTAGATCAGTTTCAGAAGCTAGAATGCAAAGCATTTGTGATAAATTAGTGATATTTTTGTAATATTTGCCTAGTTCCCTGTAACACTCCATAGAATCTTGAGTTGGAAGGCTTTTTCTACTGAGGCACTATTAAGTTTGTTTTTCTGAATATCTTTTAAAACAAAACAGATTGTCTTTCACAGCACCTTCATCGAAAGACACCGCATCAGACCAGAAGACTTGAAGACTTGGTTTGGTGATTCTTACTTACTTCTTGAAAATTAAAACCAAACCAGAATCACAAATATCTCTAAACATCAAAGCCTTTGCTAGTGTCCTGACCTCTTATCTAGCCTTACTGATATGCTGCTAGAACACTGCTTTCCTTTAGTCTGCCTCCTTGACTAAAGAAGTTTTAAATAGCTTGGGTGCTGTTTTTTTGTGGCACCTTTTCCTCTTTCCTCAGTAGGGGTCCTCCTCTACGCCTGCCACCATCTGTAACCATGGTAACTAGAGGGAGTTGTGTTCAGCTTGGGGCTAGATAGAAGGAAGGATGGCAGGCAAGAACAAATCTTATTGAGTAGTTAGTTCCCTGCTCATTTGCAGGGAAAGGCTGCAAGATTCTAAAAGACATGGGACTGTCTCCTCATTGACTGAATTCTGTTCAGTGCTAATACAATGCTAGGTATTGGTAGTAAGTAGGCCTGGCACTGGTCTTGCCAGCCTGTGTGTGAGATGTCAACAAAGGCTGTACAGGGACCTTGCTAGAGAAGCAAGGTGCAATTTCCAGGGGCCTGTGTACCTGGCGCACATCTTAGTTGACAGGCACTCAGTGTTGTATGTATATGTGTAAAGGTCATGTGGAGTTACCCGCACGTTAAAACTCCAGTTTTACTTTAAAGCAGGGATGAGGTTATATCTCTACACTTCAATTTTTCTATCTTTACTTTTCTTTATCTGAGTGTTTACTTATGTTACTTTCAATATCACCAATTATTTTGATTGGGCAATCCATATATATAGTACAACATTCAAAAGATAGAAAAGGGTATAATTGGTATAAAGTAAGCCTTCTTCCTATCCCTGGTTTTGTATTTCTCTCTCCAGAAAATTTCTTATGTATCTTTCCAAAAATATATTATGCCTATGTAAGCGTATGTATTTTCAAGGTGCAGTCTCTTTGTTCCATGTCAGTCCAAAGAGAGCTGCATCATTTTTTTAAGTGGTTGAGAGGGACCTTAGAAAGCACCTAATCTGAGTTATGTATTTTTTGGAGGAGGAAACTGAGTCCCAGAGATGTTAAATAACTGGTTAGGATTCTGTTTTGCAGTCATCTGACTTTTCATTTATGTTCACGTGTTCTTTTGAAAATAAATTTTACATAGTCCCATTAAAATTTTTTTACTCAGATTTTGGTCCATCTTTAGGCTTATGATTCCTTACATTCTTAATGCTTTCGATGTTTAAATGTTTAGATGTTTAAATCTGGACACATTGATTTATTTATATAGGTGGCAGAGTGATTCTTAAAATCGTTCTTAGCATCCCATGTCTCTGAGGATACCTTTGTGACGTTTCTTTGCTCTGCATATTTCATTTGGTGGTTTGAGAAATTAAGTTTTTACTGTTTTCTTTCCCCATTACAGAGACATGCCTTTTAATTTTGAGCTTTTGGTATACTGTTCATGTAAGACCATTGTTACTTCTCTTCATTTTTTCAATTGCTGTGTTTAGCAGTTTACTTTCCTTGAGTTTTTTTTTTTTAAACACAGGGTCTCACTCTGTCACCCAGGCTACAGTGCAGTGGCCTGATCACAGCTCACTGCAGCCTCTACCTCCCAGGCTCAAGTGATCCTCCCACCTCTGCCTCTCAAGTAGCTGGAACCACAGGCATATACAGCCATGCCTGGCTAATTTTTTTTTGTTTTCTGTAGAGGTGGTATCTCCCTATGTTGCCCAGGCTGATCTCGAACTCCTCACCTAAAGCAATCCTCCCACCTTGGCCTCCCAGAGTACTGGAATTACAGATGGTAGCCACTGCTCCTGGCCTACTTTCTTTTATTTTGCTTACATCTCTTATATGTGTTTGAGTATGAGTTCTTTTCCCCCTCATCCCTAATGTGTTGTTTTTTAAAGTTGAACACCAGAGGCCTTCATTTTTTGAGCATTTTACACTTTATTTCCTTTTTCTGTGCACAGATGCATTACCACAGAGAAATTTGTAATTTAAATCCTATTGACAAAAGACCATATTATATACCATTTGGCCCATGCAATAAAGAGAAACAACATCTTTTTATATAATCACATTATTGTAACTTATGTTATACATTGTCATATAACACTGGTAAGATGCTTCTTATTACATATAGTGACAAGGATGCTATGAGGGAATTTTAGTATTTCTTTCCTCTCCCTCTTCTTTACCCTTAAATATATATACTCATCTTAGTGCTGTGGCCACGTAACAATTCCATTAGATAAAAACAACTGTTTAATTTTGCTGATACAAAGCAAGGAGCCCAGACATCTTTTGTATTTTTTATGCACATGTATGTATGTGTGTGTGTATATGTACATGAGTGTGTTTTATATTTTATATATAGGCCATTTTTGGGTAATTGCTGAGGATGTGGTTTAACGAATTCAGTTGGTATAGATGGAGCACACCAAAAGTCTGAAACAGAAAAACAAAACTAGTTTTATACCATTTGGTTTTAGAATGGCTAGTCTAGTAAGCTTCTTCCCAAGGGTCTTTATGTGGATATGGACCTTTCAGGACCAGATAATTTCTGCTGCCCTTAAGTGGAATGAATGGTAGAGTACACTGGGGACAGCTGATGGACTTTTAACCATCTTGGATGAAAAGAAAGATGTCTGTTTTCATTTCTTTGTCTTTCATTGCAGAGGATTTATGGATGACTTGGTGTAACTCCAAATGCCTCTTGGTGTTTCTTATTTGCCAGACTGAGAGAGGGAAAGTTGGGACCTAGAAGACAAAGTTACTTCTGATTCATCCTTCTGTTATTAAATATACATTGGTGGTTAGAGACACTAATTACTTTCAAAAGCTTAAAGGGAAAGGTAGCCATTCTTCACTTCTCTTGATTGGATGAATTAAGTAAAATAATGCCGTTAGTTACAAGGAGAGACCTCTAATTCTTTTGCTCTCTGAAACTCTCTCTCTCTCTCTCTCTCTCTCTCTCTCTCTCTCTCTCTCTCTCTCTGTCTCTCTCTCTCTCTCACACACACACACACACACACACACACACACAACCTAAAATGTATAACTTTTTTTTTTTTCTATTAGAGATGAGGATGACATCAATGATGTGACTTCTATGGCAGGGGTCAACCTTAATGAAGAAAATGCCTGCATCTTAGCAACAAACTCTGAATTGGTTGGCACACTCATTCAGTCATGTAAAGATGAACCATTTCTTTTTATTGGAGCTCTACAAAAGAGAATTTTAGACATTGGTAAGTGTAGAGTTATGATTATTGACCTGATAGAGATGTCTGTTTGAGGGAAAATATTATCAAAAGAGACAACCTGGGTTGGTTGTCCTGGAACTCTGAGGCTTAAATAAGATTCTAGAAATAATCAAGATTTCATGGGCATTACAGAAAGAAGTAGTTTATTTTAAAAATTATTAATATAACATGGTATTGGGTTTGGTTAATATTTTACTCATATTTCTTAATGGAGGAATAGTGGAATATATTTTTGCATGAATATATAATATACTATTTTTTTTTCTGTCCTGTTCCTTCCATAGTTGGACTTTTGGCATATATATGTACAAATGCACACTTATGTTACATGTTTGTGTTTATGAAATACAGGGACATCCAAAGAAAGTAACTCCCTTTCCCTTTTCTTAACCTTGAAGTTTAAACCCATTCTTACTTTAAAAAACTAGATTAGAGTCTTAGGGTCCTCTCTAGGCCCAGGAGTAGTTGTTAGATAGCTGCAGTGTGAAAGAAAATGTAAGAAAACACGGCCAGACACGGTGTCTCATGCCTGTAATCCTAGCACTTTCGAAGGCCAAGGTGGGCAGATCACATGAGTTCAGGAGTTTGAGACTAGCCTGGCCAACATGGTGAAACCCTGTCTGTACTAAAAATACAGAAAATTAGCCAGGTGTGGTGGGGGTGCGCCTGTAGTCTTAGCTACTCGGGAGGCTGAGGCATGAGAATCGCTTGAACCCGGGAGGCTTCTTCACCTATGTCAAATTTTTGGGGCCAGTACTAATGAGCTTCAAATATACTTAAGTAAGACCTTTATATTTTATAACGAAGGCTTGATACAAAAACGTGAAGGTTTCGATTTTTATAGACCTATGGTATATTTAAGGACTACAAAGTTCATTATTATTACAGTTTTTAGGTCTACTTCACAGGTACTCAGTAAATAAATGTTTTAGCTGCTGTATGCTATATAAATGACCAGGGTTTTCTTCTTCTTCTTCTTTTTTTTTTCCTCAAGATGGAGGGAGCCTCACTCTGTCACCCAGGCTGGAGTGCAGTGGTGCCATCTTGGCTCACTGCAGCCTCTGCCTCCCAGGTTCAAGTGATTCTCCTGCCTCAGCCTCCTGAGTAACTGGGATTATAGGCACCCACCACCACACCCAGCTAATTTTGGAATTTTTAGTAGAGACAGGGTTTTACCATGTTAGCCAGGCTTGTCTTGAGCTCTTCACCTCAGGTGATCCACCCGCCTCCCAAAGTGCTGGGATTACAGGCGTGAGCCACCGTGCCTGGCTTACATTTCTAATTTAAATCGAGAATACATTATTATGAAAAACTAGAGCTTTGAAGTCCAGAAGAGCTGATTGTAAAATGTGTTTGTTTTCTATTTGCTTGTGTTTCCCTCCCTCTCCCTGTGTTCCTTCATTCCTTTGCTTCTTCCATTTTCTTTTTTGCATATGTATTTTGTATTATACAGAAACCAGTTCCTTAATTTGGGAACAAGTCTCAGCACTAAACCTTCCTGTGATGGCTTGGGAAATCTATTGGTAGCTTAACTCCTTATTGCCATATAATTATCTAGTGCTTTGGTAAAATATAAGTAGATACTTAGTTTTATCGGTCACCCTCCCTTCCGATTTTTTTTTTTTTTTTTTTTGAGACTGAGTTTTGTTCTTGTTGCCCAGGCTGCAGTGCAGTGGCACGATCTCGGCTCACTATAACCTCCGCCTCCCGGGTTCAAGCGATTCTCCTGCCTCAACCTCCCGAGTAGCTGGGATTACAGGTGCCCACTACCATGCCCGGCTAATTTTTTGTATTTTTAGTAGAGATGGGGTTTCACCATGTTGGCCAGGCTGGTCTTGAACTCCTGACGTCAAGTCATCCACCCGCCTTGGCCTCCCGAAATGCTGGGGTTACAGTCGTGAGCCACTGTGCCCAGCCTGCTTCCAAATTCTATTTCCAGTGTGGTTTAAACCTTGATTATATGATAGAAAAATTTTTGGCATTAAAAGCATTTTTGATCACTTAGGACAGGGATAAGCAACTTTTTCCTTCAAAGGGCAGATAATATTTGCCACTTTTGTAGGTTATATGGTTTCTGTCACAATTGCTCAATTCGGCTGTCATAGTACAAAGCAGCCATAGACAATGTGTAAACAAATGGGCATGGTTATTGTCTTAGTCATCTTGGATTGCTGTAACAAAATACCATAAATTGGATGGCTTAAACAACAAATGTTTATTTCTCATAGTTCTGGAGGTTGGCCATTTGAGATCAGGGTGCCAGCACGGTCAGATTCTTGGTGAAGGCCTTCTTTCTGGTATTCAGACAGCCATCTTCTTGCTGTGTTTTCATGTGGCAGAAAGATAACTAGCTAGCTCTCTGGTCTCTTCTTAGGGCGAAGGCAGTACTTTTATGACCTAATTGTCTCCCAAAGGCCCCAACTCCAAATACCATCTCACTGGCATTAGAGCTTCAACATGAATGACTTTTGGGGAGATGCAAACATTTAGTCCATGCAACTGTATCCCCGTAAAACTTCACTTACAAAGAGTGATCAGATTTGGCTTGTTGGCCATAGTTTGGTAACCTCTAATTTAGCACAATAAGGGAACAACTATTTGCATTTTTACTTCTTTTTTAAAAAAATATTTATTTTTGGGATGTGGTCTTGCTCTGTTGCCCAGGCTGGAGTACAGTGGTGCTATCACAGCTCACTGCAGCCCTAACTTCCCAGGTTCAAGTGATCCTCCTGCCTCAACCTTTTGAAGTAGCTGGGACTACAGGTGCGCACTACTAAATCTGGCTAATTTTTGTATTTTTCTGTAGAGACAGGGTCTCACTATGTTGCCCAGGTTGATCTTGAACTCCTGGTCTTAAATCATTTTCAGTTCTTAGTGATGAAGTACAAACCTGTCGAATAATATGGAAAACTTCAAGAATTCTTACTTCTGAATTAGCTAAGCTTTTTTTTTTTTTAAAGTAGGATCATAGAGTGAATGGAGTTACATATTTCTAGGAATGCTTTCCATTTATAATAAAATTCCTTCCTTGTAGAATAGGTCAGAACCAAGGCTGTTTGTTAAAAATAGAAATTACAAATTTACCCAAAGATTTTCTTTTTGGAAAAAGGATTTTTCTACTTGAATAATGTTAACAGATAAAATGCCAGTGTTCTTTTCTTTTTTTCCTAATAACCTAAATTAAATTGCACGTTCAGTAAAATCACATAACTAGTGTGCAAGCACCAACTAGATCTTAATCAGTTTTGTTGATTTTGTTAAAAAGGGTGTTTTGTTTTAAAATGGGAATTTTTCTACAGTATTTTACTTTGTAATTTTTAAGTTGTATTTTATTACCAATTTAGTGAAGACATTACAACATTTGGTTGTTCCCTAAACCCTGGAATTGTTTAATCTCAGCACTTATTTCCAATATTTAAAAGATATGTGTGTTTTTATGTTGGATGAATTACCTCTGTTTTATGAATACATATGAAATTATTTTCAGAAGTTCTTCTTCAAACACTAAGGTGCCTTGCACCTGTAATCCCAGCACTTTGGGAGGCTGAGGCAGGAGGATTGCTTGAGCCCAGAAGCTAGAGACCAGCCTGGGCAACATAGTGAGACCCAATCTCTACAAAAATTTAAAAAAGTAGTTGGGCCTGTTGGCTCATGCCTGTACTTCTAGCTACTCAGCAGGCTGAGGTGGGAGGATTGTTTGAGCCTGGCAGGTCGAAGTTGCAGTGGGCTATGATTGCTCCACTGCATTCCAGCCTGGGTGACAGAGTGAGACCCTGTCTCAAAAATAATAATAATAGGCCAGGAGCGGTGGCTTACACCTGTAATCCCAGCACTTTGGGAAGCTGAGGCGGGCAGATCACTTGAGGTCAGGAGTTTGAGACTAGCCTGGCCAACATGGTGAAACGCCATCTCTACTAAAAATACAAAAAAAAATCAGCCAGGTGTGGTGGCGCTTGCCTATAAGTAATCCCAGCTACTTGGGAGGCTGAGGCAGGAATGTTGCTTGAACCTGGGAGGCAAAGGTTGCAGTGAGTGGAGATTGCACCACTGCACTCCAGCCTGGGTGACAGAGCAAGACTCCATCTCAAGAAAATAAAAATAAAAATAAGAAATAAAATTGTACTTTTTCTTTTATAGAAGGCCCCACTATTTGTTTATGCTGAGGGTTTTAGTTTAATTTTTATTTTTTTTTTGAGATGCAGTTTTGCTCATGTTACCCAGGCTGGAGCGCAATGGTGCGATCTCAGCGCACTGCAATTTCCGCCTCCCAGGTACAAGTGATTCTCCTGTCTCAACCTCTCGTGTAGCTCGGATTACAGGCATGCACCACCACGACCAGCTATTTTTTTTGTATTTAGTAGAGACGGGGTTTCACCGTGTTAGTCAGGCTGGTCTCGAACTCCTGACATCAGGTGATCCACCTGCCTTGGCCTCCCAAAGTGCTGGAATTACAGGCGTGTGCCACCATGCCTGGCCTATGCTGAGGGTTTTATTAAAGTAGAGTTGACTTTGTAGAATTTTTTTCCCTGCCTGAATCTGAGATTAGAGAGGATTTCAGCTTTGTTACAAGTAATGAATTACATTTTGAAGGGTTGGTTTAGGAGAAGTTGATTAATTTTGTATCTTCCTATTTGCTTTCATTATATAATATCAATGTATTTGAGTTATTGACTTTTAATTCAAGCATATTTTTTCTGTAGTTCACCCTTTGATGAGAATATAAGAGTATATTTCAGGTAAATTAGAATATAAAATCAAACTATAATATTTTAAAAATTCATGTGTATATGTTAAAAACAATCACAGTAGTGCTTTTTAAAAAGCCTATTTAAAACAGATGACCTAATTGCCTGTATCTTTAGATTTAAGCCTCTGTTGATATAAGTGGTTTCACTGGGGCTGAGAAGTACTATTTAAATTACGGACAAGGTTGATTTATAAATGAACTTCTGACTCTTTTGAGTATGTGGTCCAAATTGTTTTCCTGAAACTTTCTTGCTAGTTAGCAGAAGGAAGAAGTTTGATTTTTTTATGGAAAGGAAATCTAGTGAGAGAGAAGTTATTCAGATAGGTAGGTGAAACGATGAGGTTTTGAACCCATTTGAACTTGTAAATTGACTACTAAGTGAATATATCAGAACATCAGTTAATGCAAAGTAAACATGATTGGTAATAGACAAAAGGAATATAGGTATGTCTTGTAGACAAGGCATTAACAGAGACTCATAATCTGAATTCATTTAAATAAATGTCATAAATTGTTAACAGTGTCAAACAGGGCAAAATGTAATTTTCTATTTTTTTAATTACTAAAATTAACAGAATATGGTACTAATTTCTGCAGTTACCATTTTCCTCCCTGAACAATAGACTTGATTTGTGTTCTTATTAACTTTGTCCTATAAATGACCTTGCAAGGAGAATGATTCTAGAGGCTAAGTGAAACAATGTCTATATTTTCTGAGGCTTCAGGCTAGGTTTTATTAATGTAATGTCTAAGATCTTTGAAGTTGTGACTTTACTAGGAAAATCATAATCTCCAAACCTTTATTCATAATGGGTATGACTTCCAGGGGGAACAGAATACCTGCTGTGCTAATTATTTCAATTATCAGCCACTACTAAAACACGTAATGGATTTTCTCTGCTTCTGCAGGTAAAAAGCATGACATTACAGAACTTAACTCTGATGCTGTGAACTTGATCTCCCAAGCAACACAGGAACGACTACGAGGCCTTCTAGAAAAACTGACTGCAATTGCTCAGCATCGAATGACTACTTACAAGGTAAAGGAAATCATTAAAGAAGTATAAACTCTCGAGTGTTATAGGTAGTCTTTTGGGCGTGGATTGATATTCTAAACACGTTTTTAAAGGAATGGTTGAGGCTTATATTTCATATTAGTGGAAAATCAAAGTCTCATTCTTATTTAGATAAGCTTACATGACAAATAAAATTAAAATGGAGTTTAAAATGATATTAAAAGCTTCTGTGTCACTGTAGATTGAAATATGTATCTGTTCTGCATGAGGCTTCTCTTAAGCTTTTGATGGGGAAGGAAAGATATGTTAGAATGGAATATTGGCTACTTGTGTTCTCTTCAGTGTTCTGCACTCTCCTCGCATTCCTGTTCCTTTTTTTTTTTTTGCCTTTCAGTTTTCCAGAGATTGATTTATTTTAAAATAAATTTTATTGTATATATTAATATTTAAGGTATACAACGTGTTAAAGATACACATGTATAGTAAAATTATTACTATTTAGTTGAATAAGTTAACATTTTCATTATCTCAAATCTACCCATTTTCTCCCCTGTGGCAAAAGCAGCTATAATCTACTCATTTAGCAGAAATCCTGAAAACAATATATTACTAACCATAGTCCTTATGTTCTACATTAGATCTTTCCACTTGTTCATCCTCTGTTCCTTTTAATAAGTTAAATGATTGCATTGAGTGCTCATATTGATGCTACTAAGTGTTATTGGCTACTTTTATTAAAAAAACTAAATACAGGAATAGCTTGTATCCCTAGTGGTATGAACCAAATGACTTGCTGTTATCAAGGTAAAATAACTTGATGTAGTTTTGGAGGAGGGCGAATATATTGGGTGATTAGGGATGAAAAGAGAAGGTAACCTGAGTTGAAAATAAATAAATAAATAAGATAACTGTTTCCCTCTTTCCAAGAAATGTTTATAGCTAGATTTTGAACAAGATGGTATGTAGGTAACCTTAAGAGATTTTGAATTTGGAAGAATGGTCATTGCCGTGATATCCTAGTCAAAGGTTAAAGGAAACTAGGAAATTGTCAGCTACTACACCACCAGTAAGTTCCCTGGAGGAATCATATTATTTTATTTTTTTTTCCTTTCCATTTAGAACTTTGGAAAAACTACATATGATTGCCAAGGTCCTCACTTGCATAAATCTTTGTGAGAATTTGCTGGACTGACTTAGGAATATGTGATCAACAGGAGAAAAAGCTATGAAAAAAACAAAAAATTAATATCAGTATTTTATAATTCCTAGAAACACACAAAAATAAATAAAGATATTAATTTTGTGTTTCTAGGAATTTTTTCATTTCTCCTAGGTTATCTAATTTGTTGGCATAGGACTGTTAATAATACTGTCTTGTAACCTTTTATTTCTGTAAGGTCAATGGTAATGATCCCCCTTACATTACTGATTTTTGTTATTTGCATCTTCTCTCTTTTTCTTCTTTGCTAGTAAAGCGAATGGTGTGTTGATTTTGTTGAGCTTTTCAAATAACCAACTTTTGGTTTTATTAATTTTCTGTTTTTCTATTTTTGATTTCGTGTATCTCCACTCTAGTTTTTATATTATTTTCCTTCTAAGCTTCAGGCTTAGTTTGCTCTTCTTTTTTTTTAGTTTCATAAGATGTAAAGTTAGGTTTTTTATTTGAGATCTTCCTTTTATAATGTAGGCGTTTACTACTATACATTTCCCTCTGAGTACTGCTTTCACTGCATTCCATAAGTTTTGGTATGTTGTGTTGTCGTTTTCATTTATCTTTAAATATTTTCTCATTTCTTTTGAGATTTATTTGATTCTTTGTGACTGTAGAGTATGTTGTTTAATTTCCAAATATGTGGGAATTTTCCAGTTTTCCTTTTGTTGTTGGTTTCTAGCTGTATTCCGTTGTGGTCAGAGAAGATACTTTGTATGAATCATTCATTTAAAATGTACTGAGGCTTGTTTTATGACTTAACATACATTGTATCCTGGAAAATGTTTCATGTGCACTTGAGAAGAATGTGTGTTCTGCTCTTGTTTCATAGATGTCTGATAGATATAGTTGGTTTATAATGTTAAGTCCTCTGTTTCCTTATTGATCATCCATCTGGATGTTCTATTCATTATTGAAAGTGCAGTATTAAAATCTTCAACTATTGTGGAGCTCTATTTTTCTTTTTGTTTTAGAGACAGGGTCTCACTCTGTCATCCAGGCTGGAGTGCAGTGGTGCAATCATAGCTCATTGCAACCTTGAACTCCTGGACTCAAGCACCCTCCCACCTCAAGCCACCCTCCCACCTCAGCCTTTCCAGTAGCTAAGACTAACAGGCGTGTGCCACCACACCCAACTAATTTTTTTTTTTTTTTTTTTGAGACAGGGGCTCACTATGTTGCCCATGCTGTGGAATTGTTTTTTAAACAAAATTCTGTCAATGTTTGTTTGCTTCATATATTTGAGAAGTCTGGTTTGATGTGTATATCTTCTTGATGAATTGACCTTTTTATCAATATATAATAATGTCCTTGTTTGTCTCTTTTAAGGGTTTTGTACTTAAAGTCTATACTGTCTGATATTACTTTCTTTTGTTTGTTACTTGCATGGAATATCTTTTTCCATCCTTTCACTTTCAGCGTATTGGTATGGTTTCAACTAAAGTATAGACAGCATATAATTTGATCATTTTTTAAAATTCATTCTGCTAGTCTCTTTGAAGAGCTTACTCCATTTACATTTAAAATGTAATTACTGATAAATAACTTCTATTTTGCTATTTCTTTTCTGTATGCCTTATAAGTTTTGTGTTCCTCACTTCCTCTGCTTCTTATGTTTAATTGTTTTTGTTTTGTTCCATTTTGATCCCCTTCTCATTTCGTTTTGGATATATTTAGATATCTTCTTAGCAGTTACCATAGAGATTACAATTAACATCCTAAATCTACAATCTAGTTTGGATTGTTATCAGCTTACTTTTAATTTTGTGATGTGGGAAAATTATAGACATATTTTTGGCTTTTTACTATAACTCTTTAAAGTATCTTACAGTTTTTCAAACTTAGATTCTCCCTACTTCTGCCTTAATCACACTGTTGTTTCAGAGATACATGAATACCTTTTTTAGTAGAGATAGGGTTTCGCCATGTTGGCCAGGCTGGTCTCAAACTCCTGGCCTCAAGCAATCCACCCGCCTCGGCCTCCCAAAGTGTTGGGATTACAAGTGTGAGTCACCATGCCTGGCCACGTGAGTACATCTTGATTTATAGTAGGCAGTTTCTGTATAAAACATAATAAGTATAATTTACAATGGAATAGAATTTTTAAAGTAATATTTATTGAATGGCATTCAAAGCTCTATTGTGTATAGCTTTCAGCTGGAATTCTTTTGTTGTATATCAGTAGCGTATTTCCAAACATTTAGTTGCACTAGGCAAAATGGATGGTATCTCCCCCACCTAGAAGACCTCACTAAGTTAGCTTGAAGCTAACACTTCCTTAACCTGCTGTCTTGTATACTACCTATTCTGACTGATTTTCCCGAGCTTTCCTTTTCCTACACTCATTTGTTAATACAGCTAATGCCACTGTCTACATTTGCGTATATATAAAATAACAAAAGATTATCAGCCCTTTTAAGTCAAAATAATTATCATTTGGTTATATTTGGATTCAGTTTGAAATCACCATTATTTTGTAGACTTTGTTTGTAATAATCTTTATGTCACAGCTTTAGCCCTGTCCTTATATTTCAGTTCATCCCTGATAGGATTTATTTTTATCTGTACAGTGTAGGAAATTCTACTCCATAGATTTTATAAAAGTGAGTTACTCTTTTTAAAAAAGTGAAATCCCCCCATCTCTTTCCACTCTTGAACATCCATTTACTTTTGATAATCTTTCACCTGGTTTGATATAATTCTTTAATCATTAGTCATAAACTGAGATCTAAGTAAATAAGTAGAAAGTGACATGTAGTACAGAGCTTTTGATCTGGCTACCAGGTGTTTTCCCACTGAAGATATGTTATAGTCGCCTATATGACTATGGCCCTGAAGAAGCTTCATTCAGTGTTTTCCAGTTGAAAGGTGCTATTTGGGTTGCTTTAGATGGGATTCATTTGATGGTGTTGATATCATTTGGTCTGGGTCATTACATTTTCTTGGCTAAACCATTTAATATGCAGTGGCCTTAACATTGTAAAGCCCTACTCTGTTGGTGCATGAAATCTTCAGTTAGGCCAGCTGGGTATATAGGAAGGAACATAAGATTGGGGTTGCTGTTGTTTAAATAAGGTTATAGACTTAATATGAATAGGGAGGGCACTCATTTGTTTAGTGATACGGAAGAAAAAAGGATGCGAATGTCAGAGGTCGTTGTATATGAGTTGGGGGAGAGAGAGGAAGGAATCTTAGCATGGGAATATGATTGGGCTAAAATTTAAAAAGTCTGTGACCCTTTTTAATTTAGTATTTGCTGTCCTTTTTAAATTAAATCCCATCATTAAACCATTTCCAGAGTGTCTAAACACAAAAATGGTAAAGATTAAGTATTTAAGAAACCACTGGTTATTATATTTAATCTCTATGGTTAGCCTATAATGTATTCCATATTCTATCTTGTGTTATTTAACTTTAAAAACAGTTGAGAATTCTTTTTGTATTAAACATGAAGTAAAATAAGTAGCACTAATATATCCTTGTTCCTTAAACTATGTAATACTCTTTTGATCTAGTTAAATACCAACAATAAAAATTTAATTTAAAAAGAATCTTGGGCATATGAAATCCCTCAGTCACAGTTAATTGAATCAACCATAAGCAGGGGGATAAAACAAAGATGGGAGTGGTACAGTACTCATGATTTCCAGGCCAGGCACTGACTGTTGTTTAAAGACATTCGGTTTTTCTACTATACAGTTTCTCTTGAATATCCGAATTACTGAGATGAATAGATGGCAAGATGTCTTAAACATTGATTAGAAAGCTCTCCCTGTCCCATTGCCTCCTCCAACCCTGTCCCCCACTCCTGCCTATACACACTCATAGAGGAGAAAGGGGCAGCTATATAGGTGAAGAAAATTAGAAAATATTTAGGTGGGAAAGCACTGTTTTACATCCACAGAATAGATTGAGCAATTTGCATTTTATCATTTTATGGAACAATTAAGACAGTTTATACTTCTGTTATGGCTGTCATTTATAAATTGTATACTAAATTTCTTTGACCACAGTTTCTGTCCAAATTCACACCCCTGAGTAATCCTCAAAATAGCATTTCAAGATTTTAATGTTTGCCATCTTAACTTAGATTATATTTTGATAGAAGTTATATTCAGTTGTCAAGGTTAAACCAATCTAATCATGGTAACCAAGGTGATAACTTTCATCTTTGGTATATTTTTTAGTGAGGTGATTGTTTCTTGCTTTTTGTCTTTCAGAAAACTAAGATTTAATTACTTATATTAATGTCTGCTGAGGTAGATAATAATCTAAAAAGATTTTGGTTATTGGTGAATGGGGCACTCTTTAGTTTCTCCTTCCTATTGTTGGAAGGATCTGCTTGGCTTAATTCCTCCCCCTTCACCCCACAATGATGTTTACTAGCAAAGTTCTTTGAAACATAACTGGTTAATCATCTCTCAAATTTTAAGAATGATTAAAGTTTCTTTTCTGGTGGAGTGGATGTAGGGGGATGTTTGCTTAATAGAAACAAAATCATTACCTTCTGAAAGTTCAGCTTCCTATTTATGTTGGTATTCCTGCCTTTAGCAGGTTTATACAATACCTAATGTAGAATGTGTGGCCCAGGATCATTATAAGACTTTCTGTTTTCTTTTTTTTCCCAGGCAAGTGAAAATTACATCCTGTGTAGTGATACCAGGTCACAGCTCAAATTTCTTGAAAAGCTGGATCAATTGGAGAAGCAGAGAAAGGATTTGGAAGAAAGAGAAATGTTACTTAAGGCAGCCAAGGTAAGGGCCAGTGTGATTTATGAGTGAATGTGGCCTGGCAGTGTGGTCAGAGGTGGCTTTATCGTTGGTTGACTGTCTTGGTTTTATTAGGCCTTTAGATTTCTCCAGAGGATTTCCTAAAACGAAATTACTAATAGGATGTCTCACAGCCAGGATGGTGTGGTGGCTTTCAGTTAATTTAGTTTAATGAGTCATAATCTTTTGTCTTCTCACATTTCCTGTGTGCTCTCCCCATCCTCAAACCCAGGTAAAATGTTTCGTAAAATTTCAGGGTCTTTTTAGGAATCCAATTTGATACATGCCAAGTTGAAGTTGATAGGGAAAATTTGGAAAGTAGACAGGAAGGTTATGGGTAAAATTAGTAATTTGGATTTTGTGGAACAAAATACAGGCTGGGTGGAAATAGAGTAAAAGAATAGCGAGGCTTCTTTATTTAATTTTATTTTTGGAGACAGAGTCTTGCACTGTCACCCAGGCTGGAATGCAGTGGCATGATCTCGGCTTACTGCAACCTCTGCCTCCTGGGTTTAAGCAGTTCTCTGCCTCAGACTCCTGAGTAGCTGGGACTACAGGTGCCTGCCACCACGCCTGGCTAATTTTTTTTGTTGTTGTTGGTTTGTTTTTTAGTAGAGACAGGGTTCCACCATGTTGGCCAGGTTGGTCTTGGAACTCCGACCTTGGGTGATCCGCCTGCCTTGGCCTCCCAAAGTTTTGGGATTACAGGCGTGAGCCACCCGCCTGGCCAAGGCTATTTATTTATTTCCCTTCTCCCTTATTTAAACGTTTTCTTGGGCTATTAGTGTCACATGAGGTAAAAGCTAATTCCACTACAGTTTCCATTTTGAAGCTCCACATTTCTTCGTAGGCTTTGGGCCATTGTGAGAAATCTTAAAGGCTGAGCACTGGAGTCTTAATTTTTGTTTTAAGCACATTTGTTTTAATTTCTAGCGTTCTTGATAGCTTCCCTTTTTAGAGTATTTGTTCCTAATCACATAGCAATTACTTTTTTAAAAACTAACGTATTTTGAGGCCGGGCACAGTGGCTCATGCCTGTAATCCCAGCACTTTGGAAGGCTGAGGTGGGCGGATCACGAGGTCAGGAGATCGAGACTATCCTGGCCAACATGGTGAAACCCCATCTCAACTAAAAATACAAATATTAGCCGGGTGTGGTGGTGCACGCCTGTAGTCTCAGCTACTCAGGAGGCTGAGGCAGGGGAGCCTCTTGAACCCTGGGAGGTGGAGGTTGCAGTGAGCTGAAATCGTGCCACTACACTACAGCCTGGTGACAGAGCAAGACTCCATCTCCAAAAAATAAATAAATAAAAACAAAACAAAAAAACTCCAGAAAAACCTAATTTATTTTGAAATTATTTAATACAGAAAAGTTGCCAAAACTGTACAAAGTACTCTCAGTCCCCTTTCCCAGATCCCCCCAATTTTAACATTTTACTGCATTTGCTTCATCTCTACCATTTTTGTTTTATTTTTTTGTTTTTTGAGCAATCTCTCTCTGTAGCTCAAGCTAGAGTGCAGTGGCACAATCTCGGCTCACTGCAACCTCTGCCTCCCAGGTTCCAGCAATTCTCCTGTCTTAGCCTCCTGAGTAGCTGGGACTACAGACGCTCACCACCACGCCCGGCGAATTTTTTGTATTTTAGTAGTGACAGGGTTTCACCATGTTGCCCAGGGTGGTCTCGAACTCCTGAGCTTGATCCGCCCACCTCAGCCTCCCAAAGTTCTGGGATTACAGGACTGAGCCACCGTGTCCAGCCTTATCTGTACCCTTTTCATTACCCTTTCTACACATACAATCATTAATCCCCTCCCTGTTTTCCTCCCTTCTTGCCTTCCCCACTTCCTCTCTTCCTCCCTTTCTTTCTTCTTCTCTCCTCCTACCTTTCTTTCCTCTTTCTCTTTCCTTTTCTTTCTTTTTGAGACAGAGTTTCACTCTGTTACTAGGCTGGAGTACAGTGATGTGATCGTGGCTCACTGCAGCCTTCACCTCTCAGGCTCAAGCAATCCTCCCACCTCAGCTTCTTAAGTAGCTGGGACTACACGCACACACCACTACGCCTGGCTAAATTTTGATTTTTTGTAGAGACAGGATCTCCCTACAGTGTTCAAGCTAGTCTCAAATTCCTAGACTCAAGCAGTCCTCCTGCCTCAGCCTCCCAAAGTGCTGGGATTACAGGCATGAGACACTGTGCCCAGCCATTTTTCTTTTCTTAAGCTTTTTGAAAGTAGTCTTCAGACATGATGTTCCACCACTCCTGAACATTTTCATATGTAACACTATCATCTAATGCACAGCACCCATTCTGATTTCACTAGATGGCTTAACCATGTCTCTCTTTCATGGTCCATTTTCCCATTCAGGAATTTGTATTTCATGTAGTTGTCATCTCTTTTCAGATTCTTTTAGGGTTTCTCAGTCTTTCTCTTTTATGCCCTTGACAGTTTCCAAGAGTATAAGCCTTACCTTCTGTAGGATGACCTTCAACCAGGGCTCATCTGATCTTTCCTTATGATTTGACTTAGGTCAAGCATGCTTGGCAGGAATGCACAGAAATGATGCTGCACTCTTCTCAGCTGATCATTTCAAAAGGGTCATATTGGTACCTACTAGTTCTCTCCATTTTAAACTTGCCATCTCCCCCACTTTTTGATTTTTATTTTTTTGAGACAGGGTCTCACTTTGTTGCCCAGACTAGAGTGCAGTGGTGTGATCACTGCTCACTGCAGCCTTGGCCTCTTGGGCTTAAGCAATCCTCCCACCTCAGCCCCCCAAGTAGTTGGGAATACAGGCACATGCCACCACACCTGGATAAATTTTTTAATTTTTTAGAGATAGAGTCTCACTATATTGCCCAGGCTCATTTTTCCCTTTGTAATCAATTAGTTTTTCATAGGACGGCATTCTAAGATGATACCAATATCCAATTCCTCATCAAACCTCCGTGTGTTAACCATAACATCTGTTGTGATGTCTGCCTAAATCAGCTACCTCTGTCATGGTTGCAAAATGTCAATTTATTCCCATGAACTCTCCTCGTTTTATTAGCACCCTACCATGTGGAAGAGCTTTCCTTCTTTATTCATATTAGTATGGGCTAATGATTTCTCTTTGTCTCAATAGGTTGTAATTCATTACTGTCATTTATTTTGTTGCTCAAATTGCCCCTGAGTGGAAGACCCTTCCAGCTGGCCCTTCTGTCCCTTAGTCATGTGTCCATCCATCACTCACTGAGCATGTCCTCACTTTCAGGCACAAGGCACTCCAGGCCCAGCTTATACTTTTCGTGCTCTAGCCCCAAATTCAGCCATTTCTCTAAGAAGCCTGCCTTCTTTTCTGTTGAGGATGACATTCAGAAACTGAGCTTAGGTCATACGGTATACTCATTGCTAAAAGGGTGTCATTACATCTAGGCCTTCTCAATGGACAGATCTAGGAAATGTATATATGGT
Source organism: Homo sapiens (assembly GCF_000001405.40). NCBI lineage: Eukaryota > Metazoa > Chordata > Mammalia > Primates > Hominidae > Homo > Homo sapiens. The sequence continues at coordinate 26,330,609 of NC_000018.10, forward strand.
ATGTGTATATGTACACGTTTATATATATACACACAAATGTCCATCTGTAACTATTTCTATATCTGTGTATATATTATAAAACCGTGAGTTCATATGGATACCTGCAACTCCAATCCAGTGCCTCAGAGTTCCTTCTACCCTTAATCTCTCCATGTTTGTAAAAACATTCTCCAGTCTTGAGAAACTTGGTTCCCATTATCCTTGATATATTTAACTTATGTCCTCTATCAGTTATTTAATCAATGTAACTAATCTCTCAACTAGCCATGCTGGCTGACTCCTCTGTCTGCTACTACTAATATCCCCACCCCATTTCATTGTCTGTGTAATTGGCCACCATGCTCACAGACCCATTCCTTGATGAGACCCCCACTCCCTCACCACCTTGTATTCTTCACCACTGGCCTATACCTTCACATGCCCCAGCTCCCCGTAAGGATATGGAGCACCACAGCCTTGTCACTGTGCTGCTTCCTGCTGTCCTACAGTCCCAGTCCCCACATTGACACCCACTGCACTGGGAAGAGCAGGAAGGTGGGACAGAAAGATGCTCTTTCTTGAGCCCTCAAGTGTTATAAGTAAGCACTTAGTCATTGTAATGAGGTGGTTTATTGGTATTTTATTTCCACTTACTGTGCTGTAAACAAGGTCATAAACTATTAAATACTAGTTTAGTTATTATTGAATATCATAATGTATTATACTTGCTCTTTATCTCCTTTGGCTTTTCCTTCTTTACCAGATGTCTAAATGTTGGATTTAGTAGTTTTGAATCCTATGCCACCTTCTCTGTCTTCATTCCCTTTTAAGTTTGTATCTCCATTTCAGCCTGCATTATGAAAATCTGGACTCATACCATTAACTCCCTACTTGACATGACTTCACTGGCTAATAGTTATTTCAAAATCAATATGTCCAAAACAGCTCCTGTTATTCCTCTCCCCTCTAAATACCTTTTACTCTTATAGATTTTCTTGACTCAATAAATTACACCACCATCTTCCCAGATGTTCAAGCTGAAAAACATAGGCATCATCTTTAACTCCATTCTGTGTCTCCTCTCTCTCCACATCCAAACCACCTCCTATCTTATTTCTAAAATGCACCCAACTTTTCTTCATCACTATTGTCATTACTCTAGTCTAATTCATCTTTCACTTGGACTTTCATACTAACTTCTAAGTAGCCTTCTTTTCCTTCTACAGTCCATTCCTCTATTTCTCCTACTGTGGTCAGAATAATGTTTTTATAACAAATCATGTGTGTCTCTTTTGCCTAAAAGCCTCCAGTGGCTTCCTGTTGCACTTAAATGTAAACTTCTTACCAAATTTTAAAAGGCCTTATATTGTTTGGCACCCACCTACCTCTCTGAGCTTGCCTTGTCAACTACTCGCTCCAGGCACACTGACCTTTCTGTTCCTTGAATGTGCCCAACTTAGGATATTAGACTTCTAACTAGGCATCTTGAACTGACCATTGAGTTCCCTTCCCCTAAGTCTGCTTTTTCTTAGATCTCTACTCTCTTAGAAAGTTGCAATTACCATCCTCCAAGATGCTTGGGACAAAATCCCAGGAGTCATCCTTGATTCCTCTCTTTACTTCATAACTGACAACCAGCCCGGCAGCAAATCTGATCAACTTTACCTGCAAAGATATGTTTTGAATGCAACCATTTATCATCTTCTGTGCTTTGATGCTAGTCCACGCTTCCCTTATCTTCTTTCCAGTCAGTCTCTTCTTCACAACAGTTGTTTTAGAGCAGTCTACAAATTGCTCTGCGTGCCTTTCCGTTCAATCTTGGATCCCTACAGTGCACCCTCTACAGAGTGGCCAGAGCCTTTTGTTTTGTTTTGTTTTGTTTTTTTTAAAGTGTTACATCAGTGACATCTCACCCCTGTGCTCCAAACACGCCAGTGGATTTTTGTTGTTGTTATTGTTTTTGAGACGGAGTTTTGTTGTTGCCCAGGCTGGAGTGCAATGGGGTGGTCTCGGCTCACTGCAACTTCCGCCTCCCAAGTTCAAGCATTTCTCCTGCCTCAGCCTCCTAAGTAGCTGGGATTACAGGTGCCCGCCACCATGCCTGGCTACTTTTTGCATTATTAGTAGAGACGGGGTTTCACCATGTTGGCCAGGGTGGTCTCGAACTCTCCTGACCTTTGGTGATCCACCCACCTCAGCATCCCAAAGTGCTGGGATTACAGGCGTGAGCCACCGTGCCCAGCCCAGTGGATTGTTTTTATAGCTGGAATTAAAGCCCCAATTCCTTATCATGGCCTACAAGGCAACACATGATCTCCAGCCTTTCTCTTTCACCTTTTTTCTATGCTTCAACCACATGGACCATCGTTCTTTCCTCGAGTATATTCCCATTTTAAGGCTTTAGCAATTACTGTCCCTTCTGCTTGGAATGTTTTCCTCCAGATCTTTGCATGACTACATCTTTTTTGTTGTTTAGATATCTACTCAAATATCACTTCTCAGAGATGTCTTCCCTACTATCCTAGCTACAGAAGTACACACCACACTTCTCTATCACATTATTCTATTTATTTTCTTTATTTTTGTTTTTAATTTAATTTTTAAATTATATATATTTTATTTTTAAATTGTTATTATTATTATTTTTTTTGGAGACAGGGTCTTGCTGTGTTGCCCAGGCTGGAGTGCAGTGGCCCCATCTCAGCTCACTGCAACCTCTGCCTCCCAGGTTCAAACGATTCTTAGGTCTCAGCCTCCCAAGTAGTTGGGACTACAGGTGCATGCCACCATGCCCAAATTAAATTTATTTTATTTTGAAACAGGGTCTCATTCAGTTGCCCAGGCTGGAGTGCAGTGGCATGATAATAGCTCTCTACAGGCCTTGATCTCCCAGGCTCAAGCTGTCTACCCACCCACCTCAGCTTGCTGAGTAGCTGGGACTATAGGCACGTGTCACTATGCCTGGCTAATTTTTTAAATTTTTAGTAGAAATGGGGTCTTGCTGCATTAGATAGGCTGGTCTCGAACTTGAGCTCAAATAATTCTCCCACCTTGGCCTCCCAAAGTACTGGGATTACAGGTGTGAGCCACTGCCTCTAGCCTATTTAATTTCCTTTTATAGCACTTAACAGTGTCAGCAATTATTTGTTTTGTATTTTTACCCATCACTAATATTTTACATATCATAAATGTGTTTCATTTTTATAAAATTTTTTATTTTTCTCTTCTTAAAATGTAAGTTACTTGAGTTACTACAATTACTTTGTCTCCTTATATCATCTGTCTCCAAAGGCTAGAACAGTAGCACACAGAGTAGAATCTGTACTATGGATGACCAATAAATATTGGGTGACTGACAAAGACTTGATACTGAAATGTGCCCATTTTATATTGGGGCAAAATATTATATACACACCCACATATATATGTATATATATATAATGCATATTTTAATATAAATACATATATACACAGACTCATTCTCTGGTGATACTATAACTAGAGTAACAAAAGAGTTTATCTTTTCGCTTGAAATGAAATTTTGTTAGTAGATTGGGGACTAAAATGAAGAAAAATTTTACCAGCTTTGGGTTGAATTTTGTGTAGATATTTAAGATGTTTGAAATTAGTAGGCACTCAAATTTAAAGACTATCTCTTATATTTTCCTTTAACCAAAGGTTCTGGTAAATCAATAAATGTATCAGGTAAACTTATTAAATATGAAAATACTTTTAGCTTTTATTTAGTTAGCTATCTAGATATTACCTTAGTTAACGAAGGTTTCATTTTATGGAACAAATACTCAGATTTATAAGCAATTAAATAACTTTGTCATGGTGAGAAAAAAGGATATACGTATCCCAAACATGTTTTCCAGTGGACAGATATTCATGGTGTCAGAAATAAAGTTCCCTACCCTTTGTTCCATCATAGCTTGATACATAGAAAACAGCTCTCTTCTTATGCCAGTTCTGTATTATGGAAGGCGACATCCAATAAACAATTATTGAACATGGTGCACAGCATTCTATTAAGTGCTATAGAGGACCCAAAGATGATAAGACATTCTAATTAAAATACTGAGATGTATTTTCTACTTATAATTTTAGAAATTATACCTTTAAAGAGAGATTTGGTTCAAGGTTAGTCAGGTTCTTGATTTTAATAGTCCTCGAAATACCTATGTTTTCCCAAATGGCTTCACCTGAAGATCAGCCAGTATTGATTGTTTTTATTCATTTAAACCAACAATTACTCTTTTTTTCTTTTCCTTCATCTGTACCACCAATTTTTTAGTTTTCAGTGTTCCTACAAGAACAACGTCATGCCTCAACTGGACCTGACTGACATCGTTAGCATCATTTTCAGTATAAGCTTCCTCCAGGCTAGAACTGCAGCAGCCAGCCCAGATGATGAGGGGGCAGGGGAAACCAGGGTGGGAGTGCAGCTAGACTGGATTGAGGTATTTTCCCCTGGAGCTAAGATATTCAATCACAAGAGAAAATTGTCATTTATTAAATATTTAATGGCAACTATGGTGTTCAGATGCTAGTAATTTCTATTAAAATTTTCTTTTCCTTTGATAGAGTCGTTCTAATAAAGAAGATCCAGAACAGCTGAGATTAAAGCAGAAAGCCAAAGAGGTAGGACTTTCAAGTTACCATGCTTGTCTTTGTGTTTGAGGGAAGGTTGGCAGCTCTCTCCTGGCAATTAGGTCAGGGTTTATTTTGCTGTTGCATACCATTTGCAGAAGCCTTGGGGAAGGACAGGAACTGCTAAAGGCAAGGGCAGTACTTCAAATGAGGTCAATGAGTTATGTGCTCTCTTTTTAAAATTTATTTTCAAGGCTTAGGCCTGTCTCGAAATGGGTCTTTGTAAACTACAGCAGCATACTTGGAGGAATATAATGTGAGATTTTAAAAAAAAAGAAACTTTTGAGATTTAGCATCTGGGACTGTACAATAGGCTACATTTTTCCAGGGTAATTGTTCGTTTTGTAAATCTGATACTGCTTATAATTCTTTGGCTGGGAGGCGGTGCTGGGATTTAGTTTTAAATGGAAAATGCCTCTGGCTTTTAATTTTCTGGGCCCAGCAGTTTTCTGTTCTGGAATGGAGCCCTTGTTTCACACAGTTCATGTTTAGCTGCAGGGGTTTTAGTTTATAGCTTAGACTGGTTAAGCTTTTACTCCCAGAGGCCTCTGCATAGCAACTGTAGAAATCAACAAATAAGTTCATTTATGTCTGCAGCCTCCTCTCAGTAGCTGACTTTTTACATTTCCCAATATCCATTTCCTGACTTTTCTAGCCCCAGAGAAAAAAGCTCCACTAATTGGAGCTTATTTTAATTGAGCCTTAATATTGGATCTCACTGGAGTTGCCCCCAGAGCTGCTGAGAACAGAATGAAATGAAAGTACCTAAGGTTGAAGGTGCAGTGTGTGTATGGGTGTGTGTGTGAAATTTTTCACTTGACCTACAGATTCTTTTCCCTCCTGAATAAATCATCAAGCCTGTTCACATTTCTGATTAAGGATCTGACAGCAGATGATAATAAAGACAATTGAGGTGTGAGACGTGTGATATGGAGCTGAAGAAATTGGTTTCTATAGTTACTTCACTGATTTCATGCAATTTTTAAGGATCTTTGTGCTAAATAAGAGTGATTTTCTGAGCAACCTTTTCCCTTAACTGTGCCTCTTGAACTATGAAATTTGTTGTTGCTTAACATTGCTGCAGTTGGCTCCTAGGTGCCAGCAGCAGCAGGTTATTTATGAACGTTTTAAAGGCCCTTATTGTTTGGATTAATGTAGGAATTGAGGCAAAACAAGTGGAAATCTAGTAAGATTCTTACAATCAATGTGGTGTGTTTTCATTAACATAGAGAAGGAAAATACATGAACTCTGGGTGGAGGGATTTCAGGATTGGGACAGGGAACGATGGAAAGGGAGAACACTTTAAAAAAAAAGTTGAGAGCAGAAACATTTTATTTTCAGCAACAAGATATTCCTTATACTGATGTCTTTCCAGTGGAAAATGTATCTAAAATTATTAGTATGAGAACTGTACCTATAATTCTCTTTAAGCAAACCTGGCATGAGGATAGATTATTTAGGGATGGGCAACCTACTGTTGCTCTGAATCATGGGTATCCCACCTTGTTTTAATTAAGGACTGACTAGATGCTTATCTTCTAATTGCATTCCCTTTTTGGAAAATGTGCAACAGAAAGCTTACCCTTTTAACCTTACCCTGTCTGTTCTTCCTTCATAAACCTTCATAAGCATCTGAATCTTAGATTAATTCTTCCTTCAGCTTTGTATGGGATGTTTTGTTTTTGTTTGCATTTTATTTTAGTATGTTGTTTAATAATTCCGTAAGGGATGAATAGGTAGACAACATTTTTCAAAGAAATCTGTGAGAGGAAATGTACCAAAAAAATGCCTCTGTTAATGAGAACAGGTGGTAGCAAACCTGTGTTTTTCTCTTCCTTTGCACCTCCATTTATTTCTTTTTCCAAACAAGGTTAAAGGAATTCAGTATAACTTCTTTCCAAAATATTTTGAAAGTTTTCTGGTTGCTTCCTATCATAAATCCTCTTTGATCAAAAAAATGAATCAAATACATTGGCCTCTTTCCAAGAACAGAGCCACTCTGTTTTGCAAATGTTTGGTGAAAGTCAAATATTGTCATTTTTGTCATTCTCCTGCCCCCTAGAGTTCTTAATAACTTGAGTGTTCTAAGGGGCTGTAGTTCAGAATCAAATACACAGTGGTAGTGTATATTGTTTGATTGCATAAATATTGACCATATCTTTTTTCTTTTCTTTCTTTCTTTCTTTTTTTTTTTTTTTTTGAGATGGAGTCTCACTCTGTCGCCCAGGCTGGAGTGCAGTGGCATGATCTCAGCTCAGGCAGCCTCCACCTCCCAGGTTCAAGCGATTCTCCAGCCTCAGCCTCCCGAGTAGCTGGGATTACAGGCGCGTACCACCGCATCCAGCTAATTTTTGTATTTTTAGTAGAGATGGGGTTTCACTATGTTGGCCAGGCTGGTCTCAAACTCCTGACCTCAGGTGATCTACCCGCTTCAGCCTCCCAAAGTGCTGGAATTACAGGCGTGAGCAACTGTGCCTGGCTAACCATATCTTAATAGGGAGTTGGATTGCTTGCTTGATGGTAATTTGTGAGGTTAGCATTTAGGATGCACTAATCACTATCATGCTGGTATAAACTGTGATGCTTTGGGTTGTGAATTTTTGGTATTTGGCTGTCTGAGAAGTTTTCTTTGTTCACTCATGAATTTTTTATTTAGCACAGATGCCTTATGCTTGCTTGATTTAGAACTGATCTGTTTTCCCTTTCAAACCTACCTACCAGGCTTGTCATAGAAAAAAAGATTACTGGCTATCTTATAAATGCAGAACTTCGAAGAACTGTTTACAGAAGCTGTAGGCTTTATTTATGCTGAGAAATGTTTCAGCAGTGATATTTCTCATATAAATATTAAATCACAATCTGAATCCCCTTCATTCCTAATCTTATCCATATTTGCTTTCAACTGTTAAGGACTAGAATTCTTAAGCCAGGTGTAGTGGCTTACACCTGTAATCCTAGCACTTTGGGAGGCTGAGATGGGTGAATCATCTGAGCTTAGGAGTTCGAGACCAGCCTGGGCAACATGATGAAACCCTGTCTCTACTAAAAATACAAAAAATTAGCTGAGTGTGGTGGTGCACACCTGTAATCCCAGTTACTCAGGAGTCTGAGACATGAGAATCACTTGAATCTGAGTGGCAGAGGTTGCAGTGAGCCGACATGGTGCCACTGGACTGACTCCAGCCTGGGTGACAGAGTGAGACTCTGTCTCAGAAAAAAAGAACTAGAATTTTTTTTTTTTTTTTTTTTTTTGGGAGACGGAATTTCGCTCTTGTTGCCCAGGCTGGAGTGCAATGGCACGATCTCGGCTCACTGCAACCTCTGCCTCCCAGGTTCAAGAGATTCTCCTGCCTCAGCCTCCTGAGTAGCTGAGATTACAGGCATGTGCCACCATGCCTGGCTAATTTTGTATTTTTAGTGGAGATGGGGTTTCTCCATGTTGGTCAGGCTAGTTTTGAACTCCCGACGTCAGGTGATCCTCCTGCCTCGGCCTCCCAAAGTGCTGGGATTACAGGCATGAGCCACTACGCCTGGATCATTTCTCCTGTAGTTTTTCTTTCCTCTAATAAAGTTTTAGAGGCTGTTCATCTTTGCATTCCACATGTAAGGACAAATTGTGTTAAAATGGACAGGTTTTTATAAAAGCATCAAATAATTTCTTTTCATTCTTCCTATCGACTTCTACCAATTTTGTCATTCTCTTTTGGCTCTTAAAAACAGACTGCCTTTGGGTTGGCCTCCAGCCTAGTCTTATTCCATTGAAGAAGTTCCTGCTGCATAGTGTTCTTATTAACCTGACAGGTTTTCTGTCTATTTGAAAACCAGCTGATATGTCTGTGGATATTCCTGTAATTCAAACGTTTTATTTTCAACTTACGGGCTGTCTTCTTTCCCTTTCTCTGTTGCCTGAAAAAACATTATAAGCGTCCTCTCTCTTTTTCTCGCTATTATAACTTTATATTTTCTATACTAGCCCTTTCAAATTCTGAAATGTTTATGATTTTTCTAGATACTTTTCCTAAAATGTAAGTACCTGCATTCTTTCATTTTACCATCTCTTTGTGAAAGTTTTGTTTTAGTTGGTTTTTTTTGTTTTTGTTTTTGAGAAGGGTCTCACTCTGTCACCCAGGCTGGAGCGCAGTGACGCAATCTGAGCTCACTGCAGCTTTGACCTCCTGGGCTCAAGCGCTCCTCCTACCTCACCCTACCAAGTGGTTGGGACCACAGGCACATGCCACCATACCTGGCTAATTTTTTAAATTTTTTGGAAAGTGGGGGTCTCCCAGTGTTATCTAGGCTGATCTCGATCTTGTGGCCTGAAGTGATCCTTCTGCCTCAGCCTCCATAAGTTCTGGGATTACAGGAGTGAGACACTGTGGCCCGCTGAATTGTTTTTTAATAAATAGGTTACTAATTGCTAAACTCTAACTTCAGACAAGCAGGCATATCTTTATTTAATGCAGCTGCAAACTTCTATGATGTGTGTTATGTGTCCTAGATTAAAATCTGGCCCTCGGTATTTTCTTTTCTTAGCACATCGTCCAGAATTTTGTAGAGCTATTTGTCTGACTTTGCAGTTGAAACATTCTGATTTGATAGTTATATATTTTCTGATCCTTATTTCCTTTTGAATTTCTTCTTTCTCCTTTGGGAAATGTGAGTTCAATGCATCTGTGCAGAGTGAGACAAAGAATTCATTTACTTTCTTTTTACCAATTCCTAGCATTCCACTTGGATTTATTATCGGATGGTGAGGGAGAAAAAGGAAATCAAGACCTCCTGGTATATTTGCTTCACAGTGCAACCTATAGGAACTGGGAAAAAGAATAAATACTAAATGATTAAAATGTAGACCAGATTAGAAGCCCTATATCCTAAAGTTTTTGGGATTTTTGTTTATAGAAAATATAGGTTATAAAAACTGTTGGTGCAATTCTTCATAAAACATTGTACAAGAAATAAAATACTGAATCATAAGGCTCATTACTGATTAGAAAATATTTAGGTACGAGAACAGCACAGTATATTTTTAAAATGAAATTTGAAAATATATGAAGTCAATGAAAGGTGATAGGTAAACTATTAAATTATATCAATTTGTATTTAAACTTCATGCAAGTTCTACATGGCCAAAACTCATGGAGTACTGGACAGGGACAAATGAAACTTGTCATGAAAAGTACATTCTAGCAATCAAATTAATATAGCAAGAGGAAGACATTCTTAAAATGACAAGTTATAAATAACTTGTGTATGACAGCAGAGAAACAGATTGAAAGGTTTCAAAGCATTGATAGTCTAGGACAGTGGTTCTCAAACGTTGACATGCATAAAATTATCTGGAGAGCTTGTTAAAATACAGATTACTAGGTCCCACAACCAGAGTTTATAATACTGTAGTAGGTCTAGGGTAGGACTTGAAAATGGGATTTCCAATAAATTACCAGATGTTGCTGCTATTGCTGCTGCTGCTCTGCAGATCACACTGAGAATCATTGATCTAGGATGAGAAAGAAGGGGGGCTTTAAAAGTCATCACTTTTATTTTCCCACTAACTAAATGGTCAAAATACTGTGATTTGGGAATCTGAGATTTGGCCTCTTGAACTGTCATAGTTCATTTATCATCCAATTATCATTCATTAGGTTCTCTTGGAACCATGAAAGCTTCACTAGGTTTCCTTCATGGATATTTTTACAAGATAACTTTAATGGTAGTATTTCTTTACTGGTATACCTTAAATGGAAAAGAAAATATTAGAGATTCATAAGAAGATTGCGTGCATACTTTATTTTGATGTGTAGGATCTATGTGTTTTGAGAGACTTATTACTCTCTTAGTAGAAAGATGCCTGTTTAAAAAAAAAATAGCATTGAACTGGAAGTAAAGTATCTTGGATTCTAGATTCAGGCTGCCATTATCAAGAGCTTGATTTAATTCTTTGAACTTACCTCTGTTTCCTCATATTTAAATGAACTTAACGATTCCTGCTCTGCTTATAAGATTGTCATAATTTAGGGGAAGGCGAGGCATAAAAGAAAAAACCAGTAGTTTATAAACACTAACTGTAGGAACATTTAAGATAGATGTCATTGAGCTCTTAGATTTAGGTTTGAGATAGACCATGAATATGTTCTTTCTTTCCTTCCAGAGGACTGGAAAGAAAATGAGAAGAAAAAAGAGTGTAAGGATGACAACTGAAAAAAAAATTTTGTAATATAGAATAACTGTAGCACATTTATATTTTACACAATTTATAAATCAAATGTTATTGGTTTAAGTTAAAGAGAGAAGGTGTCTAATTGAGATTATGAGGAATATACCATTTTTTTCAGGAAGGTAGGGATGGATGAGTAGGGTTGACCAGCAAGGCACCACAGTTTACGTATCAAATTCCAGGAATCTCAGATGTTCTGGACAGTGTCCTGGTATCATAATAACCAGCCTTAGTGGTTGGGAGAAAAAAAAATAGATTCTAAACTGTTTGATTTGGTGGAATGACTGCTAATAATTGTCTTTGAGGGCTTAAAAAAGATCTTGTATTTCGGTTGTGGTATCCTTGAAGTTAAGATAAGGTGGACTGGTGATTTTTTAAAAATTTGCAACTTGCTTTTTGGTTCCCTTGACTTAAGATTCAGCTGTTAATGTTTAGTAGTTTTTTTTTCCTGTTTGTTTGTTTTGTTTATTTTAGCATTTAACCTTGCATTCCCTGGTAAACTTGATCTTTTAAGTAATGATTCAGATGTAATTATCAGCATTGTTAAGAATTTTAGAGTTTGATCCATGAAATTTTCCAAAGTATATCTAATTCAATTTAAATTTTTACTATTTAAAACATTTCCATTGTTTGGTGTTAGGGTTTTGTTTTTACCTTTATGTGTACTTAACGTTAATTGTGAAATCTAAGCAGGACATTATTCTTAGTTCTTTTATCCTGAGTTCAAAACCTGGTGTGATACACTTTGTTTCTCTAATTTCTTTAGATTTTTTCATACATTCCTATTTGGTGGTGTGATTATTTTCATTGCTACTAACACTTTCCTTAAGCATGAGAAAGAAAAACATTTTTTGATTTCCCATATTGTCTATATCATAACTATCTAGATAAATTTGGTTCTTCCTGTTAAATGTGCCCCTGTTCCTGTCCAGGCTGTTAGCTAATATGAAACTTGGTTTATTCATTCTTCAGCTAGTACCTCTGATTCTGCTTAATCTTTTGGTTTCTGTTTTCAATAGTTTTTAATTTTCCTTTTATTCTTGAAAATTATGTGCTTAGCATCAAGAAGTACGTCTATTGAACGTTACCTCTGAGAACTTGTGTGATCTTCAAAGTAATTTCTTAATGTTTTTTGGGTCTTGATTAAAGGCTGTACTACCATGAGTTATACTTATAAATGAAGAGATGAGTACCTAACACCAGAAATAAAATAATCTTCAATTACTGTTGCTTAGTTGCCTTCTAAGGCACTACCTTGAATTTTAGAGACTTCTACTTCCTATCATAGAGACTGTGAAAAGAGAAATGAAGGCTTCTGCCTTTTTCATTAGCCATAAAGGAAATAGCATATTCTTAAAAGAGAACCTCCCAAACCTGTTTGGTCTCTTTGGAGCAAGGTGTTTGTTGCTGGTGTTGGTGAGCAAGCAGTCTTACATTTTATTAAACAAAGGCTAGTCAGTATATAATATAACAGAAACCAATTGTCAGAATTCTGGCTATTAAAGAGTTCCAGTTAAGATGGAGTAAAAACACTTCATATTTTCTCTCCCACTGAATACAACTATAAAACCTGAACAGATGCATGGAGCAGCTATTTGAGGACATTGAAAGGTAAATAGTAAACAGATTGGGGAAGAAGATAAGAATTCAAAATACTACTTGAACTGGTGGTGAGGTTGCCACCCTCCATCCCCTACCCCCATTCTTCCTACTGCTTGATTCTAGACCTGGATGCAATCACAGACGTGGGTGGGAAAGTGGGCTAAATCCCCAGCTTTCTGGCCAGGAGGAGCTCCAGGGAACCAGAAATTACTGGGAAGATGACAGAGAGGGAGGAGCTCAGGAAAGCAACCCCATGTGATTGTGTTAAACTCCTAGACCTACTCCTGAACTATACATTTGCCATATGTGGATCTTATTCTAATGAGCGTACCAAAGCCTTTAAGAACTGGACCAACAAACCACCACCAGATCCCAGATTGACCACTGGGGGATGCACAGGGCAGATCCAAATAACATTGCAAAAGCTTTGAAAACTGAGCTGACGTTGTAGCCACAGATCACAGAAGTCACATTGGAACCTGTGGCTTGAACCTGTGTTGATTGCATGCTAAAACAAAGGTATTAACATTCTCCAAAGGATTTCTAGAATACCCAGAGTTTCATAATACAGTTGACATAGGTTTGAAGTGTACAGGTCCACTTATATGTGGATTTTTTTCAACCACTTGTGGATGGAAAATACACTATGTGCAGGATGCAAAACCCACATATGTGGAGGGCTGACTTTTCATATACACGAGTTCTGCAGGACTGACTGAGAACTGAATATACATGGATTTTGGTGTACCTCGGCATCCTGGAATCAATCCCCCATGTATACCAAGGGACGACTGTATTCAAAATATTCAGGATACAATACAAAATCACTTGACAGGAAGAACCAGGAATATCTTAACTCCCATAGGAAGAGACAATCAACAGATACCAGCCCCAAGATAACATAGATGTTGGAATTATCTGACAAACACACTACTATAAAAATGCTCCAAGAAGCAAATTATAAACACTCTTGAAATGATAGGAAAAATAGAAACTCCCAGCAAAGGGCTAGAAAATATAAAGAATAAAGTTATAAAATGGAAATTTAGGAACTGAAAACGACAATAACCAAAATAAAACACATTCAGCTGAATGAGCTGAATAGCGGATAGAAATGACAAGAGTCAGTTAACCCAGTCAATAAACCCAGGTTCAACTCACATCATAATCAATCTCTGAAAACTATATAGATGTAGAAAATAAAAATTTTGAAAGTAACTGAAGAAAGGGACACATCAATAGAAGAACAATAATTACAATGACTAGATTTCTCATTAGAAAGCAAATAGAAAAACTATTTTTTTTTTTTAAAAAAAAAGGGAAAAAAACCTGTGGAGATCAGAAGAAAGTGGCAAAACATTTTTAAAAGGAACTTTCAACTTAAAATCCTATATATCATGAAAATATCCTGCAGAAATGAAGGTGAAATAGATATTTTCTGGTGAAGGAAAAGGAAGAAAATTCATTGCCAACAGAGTTGCTGTAAGACTATTAAGGAAATTATTCACAATGAAGTCAGATGACACCAAAGGGAAGCTGAACTTCAGGAATGAAGAAAGCACAACAGAAATGGAAAACATAATAGGCTATTCTGCTTTTGAATTAAAGTATGTTTAAGTGAAAGCAGATTTGAGGACTGACATTGGCAAGATGGCTGACTAGAGATGCCTGGTGCTTGTTTCTTCTACAAAAAAGGACTGAGGCAATGAATAAACAGATAGGATTTGACTAGAATGTCAGAGAGAGCGCTGGAGTGTGGTTGGGGAATGGAGACACACCTATAAATGATTAGAAATCCAGGAGGGCAGCATGAGGGTATCTAGCATCTACAGTCCTGTCTTCCCCACCTGGACTGAATCTGGAGTCAAGAGAGACTTCCCATTGCAGGGAAAAGGCAATCAGAATAACCCAGCCAGCCCCTGTTGCCACCACAAACGCATACAGTCCTTACTACAGGAGAATCCCACAGTCCTCAAAAGCCCTGAACCCAGTTTGGAGAGCTACCATGAATTCACACAGCTGCATTGCCCTGGATTAGGAACACCAAGATATGCCTGCTTGTACACAGCCCTCCAGTGTCCTACCCCCTACAGATAAGCTCCTGGTCTACCCAACAGCCCTGCACCCACAATCAGGGTCTGAAAAGCCGCTCCACTGGCAGCCACACTCCAAGGCCTGCTGAACAACTGTGAGCCCACATCTCGGGCCTGAGAGACCAAGCCATCCTCACCAGACATGTCTTTAGACCAGTCAGGCATCTGTGCACCTGTGTTTTTCGCAAAAGTAACAGCCCTGTGGGCTGCTCCTTGCAGGCATGTCCTCGGGCCGGCTGAGCAACCCTGTGTATGTCCTCCTGCCAAGAATAAGAGCCCTGTAGCCCAAATCCATGCACCAAGTTGGTGGACCCACCATTTGTATGTATATGCCTCTGACCTGAGAAACAGCCCAGTGAGCCCACACCCAGCAAAACTGCACCACCTCCACCACAAACTCAGCCCAGGCCACTGAGGCATTTGCATATGTCACTAGTATGGATTACAGCTGAAGAAACTACACTACTGTGTCCACCTAGAACTCAACAAACTGACACCCCAACACCTGTTCATATGAGTAAATTTTTCTCTGTGAAACCTCCTCCATAAAATTGGAAGAGGCGACTTTTCTACCACATGAATGGAAATCAGTGTAGGGATACATCAAACATGAAAAAACTACAGATAAATACCCATGAAAAGGAACACAATAATTTTCCAATAACAGAGGCTAATCATAAGGAAGTACATAAAATGCCAGAAAAAGAATTCAGAATAATAATCTTAAGTAAACTCTGTGAGATACAGAATACTGATGGACATTCAGTGAAATCAGGAAAACAATTCACAATTTGAATAGAGAAAATTTTATTTTTATTTGTCTTTTTTAGAGACAAGATTTTATTTACTCTGTCACCCAGGCTGGAGTGCAGTGTTTGGAGCATAGCTCACTGTAACTTTGAAGTTCTGGGCTCAAGCTATCCTCCCACCTCAGCCTCCTGAGTATCTGAGACTAGAAGCATGTGCCACCATGCCCAGCTAAGTGAATGAGAAATCTAATAATGAGATAGATATCGTAATAAAGAACCAAACAGAAATCCTACAGCTGTAGAATTCAGTGAATGAAATAAAAAATACAGTTGAGACCTTTAACAATACCCTACACCAAGCAGAAAAAAGAATTTTTGAACTTGAAGAGATTGAAGCAACACAGGCAGACCCCCCCTCCCCCCAAAAAAAGAATGAAGAAAGCTACAGGATTTATGGGACACCATGAAGCAAACAAATATTCACATTATGGGCATTCCGGAAGGAGAAAAGAAGTGAAAAGATGTAGAAAACATATTTAATGAAATAATAGCTGAAAATTTCTCAAGTATTTGGAGAGACACATCCAGGTTCAGGAAGCTGGAAGAACCCCAAGTAGATTCATCCCAAACAAGTCCTCTCCTAGGCACAGTATAGTCAAATTGTGAAGTCAAAGTCGATTCTAAAAGCAGCAAAAGAAAAATGTCAATTCACAAATAAAGGTATTCTTATCAGATTAACAGTAGATTTCTCAGCAGAAACTATACAGGCTAGGAGAGAATGGGATAATATATTCAAAATACTGAAAAGGAAAATTTTAAAAAACTGCTAGCCAAGAATATATATATATATATGTGTGTATATATATATATATGTGTGTGTATATATATATATATATGTGTATATATATATATATGTGTGTGTATATATATATATGTGTGTGTGTATATATATATATGTGTATATATATATATGTGTATATATATATATATATATATATGTGTGTGTATATATATATATATAGTTTTTTGTTGTTTTTTGACAGAGTCTTGCTCTGTCACCCAGGCTGGAGTGCAGTGGCATGATCTCGGCTCACTGCAACCTCCGCCTCCTGGGTTCATGCCATTCTCCTGCGTCAG
This sequence comes from Homo sapiens, assembly GCF_000001405.40. NCBI lineage: Eukaryota > Metazoa > Chordata > Mammalia > Primates > Hominidae > Homo > Homo sapiens. The sequence continues at coordinate 26,347,040 of NC_000018.10, forward strand.
CCTCCCAAGTAGCTGGGACTACAGGTGCCCACCACCAAGCCCAGCTAATGTTTTGTATTTTCAGTAGAGATGGGGTTTCACCATGTTAGCCAGGATGGTCTGGATCTCCTGACCTTGTGATCCGTCCGCCTCGGCCTCCCAAAGTGCTGGGATTACAGGCGTGAGCCACTGCGCCCGGCCCAGCCAAGAATATTATACCCAGCAAAACTATCCTTCAGAAATGAAGGAGAAATAAAATGTCTCACAATCAAAAATTAAGGGAATTCATCACCATTAGACAAGGCCTACAAGAGATACTCAAGGGAGTTTTACATTTGAAAGTGAAAAAATGACAACCACCATCATGAAAGGATGTGAAGCTATAAAACTCACTGGTAGAACCAATACAGAAAAGAGAAATAGAAAGGAATCAAACAAATTTTTCTTTACAGGAAAAGATCCACCTACACAAATACTAAAAGATGAAGAAAGGAACAATGAATATAGAAAACAACCAGAAAACAATCAATAAAATGATAGTAATAAGTCCACACCTATCAGTAATAATCCTGTGTGTAAACAGATTAAGTTCCCCATTTAAAAGATACAGACTAGCCAAATGGTTAAATAAAACAAGACTCAACTGTATACTGCCGACAGTAAATTCACTTCAGCTGTAAAGACACACATAGACTGAAAGTGAAGAATAGAAAAAGACATTTCCACAAACAGCAACCAAAAGCTAGCAGGAGTAGCTATACTTACATAAGACAAAACAGACTTCAAGACAAAATGGTAAAGAAACAAAGACATTATACAATAAGGGATTAATTTGGCAAGAACATATAACAATTGTGAATATATATGTGTACCCAACACTGGACCACTCAGATATATAAAGTAAATATTATTAGATCTAAAGGGAAAGATAGATCCCAATACAGTAATAGTTGGAGACTTCAACACTCCATTCTTAACATTGGACAGATCATGTAGACAGAAAATCAACGAAGAAACATTGGATTTAAACTGTACTGTAGACCAACTGGACCTAGCAGGCATTTATGGAACATTTCACCCAACAGCTGCAGAATACATATTCTTTCCAGAAGTACATGGAACATTTTCCAGTATTGACCATATGTTAGGACATAAAACAAGCCTCAAACATTTTAAAATATCAAAATCATATCCTAAGTATCTTACCTGACCACCATGGAATAAAAGTAGAAATCAATAATAAGAGGAATATTAAAAACTGTGCAATTAAACAGCAGTCTCCTGGACAACCAATGGGTGAAGGGAAAAATTGTCCAAGCCTTACTAACCATCAGGTAATCCATATTGGAGAGAAACCTTATGAATAGAATGAATGTGACAAGGTCTCTGGTTATCTCATATCTTTGAAAGGCATCTGAGAAATCACACTGGAGAGAAGGCTTACAGATGTAGTAACTGTGGCAAAGCCTTTACTGAGTGTGCAAGCCATACTAAACATCATGTAATCCATCTGGAGAGAAACCTTACAAATGTAGTGACTGTGGGAAATTTTGTCTACTGTAGTCATACCTCCATCCATACTGGAGAGACACCTTACAAATGTAATAAGTGTGTCAGTGCCTTTAGTGAGCATTCAAGCATTACTAAATATCAGGTAATCCATAAGGGAGAGAAACCTTACAAATATAATGAAAGTGATAAGTCCTTGTCTTGGCAACCAGACTTCACCAGACATCAGATAATCCATACTGAAGAGAAACCTTACAACTGCAATGAATGTGGCAAGATCTTCAGTCAAAATTTACACCATGCACAACATCAGAGAACTTACACTTGAGAGAAAGCTTCTGAATGCAATGAGTTTGGTAAATCCTTAATCATTTGTTTAAGCATTAATCTACCTCAGAGCGGCCATACTAAAGAGAAACCCCATAACTGTAATATATGTGGCAGTGGCTTCTTCCAGGCCTCAAAACTCTAGGCACCTATATATATGTCTTTGAATTAACCAAATAAACAATGTGCATGCTAAGACCTTGACCCAAGGATCAAAACTGTTTAATAACAAAGGATTTTTTTAAAAATAAATTCAACTTTAATTTTAGATTCAGGTGTACACATACAGGTTTGTAACATGATTATATTGCATTATGCTGAAGTTTGGGGTACGATTGATCCCAGCTTCCAGGTAGTGAGCATAGTACCCAGTAGTTAGTTTTTCAACAGTTTTTCCTCTGTTCCTTCTTCTTTCCCCTTCCGAAAGTCCCCAGTGTCTATTGTTGCCGTCTCAAAGGATTCTTATTGACTACCAATGCAATAAATGCATACAGCTCTTTATTTAAAAAAAAAGAATCAGTAGTATTCCTTACCTAATGAACTAGCTGAAAAAACAAAATCAAGAAGGCAATCCCAGTTAAAATCCCTGCCAAACAAACAAACAAACAAACAAACAAAACCACCTGGAAATAATTTAACCCAGGAGATGAAGGAACTCTGCAAGGAAAATTATAAAACGCTAATGAAAGAAACTGAAGAAGATACAAGCAAATGTACAAACATCTCATGCTCATGGATCAGAAGAATTAATATTGTTACAATGACCATACTAGCCAAAGCAATCAACAGAGTCAATGCAATCTCTGTCAAAATACCAAGGACATTCTTCACAGAAATAGGAAAAGTAAATTTGAAAATTCATATGGAACTGCAAAAGACCTCAAATAGCCAAAGCCATCCTGAGCAAAAAGAACAAAGCTGGAGGCATGACACTACTGGACTTCAAAATATGCTTCAAAACTGTAGTCACCGAAATAGCATGTGACTGGCATAAAAACAAAAACATAAACATAGACCAACGGAACAGAATAGGGAATCCAGAAGTTAATCAAGGTGTCTACAGCCAACATATTTTTTGACAAAGGTGCCAGGAACATATACCAGGGAAAGCATGTTCTCCTCAAAAAATAAGGTGCTGGGAAAGCGGGCATCCATATGCAGAAGAATAAATGTACACCTCCACCTCTTACCCTATTAAAAAGTCAAATGGTTCAGAGATCTAAGTGTAAAACCTGAAACTATAAAGCTACTAGAAGAAAACGGAGGAAATGCTTCAGGACATACTTTATGTCAGGAAAATATTTTATGAATAAGACGTCAAAAGCGCCTGTAACAAAAGCAAAAATAAATGGGATTATATTAAATGAAAAACTTTTGCATAGCAAAGGAAACAATCCACAGAGTAAAAAAAATAAGACTACAGAATGGGGGGAAATATTTGCAAACTATTCATCTGATAGTGGATTAATATCCAGAATATACAAATAGGCATCTCAACAGCAAAAAAATCAGTCTGATTAACAGATTGGCAAATGAGCCAGGTGTAATGGCTTATGCCTATACTCTCAACACTTGGGAAGGAAGATGTAGGAGGATCACTTGGGGCCAGGAATTTGAGATCAGCCTGGGCAACATAGAGACCCCGTCTCTACAAAAAATTTAAAACTGAAGGTTAGCCAGGTATGGTGGCATAGGCCTGTAGTCCTAGCTGCTTGGGAGGCCGAAGTAGTGTGATCACTTGAGCCCAGGAGATTGAGGCTGCTGTGAGCCATGATCATGGTACTACATACTATCATGGGTAATAGAGTGAGACCCTGTTTCTAGAAAAAGAAAATTAAAAACAAACAAATGGGCAAATGATCAGAATGGACATTTCTCAAAAGAAGACATGCAAACAGCCAACAGGTATGGGAAGAAATGTTCTATGTCACTAATCATCAGAGAAATGAAAATTAAAACCACAACTAGATATCATTCGACCCCAGTGAAGATGGCTATTACCAAAAAGACAAAAAATGAGTAATGTTATCGAGGATTCAGGGAAAATGGAATTCTTAAACACTGTCAGTGAAAATGTAAACTAGTATAGCCACTGTGAAGAATGGCATGGAGATTCCTCTTAAAATTACAAATAGAACTACTGTATGATCCAGCAATCCCAGTACTGAGAAAAGAAATCAGTATATCACAGAGACATCTGTACCCCCTTGTTCATTTCAGCACTATACATGTTAATAATTGCTGATATGTGGAATCAACCCAGGTGTTCAACAACAGATGAATGGATAAAGAAAATGTGCTATATATACACAGTGGAATACTATACAGCCATAAAAAAGAATGAAATCTTGTCATTTATGATAACATGGATGGAAACTGGAGGACTTATGTTAAGTAAAGTATTCCAGGAAAAAAAAAGTTAAACACTGTTTTCACTGATCTGTGAAAGCTAAAACAAAGTTGGTCTCATAGAAGTAAAAAGGAGAACAGAGAATAGTAGAGGATGGAAAGGGTCTGGGGGAAAAGGGGATAGGGAAAGATTTGTTAAAGGATACAAAATTACAGCTAGATAGGAGAAGTAAGTTCTATAGCACTGTAGGATGACTATAGTTAATAATGCATAGTTTCAAGTAGCTACAAGGAGGCTAGTGAATGTTCTTAACATAAAAGTATGATAAATATCTGAGATGATGGGTATACTAATTATCCTCATCTGATCACTGTGTATGTATTGCAACATCACTAAGTACCCATAAATATGTACAATTATATGTCAGACTTCATAAAAATTAATATTCAATAATCAGTTATAGTTTTAAACACCAGCAACAAACAGAAAATAAATAAGATATTAAAGGATCATAAATCTAACATGCAAATAAAGGTTTAATGAAATATATATGACTGATGTAAAAAATGATGATTGGTGAAATTCATTAAGGATAAATTGAGATTTACCATATGCATGGATTAGAAAAATTAACACCAGCGATTTTCACTGTATGTATGTGTAATATATAAGACAACTACAGCAAAATGTGGAGGATAAAGAGCCATATATATGGCCAAGGTTTTTCTATTCCACTTGAAGTGGTAAAATATTGATGCTGAGCAGATTGAAAATTTAAGTATGTATATTGTAATCCCTAGAGCCGTCACTAAAAATTAATATAAAACATTTAGAGTTACTACAAAATGCAGTAGATAAATTAAAATGTTAAAAAGTTCAAATAATTCCAAGTAGAAAAAGGGAAACAGAGAAATGAAAAACAGAGGGAACATACAGAAAACAAAATGATAGACCTTAATCTAATCATAATTATTACATGAAGTGTAAATGATTCAAATATACCATTTCAAAGATAGAGACTCTCAGGATGGATTAAAAATCTGTAATGGAACTATATCTTTAAGCAACTCAAATCACAGGTAATGATATAGGTAAGCTAAAGTAACAAGATAGGAGAAAATGCTTACATTAGAAAAGAAGAAAGGCCTCAAATCAATAAATTAAACTTCTTCCTTGAGAAATTGGAATAGGAAGAGCAATATAGATCCAAAGCAAGCAGAAGGAAGCACATATCTTTGAGTACTAATCAATGACTTTGGAAAAAAGTTCCCAGAAGCTGGTTCTTTGATCAACAACATCGAGAACTTTTCATAAGACTGAGAAAGGAAAAAACAAAGAAGAGAAATCACTAATATTGCTCTGTTGCCCAGGCTGTAATGCAGTGGTGAGATCTCAGCTCACTGCAACCTCTGCCTCTTGGACTCATGGGATCTTACCCCCAGATGCCATCCTCCAGAGTTAGGATCCCATAAGCCCAGGAGGTGAAGGTTGCAGTAAGATGAGATCGCATCACTGCACTCCAGCCTAGACAACAGAGTGAGACCCTGTCTCCCCGCCACACCCCTCTCTCCAAAAGCAAATATAACAAATAACTGTGCATAAGTTTGGCAACTTAGATAGATTAAATGACCAATACCTCGAAAAGCACAAACTATCAAAACTTACCCAAGATGATATGGTTCTCTAATCTTTATTTTTTTAGTTCTGTAATTATTAAACAAATTGAATTTGTAATTAAAACCTTCTAAGAGAGATACCAGAACAGATTTTTAGTAAATTCTACCAAAGATTTACAGAAGAATTAATACCACTTCTACACAGCCTCTTCCAGACAATAGAAGAGATAGAAACACTTCCAGTTCATTTTATGAGGCCATTGTTGCCCTAATAGTTAAACCCACAAAGATGTTACAAAACAAGAAAACTACAGGCTAATATCTCTTATGAACATAGATATAAACATCCCAAACAAAATGTTAGCAAATCAAATCTACTTTAGATTTGATATAAAAAGAATGTATTGATCTTGACATATGAAAGAATAATATACCATGACTATGTATATTATACTCTAGAAATGAAAAGTTGCTTTAATATTTGAAAATCAGTCAATATAATCATATATTAATAGTCTAAGAAACACCATGTGATCCTATCAATTAATTTAGAAATATGTTTGATAAAATTTAAAATCCATTAATGATTAAAAACTCTCAGGAATCTAAGAATAGAAGAGACTTCCTTGGCTGGGCATGATGGCTCATGCCTGTAATCCCGGCACTTTGGGAGGCCAAGGCCGGTGGATAGCTTGAGACCAGGAATTCAAGACCAGCCTGGGCAACATAGCGAGATTCCTGTCTCTCTTAAAGTAAGAAATTTTAAAAATGAAGAGACTTCCTGAGGCTGATAAAGGATAGCTTTAAAAACCCTCCTAATATCGTTTTTAATGGTGACTGAATGCTTTCTTCCAATGATTAGGAAAAAGGCAAAGAAACTTGCTTTTACCAGTATTATTCAGCATTATAGTTTAAGTCCTTATCAGTACAATGAAGCAGGAAAGACAAATAGATTGGAGACATGGAAATAAAGTAGCTTGTCCTTTAATTCTTTTAAGTGTGTCTTCCATAGAGCAAAAGTTTTAATTTTGATGCAGTCCAATTTGCCAATTTTTTCTCTTATAGATATGCATTAGGTGTCATGTTCAAGGACTCTTTGCTGGACTCCAAGTCATGTTCTCCTATGGTTTTTTCCTATACATTTTTATAGTTTTACATTTATATTTTGATTAATTTTTTTATAAGGTGTGAGGTTTGGATCCAGATTGATTTTTAAAAAATTTTTGCACGTGGATGTTCAGTTGTTCCAACAACATTTGATGTTTGTTTGTTTGAGATAGAATCTCACTCTGTTGCCCAAGCTGGAGTGCAGTGGCATGATCTCGGCTGACTGCAGCCTCCGCTTTTGGGTTCAAGCAATTCTCCTGCCTCAGCCTCCCAAGTAGCTGGGATTACAGGCGTCCCCACCATGCCCAGCTACTTTTTGTATTTTTAGTAGAGACGGGGTTTCACCCTGTTGGCCAGGCTGGTGCGAACTCCTGACCTCAAGTGATCTGCCCACCTTGAACTCTCAAAATACTGGGATTACAGGTTTGAGCACAGCACCCAGCCCCACAACTTTTGTGTAAAAGACTGCCAGACACTAAAGTGGTAAGAATAGACTTTAATCAGCTCCTGCCTTTCCATAGAGGCTGGAAGATGGGGCCTTATCATCAGATGTTGGATGGAACAAATAGTAAATTATTCTAGCAGTCTTGAGTTTTTTCAGTTAGGCTCTTTAAGGAAGTTAAGGCCATCCTATGGCTTGAGCTGTTAGAAACTGTGTTAATGTTTTTTAGGCCAAGGTTCAGGCCTGGTTGATAAGAGGGCTCAGAAGTTTGGTCAAGGAGAGAATTTTTGTCATTTCTCAACTGCATTCCTTTCTAACCTGGCCAAAAATCAATTGGCCGTATTTATATGCATCTTATTTGTGGATTCTCTGTTTTGTTCTGTTAACCTATGTGTCTGTCCCTTTACCAGTATTACATTATTTTGATTACTGTAGCCTTATAAGAAGTCTTAAAATTGCATGGTATGATTCTTCCAATTTTGTCCTTCTTAAAATAATGGTTGTTGTAGCTATTCTAGTTCATTTTTCTTTCCATATAAACTTTAGAATCAACTTATCCATATCCACAACAAAATTTTATTAGAATTGTGTTAAGTCTGTGGATGAATTTGGAGGGAATTGAAATCTTTGTTGAGTCTTACAAGCCTGGACACAGCATGTCTCTCCATTTGTTTATTTATTTTTTTATTTCTTTCATAGGCATTTTGTGATTTATAGTGTAGAAATACCTGTATGTGTTAGATTTATATCTCAGTATTTCATTTGGGAGAGAGCAATTATAAATGACATTTAAAAATTTTAAGTTTCCAATTGTACCTTAATGATATTTAGGACTCACTTATTGCATGTGTCAACCTTGCATCTTGTAATATTGCTAAACTCACTTATCAGTCTTAGGAGGATTTTTTTTATATATAGATAACTTGGGGTTTTCTGCACAGATAATCGTATCATTTGCCATCCTGTTTCCACAGGCAAGCCTCTAACTCAGTGGCCATTTTTATTGAACTGAGGTTACTTATTGTAGTCTTTATCCTCGATAAATGCCAGATTTGCATTAATGCTCAGAACTTCCTCCTTTTCTGGTTAAAAGTACCTGGTTTTACTGTTTTGTGCTTGTCAAGATGCATTGGTTTTGAGAAAGCTTGTTATAAATACAGGGCCAATGAAAACTATGGTCAGTTTCCATTTTTGTTAGATTTTTGTGAAATTTTCTAAAATTTTGTGTGAGAGACTTCAGAAAACCAAAGTATAATTTGCAGAATGGGAGAAAATGTTACACTACACATAGGGAATTTGAAGACAGTGGTCAGTTTAAAAACCTTTTATTTGGTTTGACTATCTTGCAGATGCCATTTCTCTACAGGGAAGGACTTTAAAATATAGCTTGTTGTTTGATTTGTACTGCAGGGTAGATTAACTAAAATCATTATTTTGTCACCTAGAAGTTCTGAATTGTGGCAGCATTAGACTCTAAAACTATATTTTTTATTAAAAAGGCCAGCAGCAACAAGAGATATTTTATAACTTCTGAAAACACTTTTCTAACAATTTATTTGTAAGTAAACACACAGTTTAAAAGGATTTCTGTCCTATAATTTGTGAAGCAAGTGGAAAATGGTTCTTAGTTCATTTTCTTTAATTAATTGTTGTCTTAGTTCATTTGGGCTGCTATAATGAAATATCTTAGACTGGGTAGCTTATACACAACAGAATTTTATTTCTCACAGTTATAGAGGCTAGGAAGTCCAAGATCAAGGTGCCAGCAGATTTGGTGTCTGGTTAGAGCCTACTTGCGCACTATGTTCTCACTTGGTGGAAGGGGCGAGGGGTTTCTCTTAAGTCTCTTTTATAAGGGCACTAAGTCTCCACCCTCATGACTTAATCACCTCCCAGAGGCCCCATCTCCTAATAACAGTCACCCTGGGTGTTAGGATTTCAACATTAGAAGTTTGGAGGGATACAGACGTTCAGAACATAGCAATTATTTTCTGCTTTACTAAAGATTCAGTTACCTATTCAGTTATTCATTCTTTTCCCTAATATTAAAATAATCTGAAGTAATCTTAAAGTGGAATTTATGTACTTGGTATATCCTTAAGACTGACCGTTTCACCACAGACTACTTTTTGTTTTCAACCTGCTCTATTTTTAAACATGTGTTAAAAGATTTTGGTTAGTACTCTTTTGAAAGAATATTCTCAGTACATGTATAGGGTTTCTCAACAGGTTACTTTCAGTTGACTGTCTTGATCTTGTTTGAATATGTGACTGTCAACCAGCCCCAGATTCTTTCCTCTTTTCCCTCCATAGTATTAATATTAATAATAAGATTTTGATGGGAATTGAACATTATTCTTCTCTTCTGAAAAAGCTTAGGGATTTATCTAGTGGTGTTCTATTTTGACTTTCTCACTTGGTGTTTTTTTTTTTTTTTTTAAACAGAATACCTAATTTGACACTTAGTTGCCTCAATGAAATAATGCAGTTTCTGCCTTTTAATAGGACATCTTTCATGCATACCCCTGTATAGTTTTGCCCACATAAAAAAAAATTATACCCTGTAGATTTGGGCATTCTTGATTAAGTATGACGAAAGCTGTACAACAAAACAGTACTAAATCACTTTAGAATTTTGCCATGAATATTATAGAGTAAATCTAAGACTTTTATTTGCAAATGAGAAAGTGTGATGTACTAAAGAGGTTTTTAATGAGAGCATTTTGCTCCACATGCTGTCTCCACTGCTTACTATTTGTGTGGTGCCTTTTATGAAGTTGCCCTAACCTCTTAGAGCCTTACTGTCTCCATTAATAAAAAGAGGATGATGTATAATTTTTATATTATAGCAATCACCTTTCAATATGGTTGTGAGAATTAAGAAAGTGCTTTGTAAATTATATAGCATAGTAGAACTGTGTGCAATAATGTACAAAAACTGTCTTTATTTTAAAGTGAATTTAATCTGAAATGGTTTACTATAGTTTGACCAATCTCTCTCTGACTTACTGTTCAACTTAATCCTTCAGGCATTTCTTATCTGTGTTATACTGGGAGAAATTAAGCTTTAGATGCCTTTCTTCTTTTCTGTACTTCTCCTTTACCTGAGTTCTGCCTCTTCCATATAGAGATTAAGAACTAAAGAGTTTGTTGGTGTAAAAGAATCAGAAAATGTGCCCTTGGCTGTTATGGGAATCTAATGTTTATTTTATATTGTAACTTTATTTGGTGAATGCAGAATTAGGCTTAGTAATCAGTTTCTTTTTCCCTCTGAGCATGAATGTGTATAAACATTGATATTTTTTTCTTCCGTCTTCTAGTTACAGCAATTGGAACTTGCACAGATACAGCATAGAGACGCTAATCTCACAGCTCTTGCAGCTATTGGACCAAGGAAGAAGAGACCACTAGAATCTGGAATTGAGGTATTGAAATAATATTCATTATTTTATTTTTAATGTCAAGAAAGCAAGCCAAAAAGAAGCAAAGACTTAAAAATAGTTTACCCTGTTATGCACGCTGTTGCTGCCAGACACTTCTTAAAATTCATCTTTGCCAATTTTATAAAATCTTAATTTTTGCCAGGTTTTAAAGATGTTTATCACCTTGAACTTGTTACTTATTTCATACTACTTGTTACTTATTTCATACTTTTTCTTTCCCCCATCTCCAGTCATATTGAATCTTCCAGTATTTAAATTTTTTATTTCTGTACATTGTTTCTAGTGTTTTTATGCAGTCCTGTTCCCTCTGTCTAAATCTGGCTAATCTTGTAAGACCGAATCTGCCCTCTTACTTCTTTCATAAACCCTGACTATTCATTCCCATACCAGCTTCTCTTTTTCTGAGTATATGTGTTTGCATGGCATTGTTTCCTTGTATGAACATTTTCTCTTCTGTTAGATTATAAACTTTTTGAGCAAGGACTATAATAATAGTCTTTTGTATTCCCCCATAGAATAGGCACATGTATACTCAATAAATGACCTTAATTGTTTGGTTAACACCAAGAAAGGATCTTACTTACATCTTCAGAGTAATTATTTAAGATAATATTAGGGCCGGGCGAGGTGGCTCACGCCTGTAATCCCAGCACTTTGGGAGGCCAAGGCGGGCGGATCACAAGGTCAGGAGATCGAGACCATCCTGTTTAACACGGTGAAAACCTGTCTCTACTAAAAATATAAAAAATTAGCCGAACGTGGTGGCGGGCACCTGTAGTCCCAGCTACTCGGGAGGCTGAGGCAGGAGAATGGCGTGAACCCGGAAGGCGGAGGTTACAGTTTGCCAAGATCGCGCCACTGCACTCCAGCCTGGGCGACAGAGCGAGACTCCGTCTCAAAAAAATAAAATAAAAAAAAGATAATATTAGCCTTTTGGCTTTAGGAGCAATCATTAGGGCTGAGATAGAGGTATGCTAAGGGCTCTGAGATAAGGTCAGCAATAAAAGAGCCATAGCTCATCTTATACTTCTCTATAGAATTTAAATCTACTTTGAGGCAAACTTCCTACCATTGTTGATCCTGAACATTGGTAGTTTCTAAATGAACGCCACTCACCTTAATAGATGAAAGATTTAAAAATTCTAGTTCTTTTTCATTTTAAATGTAACATATGAAATATTCTCCCCCTCTCCTGCCCAACCAGATGTAACCACTGTTAAGTTTTTCACATATCCTTCCAGGATATATGTGGGCACATATATGACATGCATTCACAAATCTACATGTGTGGTTTTGTTTTTAGTTAAATATGATCAAACTGTACCTATTATTATGCCCTTAATATTTTCCTCATTTCCACAGTCTACCTCATATAATTTACTTCCATACTTTTTAAGGGTGTATGACATTACTGTATTTAAGTAAACCATAATTTATTCAACCAACCCTCCAATGGACATTTAGGTTGTTTCCAGGTTTTTGCCTTTATTGCCTCAGATAACATTTTTGCACTTATATTGTTGTGTGCTTGTACAATGTAAGTACAGGCAAAATTCATAGAAATGGAATTCCTGACTTAAAGGGTATGAACATTAGGAAAACTCTATGGGAAAAAATTCAAATATATACAAAGGCGGAGAGAGCAGTATAATCAACCCTCATATGGTTGTGAAAGTTAAGAAAGGGCTTTGTAAATTATATAGCATAGTAGAACTGTGTCCTGTATAATGTACAAAAAACTGCCTTTATTTTAAAGTAATTTTCTTTATATCTGAAATGGTTGACTGTAGCTTGACCAATTTCTCTCATACTATTCAACTTATTCTTCAGGTATTTCTTATCTGTGCTTATACTGTTATATAGCACCGCCCTGCTCCAGCGACCGTCAATTTAATTTTATTTATTTACCTATTTGTTTGTTTATGTAGAGATAGGTCTTGCTCTGTCACCCAGGATGGAGTGGCACAATCTTGGCTCACTGCAGCCTCAACTTCCTGGGCTCAAGCAATCCTGTCACCTCTTACCCACCCGAGTAGCTGAGCTACAGGCACACACCACCATGCCTGGCTAATTTTTTTTTTTTTTGGTAGAGACGGAGTTTTGCCATGTTGCCCAGCTTGGTCTCGAACTTCTGAGCTCAAGCAGTTCACCTGCCTTGGCCTCCCAAAGTGCTAGGATTGCAGGTGTAAGCCACCTCACCTGGACAGGACCATCAATATATGCTTAATCTTGTTTCATTTATATTTGCACCAACTTTCTTAGGTTAAAATTTTCATCCCTCAGATTATTTTAAAGTCGTTCCCACACTCAGTATTATTTAATACATAAATATTATTTGTTGCTCATGATTTTTATTAACAATTTAAAAATTACCCTCTAAGTTGTATCAGTTTTCATATTCATTAGTGTGCCTATCTCACCACACTCACATTAACACTGGGAACTATCTTTGCCATCTCATGACTGAAAATGCAAGTTTTAATAGAGTGTTTAAGTTATGAGTAAGTTGAGCAACTTTTCATGTATAAATAGGCATTTTCAATTTTTCTTTTTCCCATGGAGTTACATTTTTCAATCCATTAAGGAAATAGAACAACCCATTTTCCCTAGCCCCATTTTCTTTCAGTTTGTCTGGGCTTTATTCATCTAAAAGTTTTTATTTTTCCTTTAAAAAATGCCACAGTCTTTCATTTTTATTTTTGTCTTTTGGGTTTATATTCTATTTAGAAGGCCCTTTCTTAATTAGAATTATGTGTTACTACTTTGATCATTTCACTTTTTAAGCATAAATCTTTGATTCGTACCGAACTTGAGTAAGAGTTGACGTGTGTATTTAGCTTTAGTCCCTCAGTCCTCTCTCATTCTCCCTTAGGCTAGATAATTGTCCCAACACCATTTACTCAGTAATTCTTTCCCTGCTGATTTTAAATGCTACCTTTATCACACACAACTGTATATCAAAAATACAAATTCTTGTATGTATTTGGGTCTGTTTCTGTACACTCTGAACCAGTGTTATCTAATAGAACTTTGTATGGTTTTGAAAATATTTGTGTCTGCAGTGTCCTGAATAGCCACATATGGCTGTCGAGATCTTGAAATGTGGCTAGTGTGACTAAAATAAATTTTTAATTTTTTTAGTTTAATACAAATTTTAATAGTCATATGCTGCTAGTGGCCACTATATTGGGCAGCACTGCAGGACTGCCCAATATAGTAGCCCAATATAGTTCTATTTATGACTATTTACATATTAGTATCAAACCTTTTTTTTAACCATCTTATTTTTACGTGTATAATTAAGTAGTGTTAAACACATTCACGTTGTTGAAAAAACCTCCAAAACCTTTTCATCTTGTAAAACTAAAATTCTATACCCGGTAAACAATTCTCCATTTCTGTGCCAGCCCCTAGTAACCATAATTCTACTTTCTGTTTCTATGAGTTTGACTACTTAAGTACCTCAGATTAATTTTAATTTTTTTTTTTTTTTTAGAGACAAGGGTCTCACTATGTTGCCCAGGCTGGCCTTGAACTCCTGGCCTCAAGCAGTCCTCCCACTTCTGCCTCCCAGAGTGCTGGGATTATAGGCATGAGCCACACTCTTGGCCCCAAATCTTAATATAATATGTTTGAAATTATGGAAAAACTGGCCAGGCATGATGGCTCACACCTGTAATCCCAGCACATTGGGAGGCTGAGGTGGGCAGATTGCTTGAGGTCAGGAGTTCGAGACCAGCCTAGCCAACATGTGAAACCCCGTCTCTACTAAAAATACAAAAATTAGCTGGGCGTGGTGTCATGTGCCTGTAATCCTAGCTACGTGGGGGGTTGAGGCAGGAGAATCACTTGAACCCGGGAGGCGGAGGTTGCTGTGAGCCGAGATCGCGCCACTCCCCTCCAGCCTGAGCAACAGAGTGAGACTCCGTCTCAAAAAAAAAAAAAAAAAAAAAGTATGGAAAAATTAGTTCAGCATAGAATTTATCTTTCTGCTAGAAACAACTCTACTGAGTTGTTCTAGTACAGGACAACTCACTGCTCTTTGTTTTTGGTCCATTTGTATATGATATGTGTAAATATTTTATTTAAATTGGGGTGTGCTATTTCATCATTAAGTATATTCCTATAAATATGCTTTGTTAGCATACATTTTATTTTGTGGCAAGAGTAGTTACTTGTAACTTTTAATTCCTTTGAGAATGTGTTATAGGCATGTCTAAGTTCCTGACTTTTCTACTACAGTAACATTATACAACAAATTATGTTAAATGTTTGCTTTGTGAGAAATCATCAGAGCACATGGGATAAGTATATGTGCTTTAGACTCAGAAAAATCTGGGTTTGCTTCTTGACTCTGTTAAGCTTTGTAACCTTGGATGAGTTCTTTAAACCCCATACCTCAATTATCCCCACCTGTAAAATGGGCATATTGCCTGTCTTATGTTTTAAGGATTGGTTTATGTGAAGTACTTAATTAGTGTCTGGTCTCAAGTAAGTGCTTAATGAATTGTCATATTTGTAATCATAGTAATAATTCCATGATTTTGGCTTTTAATAGTATTTTATCAGTAGCATTAATGGCCCATAGTGAATTTGCAATGTTAATCATTAATCTCTCCTGAGCATCAATTCTTATTCTCCTTTGAATTTGTCACAAATTTTAGAGAATACTTTCTAATTTATAATAAACAGATTTTTAGGTGTTTTTATTTATTATATGTTTGAATCTGAGAAAATCCATTGGTTAGGGAGAAAACCGAATGTGCTGTTTGTGTTCAAAACAATGATAAAAACCATTATGTGATTTATCTACAATAAAATGCAAAATTATTTAATTTTTAGTTTCAAAACAGATGTTTACTAACTTGGATATAAATATATTGAATTGTCTGTCACTTGGTGCTTCTTTAGTTTTGAGAACTCAGGCATGCATATTTTCCCCTGTACTTCCTGTACTTTAAGCTGAGATAATAGTCATATAATCAGTCCTTTGGATCTGTGGGTTCTGTCCACATCTGTGTATTCAGCCAACTGCAGATCAAAATTATTCGGAGGAAAAAACATCACATAATAAAAAATAACACTACAACAATTAAAAACTATACTAAATTTAAAAATACAGTATTACACTATTTATATAGCATTTACATTGTATTATGTAGTATAAGTAATCCAGAGGTGATTTCAAGTATACAGGAAGATATGCGTAGGTTACATGCAAATACTATGCCATTTTATATCAGGGACTTGAGCGTCTTTGGTTTTTGCTATCTATATCTTGGTGCCAGTCCCCCGAGGATACCAAGGGATGACTATAATGTCAATTTGAATTGAAAATATCTATTTCTTTAATCAGCTGGTGACATTTTTAGTACAATTATTATTTTGAAATTTGCTGAACACTAGTTTCCTTGTTGTTGATTTTTATTCATGGTGTTTTAACTTTAAAGGCATTTTTGTTTTCAAAATGAGAGACAGGCTGGGTGCAGTGGCTCCAGCCTGTAATCCCAGCATTTTGAGAGGCTGAGGAGTGTGGGTCACAAAACCCTGTCTCTACCAAAAAAAAAAAAAAAAAAAAAAAAAAAAGGCAGCGCGTGGTGGTGTGCGCCTGTAGTTCCAGCAACTTGGAGGGCTTAGGAGGGAGGATAGCTTGGCCCAGGAGGTCAAGGCTGCAGTGAGCTGTGATCAGGCCACTGCACTCCAGCCTGGGTGACACAGTAAGACCCTGCCTAAGAAAAAAATAAAAGAAAAAAGGAGAGAGAGGAGAGAGCCCTATTGCATGCTCCTTCAATGTTTAGGTATACTGCTGATTTGCATTAGTTACAATTGTTAGAAACCTTTATTCACTTGCTTTATTTCTTCACAAATAACACAAAAATGATGTATGAAACCATTTTTACTTTCAATATTCTGTACTCTGGAAACAAAGCCTTTACTTTTTGTTTGCTTCTTTATCGATGGGAACCTGAAATCTTAACATGTTTGAGTTAAATTTTTTAGAATCAGCATATAATCCCAGAGAGAAGTGGGAGTAGAATCTAGTTCTTCAGAGGGTAACTCTTTAGTTTGAATGCAGGTTTTTTCCTACTAAAAGGGAGCACTCTCAGTTGGGAAGATTGAATAGAATGATGGTAGTTTTTAAAAAAATGTAACATTCAAAAACATAGCACTTTAACATTCGAAGATTACCTTTATTGTTGCTAAGAAATTGGAGAAATTAGTTTTAGACCTTTGTCCTTGAGTATTTTTTGTTATGATAAAGCAAAACTTTTCTCATTAAATATGATCTATTTGTATAATTTATATATTAACCTAGCCTTTGGAAATTTACACTTGATATTCTCTGAAGTCTTGGTAAAATTGAATAGCATCAGCTGCTATCTCCTTATGTTATCCTGACAAAGAGCAGCAAGTACCAATTACAATTTTGAATAAGATATTTATACCATAAGCTTATTGGCTAGTGGGTCGCAGGAGGGTGGAAAAATAGTTAAAATGTACTATTTGGGAGTACTTTGAAATGTGTCCTTTCCTTTTGCTGCTGTGGTTTGAAGTTATATATATGAAATTAGTTTTTAAATTAATGTAGGCCGTACAGATATTGATACAGTAAAATAAAACCTACTTTAAGATTTAGAGTATTTGTATGTGTGTATTGTTTATATGTATTGTATCGGTGATGTGTTTGGGGTTCTTTGGAATTTTAAAACATTAATCACTTTACTTCCTGTGTTAATTAGAGATCCTTGGATTAGAAAGATTCTCTTTTCCCCCATTAGCTATACTTTCAAATATTTTGCATGCCTTATTAATGATCCAGCAACGTTTTTTTTTAGCACAAAGATAAGTTACATTTTAACCTTACATAATAACATGTCTAAAAAATTATACAAAATCAATTTTTGGAGCTATGAAAGTATTAAGGAATTTCAGCATACTATTTTACTTTGAATGCTTTTTTACTAACATAAATAAATGAAGCTTCCTAAGATCGTGTAATTCAGTTGATTTCATAATGCTGATATTTCTGTAACAATCAGGTTTACAGCACCAGATTAGCTACATGGTGCTTATAGTATCATTTTAGTTAAAATAGAATTTGCTAACCAAAATAAAGAAATTGCAATATGTATTAGTATATGTCCTCTCCTTCTAGAAGCAGGTTAAAGTGCTACTCTATAATTCTATTCTTTTTTTTTTTTTTTTTTTTTTGAGATAGAGTCTCGCTTTGGCACCCAGGCGGGAGTGCAGTGTCGTAATCTCGGCTCACTGCAACCTCCACCTCCTGGATTCAAGCGATTCTCCTGCCTCCGCCTCCCAGGTAGCTGGAACTACAGGCGCATGCCACCACACCCAGCTAATTTTTGTATTTTTAGTACAGATGGGATTTCACTATGTTGGCCAGGCTGGTCTTGAACTCCTGACCTCAGGTGATCTGCCCTCCTCAGCCTCCCAAAGTGCTGGGATTACAGACGTGAGCCACCGCACCTGGCCTATAATTCTGTTCTTGAGGATAAAAGTAGAAAGGACTTTTTTGAAACTTCAGTTAGCAATACATTAGAATATTTGATTGAAAATCAGAATTACATGAATCTGATTTTCAGCAGGCAGCAGAAGCTTCCGGCTTGTAGCCAAAAAGAAAGTCTGGAAAGCTAGATGGGAGTGTCTTGGAGAGGAGGGATGGTACTGGAGAGGGGTCTGTCCATGAACCGTAGGAACTCTGGTGGTTGACATGTGTGTCTATACCAGGTAAGAGGAAAAAGCAGACGGCAGAGTGAGACAGAGTCCGTGGCTTTGTCATCTTCAGAGAAGGTGGTAGTAGCGATTTGTGGACTTAATTATTTTCTACACTATTGTCTTTCCATGAATCACTTCAGTATGTAGCAAGATAGGGCTTCCAAAGCAACAGACTTGTGGTGGTCTTCTCGAACTCAGTGCTGTACATAGTTCTTTGACTGTACCTGATAGAATGTTTTTGGTTTTGTTTTTTGTTTTGAGATGGGGTCTTGCTTTATCACCCAGGCTGGAGAGCAGTGGTGCGATCTCAGCTCACTGCAACCTCCACCTCCCAGGCTCATGCCATCCTTCCGCCTCAGCCTCCTGAGTAACTGGGACCACAGGCACACGCCACCTCGCCTGACTAATTTTTTGTATTTTTAGTTGTGACCAAGTTTCACCATGTTACCCAGATTGGTCTCAAATTCCTGAACTCAGGTGATCCGCTGCCTCGGCCTCCTAAAGTACTGGGATTACAGGTGTGAGCCACTGCGCCCGGCCTATTATTTTATTTTTATTTCTTGACTTCTTTATTTCTGCTCATTTTATAAAGGAAGAGTTATAGAATTTTTAAAACCAGATCTCTTTGGATTGTAATATTTAGATTAGATTTGATGAATAACTTCCTGACAGTGTTTAAACTAGCATGAATTTACCTCAGTGTACAATCTCTAACATGTTTTCCAATGCCAACATTTTATGAAATATATATAAAAATGTGGAATGCTTCATGAATTTGCTTGTTATCTTGTGCAGGGACCATGCTAATCTTTTCTGTATCATTCCAGTTTTAGTATATGTGCTGTCAAAGTGAGCACGCCAGCATTCTTTAAGTTTCTCTAAAATGAAGTGGAATCTCCCTAGAAGAGTAATAAAAGAAGGTAGATTGCTCGGTCAACAAATGATTATTTATTTAGGGGGAAGGGAAGGGGGATCTCCTATGTCTGCCATGCTTATAAGATAGTACTGCTTAAAGCAAGGGGTATAGATAGCTTTTTATTTGAGAGGAGGGAATGTTTAACTATGTTCACATTTAAAATGTCCAAATGGTAGAGAAGAGTATTTTTCCCTTGTAAGGAAACAATAGAAGAATATTTAAAACAGCTTTTCCTTGGATATTCTTTCTGAAAATTTCCATGCATATGTTAGGTTAAACCATACAAACTTGCCATTTTTTTAGGTGAACAGTTGTTAATTAAGTATTGGCAGTTTCAGATAGTTCAACCTAATACAATCATTATATATACATGTGCTTTTAAAATATATATGTAATAATCACAGTTTAGCTTTATCAAGCAATTAGAATGTATTATCTTCATTAGTCCTCACAATTCCTCTGTAAGATCATACTATTGTTTTCCTCAAATGAAAAAATTGTGGTATAGAGAGGATTAGTTGCTTCCCCAAAGTTCT
Source organism: Homo sapiens (assembly GCF_000001405.40). NCBI lineage: Eukaryota > Metazoa > Chordata > Mammalia > Primates > Hominidae > Homo > Homo sapiens. Next base: position 26,367,002 of record NC_000018.10, read on the forward strand.
ATAATTAGTAAGTAGAAGAACCCAAGTACATGTCCAAAGAAATGTGTGCTTTTAAGTACTCTAATAGGATCATCCTAAAAGCACTATTCTATAATTTGTGGGACAGTGTGTCTTGGACATTAATAGGATTCTCCAAAAGAGCATACCAGTAGGATATACATATGTACATGTATGTACAGGGATATTAAAAATGAGAATTGGCTGACATGATTATGGAATCTGAGAAGTCTCACGCTATGCTGTCTGCAACCTGGAGACCCAGGTAAGTTGGTGGTATAATTCAGTCTGAATGTGAAGTCCTGAGAAACAGGGGAGTCAATGGTGTGGTGTAACTCTCAGTCCAAGGCGGAAGGCCTGAGAATGGGTATGGGGAATTAACTGGAGGTGGGTCACTGGTGTAAATACGGGAATGAGAACCTGGAGCTCTGATGTCTGAAGGCAGAAAATGCATGTACGAGCTCTAGAAGAGAGAGTGAGTTTGCCCTTTCTTTATCTTTTTGTTCTATCCAGGCCCTCAACTGATTGGGTCATGCATCCTTACATTGGTAAGGGTGGTTCTTCTTTATTCAGTCTGCTGATTCAAATGCTAATCTCTTCCCAAAACACTCTTATAGACACACAGAAACAATGTTTTACCAGCTATCTGGGTAACCCTTAGCCCAGTCAAGTTGGCACATAAAATTAACCATCATAGACATTTTCCCATACTGTTACATATCCACTGATAGACATTTAGAATATTTTCACTTGTTTGTTATAAATAATGAGCATCCTGTTTTATCTTCATGTAATCATTTGTTTTACAGGATTGATTTCTAGAAGTGGAACTTTTGGGTCCATGGACATGCACAAAATTTAATAGACACTCATAATGCTTACCAAAAGCATTCCAAAAGTTTCCACTGCTGATTGAGTGCCTATTTTTCCATTTTCTTGCTAGCAGTAGATATGATCAATCACTTAAAAATGTTTGTCACTGCAATTTTTTATTTATTGCATCTCTACCGTTCCTTTGTGCTCTCTTCAAAGGTCAAAGTTCTGTTTTTACATGGAAATATGGTGTAGAAGTGTTGAACAACCTCTAAAATACCCTATGTGAGAAATACTTAGATTATAAAACATTTATTTAAGTATTAAAATCATTTAGGGATAGTTTTTTTTATAACTTAGAAATGTGTACATTTTCAAATAGAGAACCAGGTTGAATTCTTATGGATATTTAAATGATCTTAAGTAGGTGTCATTTTCTTTACCATATTTGCTAGTTTTCATCATTTGAGGATAGGGTTAGATTATAATTGAAATACTAAGCCTGAAATTATTTTGGAAAACCCAAAGGCTTAAAACCTTTTGGGGACAAACAGTATTTCTTAAAGATAATTGTCTGTTTCTGGTTGCTGTTACAGGTGATTCTTCACTCTGAAAAGGTGCATAAGTAATTTAACTAAAAGTCTATTCACATGAAAGGCCCAGATTTAATTTGCATTTCCTTAAGGGGCACAGATAGCAGTCCCTCTTTACCTCCATTCTCTTCTACCAGGCTACAGGGGACCACAGTTTTCTAAAGGGTTCCTTATTTGTTTATTATAGCTGACTTATTAGATGTTTAAACAGATTTATTGTCATCTAACTCTTTTTATAAATGTATAGATTCAGTAGAATTTAGAACATGCCGTTACCTTAGACAAAGCAGCTCCTTATATTTTAAGATTTTTTTTTTTTTACATTCTGTTTTGTTCACACTTCATGAACAAATCTGCCTTGCTATTCATAAATGACCTAGACATAAATCTGAATTTTTAGTTTGGTCTTTAAAATTTTCCAAAGACTTAAAGGTTGACTCTTTGTCAGCTATCTTTATGGACTTACTATGAAATATGTTAAGTTGCATATTATTGGCTTATCATTTTTTCACAAGTCCCACATAGAGAGGCTGAAAACATATATTAACAAGAACAAAGAAGAAAGGAGAAAAATGGTAGTAAGGGTATTCAGTAGAATTTGAGAGTTGATTCAAACTAGTGACTAGAGGCATTCTTTCTGAGAAAAATAACTAGCCTAAGAGAGGAAAGAGGAAGCTTGAAATACTAATAGTCAGGTGCATTACTTTTAAATAACAACAGATTGGCAAGGATCGCCAGATATTTGAGGAAAAACCTTTATGTGAAAGATAAAAGGGAGAATATGGAAGAAAAACAAGGCATGAAGCAGAAGGAAACTAAAAAAAAGGGAAAAGAAAGGAAATGGAATATTTTGCAACCGTTACACTAGACTAGAAGGGTATTTGAAAGAAAAGCAGTTGGGGAAAATGAAATACCCCTTTGGAAATGTAAGGTATACTGAAAGAAATAAGCAATGATAAAAGAGTTAGAAGTTAAGACTCAGGACTGCTCCAAGAAAGTTACCTGTTTTTAAGACAAAGATGGTGTGCTGGACTTGTATTGTGTCAAACCAGCTAAGCTGGAACTGTTTCCCAGATTTCTTTTTTCTTTTGCATCCTTAGCAAGGGCCATGAAGCATTTTGACTTTGAAAGGTAAGTGTGAAACTGCAGCCATATTCTTTTGCTTAGAAGATCAGGGTGAGGACAACAGATGCTGTTGCAGCTCAAAGGCGTTGCTGGCATGGGCTGGCACAGGCATTGCCCAGCAGCTGGGCTCCTTAGCTCCTCTTCTCTTTTGGCTCCTCTGAACCGTGGGCCAGACCTAGCACCAGATGCAGAGTTACAGCTGAACATGAACTGTTTAACTAGGTTAACAATTACACATGGCCAAATCTCTGGTAATGCCATATTTTGTATCATTTATAGTCTTCTCTGGTCAAATGCTAACTAATACAGGGCTTTATACCATTGGTAGCTGCAGAGGAGTAGCACCTTAAAAGATGGGTTCCTGAATTAGTTCTGGGTTTTCCAGAATTGGTTCTCTGGTCTAATCAGATCTAACAGCAATGATGATCCTGTCTCTAGTGGTAAAAGGGACACTGGTGGTCCGTGGCATACAGTGGCAAAACTTGTAGACAGTAGAAATTAAGTGCCCTTAGAAGGCAAGTTTTTGGGAGAACAAGTATTTATTACCACAGAACATTTTAGTGACAATAATAATGAGATAGATTGGTTCCTTCAAAGTACACTGGAGAACTTAAGAAAAGGGCTGTAAATTCTGAACTCAGAGTCCACATAAGGGAGTGAAATCATCTGTGATTGCCCTAAAAGAAATCCTTATGTCTTGTAGCCAAAGGCAGAGATTTCTGGACACCACACCCAAAGTCTGTTTCCTGCAGGTGGCTGAATTACAGCGCAGATTGAACTTCCAATCTTGTAAGATCTCTTGGGTTAAAGTGTACAACATTTATTGGGAAAGAGTGGAAAATTAAAAATTGCATGAGAGATATTAGCAGATTCCAATGAAACTGGGTATCTTGAACTCCTCAGTTCTATTTCTATTGAACCACCCTTGCCAGTCCTTCTACCCCTGTCTGTCTGAAGGAGGTTAATCTCCTGTAGCACCTGTATTGACTTCCCTTAAGGAAGTTGCCTTACATGGGACTACTGATCTTCCTCAGGACCTATCCTCACCACCTCTCATTGCTTCTATACCTATAATCAGCCTCAGGTTCCAGCAGCCCCCAGAGAATGAGGTACGAAGCACCTGATTTTGCCTGCAGTTACCTGAGGGGATGGTGTGGGAATGGATCCTAAGGGTGTAGGTTCAGGGTAGAAGGAATATAAAGTTGGATCAGGCTGAAGTTATTGATATGGACTCACCAATAGAGATACTAGACAGAAGACATTAGATCAGAGAGAAGGCTAGGAGTGGCTTTAACAGTTAATTCAGTTGGTTGACTTAAAGCTAGATCAGAAGGTGGCCTGAAAGTGAAATTGAGATAGATGATAGAACTTTATTTGTATATTGTAAATATTTGTATCCAAAGGCTTGGGGAAATTGGGATGCTAGAGTGGATTTATCATGTAGGTCCTGATCACACATGTGGGTCCAGAGGATATTCATTTTATCAAAGCTGTGAGAAATAAGGAATTCTCAAAAAAGACCCAACTAAGATTCAGATTTATGTTTAGGTCATTTATGAATAAGTGAGGCAGATTTGTTCATGAAGCGTGAACAAAACAGAATGTTAAAAAAAAAATCTTAAAATATAAGAAGCTACTTCATTTAAAGTAACAGCATGCTCTAAATTCTACTGAATCGACACATATTTATAAAAAGTGTTAGATGACAATAAGTCTGTTTAAACATTTAATAACTCAGCTATAATAAGTAAATAAAGAACACTTCAGAAAACTGTGGTCCCCTGTAGCCCGGTAGAAGAGAATGGAGGTAAAGACCTGTGCCCCTAATTCTTACCATTTCCTTATTTCTCTATTCATGAGGGGAGCCTCACCACCCTTCAGGAGCTCTGTTGGCTATTTACTTTAAATTAGTAATGACAGGGGAACTGCTGACATCAAACTAGGTCCTGGAATTCATTGGGAATGATAGGATTCCAGGTGGCAGAGGTAGGAGTGTCATTTAATTGCTAAAGACAAGGTGAATGTGATTACCGTAATGGTCAGCAAAGTCAGTGCAGTAATCAGAATAGTCTGAGCTGCAGAGATCTTTGATATTGGCTAGGTGATCATGGTATCCCTAGAACGGAAATAGATGGGCAATCTAGTCTTCCTTGATTTGTATAAACATATAAGCTCTAGGTCTGGTGAACAGATGGGTGACTTTGATGATCTCAGTAAATGATTATACTCCCGCAACTAGTCCCCAAATTTAAGCCAGTTTACAGACCCCAAGACCTTTGAATGAAGGAAAAGCCAGGTCCTCTTGAGGAAAGACCCTGCCTCACAGTGAGAAATTCTACTGTGAATTTCTTTCTAGCCTTTCCTCAAAGGGCCTGCAGCCATTTGCCAGAGTGATTGTGCACTGGGGAAGGGGAAATAATTAGACACTTTAGGGATTGGTAGACACTGGGGCTCAATGTATAGGAAATATAGGAGACCCAAAACACCGTTGTTTTCCATTAGTTAATGGAGTTTTGGCATAGATCTGCCTCACAACGGATCCTGAACCCACAACATGGTTATTTCCCCATTCCTGGAATGGAAAATTGGAATGAATAAACTCAGCGACTAACAGTTCCCACATTGGTTTCCTGACCCATGGAAGTGAGAGAAAGTAAAATGGAAGCTACTAGAATGGTGTCTACCTACCAAAATAGTAAACTTTCCTGGAGGAATTGCAGAGCCACCATAAAGGATTTGAAAAATGCAAGAGTGGTGATTCTTATTACATTCCCATTCACCTTGCCTATTTGGCTTTGGAGAGTGACAGTGGATTACCATAAACTTAATCCAGGTGATTTCAATTGCAGGTATTTTTTCCAGATGTGCTTTTGTTGCTGGAGCAAATCTATACAATCCCTGACTTTTGGTATGCAGATATTGATCTGGCATACACTTCTTTTCTGTATACCTATTAGTAAAGACCATCAGAATCAGTTTACTTTTGACTGGCAAGGTTTGCATTACACTCTTACTAACCTACATCAGGGCTATATTAAGTCTTATGACGTATCAAGTCTTATGCAAAGGACCTGGATAGCCCCTTCCTTCCACATATTTTGCCTATCCGTTATGTTAATACCATGCTGATTGACCTGGTGATCAAAAAATAATAACACCGGCTGGGCGCGGTGGCTCATGCCTGTAATCCCAGCACTTTAGGAGGCTGAGGCGGGTGGATCACGAGGTCAGGAGATCGAGACCATCCTGGCTAACCCAGTGAAACCCCGTCTCTACTAAAAATACAAAAAAATAGCCGGGCATAGTGGCGGGTGCTGTAGTCCCAGCTACTCGGAAGGCTGAGGCAGGAGAATGGCGTGAACTTGGGAGGCGGAGCTTGCAGTGAGCCGAGATCGCACTCCAGCCTGGGCAAAAGAGCTAGACTCTGTCTCAAAAAAAAAAAAAAAGTAACAACACCTCTTGACAGTTTAGTAAGGTGCTTGCATACCAGAAGGTGAGCAATGAGTCCCACAGAAATGTAGGGGCCTACTATCTTGGTGAACTTTCTAGGGCTTCAGTAGTTGGGAGCTTGTTGAGAAACCCTTTCCAAGGTAAGACAACTTGTGTCAGCCCCTCTCCCTTCACAGAGAGAGACACGTTTGGATTTTAAAGGCAACATGCACCTCATTTAATTTGAAATGGGGATTGACCCCTTTCTATGAGCCTTGCTCCACCTTATTACCCTAGTCAGGAGGTCCAAAGCTTGCCCTCTTCTCTTAGTTTTAGTGTGTGGAATCTATCTCCCACTTTCTCTTAGTGTTTTATCTCCAGTGGGCTTTTCACTGTCAGCTCTTCCCAGGTCCCTTTCCTGTTATTGTCACTCATACCTTTTGATTCCTTAGACTGGTGATTTCTTTTAGTTCCTGCCTTCCTCTTTAATTTTAATTTTTAAATTTAAAATGTTTATATTAATCAAAATCAATATATGTATATTGTAGAAAATATAAAAAGAAATTAAAGGTTATCTAAAAAAATGTTTTGCCAATTGCTTTCCTCTTAAAGTGAACTAGTTTACATTCCTACCAGTGTTGTATGAAAGTGTTTATTAGCATCTCATCAATACTGGATATTATTATTTTAAAAAATTATCCATGATGGCATTTGTCATCTCTCAGTCTTTTTAATTGAATTGGTAATCTTCTTTCCATCCTTTTTTTAGGAGTTGTAATATACTTGTTGAGATGGCATTTGTATTCATTCATTCATTTATTCATTCCTCCCTCCCTCCCTCTGTTCACCCAGTGTTACTGAGTACAATGGCTAGGTCTCAGCTTGCTTGGAATTTAGTAGTCCAAAAAGTTAGCTTTCTTTATCATAGCAGTGCTGGATTTATGCCACTATAGCCTTTTCTGCCTTAACACAAAGCATGATTAGGGATGTACGAGGGGAGCCCATGATGTACCTTGTTAGCATGGTGGCCATGATAGCCAGCCATAGATACTTGTTAAACTGAAAATTATCAGTTTATTATTAGCAAAATATTGAGCTCACAGAATTTAAGATTCCCATGTCTTTTCCTCAAGTATTTCTAGTGTTACATTCCACTGTCCCATTAAGTATTTCAGTTACTGTTCTTCCCAGGGCAAATTGTGTGTTAATGGTGTTTTATATGTAATATTTGAGGCTTTACATGGTATTTTTTTCTTCATATCACTTTAATTATAGTTAGCCTAATCATGAGCTTATGCTAAGAAATTTTTTTTAAAAGGCTGTCCAGCTTTAAGATAATTTCTATGAGCTTTCAGGCTCCCAGGAAACAGTTTTTGAAACACTCCGTCTGCCTGCTTCTTCTATAATTTAGAGTACTATTACTCTCCTTAAGTTGTAGTATTCTCACAGGACCAGTTATATTGTTATTATTCCATAATGTTGTACCTGTCTCTTTCTGCCTTTATGCAGCTGTTTGGTTTACACTTCAGTGACTATGAGAAGCATGAATTGCCTGTTACATAGGATTGCCTATAATAAGTATCAGTCAGGTCTTAGAGGGTTTTCCAAAGTGATCAATGAGTGTTGATTAACAACAAACCAACGTTTATGGGAAAAGTGGTTGGTAACTGTATTACCTTTTCATAGTTTAAATGATGGTTAATTTCTCTGTGAAATTTGTCCCAGTTAGATGTTCAGATTTTCAATTAATGTTATCCACAATACCGAGTTTACATGAAAAACAATGAATCTGCTTAGGTATACCTTATAATGATATTTAGTGTACCCTATTTAGCTTCTGTTTATGTATGCATTTTTCTCAAGAATTCCATGGAATATTGAAGGAAAAGTAAACATAAGTTGATTTTGAAGTGTTTATTTGAACTTGTTTTGGCTTATCAGGTGTGTGCCAACTTTTTTCATCGAGATATAATTCATGTACAATAAATTCACTTTTGTAAAGTGTCCAGTCCAGCTCTTTTTGGTATATTCAGAAGACTGTGTAATCATCCCCACTATTTAATCCCAGAACATTTTCATTACCCTACAAAGAAATAGCTTGTTTATTTGGCCATTAGCAGTCATCCTCTCAGTTCCTGACAACCGGTAATCTATTTTTCAGTCTGTAAGGATTCACCTATTCTAGGCATTCATACAAACGGAATCGTACAACATGTGGCCTTTTGTGTCTGGCTTCTTTCACTGAGCATAATGTTTTCATGGTCTGCCTCTATTGTAGCATGTATCAGTACTTCATTCTTGTTTTTGATTGAATAATATTCCATTGTATGAATATGCATTTTGTTCATTCATCAGCTGAAGGACATTTGGTTGTTTATACTTTTTGCTATTATAAGTAATGCTGCTATGTACATTCATATATAACTTCTTAGGTGGTCATGTATTTTCATTTCTCTTGGGTATATCCCTAATGTCTGGGTCATATGGTGACTATGTTTGGTGTTTTTGGGAACTGCCAAACTGCTTTCCATAGCAACTGCATGATTTGACTTTTCCATCCACAATGCACAAGGGTTCCACTTTCTCCACATCCTTGCCAACACTTGTTATTGCCTTTTAAAAATTTTATTACTGCCATTGTAATGTGTGTAGAAGTAGTATCTCATTGTGGTTTTACTTTGCATTTTCCTGAAGACTAATGATGTTGAGCATCTTTTCATGTGCTTGTAGACCATTTGTACATTGACTTTCTAGAAATAAGTTCAATTTATCAATTTTTTCTTTGGTTACTTGTATTTAGTTGTCATATCCAAAAAAACCATTACTTAATCCAGTGTCACAATAATTTATGTTTTCTTCTAGGAGTTTTATAGTTTTAGCTCTTACATTTACATCTTTGATCCATTTTGAGTTAATTTTTGTATATGGCGTCAGGTAGGGGCCCAAATTCATTCTTTTGCGTGTGGCTATCCAGTTGTCCAGGCATCATTTTTTGAAAACATTATTCTTTCCCCATTGTATGATCTCAACAGCCTTGTCAAAACTCAGTTGATAGTAGATATATAGAATTATTTCTAGGATCTCGATTCTATTTCATCAATCTATGTATCTGTCCTTACACCAGTACCACACTGTCTTGAGTACTATAACTTTGTAGTAAGTTTTGAAATTGGGAAGTGTGAGTCTATTTGTTTTCAAGATCATTTTAACTATTATGGGTCCTTTATATTTTCATGCGTATTTTAGGATCAGCTTGTTAATTTCAACCAAAAAAAAAAAAAAGGTAGACAGTATTTTGATAGGAATTGCATTGAATATATATAGACAAATTTGGGTAGTATTGCCAACTCAGCAATATTAAATAGTCTTTTCATTGATATTCCTCAGTTTCTTTCAACAATGTTTATAGTTTTCAGTGAACAAGTCTTGTACCACTAGTTAAATTTTTTCCTAAATATTTTACTATTTTTGATGCTGTTGTACATAGCATTGGTTTCTTAATTTTATTTTTGGGTTGTGCATTGTCAGTGTATAGAACTACTATGTAGTTTTGTACATTGATTTTTTTTTTTTTATCCTGCAGCCTTGCTGAACTTGTTTATTAGTTCTAATAATTTTTTGTGAGTTTCTTGGGATTTTCTATATACAAGATCATGTCATCTGCAAATAGTGGTAGTTGTATTTCTTTCACTTCTGGATGCCTTGTTATTTCATTTTCTTGCCTAATTGTCCTGGCTAGAACCTCCAGTACTAGTTGAGTAGAAATGGTGGAGCAGACATCCTTTTTTATTTCAGAATTTAGGGGAAAAGAGTTCAGTCTTTCACCAGTAAGTGTGATGTTAGCAGTGGGTTTCTCATAGATGCTTTTTTTTAAGGTTGAGGAGGTTTCCCTTCTATATTTATGGTTTGTTTAGTCTTTTTATCATGAAAGAATGTTAGGTTTTTTCAAATGCTTTTTCTGCCTCTTTTGAGATGATCGTGCTTTTTTTTCCCCTTTATCTAAAGAAGGTGTATTACATTGATTGATTTTTATGTATTGAACCCACTTTGTATTCCTGGGATAAATCTCACTTGGTTATTGGTGTATAGCACTTTTTATATACTGTTAGTTTCTGCTTGCTAGTATTTCATTGAAGAGTTTTGCATCCATGTTCATAAGGAATAATGGTCTGCAGTGGTTTTTTCATGATGTCTTTAGCTTGTTTAGGTATCAGAGTAATACCATTCTTGGAGAATGGATTAGAAAGTGTTCCCTCCTCTCCTATTTTTTAGAAGAGCTTGTGAAGTATTGGTGTTAATTCTTCTTTAAATGTTTGATAGATTTCAATAGTGAAGCCATCTGGCCCTGTGCTCTTTGGGAAAACTTTATTGATTACGATTCAATCTCTTCCTCTAGGATCATGTGCCAGTTTAATTCATCTTTTGCTTCTTAGCACTAGGCATATATGTGGTCTTGTATCCTTTTTTATTCTTTGTTCCTCAGTGTTCCTTCTTAACTCTGCATATATGAGTAGATGCTAGAAGCCTAGCAAACCTTGTCATTACATGGTTATGTTGTGTTTTGATTGCAACAAGTTTAAATATTAAAACCGTAAAGTAGATTAATTAGTATCTGCTTGCTTTAACTTGAATGTGTTATCAAGGAGATTTAGTTGTTTGCTACTACTCTTCTGGCACAAAGAACACCATGGGAATACCCAGGCGTTTTGTTGTTGTTTTATTGTTTTAACCCAGTATTATACGTAAATGGGCCATTCACCAGGTCTGTTCATGACAGTTCATCTTCTGGATTTATTACTCCTCTCAGTAGTTTGCTAATGTTATTGTGTGTTACAGTTTGTTGCTGTTGACATGCTTTCAGTGGTTGTATTTGGCTTCCGTCATTAGGGATTTCAACAAAATCAGTTATTCTTCATCGTCCTACACTAGTATTACATGTAGCAAATAAAAGTATGTACATTTGTCCTTGGAAGTTAAGTAAGTAAAGGTAATTGTTAGTTAAATTATTAGCTTTGGAAATAAAATGGCAAGCTAGATTAAGTCTAGTAATTAGATGTTTTTTAAAATGCTGCTTATATGTGTTTTTGACCATTAGCTTATAGACCGTTTTCAACTGTACTCCTATGGGGCGTTTGGAAATGTGTGAAGGGGTGGTGTTTTGACACAGTGATTCAGTGAAGGGTGGGGTGGGTTGTGTGCTGTTGGCATTTTGTGGCTTGGGGCCAGCAGTACTAAACATTGCACATCGTGAGGGGGCAAATTCACTTAATTTAGCTTACCCAAAATTCTAATAATATCCCCATTGAGAAACACTGATACATAAATTTCTCAAGCATTTCAGTAATATTTATAAAATTGAGTTACCATACTCTAGGATCTTATAGTATCTTTCAGGTAACTTTTAAAATTTACAAACATCTTTTCACATAAGTGTTGGAGTAAAAATTTCTGTAGCTATCATAATGTTTGTGGATGTAGAATTCCAGCTTGACAAACTTCTCATACTTCTATACCAAAGTACACCAGATCATAAGAAAGAGTAACCATGTTCCTTTGGGGAAGTCTTCAGGAAGGGTTGACTTTGAAATCTCAATTTTAAGTTAAAAATTGAAATTAACTTTGCATTTGCTTTTCAGATTGAGGTATAATTTATATACAATAGAATGTATTGGTTTTAATTGTAACCACTATCCCAGATAAGATATAAAACATTTCTGTGATCCCCAGAAAGTTCTATTATGCCTTTTACCACCTGCAACCCCCTCTGCAATTACTGATCTAATTTCTGTTACCATAGCTTAATCTTTCCTGTTTCAGAACTTTGTAGAATTGGGAACCATATGATAATGTAGTCTTGTTTCTGAATTATTTCACTCATAATGTTTTTGAGATTTATTCACATTATGCATATCAGTAGTACATTCTTTTTAGTGCTGAGTTGTCTTCTGTTGTGTAAATACTCCATAATTTGTTTATTCAGTGTTACTGGACTGTTTTCAATATTTGGCTAGTATGGATAAAGGTGCTTTATCCATATAAAGCTACATTCTTGTAAAAGTCATTTTGTGGCCTATGTTTTCATTCCTCTTTGCTAAATACTTAGGAGTACTACTGTTGGATCATAGGTGTATATTTAATCTTAAGAGACTCTAAACTGTTTTTCAGATGGTTGTACCATTTCATACTCCCTTTAGCAATGTACTTTTATTTTCATAGTGGTGACTTTTGGAGGAGCAGAAGGTTTTAATTTTGACGAAGTCCAATTTATCATTGTCTTCTTTTATAATTAGTACTTGCTGTATCCTAAAAAAACCTTTGTGTACCCCATGTTGTGAAGATTTACCCTGTGTTTTCCTAGAAGCTTTATAGTTTTAACTTTTATGTTATAGGTCTTTGATCTATCTTGATTTAGTATTTGTGTCTGCTGTGAAGTGGGGGTTGAAAGTTTATTTTTTCACATACAGGTATCCTGTTACTCTACCCCATTTATTAGAGAAGGCTTTCCCCATTGCATCACCTTATAGCTTATGTTGAAAACCAATTAACTATATATGTGGACATATCTATACACATACTCTATTCTGTTTGTTTATTTTTCTCTATTTATGCCATACTACAATCTCTCTTGATTACTGTAACAGTTTAGAAATCAGATAGTGTGAGTGTTCCAGCTTTGTCCTTTTTTAAAACAAGGTTATTTTTGGCTATTCTGTGTCCTTTGTATCTTCATATGAATTTTTAGAATCATCTTGTCATTCTTACAAAAATGTCTAGGTATTCTTTATTAGGATGGCATTGAATCTATAGATCAATTTGCAGAGAATTTACATCTTAGCAATACTGAGGCTTCTAATATTGTTCCATTTACTTCTGTCATCTTTATCTCAATGTTTTAGTTTTCCATGTACAAGTCTTTGACATCTTTTATCCATTTATACATAGGTATATTTTTTTGATGCTATTGAAAGTAGTATTTTAAAATTATATACTTTCCAATTGTTTGTTGCTAACATATCAAAGTAAAGTTGATTTTGACATAGATCTTGTATCCTCCATTCTGCTAAATTCACTTAATTGTTCTAGAGGTTTTTTGGAATAAATGTCTTAGGATTTGCTAAGCAAATCATGCTGGCCACAAATAAAAATAAGAGTACTTCTTCCTTTCCAATCTTTATGCTTTTTATTTTCTTTTCTTGCCTTAGAGCACTGGCTAACTTCCCCATTACTATGTTTAATAGAAGTGGTGAGAGCAGACATCCATGCCTTATTCCTGATCTTAGAGGGAAATTGCCTGTAATTAACCTTACACATTTCTTTTCTACATTTAAAGCTATACAATTCCATTTGTTTTCTACTTTAGCCTCAACCCTACAAATTTAGATATGTTGTGTTTTTATTATCAACTTTGAAGATATTTCCTAACTTCCATCCTGGTATCTTTTTTGACCTACAGATTATTTAGAAGTATGTTGTTTAATTTCCAAATGTTTGGTGTTTTCATTGTGGTCAGAGAACATAGCCTGATTTTAGTCCTTTAAGTTTACTATGACTTGGGCTTGCATGGTTTGTCTTGATGAATACTGAATGTCTTTCTCGTGAATTGCCTCCTTCTGTCCTTGCGAATTGATCTTCCTTTCTAGTAATATTCCTTGTCTTGAAGTCTGCTTTGTTTTTTTAAAAGTTTTATTTTAGTGCTTTGCCTGATACTATTATAGCCATGTCAGCTTTCTCACCCTTAGTATTTACATAGTTCATCTTTTTTCCTTTGGTTTACTTCCACCTTATCTGTGTCTTTGTTTAAAGCAGGTCTCTTATAAATAACATATAATTGAGTTTTGATTTTTTTTTTTTACCAGAATGAGAATTCACTTGGAGTGTTTGGTTCAATAGTTAATGTAAATACTGCTATGACTGGATTTAAGTCCATCATCTTGCTGTTCATTTTTAATTTTCCCAGTTTTTTTCTCCTTTTCTGCCATCTTTTGAGTTAATCAAGCACTATTTTAGTATTCTATGCTACGTTGTCTGTTTCCTTTTTAGTTAATAGTCTTATTTATATACCTACTTATCTTTTGAGACAGAGTCTTGCCCTGTCGCCCAGGCTGGAGTGCAGTGGCACAATCATTGCTCATTACAGCCTCGACCTCCCAGGTTCAAGCGATCCTCCCACCTCAGCCTCTGGAATAACTGGGACCACAGGCACACACCACCACGCCTGGCTAATTTTAGCATTTTTAGTAGAGGTAGGGTTTCACCATGTTTCCCAGGCTGGTCTTGAACTCCTGGGCTCAAGGGACCTGCCTGCCTCGGCCTCCCAAAGTGCTGGGGTAACAGGCGTGAGCCACTGTGTCTGGCCCTTTTATTTTTTTTAATGGTTGCTGTGACTCTGTTCAGAGGTACAATGTGCATCCTTAACTGACTACACTTGGCTTTGAATTAATACCACTTCACACAAAATGGAAGAGTCTTTTAAAACCAAGTAATTTGGCTGGGCGCGGTAGCTCACGCCTGTAATCCCAGCACTTTGGGAGGCCAAGGCAGGCGGATCACCTGAGGTCAGGAGTTCGAGACCAGCCTGACCAACATGGAGAAACCCCATCTCTACTAAAACTACAAAAGTTAGCCGGGCTTGGTGGCAGGTGCTTGTAATCCCAGCTACTCGAGAGGCTGAGACAGGGGAATCGCTTGAACCTGGGAGGCAGAGGTTGCGGTGAGCCGAGATTGCGCCATTGCACTCCAGCCTGGGCAATGAGCGAAACTCCGCCTCTAAATAAATAAATAAATAAATAAATAAATAAATAAATAAATAAATCCAAACCAAATAGTTAATTATACACACCCTTCCATCCTTTGTGCTATTGTTGTCACCTACTTTACTGCTACATATGTTCTAACCTCCCTGATATGTTATTATTAATGGTCATATATCTTTTAAAGAATTTATGAAAATAAAAATGGTTTTTTTATGTTTCCAATTTCTAATGGTTTCTCTTTTTTTCTATAAATTCATATTTCATTCGAGTTATTTTTCTATCAGCCTGTATGCAACTCACCAACTCTAGAATTACTAGAGTTTTAAACAAAGCTACTGTTAATACATTTAAAGATATTGATAAATTCACCTTTAGTTTTGAGGCACAGCAACCCTTATTATATTATAGCTCTTACTTATATTCACAGTTCTCCAAGGAAAAATCAAAGCTAATTCTTAAAGAAAAATGTTTAGCAGTCCTTTGAATAAATTTTAAGAAAATAATAGGTAAAACCGATCTCTGGACATAGTTTATGTGAGTTTTCAGAGGTCTTTGCAAGTGTCTTAGTAAAAGTTTAAAGAAAATAACCATAGTGTAAGTAGGAAAGTCTTGACATGAGGTTGTCAGCTTGGCCATAGGAAATAATCAATTTACTGCCTTTCAGAATTCACTGTTTATTTGGCTTTTTGCTGTTCTTGTGTGTCGAATTCCTTGGTGGGCTGAAGCACTTTCTTAATGTTTGGAGAAAATGGCAGAAAATAGTCTTTTGAACAAATTCCATCTAGTAGCAGTTTGGTGGGGATGAGTAGGTGAGGTAAGATGTTAGAGGGCTGGGTAATAGTTGTGAATAAACCATCAAAGGACTTTACATACCCCACCTTTCACCCCAGATTGGTTTGGCTTAAAGCTGACAATGACAGCAGGATCTTGAATTAGAAGGTCCAAAGCTCATAGGGTGGTTTATTTTCACTGTTTATTCATATAAGTGATGTTATTGGGTGACTCCAAACACATGGTTCTCCTACAGATGATATCACCTAAATGCCAAACACTGTAAAGTATTCACAGGTACAAAATCTTTTTATTCTAGTAAGTGATAAGTTAAAGAGAAAATTACATTGCACTGAAGACGTATGATGGTAGAGGGAAATAAAAAGTACTACTAAAGTGCATAGGAGTTGCACCTAGGCTAGACCTGGGGTAAGTTTGTGTTTGTAGGCACTGGGGACACTTGATATCCTAGCTGAATCCAAAAGAACTTAGATGATGTGGCAATAAGGATAGGATCAGTGGAGTTCAGTGAAGAGAGAATGCTATGTGCAATTAATTGTCTGTATCAAAAAGGAAAAATATTTTGTTCATAATCAATAGTTTGAGACAAGAAGAAAGGAATGAGAGATGAGACTAGGGAGAGAAACTTTGGTGTGGTCATGGATGGCCATATATGTCATGCTTAGATGTTTAGACTTGGTTCTTATAGGAAAATCTTAGCCACTGGAGCATTTCAAGCAAGAAAACAATTTTGTCAGATTATTTTTGAAAGATCCTTCTCACTGCAGTGTAAGCAATATTAACACTGGAAATAGGGAGGTTTTTTAGAAGGCTGTTGAAGTAATCTAGGCAGAAGATAATGGAAGTGAAAATGTAAAAGTAGATGGCTTAGAAACTATTAAGGGGGTAGAATAGATAAGTGGCAGATGGACTATAGAGAAAGATTTGAGGATGACATCCAATTTTCTGGCTTAGGCATTCCTTGAAATGAAGAGGAGGAAGGGAAGGAATGATAGTTTGAAACATGTAGAATTTGGGATACTTATAATACATTCAATTGGAAATCATTAAGAAATTGAACAGTGGCATCTGGAAAATGAGAGAGCGTTCTGTTGGAGATAAAGATGGGGGTGATCATTAGCTATGACAGGCAGTATATTATCTCTATAGCTCTCATAATTACAGAGCTAGAATTGTAACTTGAAGCCAGTGATTCCGTGTCACATCAGTGTTTTCTTCTGTAAAGTACTATTGAAACATAGACATTTAGGAGTGATGAAATGGGGCAGAAGTTAACATGCAGTGTTGTCTGTATTCTGAAATAACTAGAAAGGAATAAAATGAAGGTGATAAAGATGAGAGATCTGTTGCTTCAGAAGTTCTGCTTGTTGACCAGCAGAGGGCAGTGAATTTTGAAGCTCAGTATTTTTCTGTCCTGTGTTCCCCTTTAAGGCCTAGAAGCTTGGGTATTGTGAATATAGATTTTCAGTGTTCTTGTTACACTGGGTCAGGTATCCAGGGCACATTTATTTATTTTTGCTTCTGAGACTTAGAAGATGTTCAGTTTTTTTTCTTTTTTCTGGAGCCAAGTCTTCATTCTACTCCCTATTTCTCACATTTGGACCTTGTTTCCTCCTTAAAGCTGAAAAGACTTGAGCTATCCCTTAAGAGCTGCCATGGTGGCATGAGGTTGGGACTTAGTGTAAATCAGGTAGAATCTGAGAATGTCATGAATCTTTGCCTCTTGATTCCTCTATTAAGAAATTCTCAGTTTTTGTGTTTGGTTAACTGTTCAGATTCAGGGACACAAATTTTGCTTTTATTAGTCGTAGGATTCAGGGAATTGAATGAAAGAGATTGACTTTTAGTTTCTAGAGACAATATTGAAAAGCTTAGTTGATTCTGTACAGCAGCAGGCTCCTCCACTATTTAATTTGAGGGGTGTAAGAAAAACTTACTGTCCACCCGTCACATGTCTGAAATGGCCATCAGTCTACTTTGGAGCTTTAGGCATTCAAGGCTCCCTTAAAATTCAGAAATTTCACTGAGAGGGACAAGGTAAGTATGGCAGCACAAATGATTTCTCTTGAGTTCAGTAACCAGTGATTTAGTGAAGACTTGAGATAATAGGACCTAGGTAGGAAAAGTTTAACTAGTTTTAACTACGGGATGGGAAAAAAGGTCTGGAGCTAGAATTACACTGTTTCCTGTTTGTAAACCTTCAGTGCCTTCCTACTGACTAGGGAATTCATTATGAGAATAGGGCCAACATTTAGAGAGCGTATGCCATTGTCATTTAATCTTCAAACCAGCCATTTGAGATAATTAGTGTTACTATCCCTATTTTGCAGATTCGGAAACTGAGGCACAGAGAAATTAAGTAATTTGAGATTGCCTATGGAGGAGACAACGAGTGTTTGCCACCATTCAGTTCTGTATATCTTATGCCGCCTAGCACAGTTCTTGCCCATAGTAGGTACCCAGTAACCCAGAGAATTTTGAATGGAATCAGAACGTAGACTAGCATGAAGCTACATTACCGTGGATGGTGGCTCTTGGGAGGAGAGGCCCGTATGGAGTCACTGCAAACCCCAACAGGATTCCCGAAGCCACTGGGTTCATAAAGATGTCCTTTCTGCTTCTGACTTAGAGCAGTCATCCAATTTAAGGAAATGTGGAAAAAGAAGTAGAAAAATCTTTAAAGGTTTTATTTCACAACACTGCTGTATTAAGTTGAGGGATAAAAATTGGATTACTAGTTATTTTTGGTTATTTAGTATCATTATTAAAATGGTGTTATTTATCTAAAATTGATAACTGATGATTTTCCATTTTTTCTTGTTAGAGCAATAGAGTTCCTCAGAAGTTTCATTATAAAAACAAGAAACTTAGTTCAGTGGTATAACAAAACAAATTAGGTGAGATAAGTTGTTAGTGGGCTGGGTAACATTAATGAGTAACAATTATGAAGGCTAACATAATTGATCTGGCAATTTTAGAAGATGTTAACATTTAGGTTTGAGTAGGCTTCCTAGGACATCTTTTGTGCACCTGGGAAATGAATTGGTCGTTTCATCTTTCATTTTCATCCAGGTGAAGAATCCAGATTAAGGAATATCCTCATGTAGAAAGTTACATGGGAAAACCTTCTATTTCCGAAGTGAACAGTACACTAACAGTGAGAAGAATAAACAGCGTTTTTTTTTTTTTTTCTTCTTCTTCTTCTTCTTCTTGCAAACTCTGGGCCCTTAACCACATTAGTATTCTTTGTGATTTCTAATGTGACCAGAAATCAGTCCTAGTCAACTCTGGGGAAAGGACTTGGTGAGGCAGAGGAAAATTAAAACTGATGGTGAAAAAGCAGGTTTGGTTTTTATGGCTGTAAGTTACCTGTGCACTCTCTACCCCCTTGACTGTGGATAACTGAGAGTAGCTGGTTATTCTGGCCAGGTCATTGTGATTGACAAGTTACAGTTGTGGACTTTGCCAAATCAAAGCTCAGGAATAAAAATGCTATATATTTTGTATTCAGATTCAAGAAAGATTGACTTTCTAAGTTAGCTGCTATTTGGGGGAAGAGAATGCTATCACCTTCATAAAGTTGTGAATTATGAAAGACATTTCTGTTGGGTTACTGAATGTCCCTTGGGGTTTTTTTCATTTATAACATTGCCTCAGGCTCTCTGCTGCATCCTGTTGGAATGACCTTCTTTTCAACTCTGTGCTGGCAGCTGTAATATGGCTCTTTCCCCTGAATCCTTCAGGCTTGTCACATGACAAACATGAACTGTGACCCCTTTGTTCCTTACTCAGATGATTAGGTCTCTTTATTTTTTTTTTCTGTTTGACAATTTTGCCTTATTGTCTTTCCTTTCCCCCCTCTCTTTGCTTCCATGTTAATTTCCTCCTGAGGCAAGGTTTTTGGGGTAGCAATTTAATTTTTTTTATTGAAATATAGCATCAATATAGAAAGTACACAAGTCATAAGCTCACCACAGTTTTCACAGCATGAACACATTCATGTAGGCAGTAGTTAGATCAAGAAGGAAACATCACCAGAACTCCAGAAAACTTCAGTCTCTTTCTAATCACTTCTCATCTCCCCCATGGGAACTCACTCTCCTGACTTTTTTTTAGCTTTGCCTGTTCTGGGACTTGGTAGAAATTGAATCATACAGTATGAATTCCTTTGTGTCTGGTTCCTTTCATTGAACATTTTTGTGATACTCTTTCATGTTACCCAGTCGTTATTGCTGTGTATTATTCCATGGTATGACTATTCCACAATTTATTGTACTCTTAATGTACTCACTCGGATTGTTTCTAGCTTAGGGCTCTTGTGAATAGTAGTCATCCTTATACATATCTTTTGATGAACCCATGGCATATTTCTGGGTGTTTACATAGATGTGGAATTGCCAAGACATTGTGTCTGTCTAGCCAGTTATTTTAAAATCTCATATAAAACACCAAAGTACTGATTTTAGGAAAACTCTTAGAAGATTTATAAACATATAGATACAGTTTTAGCATAATGTATCTAATTTATGGCTAAAGAAATTGCCTCTAGTTAAATGTATTGTAGTTGTTTTTTGTTTTTTAAGACAGAGTCTCACTCTGTCACCCAGGCTGGAGTGCAGTGGCATGATCTTGGCTCACTTCAACCTCTGCCTCCCAAGTTCAAGCAGTTCTTCCACCTCAGTCTCCCGAGTAAGTGAGCTTACAGACGCACACCACCATGCCTGGCTCATTTTTATTTATTTTTTGTTAGAGGTGGGGTTTCACCATGTTAGCCAGGCTGGTCTCGAACTCCTGACCTCAAGCGATTTGCTTGCCTTGGCCTAAATATGTTGTAGTTTTAAATGGGTTACTCCTGTAAACAACAAAATTTCCACTCACTGCCAATTACATGTTTTAGTAACTTTCTTCCTAATATGTACTTTTTATTCAATTTTCCAAACAAAACTGAGCTTTTGGTCCCATTCCGCAAAAATCTTATGAAGATATTTTGATGGTAATAATTTACAATAGTTAAAGTTACATCTGAGTTACACCATCTCTGAGTGTTGATGCTAGCAGAGTGGCATGCTAGTGCTTCACTGCCAGGCTTAGCTGAAGTACCAGAGGCTTACACTTGTACAAATTGCATTCATTACCAAGAACCCTGCAGAAGTGGCGAGAGACTGGCTCTATACTGTAGATGGGCTCTGGGATAAGTAGCCGAACAATTGGGCAGCTGAGACCAATTTTTTTCCCTCTTTTAGAACGTGGACTTTCCAAAATTGTTTCCATGGATACTTATGAACAAGTTTAACTTAATGAGTATAAAAATATGACTGCGACATCATGTCCCTCAAAAACTGGGTAGTATCTCTTAAAGAAGTTTTATTTGTCCGTCAGATAAAGTACCCCTAAGTCATGCTGTGAACATGCATGGAATTAAGTTTGACTGATTTTGACCATGGTGTTTTGGAGACCTTAAGAGATTTCCTTCCCCTCCATCAGAACAAGAAACCCAAAAAGGTGGAAGGAGTAATTAAAATTTAATTGTTATAAAAGGACAGTAACAGAACCAGATTTTCTTCCTATGTTATCTTTCCTTATGTATGTCTTTCGGGTGGATAAAAGAGAGTTGCCAGTCCTATCGAGACGTTTTGTGAAACAAAGGATTTTGTTTTGAAACAAAGGTAAAAAGAATTAAAGGATTTCATTTTTACAAAATTATCTTTTGAGAGTTCTGTGTTTTTCTTTTCTTCCAATTAAAAGTAATAGTATATAGACATATTGGTAATTCATATTGGTAAACATATTCAGAAAACTGTCTTAATTACAGGAGTGTTGTGTTTTCATCATTTTAAAATGACATTTAGAATTCATGTTGTTCTGTTTTAAACCAGTACATTCAGTTTAGAAAATATTGCGGATAACCTGTGTTGTTCTGTGAACTCTGCTAAGCTCTAGAGGAGACAGAAACCATAGTCCTTGTCCTCAGAAAGCTTATGGTCTAGTGGGTATGTAGTGGTGGCGGGAGCATATACAAATTACTATAGTACAACGTAAGGTAATTGCCACAGTGAGATTTCCTTGGATGAAGGACAGGTAGACCCATTTGAAATGGGTCTTAAAAGATGAGTAGATTGGCCTAGAATGGCCTCTTTGCTAATCTCTGCCTATTGGCAGAGGAGCCATGTGGCTGCAGTTAAGATGTCTTGTAAAGGAGCAATGGGAAGTGAGGTTAGAGCGAAGGAAGCCAGAGTGATGGGTTTATACGTGATATGGTGGATAATATAGCACAGTGGTTAAGAGTGCTTACTTTATTTTTATTTTTATTTTTATTATTTTCATTTTTTTGAGACAGAGTCTTGCTCTGTTGCCCAGGCAGGAATGCAGTGGCGCGATCTCAGCTCACTGCAACCTCCGCCTCCTGGGTTCAATTCTCCTGCCTTAGCCTCCCTGGTAGCTGGGATTACAGGCATGCGCCACCACACCCAGCTAATTTTTTTATTTTTAGTAGAGACGGGGTTTCACCATGTTGGCCAGGCTGGTCTCAAACTCCTGACCTCAGGTGATCCACCCACCTCGGCCTCCCAAAGTGCTGGGATTACAGACGTGAGCTACTGTGCCCAACCAGAGCTTACTTTAGGTCAAATTAGAAACTGAGTCACAGCTCAACTTTGCTGTGTGACCTTGAACAGATTGCTTAACCTATCTAAGCTCAGTTTCCTCATTTGATAAATGGGGACAGCGCTTATATAACTGGCTGCAATTTTGTATGATAGAAAAGAGATAATATATGAAAAGTGCTCAGCGTGGTTCTCAAGAACCTGCTCTGAGCAATGGGAACCATTGAAGATTTTGGAACCATGGCCTGGTGGGATCTGAACCGTGAAAGGCCTTCATTGTTATTTTTTATTATTGACATACAAAAGACTGCATACATTTAAAGTCTACATTTGATAGATTTTTATGTATGCATACAGCTTTGAAATCATCACCACAATCAAAGTGATAAACAAGTCTTTCACTCTCAAAAGATTTGTGTAAGACCTTTAAAGAGGGAAAGTCTGGCCTGCAATGCACTGGAAAGAATGGAGCAAAGTAGAGCCTGGAAATGGAGAAACCAGTTCAGAGGCTATTGCCATGCTGCAGGTGAGCAGGAAAGAATGAATGAGGTCAGGTGATAGGTTTAATGGCCATTTGAGATTGGCTGCTGGAGGACAGGGTTAGGTCTTCATCATTACATTATCTCCAGTACCTAACCCAGTGACCAGAGGGTAGTGGGCTCTGACATGCTAGAATTGACAGGCTTTCCCTTTATGAAAGATTTTTATTTCAAATTGCTTTTCCTTTTATTATTTTTAGGGCTTAAAAGACAACCTTCTTGCTTCTGGGACATCCAGCCTGACAGCCACCAAACAGTTGCATCGTCCAAGAATCACGAGAATCTGCCTCAGGGACTTGATATTTTGTATGGAACAGGAACGGGAGATGAAGTATTCTCGAGCTCTATACCTGGCCCTTCTGAAGTGACCACTCCACTCTTCCATCCAGATCCTTGCTATTTACTGCCAAAGAAGACACAAAGCATTGTTGCACTGTCCTGAAATTTCAATTTCTGGAAAATAATCACCAACATGAAAGAGCATTGTTTACAGTTAGAAACTTTATTAACTCTTACCTATCCATCTCATGGGACTCTTACAGACTCAGATTCATCTTTGTCTTCTGAAAATCAGTTATGAAATACACTTTGCACAGAATTAGGCATCTGCCTATCTGTGCATTAAATTAAAGCAAGTTAAGGCCCTATTTGTTACTACCTGCCTCATTTGCCAAATTGTAGCAGGTGAGGTGTCCTTCCCTAATACAGCATGCATTGAGATGCAGGAGAAAGGAAGAGGCATAAGAAAATACAAGAATGACTATTTCATTCTATATTGAACCTGTCCCAAAGTGGTAGGTTTTCTGGGCTGGAATCAGAAGTTGCTTAGCTAACTATGACAGTCACCCTCTGTACGTGACAGGCCACTGTGGTGACTTTGGTCGGCTGAGTTCCAGTGTTGTCAAAACAAGACAAATGGGGATAGATTGTGCCTGGGGTTGCTAATTCTCTGCTTCATATCACCATATGCCGTTTCTGGTACCAAGTGAGGGGACATGCTTGTCAGGGAAACCTTAAAATTGAATCTACTGATATATCTTGTTGAAAAAATGGAAAAGGTGCAAAGTATTAGAAGGAACGTTAGGGCGTTGCTTTCAAACTGATGAGGGGAATGTGAAAATGGTATCATAAAACAGGAAATGTGCTTCATATGCCCAAGAGGGGAAGAGGTGGAATCGGAACTCCAAAACAACTGGTACATGTTTTGTTGATGGGCAAAAAAAATCACAGCACAACCAGAAAGGAGAATGTACCAGATGTTTTCAAATTAGAGTATTTCAAAAGGAAAATGTTATTTTTTGTTTTGTATTGTTTTAAATCCCAAGGATAGTTTTTATAGTTCCTTCTGTCATAATATATTTTAGTTATCCTAATTTTTAAGCATGTTGGCACATTTAAAAAATCCTAATTGATGATGAGAAATTTTTAACAATAGGACTTTATGTTGGATTCTGTACTTAAAAGGTACTGTCAATATCTCACTCTTGGGGATATGAGCTCTAAATATGAGAAGCAAGTTATATGTGTTCACCTGAGGAAGAAGCTGACGGACAAAGCAAACCCTCTTTAAAAAAAAAAAAAAGAAAATTCCACGTGTGTGGAATACAGCCGGTGAAAAATAATCACTGTAGTTAGAATCACATACAGAAAAAAAATGATTGAATCCTCCAAGAAGGTATTTCAAAAATGGGAAATGCTATACTTATAAGAATTGAAGGAAAAAAAAAAAAACACCTCACGTATGTTATTCTTCATCCTGTTCTTCCCATTGGGACTGTTATGGCCATATTCTACAGTATAGTAAATTTTAAATTGGCCACATTTTTTTTTGTTTCAGCAAGTTATGTAAAATGCTATAAATTATGTGTATGTTAAAGGAGTACTTTAAGAAGAGATCTTTATCCAAAGTTGTTTTTGTATATTTAAATGCTTACCTTTATTTTTTGTAAAGTGCAGCATACTCATTTGTGTATAATCTTACTGATCAGATGTTTAAAATTATTCCAAATACTTCATTAAAATAATTATTTTATTATAAGAATAACTTTGCTCATTCACTGACTTTGAAAACCATTGTCCTTAGTAGTTAGCCCCTGATGTGCTCAAATTGCTGGGCTGTGAATTTTTCCTAGCTCGGATTGTGAATTACTTTGGAGTATGGGCATTTTGGTTCCAGAAAGTCACTTCAGATCCAAGTTGTTGTATCACTTTCTTTGAAATAGTTGTAAATTTGCATGCTATTTGATTCACAAAGAAAGCTAGGCATACTCATTACAAAAGCTTTTCTTGCCTATCAGGGTTTTTTAACTGAGGTATTTTTCAAAATTTATTTTTAATATTCATTTTTAAACTTTGTCTTGTGAAATATATCTTACACAAGAAAGAAAAAATAATGTATCCAAGGTATTCTTCTGTGCAGCTTGCAAAATGGTGGGCTTGGAGTAGATTTGATCTACAAATGCATTCTCCTTGACTCACACGGTATTGCCAATGTTTTAATTCATGAGAATCTATATTTCCATTTCTTTTGAGAAATTAGAAGATCTGGAATCCCTAGCTATATCCTTTTGTATGGCAACAATCCACCAGAGCTAACCAGCAGCTGTCTACTTGAGATACACAGGCATAAGTTTACCTTCCCTTGCCTGATTCATTTAGGCATTGGAGTTCATGACCCTCTGCCTTCAATATTTATTTTGCAGCTGGGCCTCACACCTGTAATCCCCAGCACTTAGGGAGGCCGAGGTGGGAGGATTGCTTGAGGCCAGGTTGAGACAACCTGGGCAACATAGCAAGGCCCACCTCTACAAAAAATGAAAGAATTAGCTGGGTGTGGTGATGTGCACCTGTAGTCCCAGCAACTCAGGAGGGTGAGGCAGGAGAATTGCTTGAGCCCAGGAGATTGAAGCTGCAGTGAGCTATGATCACACCACTGCACTCCAGCCTGGACGACAGAGCAAGACCCCATCTCAAAACAAAATGTGGCCTGGCACGGTGGCTCACACCTGTAATCCCACCACTTTGGTAGGCTGAGGTGGGTGGATCACGAAGTCAGCAGTTCAAAACTAACCTGGTCAACATGGCAAAACCCCGTCTCTACTAAAAATATAAAAATTAGCCAGGTGGGGTGTCAGGCACCTGTAATCCCATCTACTTGGGAGGCTGAGGCAGGAGAATCATTTGAACTCGGGAGGCCGAGGTTGCAGTGAGCCGAGATCATGCCATTGCACTCCAGCCTGGGTGACAAGAGTGAGACTCCATCTCAAAAAAAATTGTGTGTGTGTGTGTGTGTGTATGTTTATATACACACATATACATATATTTATCTTGGGTGATGAACAGTTAAAAAGTACCAGAAATTCTCCATCTGTTTACTTTTTTAAAGAAACTCTACTGAGGTGTATTTTACATTAAAAAAACTACCCATTTCATCTATTTACTTTGATTTGTTTCTATATTTTAGATATAGGGTCTTACTCTTTAGATCCAGGGTCTCACTCTGTCACCCAAAGCTGGAGTGCAGTTGTGTGATGATGGCTCACTGTAACCTTGAACTCTTGGGCTCAGGCGGTCCTCCCACCTCAGCCTCCCAAGTAGGTGGAACTACTGATGAGTACCACCTTGCCCAGCTAATTTTGTAATTTTTTGTAGAGATGGGTCATTGCTGTGTTGCACAGGCTGGTATTGAACTCCTGGGCTCAAGTGATTCTCCTGCCTCAGCCTCCCAAAGTGCTAAGATTACAGGTGTAACCACCATGCCCAAACCCATTTACTTTTTTTTCTTTCTTTTTTTTTTTTTTTTTTTTTTTTTTTTTTTTTTTTTTTTTTTTTTTTTTTTTTTGAGACGGAGTCTTGCTCTGTTGCCCAGGCTAGAGTGCAGTGGTGCGATTTTGGCTCACTGCAACCTCTGCCTCCTGGGTTCAAGCGATTCTCCTGCCTCAGCCTCCCAAGTAGCTGGGATTACAGGGTTGTGTCACCACACCCGTCTAATTTTATATTTTTAGTAGAGGCGGGGTTTCACCACATTGGTCAGGCTGGCCTCGAACTCCTGACCCCAAGTGATCCACCCACCTTTGCCTCCCAAAGTGCTGGGATTACAGGCGTGAGCCACCGTGCCCAGCCCCCATTTACTTTAAATATGACTGAACGATCTTTTAAATGGTCTCCTGCTGAACATCTTTGATTCTTCTCTTTAAAATAAAAAAGTAAAGTTTAATATTTCTTAAGACCTGCATTTGAGGTAAATTTTGTAAGAATTTTGGAAAAACTTTATTTAGAATTAAGAATGTTTATATTAGTTAGTCGTGGTTACAGCAGAGAACACAAGTAGTGTTAAGGCATATTCTTTAGAAAAATATGGAACCAAGTTCTCAAGCTGATTAAGTTGGACTTTATCTGTTTGCCTAGTTGTACTGTCAACCAACTGTTTATAAAACTTTCCTCAGCAAGACTCAGTGATTGTGCAGAGATAAAACTATAATGTGTCACATGTTTATACACGACCTAGTAGTCGGTTTTTATTTTGTTGTTAACATTTATATCTTTTTAAACACTTTCATATGACTCTCTGAACTATTTTTTTACATGTGGACATGATTTATAGCTGATATCAGCATCTTTTTCTGACTTTTTAATACTGCTTAGTATTTTCATATGCATTTCAGCTGTATCACATTGGTGCATTTGCTTTTTTGCCAAAATTGTTTCACCAGTTGGAAGTTGGTCTTCAGTAGATATTTTTGTTATTTTTCTTCCAGTAAACAATTGAGAGACTGTGCTGTACCAAACAAGAAACCGAAAGTGTTGATCATCATACAGCTGAACACTGGCTGGTTAGGTGAGATATAGAAATATAAAGTAATAGAGTATATTACTATACACTGTATATAGTTATAGAAAATAATACAGATATATAAAGTAGAAGCATCACAGCCTATGTAGACCTTGCCACGTTGAATATTTGTAGGAAGAAAATATTCCCGAGGAACTCATCTAAAGACTTTTGGCTTTGTTGGTAAACCACAATGAGAGCAATTTTAATGGCAACTCTTAAAATAATGTTAGGTTGCCATCTCTCCAAGTTCTTTTACCATGGGTGGTACTAAAGCAGTATTGCTATGGGTGAGAGCACACCCTGGCTTCCCATCTTAGTCCTGCCTCTTTCCAGCGTGTGACCTTGGCAAATTATTTAACTTTGCTGTGCCTTTGTTTTCTTATGTATATATAATAGGAACCACCTGTGAGGTGGTTGGGGGACTTCAATGCATTGTCATATGTAAAGCACTGTTCTAAGTGCTTTATATGTGAGCAGTGCTAGAACATGTAGTGAACAGTATACAGTCCTGCATCACTTAATGACAGAGACCATGGGCATATGTTCTAAGAAAGCATCAGGCAGTTTTGTCATGCAAATATCATAGAGTATACTTAAACCTGGATGGTGTAGCCTACTACACACCTAGGCTATATATGGTGTAGCCTATTTCTCCTAGGTTACAAACCTGTACAGCCTGTTACTGTACTGAATACAGCAATTGTAATACAATGCTATTTGTGTTTCTAAACATACCTAAACATAGACAAGGTACTATGAAAATACAATATTATGTGGCACATGGCTATGTATGTTGGTTATTATTGTTTTACAGATTTTGAATGGCGTAGTTCTACTTCCTGTCTGTCTCTAGTACCTTTTTTTTTTTTTTTTTTTTGAGACAGAGTCTCACTCTGTTGCCCAGGCTGGAGTGCAGTGGCACCATCTTGCCTCACTGCAACTTCCACCTCCCAAGTTCAAGCGATTCTCCTGCCTCAGCCTCCCGAGTAGCTGGGTTTACAGGTATGGACCACCATACCCAGCTAATTTTTGTATTTTTAGTAGAGATGGGGTTTCTCCATGTTGGCCAGGCTGGTCTTGAACTCCTGACCTCAGGTGATCCTCCCGCCTTGGCCTCCCAAAGTGCTGGGATTACAGGCGTGAGCCACCATGCCTGGCCTCCAGTACCATATTATACTGATGAAAGTCACTGGCCGAATGCATGCACCTTAGTGTCTTATTTATAGATAGTCTAAGATCATGTGAGATTGTTATATATTGCATTGAGGATTGGGTAATGGGGAGGCTAGAAGGAGAAAGGTACGATAATACAGTGGAGCCATTTGACAGAATAATTGTTATGTCGGTGGCTTTGCCTAATAAGTTTCCTGTGGAATTGGAAGCAGTGAAGAAACCATGTCATTACTTGAAAACGCTATAGATACATGGTGAACATTCAAACAGTATAAAAAAGCATAGCAAAATAACTATCTTACTCAGACCTTCCCAGGTCCCCTGCTCCCCTCCCTAGATTCACCCACTTTTGCCAATTTCATACATCTTTCCAGCATAGTCAATATATATATAAGTCCATAGTTATATATTCGCCCTTATTTGCATATGACAGCATACTGATCTGTCCTTTGCCATTTTCAAAACCCTGTTATTCTTAATTCAATTTATACTGTGTTCCAGGTCAGGAGTCTTGGTAGAATCTTGCTGTAATCTTTGGGAAAACAACACATGAATGTTTCCTCAAGGGGTTTAGTCACAAGTTCTCTTACTATTTTGTAGATCACAGTGTTTCTTTACCAAAGAGGCATGCATCGTAAGGGGAGTAGAGATTTCCTAAGATGAGGAGGTGCAGAGAGGGAAAGAAGAAAAGTCATTTAAGGGAAGGATTGAGTATTCCAGTTGTAATTATAAAGTTTCTCTGACAGCATCCTCCCACCATGAACCACTAGTATCCTGGAAACCAACCTGAATTTAGGATCGCTCCAACCTCTTTTCTGTAAGATTTATATTTCTGATTAAAAATTAATGAATAGATCAGAATAGGGATGATCTAAATCTGAGATTCCTCGGAGTGATCCCTGATGGGATGCCTGATACCCAAAATACTCTTAAGTCTTGTATTCTAGGGCCTTCTAAGGCAAAAGATTGAGAGACCCAAAAAGAGAAAATATGTTTAGTAAAGAAAATATTTACTTTGACTAGTTATGATGGTCATATAGGGGAGAAAAGGCAAATTTTGGAAATGTAAGATGGGGACAATTAATGTATATACACTGTCCAAATTCAAAAGGTACAAAAGAAGATACAGTAAAGTCCCCCACCTTTGTTGTCTAGGTAAATTGTTCACAGGTTCTCTTTCTAAGAAATTTTAGAAAAGGAGTTAGAGGGTTGCCTGTAAACCTTTCATCTTCCTCAAAGATTTTTCCTTGATTATGAGTGATATATTCTCATTGCAGAAAATTTGGAAAATAAAAATATAAGGAAAATGAAAACACACGTGGCACTGTTAATATTTTGATGCATTTCTTTCTAGCCTTTTTTTCCTGTGCTAACTCTGTGGATGTTTTAGATCACACTGTTGAGCCAGCATTGTGTCTTACTGATGTACTTTTGGAAATGCTGGGGGAAATGAGAAGAAAAACAACTAGGAGAATGAAGCATCGCTTTTTAATTCTGTCCCTCAAAGTGATGTTGAGGCCATGTTTCTCATTTCCTCAAACAGCATATGGATTTGTTTAAGGTGTTTCAATTTGCTGTCGTCATGGGTGAAATGAAAGTACCCATTTAGTCTCGTCATTGCTTGCAGCGTTCTCTACATGTTAAGGTATTGTGGAAGAAAAATTGCCATAACTCTATGCAAATTATTTAGATTCAAAGCTAGTATAGAAATGTAACTTTTGAGGTTTAGGCTATAGGACTGATGACTTTTCATATTTGTGATATTAATGGAGGCTTTGCCTGAGAATGAAGGAAAGGTCAGGACTTGATGGTTGGCTTCTTGACGACATCTTATGGCTGAGGCCTCCAATTCCCTAAATACAAGTGGGAAGTTGTGCTGGGGGTCTCCACAGGTCCTTTAAACTTTCAACTCTCAATAGTTTAATCTCACTGGGTACTTCTCTGCAATCTTAATTCTTATAAAAGTGATACTGGTAGCCTTTAATGCTAAGGGAAGGAAGAAAATTGAACAAATAGTGCTTTGTGTCTTCTGTACTTTCTGCCATTATCAAAAAGTGTGTGTGTGCTGCTGGACCAGACCCAATTAAGGATACAAGCATTGCCATTGACCTATATTGGCTGCATCCGTTTTCTAGGGCTGCTGTAACAAATGACACAAACTGGGTGACTTAAGGCAACAGAAATTTATTCTCACAGTTCTGGAGGCTAGAAGCCCAAATCCAAGGTCGGCAGGGCCGCCCTCACTCTAAAGCTCTAGGGGAGAATCCTTCCTTGCCTCTTCCAGCCTCTGGAAGCTGCTGGTTGTGGGAACAAAATGCCAATGTCTGCGTCTGTGTTCACATAGTCTTCTCTGTGTCTTTCTGTGTCCTCTCCTCCTCTTATAAAAACACCAGTTGGAGGGCCCTCCTCCCTGAGGGCTGTCACTTGGACTACACACAAGTGTATAATCTCATCTTCACATTTAACTAGTTACATTTGCGAAGACACTGTTTCCAAATAAGGTCCCCTTTTGAAGTTCCGGGTCAATGTGAATTTTGGGAGGATACTGTTCACCCCACCAAAGGAGCATATGCCTTATGACTTTATATTCCCGATAGCTCTTCTACTTTCTATCCTTGGCTTTAATAATAGCGAAAATCTTATGGCTAAGATTTGTAGGAGTTGATTTTGTGTCTCATTACACTGGAAACAGAATCTTGAGGTCTGTCAAGAGAGTGGTTTTCACCTTTTTTCACTTCTCTTCCACTTCAGGCAAGGTTGGGAAGTTCCTAGTAGGTGACTGTCCTGAGAAATGTCTTTGGTGTGGTTAACACAGTGTCGTCCTGGTGTTTAGAGTAGTACCGTATAGTCAAGTGAATGTATTCAGAAGACTTGAGATTTCGCATGCTATTTACATGTTAACAGTTCTTAAGGAAATTCTCCACACCATGAGCAAATCATAAATTTATTTCATGTGGAAGTGTTGATTCTAACAGATACCAAGTATTAGAACATTTTAAATATAAATATACCAAGGTTCTATCTCCAAGAACTTCAGGAGACTCTAGTTCTCCTAAAATGAGAACATGCTAATATTTGGAAAATATCAGTTACTGTTCTCTGTCTGCTTCCAAAAGCAGCTAGGGGTCTGGTACCACTAAACCAAACAAGTTAATTTATCTGACACTGGCAGGCTTGCTTTCAGGTGGAGACCTGTGTTATTGGAGAAGGAAAGGAGGGAGCAAAACTCAGAATGACTGGGGAGAGATGCATCACTGAGGAGACTTGGAAATTAGAGAAATATCAAGAGTAGCTTTATTGACTTAACTGCAGATGCCACCATTGGGCATTAGCCTCTGGAGCTGGGAGTTGGTGGCAAGTTGTAAATTGAAGACCACTACAGGCAGTGCAGATTTTTATCAGATTTCTTTTGTGCCTAGAATATTAAACAGATCTTAACTAATTTTTAAAAGAATATGTGTTTTGCCTACTGTAATTTTAAAAAGCCATCCTCTCTCTACTATGTATGAATGTATTGAATAACTAAACCAATAGTTGGCAGGGGTTTGGGGAAAAGGCCCTTAGAAGTTTCCACATACTCTAGGGAGAATCTTGCAGAAAAATCTATCTGATGCAGTATGGAAAGATCCAAAAACAGCAGGCTTGGCCTAAGATGTTAACATAGGAACAATCAGCTACCAGATTCTCACATTTCTTTCATGATCAGTCTCTTCGGTTATCTCTAGGGAGTACTCAGATCTGAGGTTCCCAAGATGAAGTTTTAATTCATCTTTTGGAAAGATGCAGAGGTAGGCATGGAGATAAGGAGAGAAAGATGTCAAACCAAGCAAAAGATAGGGTTTTGTAACCTCTATCTGCTTAAGTCTATTTCAAGTTTACTGAGTGATATTGATTATTAAGATGCAGACTAGGTTACAAAGAATGACGATGCTGATGTGGTCTAGTCTACCACATTTAAGCATAAATCCACTTAGAATCAAGCCACATGTGTGAAGCCCAAGGTTCTTGATATTCCTCAGCATATCTAAAGGTTACCCAGCTCAGCGTTCCATCTACTAAAGGAATTCCCTTCAGCATCCCTGAAACAAGCCTTCTACTTGAATAGTTCTACCTTATCCTAGAATTCACAATTGAACTGTCCTGTTACTCTTTATGTTCTGTCTTGGTTTGATTTTGAAATCTGCCTTCCTACAATTTAATATTTGGGACTTACTTTTTTCTTCCAAAAGCACATAACTAGCAATTTACTGATCCCTATGTATCAGATACTATGTCAAACTAAGCATCTTACCTGCATTATCTAACTTAATCCTCACAACAGCCTTCTGATAGAGAGTGGCAGAGAGGGGCTAGCGGTTCACTGAACTCGTTTTCCCTTGGCTGTGCAGCTAGACCACATTTTTAAGCCTCCTCATAGTTAAATGTGGCCTGGTGCCTGAGGTCCAGCGAATGAGATGTAGGCAGAAGGGATGTGTGACACTTTCAGATATGGCTCATGATAACCTGCCATGCATGAGCTTTTTATTTATGTATTTGAGACAGGGTCTTGCTCTCTCACTCAGGCTGGAATACAGTGACACGATCTTGGCTCACTGCAGCCTTGACTTCCCAGGCTCAAGTGATTCTCCCACCTCAGGCTCCCGAGTCACTGAGACTACAGACACATAGCACCATGTCCAGCTAATTTTTGTATTTTTAGTAGAGACGAGGTTTCGCTATGTTGCCCAGGCTGGTCTCAAACTCTAAGCCCAAGCGATCTTACCCCCTCAGCCTCCCAAAGTGCTGGGATTACAGGCGTGAGCCACTGCGCCTGGGCTCCACACATGATCTTGCATGCTCTTTCCCTTTCATGGTGACCTTGGAAGGTTGGTGATGAAAATGGCAGAGCCACCAGATGGAAGGAGCCCTACGTCACTGAATCTTCGTTTAGTGCAAAACTGCCTGCTAATCCAGAACACCCATTTTGGACTACACACAAGTGAGAAATAAGGCTCTGATGTGTAAGCCACTAACACAATATTTCTGTGATAGCAGTTAACAGCCGAATTAACTGATGCAGATGGCTACTACTCTTAATATTTTTATTATATGATAAAGACACTGCTGTGTCAAGCGACTAGGTAATTTACTGGAAGTCACAGAGAAAGTGGTGTTAAGATTTGAACATAGATCTGTCTAACCTCAGAGCCTGGACTCTTGATCCCTACACCCTACACTGAGATTTTCTTTAAATGCTTAGGGCTACTCTCTCCCACCTAATGGTATTTTAAAAATCTAAGGAAAGCTACCCATTTTCTTTCCTACACTTATTATTCCCTTCTCCAGGCTGATGGATCCCAGCTCTTTCAGTTCTCACAGTGGAAATTCTAGATTTCTCTGTATTTGTATTGTTTTCTTGGTTGTATTCTAATATCATAAAGGCCACATTAAAATATGGCTTCCCACACTAAATGCAGCACAGCAGGTGGGGCTTGGGGAGTAGGAAAGACAGTGTGCCCATTTACTACTTAGAATTCCATAATTCTGTAGGTACAAAGTTAAGACTGTGATTAATCATCCTAGCGCTTTTCACTCTCACTATTCAGTGTGGCCCATGGACCAGCAGCATTGGTATCAACTGGGAACTTGCAAGAAACGTAGGATTCAAGCCTCACCCCAGACTTTTTTTTTTTTTTGAGATGGGGTCTTGCTCTGTCACCCAGGCTGGAGTGCAATAGTGCAATCTCGGTTCACTGCAACCTCTGCCTCCTGGGTTCAGGCGATTCTCCTGCCTCAGACTCTGGAGTAGCTGGGACTACCAGCGTGTGCCACCATACCCGGCTAATTTATATATATGTGTATGTGTGTGTATGTGTGTGTGTGTGTGTATATATATATATATATATACACACACACACACATATATATACATATATATATGCATATATATACACATATATATACATATATATATACACATATATATACACATATATATATACACATATATATACACATATATATATATTTTTTTTTAGTAGAGATGGAGTTTCGCCATGTTGCCCAGGCTGGTCTCGACTCCTGACCTCAAGTGATCTCCCTGTCTTGGCCTCCCGAGTAGCTGGGACCACAGGTATGTGCCACCATATCCTGCTAATGTATTTTATTTTATTTTTAAATTTATTTATTTTTGAGACAGAGTCTCTCTCTGTTGTCCAGGCTAGAGTGCAGTGATGCAATCTCAGCTCACTGCAACCTCTGCCTCCTGGGTTCAAGCAGTTCTCCCGCCTCAGCCTCCTGAGTAGCTGGGATTACAGGCACCACCCACCACACCCAGCTAATTTTTTGTATTTTAGTAGAGATGGGGTTTTACCAAGCTCCCAAGGCTGGTCTCAAACTCCTGAGCTCAGGCAATCCTCCCACCTCAGCCTCCCAAAGTGCTAGGATTACAGGTGTGAGTCACTGTGCCCGGCCACATCCAGCTAATTTTTGGGTTTTTTGTAGAGATGGGGTTTCACCATGTTTCCCAGGCTGGTCTTAAACTCGTGAGATGAAGTGATCCTCCTGCCTCGGCCTCCCAAAGTGTTGGAATTACAGGCGTGAGCCACCACGCCCAGCCCCCACCCCAGACCTTTTGAATGAGATGCTTCTTTCTAGCAAGATCCCCCGGGGATTGTGATGCACACTGAAGTTTGGGATGCGCCTTTCTAACTGATAGTTGCCTTGATCAACCTAAAGAGGAAAGTTTAAATATATCTGGTTATACTTCATTTTGTTTGTTTAGGCCTGTTATTCTTAGCTGGTCACAATCATTTTGATTCTGTCACTTACTGAGAACATTTGAGTTCAAGTTCTTCAATCAACTATACAATTGGTTTTCCCTCTCAACCTTGTGTCATCCACAAATTTCATAAGCGTACTTTCTGTGTTCATTCAACTTGTGCATAAATGTGTTGAGCAAGACAGGGCCAGCAATAAAACCATGAAGCATGTTGCTGCCCTGCAACATCAATCTATTAATTAGCACTGATATCACTCTACAGTCAGCTGTGACTGTATCTAACTGATGGTACTATTGCAGAGTCCACAGGGTTTATGAGCAACTCTGAAGAACAAGTTGCTTGGTTCTAAGCACTATGCAGCATGTGGCTAACCCGTCTAGCAGCCATCTCAAAGAAGAGCAGGACAATGGGTGGAAGATCCCCATCTGTGATGGGCTGAATTGTGACCTTCCCAAATTTATGCATTGAAGCCCTCACCCCCAGCACCTCAGACGGTGACTGCATTCTGAGGTAAGGCCTTTAAAGAGATAAGTCACAGTGACAGAATCAGGATGGGCCGTAATCCAATGACTGGTGTCCTTATAAGAGGAGGAGATAAGGACACAGAAACACACATAGAGTGTGTGTGTCCTTACTTCATGTGAAGAAAGAGGGAGAAGTTGGCCATCTCCAAGTCAAGGAGAAAGGCCTGGATGGACCAGTCTTGCCTCACAGTCCTCAGAAGCAACTGCCCCCTGCCAACACCTTGATCTTGGATTTTTGGCCCTTCAGAACAGTGAGAAGATTAATTTCTGTTGTTTAAGCCACCCAGTCTGTGGTGCTTTGTTATGGCAGCCCTAGCAAATGAATAGACCATCCCCTCCTCTCTTCCACTATTGCTTTTTGGTGAAATTGGTCATCCTGGCCTTAGCAAGATAATCTGAGGTTTTAGCATAGCAGGCATGTTACTCAAAGTATGGTCCACGGACCAGCAGCCTAGGCATCACCTGGGAGCTTATTAGAAATGCTAACCCTGGCCCCACCTCAGAGCCACTCAGTGAGAATCGGCATTTTAACAAGATCCCTAGGTGACTGGCATTATAACTTTGAGAAGTGCTGTACTCCCAAACCCCTTCATTGATTTTTAGTAAACCTGGACTTTTCTGTATATTAGATTTACTTAAAACTGCATTGCCTAAGGATCAGATCCAATCCAGGCTTAGGAATTTTAAAACTGGATTGAACTCTAGCCATAGAGTCAGATTTCAGAATGAGGACTTGAAGCCCAGAGAGATGAGGTAGTTTGCCTGAGGACACAGCACTAGAATTCATTT
The DNA here is from genome assembly GCF_000001405.40 of Homo sapiens. Taxonomy (NCBI): domain Eukaryota; kingdom Metazoa; phylum Chordata; class Mammalia; order Primates; family Hominidae; genus Homo; species Homo sapiens. Next base: position 26,403,726 of record NC_000018.10, read on the forward strand.
TGATTTATGCACAATTTCTAGGAACACTGGTAGTATTTAAAAAAATTTTCGTATGCACCCTGGCAATGTCACTCAGTTTTTGAGCCAGACAAATGTAAGAACTGGGTCTGAACCTAAAGCAATGGACAAATTAGCTGACTACATACATTAACTGCATTTAAAGAGGTTAGTGCAATGAGGGGTTGGAAGAAATCCGAATTGTCTGCTAGACAGAAACACCACCATTCTTCCAGTTAGAGGGGCTAACACCCCACAGTTCACTCTATCTGGTCTTACTTTCAAAGGAGAGATTATTAAAGTCTGTCCTGTCTCTAACATTTCTAAGCAAATTCTCACACTTTTTTTTTTAAGATGCAGGATCTGGCTATGTTGCCCAGGCTGGTCTTGAACTCCTAGGCTCAAGTGATCCCCCCAACTTCAGCCTTCCAAGAAGCTGGGACTGCAAGTGTGCACCACTATGCCCAGCTTCACACATCTTTCGTATTCTGAATTTCCATTTTGATTCACATCAGAATGCCTTTGTGAGGCACACACAGCAGGTGACGGTGCAGGTAGTGTATGGCCCGAGAGCTGTGGGAGATTTGTTGTTTGTCTCAACTCCTATTTCTTTCACATTCTGCCTTTCTGTTTCCTTGTCTTCTCGAAAAGAGTGTTTATCGAATAGCTTACAGTTAGTGATACCCTTATTTTGTCACATGTCCATTGTACCCCCAGCACTGTGATGGGTCCACAGAGATGAGCCAAATCAGGGAGACACATCTATCACTAAATAATGACATGGGGCATGCTGGGTGCTGTGACGGCATGTGCCAGGTCCTGTGGGCCATGCAGGAGGAGGGCCTACTCTGGAAGAGACAGGGACTGGGGTGTTTTTTACATGAGACCTGGAGAATAAATAGGAGTGACTTAGGCTAAGCAGGAAGGTTTTCTAGGCAAAGGCTGAAGGTGTCATGCCATGTCTTATTTGGAGAATTGCTTAACTAAAGCTGGGGCATGTCTGGTTCAGAGTGCAGAGTGACAGCTTTTGTGAGCTAAGCTAAGGAGTACAGGAGTTAACTAGACTGTCTTGTCAGACCCCGCTGGTGGTTTTGCACAGAACATGTATCTCAAACTCCCTTGACTCAGGTGCTCCTGAAGGATAGTGCCTATTCGAATGTAAGTATGGGTGGTCCTGGCTTTCATGTAGTTTCCACTTGGCCCCCCATTCGTGCACGTACACAACCACCTTCGTCCATCTGATTTGGTCTTTCAGAGGTCGCAGATCTAATGATAAAGCATCTCGGGGTGGCCCCACCTACCTGCCAGGTACCACCACCGAGGGAACAGCCAGTGAGGGGTCACTGCCTTGCCACCAAATCAGTATTTGAAGAGAATCCTTGCTGCTCCCCATTCTGGGGTCTCCTCCACCCCAATACCATCCTTTCCTCCTCCTTGGTAGGGTTGGTGGGGGTGGGTGAGGGCAGGGACAGCTCTGGGTTATCTATAGACAGCCTCACACGTATCCACTGAGGTCCCACTTTTGGGATTTGTGTTTTTGGTAACAGGCAACAAGTGCCCCTTGACTGCAGCCTCGCTTGGGGGAAAACTCATGACTGGTGAGAGGTTTGGAGATGGAGGGGTTGTGGGCCCAGGCTGGATCAGAGGTCTTATCCAGCAGGGCCTCCTCCCTGGGCACTCAGCACCCAGGGAGCCTCTTAGCTGCCTGGCAGCTAGCATGGGCCTAAGGGTAGAAGTGCCTACAGAGACCATAATTAGGGATTTTATCATCTTGTTTTAGCTCCTCTGGAGCGGAAAGTCTGGAAGTCAGCGGGACCCCAAGCAGCTTGGCAGAGCCTGGCAGTGTCCTCCTGACAGTTGGTGGCAGCACAGGCCACCCTTTGAGTCACAGGCATGTTCCTCTGGGCTTCCCCAGAGGGATCAGGTGGAAACTGAGCACAGGAGGCCCTTTAAGCTGGCCTTGTGGAAGCCACAGGCAGCAGGTTTGCTTGTGCTGTTTCAGTGTTAACCCGGGTTAAGCATTTTCAAATGCTTCCTGCCCCAAGCTTTCTAGGCATCTGTCAATGGGCCTCCTGAAAGCCCTTCTTACTCACATGCAGTTCTGACCAGAGAGCTCCCTGCATCTCCTCACCTGCTGAGACCCTTCTCCTCACGCAGGTTGATAGAAGAAGTCTGGTATCCCAGCCATCACTCCCCAAAGGGATTCCCTGTTGTCTCTCAAGCTAGAAACTCGAGGAAGATCGGTGTCTCCCCTTTCATTATCCTATTGTCCGGGGGGATGAAGCCTCCGGCTCTGCAATCAAGACAAATAGACTTGTTTTACCTCCAACCCTCTGCCTCTAACTGGAGCCCCAAGTTTTATAGCCCTGCACCAACTAAAGGCCCATTAACCAGCAACTGGCTCCCTAGTCATTTTGCTAGAACTAGTTTGTTATCTACTAGGCTGGTCTGTCTGTTATACGAAGGGATTTGAGAGAAGAAATCCCTTCCAAGTATAGCCATGGGTGCCTGGTTGAGCCCCGAGGAGGTTATGCCTTCACTGGGTGTGCACTTCGGGTGCGAAGGAAATTAGTTCTCTCTCCCCAGGCCTGCACAGAGCTGCCGGTGTGGCAGTCACGGTCCAGGCTGGAAGAGGAGGTCTGGGTTTCACCTGGTCCCTGGACACCACGCAGGGGGCGGATGCAGGGCAGAACCCGGCAGAGGAGCAGCTGCCTGCGCCCTCTCCCCACCCCACCTCTCCTGTTTCCGCCCTGGCGCACAGGCCACGTGTCAGGCCACATCTTCTCACAGCTCAGAAACGTGGTCATGGAGATCAGGAGGATAAATACATTCATTCTCCACCTCAGCGTGGGATGGGAGTGGGGGAGCTGCCCTGAAATGCCCTCCAGGAAGGTCTCCAAGGGAGGCCTTTAATTAGCGCCTGGGGGATATAAAACTTGGGGCTCCAGATAGAGGCAGAGGGTTTGAGGTAAAAAGGGCAGAGGGAGGGTCCCTGTGGCCCTATAGCCAGGGCTCATATTTCCCTACTCAAAATCTAGATCTGTGATTTGACTGGAGGACCCACAGCTGCCATATCCATAGACCAAGAGCCTGAGGAGCCGCCTCCAGGTGGGGTCCATGTCACAGCTAACGGGCGCACGTGTTTCTCCCCCACCTGGATAGTGGAGAGTCCTGAGGAAGGGGAGCAGGAAGGGTTCTGACGGGAGAGATTAGGGACAGGCGCGGGCAGCCTCCCAAGGCCCCAGTGACTGGGCAGCATGTGCTGTTGGGCAGTTACTCCCCTGTCCAGCCTCAGCGGACTGATCTGTCCGAAGAGGAAAGGTGCCTGCTGTATATGCAAATTGGGATGATTCAATATGCAAATGTCCTCACAGAGGCCAGGGCAAGTGAAGTGCTTAGTGAACTAAAAACATAAGTGAACAAATAAGCTTCTTACCAAATCGGACCCCTCACAGACATTTCTCTCTTAGCCAGAACAAACTTGCAGCTTTGGGGAAGTTTGAGGGAAAAAAAAAAAAGTTGTGCCGTCCTCCCTGGTAGGGAGCCTGCAGTTTGGAAATCTTAAGAGGCCGAGCAGCAAGTTTGCACAGGAAAGAACAGAGTGCGGGGGTTTGTTGCCTCTGTCCTGCCCCTCTGTGAGCTCACTCGTGTCCCTGCTGAACCTCATCAGGGTCTAAATAACCAAGATCGAATGCAGTAAATAAAACAGAACCATAGGAGTATCGTTTCATCGTGGATTTAACAATTTCAAACTTTCATCAGAGGTTTGTTCAGAGGAAGGGGAGGAGGCTCTTCATTCTCCATTTAAGAAAACCAGACCACAGCATCTTCTTTAGATCCAAGGCCTCTGGTACTGGACCTGGAGCCTTTGAGCTCTGGGAGTTTATTGTAAACATCAATGTCGCCAAAACCCACAACTGAGGGCTGTTCCTGGGAAGTGGGTGGATGGGCGAATTTTTCTTTTTTTTTTTTTAATTCCAAAAATAATGTGATTTCTCTCTCTGTATCTTTATGTCACATGGGCTCTGAATGTGCCCAGCTGGTCATTCTCTTTTATAGGTAAATATGTGCCCATTTTATTAAAAGAAAGGCCTCTTACAATGCAGCTGGTAAGCTTCCTGCTCGCTAGTCCTCACAGATTCCTTGTTGCAACCGAAGCGGGCGTGTTACTTTGATAGTCATATGAAATAACCCTAACTTTGCCTGGGGATATTTATAACAAGACATGCAGAATTATTGCACCATAAAGGCTGCTTTGCTGATTCTTGCTGATTAGAAACTTAAAAAAAAGACGAATGGGATAAAAACCAAAAAGTCCCAACCGCTGGAGTTCTGAAGTCAGGCAAACTGGAGCCACAGTGGTTCCCCCAGCCCTTTGATACCAACCCTGAGGTTGGAGAAGTTGGGCCAGCTCCGTGAGCTAGCTCTGTGGGCTACTTTCCCGAGGTGCTTCATGCGTCTCCTACCTTCCCGCCCCAAGCTGAGGCCAAGAATGAATGACCTGGAAGGGACGGGCTTGTCTTTCTGCCACGCTGGGGGCCAGTGCCAAGTTTTGCTTTAGGAGAAATGAAGGCAGAGCAATCCCTGGTATTAGATGAGGCAAGTGTATTCCACCCTGCCCCCTGGCAGACAGGCCAAACAGGACGGGGCATTTTTAATTGATGCTAGGACCTTGCATGGATAAGAAGTTGGCAGGAATGGACAGAACCCTTTATTCTTCCTTCCAAGGTACCCATTTACCAGGCCCATCCTCAAGGGCATTGTGAAAGTGGGCCCAGTGGGGTTTCTTCCCCTGGCTGTTGGCCAGAATCAAACTGGTTTCATCAGGCCCTGAGTGTAGACGCAATGTGCGGTAATTGGTACATTCAGCGTTGATCCTCGTGTTCCTTGGGTGCCGTGAGGAGCTTTCCCATAACCTCTCCTATTTCGCGGCTTGTCTTTGGCCCTAACCAGCACTCTTTCTTCACCTCTGGTTGTCCTTCTCCACTCCTCCTCTGGCCACACGCACAGTTCACACATACATCACCCTTTATCCAATGGAGTCAGAGATTTCCCTGGATGTAGCTCAGGTGGAAAACCTGCTTGGAAAGGAAAAGAGAAGTCTTTTCTTACTCCTGGGAGGTGACTGAAGAATCCGGCAGCATGTTGCCCTGGCGGCTGTCTGACTCAATGCTCTGGTCACAGTGGGAAGAGCTGTTCTGTAGTGGCACCTTGGACCATGCCAGTAGCCAATCCTGGGGTGGGTGGCGGGTGTGGGGGCTCCCCAACAGTGTTAAATAATAATATTGAATAGAATAAAAGAATAATGATCCTGGGAGCATTCATGCACCCCACACCCTCCTTTCATAAAAGGCTACTGCTCCTAACTTTGGAGATTCCTGTGTGGCCTCCACCCCGTTCCTTGTCCCCTTGTCTCTACACTAAAAGTAATTAATCATCCTGAGTTGTGTATTCACCATTCTCTCGCCTTTCTTCATCTAACTAGAACTTTCTGTTTGCATATCTTTGGGCTTCACATGATGGAATGATACAGGACATAGCCTTCTGCAACGTGCTTCTTTCTGCTGGACACCAGCCTCCTGAGAAGCATCATTTGGCCACAGCTGTGAGTTGTTCAGTTTCCTGCTGCCTTGAGTCCCGTTGTGTGGAGACATTGATTGTGATGGACACATTGATTGTGATGGACACATTGATTGTGATGGACACTTAGGTTGTTTTCAGGTTTTTACTCTCCCAGACTCCCTTGCTATGCTATGTACATTCTAGACACGGCTCCTTGTTCAGGACTTTCCGTAGAAGTAAAGTTGCTGGATGATACGATTTGTACATCTTCAGTTTTCCAAGTAGCTAGGTCAGTCTACATTCTGACAGGTGGGGTATAGATCTACCACTCATTTCACATCCTTACCAACACTTGATATCATCTTTAATATTTGCCAGCCTGGTGGGCATGAAGTGATAGCTCACTGTGGTTTCTATTTGAATTTCCCTGTTGGTTAACGAGGATGGGTTTTTTCACATGCAAATTGGCCATGGTGACACACCTATTCAAATCTTTTGCCTATTTTTCTTGACAGATTAATAGGTGGGTGTTCTTTATATGTTTTGGATACCAATCTTGAGTCACTTATGTGTATTGCAAATATATTCTCCCAATTTTGGCTTATTTTTTTGTTATGGTGGCTTTTGCTGAACAGAAGTTATTAATTTTAACAGTTCCATTCTTTAATCTTTCCCTTTATAGTTTGTATAATTGTGTCTGGTTTCAGAAATCTTCCCCTTCTACATACAAATTCATAAACATAGTTTCCTCTAATGTCTTTTAAAAGTTTTATAGTTTTGTTTTTCACATTAACTCCTTAGCCCACCTGAAATTTGCTTGTTTGTTTGTTTTGTGACAGGGTCTTTCTGTTGCTTAGGCTGGAGTGCAGTGGCACAATCATGGCTCACTGCAGCCTCAACCTCCTGAGTTCAAGCAACCCTCCTGACTCAGCCTCTCAGGTAGCTGGGACTGCAGGTTCATGTAACCACACCTGGCTCTTTTTTTATTTTTAGTAGTGACAAGGTCTCTCTATGTTGCCCAGGCTGGTCTCAAACTCCCAGCTCTGCCTCCCAAAGTGCTGGGATTACAGGCCTGAGCCACTGTGCCTGGCCTATAATGATTTTATGTAATGCTGGAGTTCGTGAGTGTTCTGGTTGTCTATTGCTGCATAACAGATTACCCTCAAAACTTAGTTATTTAAAAAACATCCAGGCTGGGCACAGTGGCTCACACATGTAATCCCAGCACTTTGGGAGGCCAAAATAGGCAGATCCCTTGAGCCCAGGAGTTTGAGACCAGCCTGGGCAACATGGTGAGGCATCTCTGTAAAAGAAGTAGCTGGGTATGGTAGTGCATGCCTGTGGTCCCAACTACTCGGGAGGCTGAGGTAGGAGGATTGCTTGAGCCTGGGGAGGTGGTAGGGGGAGGGCAGAGGTTGCAGTGAGCCGTGATCACACCACCGCACTCCAGCCTGGGTGACAGAAGAAGGCTCTGTCTCAAAAAAATAAAAAATAAAACAATATCCACTTTATTATACCTACCATTTTGCAGGTTAGGAATCTGGGCAGGATTCAGCTCAGGAATATTCCCATTCCCTATGGACTCGTTGAGGTCACTTGGTGGTATTAAGCTGGCAGATGGGCTGGTCTGGCGGGTTCGAGAGCCTCATTCACATTTCTGGCCCATTGATAGAAAAACTGGAATTGCCTGGGATTGTCACTGCAGTGCTTTCACGATGCCTCTCTAGCTGGCATTCTCAGGGCAGTCTTATATCTTACGTGACAGCTCAGGGCTCCTCGACAGAGTGTTCTGAGACTAAGATGAAAGCCACACGCTTCTGCTCACTAGCCTTAGAAGTCATTCAGTGCCACTTCTGCCATATTCTATTATTAAGTACTTTCCTAGGGCCAACCCAGATTCAAGAGGAAATAAATTAGACTCTATGTCTCAGTGGAAAGAGTAGCAAAAAAAAAAAAAAAAAAAAGTGGGCATCTTACATTTTCCATAGGTAGCTAGTAGTTCATGATTTTTATATCTACATTTCATAAGTGAGATTGCAAACTTCTTTTCAGCTACTGTTCTTATCTGGTTTTGCTACCAAAGTTATGCAAGCCTCATTAAAATGAGATGGTGAGTCTTACCTACGTTTCTCTATTCTGAAATAATTTAAGACTACTTTTCCTTCTTTCTTTTTTTTTGTTTTGTTTGTTTGTTTTTAGAGACAGAGTCTCACTATGTTGTCCAGGCTGGTCTCAAACTCCTGGTCTCAAGCGATCCTTCCACCTTGGCCTTTCAAAGTGCTGGGATTGCAGGCATGAACCACCGTGCCCATTTCTTGAATGTTGGTAGAACTTGTGGCTAAAAGCATCTGAGCCTGATGTTTCCTTTGTAGGAAGATTTTTAAACTGTTGATTCAATTTTTGTATTGATTATGACTATTTGAGTTTTCTGTGTTCTCTTGAGTTTGAGTTTATTATGAAAAGTCACATTTATCTAGTAATTTGTTTCATCTACATTTTCAAATTTACTGGTATAATGTTTATAATAACCTCTTAAATCTTTGTAATGTCTTGAAGCATCAGTATTTATGTCTCATTTTTTGTTTCTGACATTGTTACTTGTGTCTTCTCTTTTTCTTGATCAATCTTGCCAGAAATTTATCAATTTTATTAGTTTTGGCAAATAAATGATTTTTGGTTGTGTTGATTCTATTATATTTTTGCCTTTTATTTCATCAGTCTCTTTCTTTTAGCTTTCTTTGGGATTATCCAATTCTTTTTCTATCTTAAATCATATGCTTAGATGATTAATTCTATTATAAATTGTATGCTTTATGGCCAGGTGTGGTGGCTCATGCCTATAATCCCAGCATTTTGGGAGGCCGAGGCAGGCAGATCACTTGAGGTCAAGAGTTTGAGACCAGCCTGACCAACATGGTGAAGCCCCGTCTCTACTAAAAAATTAAAAAAAAAAAAAATAGCCAGGTGTGGTGGCGCACACCTGTAGTCCCAGCTATTCAGGAGGCTGAGGCATGAGAATTGCTTGAACCTGGGAGGCAGAGGTTGCAGTGAGTGAGATTGCACCATTGCACTCCATCCTGGGCGACAGAGCAAGACTCTGTCGCAAAATAAATAAATAAATAAATAATAAACGTATGCGTTAGCTTATTTGAGGCATTCGTTATTTATAAGCACATTTAAAACCTTTCAATCATTGGGAAATCATCTTTTTGCTATTAATTTCTCATTTAACTGCCTTGTTGTCAGACAGTGTGGTCTGTATAATACCAATACTTTAACATTGTTGAAACTTGTTTTGGCTCAGTTGTCATTGAAAATAATGTCTCCTATAGTTGTTGGGTACAATTTTCTGTAAATATATATTGAGTCAACTTTGTAGTATTCAAATCTTCTATATTTGTACAGTTTTGGGTTTTATTTTTAGTATTCTTGATATTTTAATTACTGGGACAGTTATAATAAACTCTTCTACCATAAAAGCAAATTTCTTCTTGTAATTGCATATATTTTTGCTTTATATGTTAGAGGCTATGTTATTAGGTATATACATGTTTAAAATTGTTATATTTTCCCAGGGAACTAAAACTTTAATCATTGTGTAGTGATTCTGTTTCTTCCTAGTAATGCTTCTTACATTAGAGTCTACCTTGTCTGCTATTAATTTAGGTATACCAGCTTCTTGGATTAGTATTTGCCTGAAATATTATTTTCTATTCTTTTTACTTTTAAACTTTTATGTTTTAAATGTGTTTCCTATAAGTAGCATATAGGTGGATTTTTAAAGCTGAAACTTAATTTATATTAATTGTGATCACTAAAATATTTGCACTTACATTTACCATTTTATTAAAAGCTTTCTATTTATCTTATCTTCTCTGTTCCTTTATCTTTCTTTTCTTGTCTTCTTTTATTTTTTCAATATTTATTTTCTTATTTTAACTTTTCATTATAAGTAATTGACACACATAACAAAAGTGGAGAAATATCTCTCAACTTCAGCAATGATCAACAAATTTCATATTATCTATCCTCTATACCTTCCCCATTACCCAACACTGGATTGTTTTTAAGCAAAACCAAGCCATCATATTATCTTATTCATAAATTCTTCAGTATGTGTGTAATATTTAAGAAGTCTTTCATGAAACAAAACTACATTACCATTATTACATCTTTAAAAATAGCAGTTCTTTAATATCATTAAATATGCAGTGAGTGTTCAAATTTTCCTGTCTCACACACAAAAATTTTTTTTGTTTTGTTTTTTTCTCTTGGATTGTCTGAATTGGATCCACCCATTTCTTTCTTCTTTTTAGAATAAACATTATTTTTCTTGTGTAATTTTATTCTTACTAGCTTGGGAATGATACACTTTATTCTTTATTATTATTCTAAAAATTCTAACTTATCAGTCTGAAGTTAATTAGTATTTTTTCTCTCTAAATAGTATATAGTTCAGAATACTTTAAATCCTATCAACAAACCCCTTCCCTAATCTTAGATCATGTGCTATTGGTGTCTTATATTTTGGTTCTAATTTTTAACTCTATAAGACATGATTATTACTTTTTTTTTTTTTTTTTTTGAGACAGGTCTCACTCTGTCACCCAGGCTGGAGTACAATCGTGTAATCTTGGCTCACTGCAGCCTCAACCTCCTGGGCTCAAGCAATTCTCCTGTGCCAGCCTCCCATGTAGCTGGGACTGGAGGTGCGCACCATCACACCTGGCTAATTTTTTTATTTTTCTGATTTTTTGTAGAGCTGAGGTCTCCCTGTGTTGCCCAGGCTGGTCTCGATCTCCTGGACTCAAGTGATCTTCCTGTCTAGGCCTCCCAAAGTGCTGGGATTACAGGCATGAGCCACCATGCCTGGCCTATTTCGTGATTTTTGACTGTGAGCTCATATCTGTAGAAATTATTTGATGCTAGGTTGAGTAAGTTTCTCTTGGGAAGGTTTGTACTTACCTCTTCCAGGCATCTGGGGGAACCACCAGTCATAGGCATCTTTTAACTAAATATTCAACTTGAGGTTTTTTTCTTCTACTCAGGTTCAAGGTTGAAAGAGGCAAACTCCTTGCTTCCCCTTGAGGGAGGGAGTGGGTGAATCTATTTCCTAGTTAATTAACTGGAAGATATAACCCATTAGGGTTCTAGATTTATGGAGGGGGCTCTTCTATTGGCCTCCCCACCTTGACCAGGCCCTGTTTTTTTCACCCAGCAAGGCTGTGAAAATAAAAATTCAAATTTACTTTTAGAGTAAATGTTATTAAGATATAAGGTGGCATTAGAATTCTGCTTATTTTTCTGGGCTTTCACTCTCACCTTTGCTTGGTTTTCAGTCACTTACTTTTTTTTTTTTTTTTTTTTTTTGCCAAACTCATCAATGCTTTCTGTATATCAGCATTGTTCATTATTTTCCATATGAGGATAGGCCAGAGTATCTTCTCCATCAGACTTCGGGAAGCTACAGTCCTCTCGACAGTTACTATTCTAGTTCCTATTCCCAGAGTGCCAATTCTTGCTAGACAAAGTTTTGGGAGTTTCTAACTTCATTCACCTGAATGTTCACTGCTATTTAAAATCTTTTTCCTCTTGGCCTTGACCCCTGGCCCTCTGCTTTCCTACAAGTATGGAGACACCATCAGGTATGAGTTCTCTCCTCTCCTATCCTCTCTACTTTACAATACCTCTTTATCCACTTAATCTTTCCTACTTATTCTTCCCCCCAAGTCTCCCTTGGAGAATTGCCCCTCCTTTCTAAGGCCAAATCCTCTACCCTTGCTATGAATTCCATTTTTGTGGCCAAAATTCCTCTTTCTTTGCTCATGATCTTTTGCCAATTATATTCTTACTAATCGTTCAAGGCTGAGTTTAGTACTTTCTCCCCTGTGATGCCTTTTGAAATGTCCCTTCCCCCTTCATCCCTAATTTCCTCTCGACTCCAAGAGCACTTTGTTATTAACATAACATTAACACAGGACTTACACTGTTGTAAAAGGGAATTATTTGCATAACTGTCGTTTCTCCTTCTAAATTGTGAGTTCCTTAGAGAAGACACCATTTTCTGCATTATTTCTTACTGTGCGAAACATAATACTTTGCATATAGTGGCTCATTGTAAATGCTTCTTGCCTTCCTTAGAAATCAGTCTCTTCAACAATCTCTTTTCTTTACTCTGTCTTCATTTTCACTAGATCCCTCCTTTCTATGGTCAGACACATTCGAGTATTTTGGAACTTGAAGGGAAAGAAAAAAATCTCTGCTTAATCCTGCTATTTCCCTTTTTATCTTTCTTTTTCTAAATATCTTAAACATATGGTCTGTGACTTCTGTCTTCTTTCTTTACCCTGCATCTTTCTTTAACCGTCTGTAATCTGACCTCCACTCTCACCACTCTACTTAGACTACACTCTTAAAAATGAGTTTCCTTCCGATTACCACAGCCATGTCCTATCTGCAGCTTCTGTTTGATACTCTGAGCACCCCTGGTGGGAGAGCGACCTCTGCCTAGTGTGGCCCTGGGGTGCTGCCAGGGTCTCCTGCCCTCTGACCACTCTTCCTCCCCTCCACCCAAGCCTGTTCTCAGCTCACAGCTTTCCTTCCTATACTGAGGGACCCCCGCCCCACGTTTGTGACTTTAGCTATTATGGATGGGGCTGCTTTTCGCATCTTCATTCTCCTTCCCTAATTTCTTCGAAAACCAAAATCTGAATTCTTAAATTTTTTCCAGACATTTTCATTTGATGCCCCTCTGCTCAAGAAGGCTCCCTTTCCTCAATATGTTCATCTCTTCCATCACTTCCTGGTTCCTTTAGGCTCAACAATCTCAGTTTTGTTTGATCTTTCCCAATTTCTTACTCCTCTCTTTCTCACCCCCTGTGAAGGTGGCTCAGCCTCCACAAAATCTCTCTCGATTCCAGCTGTCTTTGCTTTGGTTTAGGACTCATCCCTGGATGAGTGCACCAGGCTCCCTGGCTATGCCTCTGCTATCAGGTTCTTTCCTTTCTCAGTCCTCTTGCATATCATTGCCTAATATTATAAAAATTCCATTCAAGGTCTGATGGAGGTCTATGGAAAAAGATGATGGATTAGAGAATCCGACAAGTCAGGATTTGAATCCCAACTTCACTACTTACTGGCTGTGAGGTGTCAGTTTCCTTCATTTCTGTGAGAGGAATGACACTCATCGCATAGGATTTTAGTGAATATTAAGTAAGGCAATCTGTTAATAATAAAATTACCTTTCTACATGTTTTTATTTTTAACAGATCAATAAGCATTTTCAGAGCAATTAGGTCATTTCTCCAAGGTCACAGTCTATAAAGCAGAGCAGGGTTTTTCACATATCTCACAAGGCAAGGTGAATATAAGCTTTAAATTTGTCTGTATTAATTAATGAATCCATATTCCTAATGCCTAGTAACAAATCCTACATTCACTCAGTTCTTCAGGAGCCAAGAGAAGATACTGATCCTGAGGGGGCTGGAGCAGCTCCAGGTCAGTGTCAGGGGCTGAGACCAGCATTGGAAGAGAAGGCGTGCGGCTTAGCATGGAGGCCAGGAGGGGAAACGGTGAGGAGAGAAGAGGGCGTCCCAAGATGCCCTGCCCAGCATGGCTATCACTGGAAAATGAGAAAGGATGTGGAGCTCATTGTGTATTTTTATGACGTTGAGCGGATTTAATCCTTTTCTGCCTAGGGCTGTTCACTCTTCATGAATGTCTTGGGGATTTGGCCAATTGTGAGAATGTTTCTGGTGATATTAAACCTCATTTTATGAGGTTGGCGGCCATTACTTTCAAACCATAAATCTTATCCTCTAAAAAAATGAGAATGATCCCTTCGAAAAATCCCACTTGATGATGAGAAGTTTGGTCGTGGAAAATACATAAAATTCGGGATCCCCTTTTTTTGCCTCAGGCCTGAATGTGGGCTGGGGTCAGGCATTCGGAGCCGTGTGAGGGGCTAGAATCTCAGGAAAGCCTCTCTGACTGATGCTACGGTGGAGCAACGAGAACACTCGGTGGCATAAACTTTCAGAAAGACAGTAGAGAAAAAGGAAGGAGGATGCACCCCAGTCCATGACACCCGCCCTGCACGTTGTTAGTTGGGGTCACGTGTCCAGCTTCTCCAATATGGCGGCTGCGTGGCCCTGGCCCACTTGCTGTACTCTCCTTGTGGTGTGGCCAGAACTGTGGCTCTCCTTTCACCTCACGCCCTCAGATCAATGGCTGTCGGTGGCCATTCATTCAGAACTCCCTCAATAAGAGTATTTTGTGGTAAATTTTGTTTGGGGGATGCTGCAGGTTATTTTCCGCTTCTGGAGATTCCCAGTGAGTATCAGAAGTTTTGATAAAGACTTTTTTTTTTTTTTTTTAGCAAAAAGCCAGCAGAGCCAGCTGCTTGGACCCAGGGGTCCTTGGTTGTTCCCAGGGCCCAGGTCATGCCCTGTAAGAGTGGAGCTTATGAAGTTACCCACACACCTATCTCCAGAGACTCTCATTTCCAACCTGCTCGGGACCCAAGAAGGCTCAGTTGTTCAGATCTAAAAACGCATTACATAATTTTCCTCGCCATTCATTCTTCTATATGATAGCAGGGAGAAAATCCGCTTTCGTGCCTTGACAGATGTGCGGTTGCTAATTTAACTAGGTAAAGTATGGTTGAGGGATGTCAAACCTGAGGCAGTGTTCTTGGGACTAGCTTCCATTGTTATGGCCCCTGAAGACACTTGCTGACTTAAACAGGGCAGGGGCCGCAGGGATGGGCCGTTGTGCTCAGGAGAATCTCTGAGGCCCCCACCCAGGCCCATTGCTAGAGGCCAAAAGACACAGATAAAATCCATGGCAGTGAGTTCACAGGAGACACCTGGTGCCACTGGGCAGGATCTCATATGGGGTCTTGGGGGAAATGAAAACAATAATTGTATGAAAAATCAGCCTTCCTCCCCAATCATTGCTAACCCCTTGCCATCTCTGAATATTTCAGTTTTAGAATATTTCTTTTAGGGAACTGGGCAGAAATGACAGGAGTTAGCCCATATTTGTTAGACCTTCCCTGTGTGCCACATATGTTTTTAAAAAGGCTTCATGTCCATTTTCCCAATCATGGCACTGCTGTGACTCGTGGCAATGGAGTATAATGCCCATTTTACAGATGAGCAAATCAAGGCTTAGCCCTCCGTGAAGCCGTGTGCCTCCAGAGCCCAGGCTCCCCCTTTCTGCCTGTTCTGCCTCAGGGTAGTTTTTGAGTCTTCCATGGAGTCTTCTACACATTCCAGTGGAAATGTAAGCACCAGAGAAATAACCTAAGAAATCGCACTTACCTTTGCAAGGCTGCCACCTTCCCTGCTGCCTTGTGGAGAGGGCCTGGCTAGCTTCTCAGCACCATGAGCACAGCAGACCCTTTTTCTTTCCAGGGCTGCTTGGAGGAGGGAAGATTCTGTCCTGCTGCGGGCCCTGCTGTGCAACTCAACTCATGACCGATCCTGCAGATCACAGGAGACCCCGCAGTGCTGGAAGAACCCAGAGCTCAGGGCAAAGGGGAGCTTCGAGCGCTCCTAAAATATAGGTCTTCGCCTATCATTTTAAAATGAGGTTTCTTTTCTTCTCCCCAGCTTCTGCTTTCTCCTAGGTATGGGGTAAGAGAATTTCTTTTTTCTTTTGAGACAAGGTTTCACTCTGTCATGCAGGTTGGAGTGCAGTGGCACAATCACCACTCACTGCAGCCTTGACTTCCCAGGCTCAAGCAATCCTCCCACCTCAGCCTCCCAAGTAGCTGGGACTACAGGTGTGTGTCACCATGCCCAGCTAATTTTTTTTTTTCGTATTTTTATAGAGATGAGGTCTCTCCGTGTTACCCAGGCTGGTCTTGAACTCCTGGGCTCAAACGATTTGCAGGCCAGGCCCTCCCAAAGTGCTGAGATTACAGGTGTTAGCCACTGCGCCAGGCCAGTAAAAGAATTTCTTAGGAAGTTTTGGGATGAATTTGGCCACTTTTGCTGTAGAATATGTAGAAGGAGAATTTAAAAACTTCTTTGTTGGCAGGACTTAAACCTTCTGTGTTGCTGTTCTGTTTGTAAGGGCAGTGCCAGCTCCTGACCCCAGTGGTGAGTTCCGTGCCTTCTTTCCCGGCTGCAGGGAGGGACCCTGGATCATTGACTGGGCCTCACCATCTGGAGAAGAGATTCTGGAGAAGTTGTCTCTGGAGTGAGTTTCTGTTTAGTTGGATAATTTGCGTATTTAATGACATACAACTTTTTTTTTTTTTTTCAAAGAAACAACCTTGTCAATATCCCACAAAAGATCAAAATATATATTTTAAAATCTTACATTTGAATAAAAAGTAATATAGCAATAATATAAAGACACTCCAAGTACAATCCAAGTATGCTAGGTTAGACTGGAGGTTGCAGTTGCTTCAGGCAAGATTCATACCCTGAACTGCACCAGGCAAGCAGCTTCCCAGGCCAGCAGCCCGTACAGTGACACCGGGCCCCCCATCAGCACCCTGCACTTGGTTTAATGCTCTCATGTTGCCGCTGTGACATTCTGAACACTTTTTGAACAAGGGGACCTTCGCTTTCATTTTGCTCTAGACCCCATGAATGGCGTAGCTGGTCCTGCTCTGCTGGTTCCCTGTTCCCTGCAGAATGAAATCCAGATGCCCTCCACGTCCATCCCCACTGCTGGGGGAACCCCTCTAGGCAGACAACATGGCCCAGCCGTCGTCACCCTGAGGTCTGGCACGGTGCCTGGTAGGACTCAGCCAGTATCTGAGGACTAAAGGAAATTTTGTAAAACACCATAAAAAGGCTTGTTCTGTATCCAGATAAAATGGAAGCTCTTTCTATCCTCTCAAAATATCCCTTTTTCAAACCAAACTCAATTTCCTAGCTAAAAGCCATTATCAAACACCAGGCTCACCTCTTGGTTGTACACGCGGGTGTTTATTAAGGCCACCCATAAACTTAAAACACCTTCTTTCAAATCTGACTTCTTTCATTTCTTTTTGTGTTATTCTTGTAGTGGAGCTTCAGTTTTTGTTAAAGGAAGTCTGTCTCTAATGTACTGTTTCAGCACAAGTTTCTTTTAATTGACTAACTGAACACCCCAGGGTAAGTGGCTGTCCCAGCCTAAGGAGGATGGGCTGTAGGCTCTTGAATTGTCCTGGTCTCAGGGCAACTTTTCCAGCAAGAGCAAACACAGGGCCTACGGCCTACAAAAATGTTTTAACTTAAAATTCTTTTGAAATCAGAAGAAGTGATAAATTTGATTCATATATATAATATGTAACATGTAAACCCAGCCTGGATTATATTTGTCTCCTGCTCTGCTGTGAATGTCCCCACCGAAACTCATGTTGAAACTTAATCCCCAATGTGGCAGGATTGAGGGGTGGAGCCTTTAAGGGGTGAGTGGGTCACAAGGGCTCTGCCCTCATGAGTGGATTAATCCATTCAAGGATTAATGGGTTAATGGATTATCACGGGAGTGGGACTGGTGACCTTATAAGAAGAGGAAGAGAGACCTGAGCTAGCATGTTAGCCCGCTCAGCCCCCTCGTGGCGTGATGTCCTGCAGCAACTCTGCAGCATCCCCACTAGCAAGAGGGCCTTCACCAGATGTGGTTCCTCAACCTGGCACTTCTCAGTCTCCGTAACTGAAAGAAATAAATTCCTTTTCTTTATAAATGACCCAGTTTCAGGTATGCTGATATAAGCAACAGAAAACAAACTAAGACATCTTCATATCAATGCAATTGCAAAATATATTTGTAATGTTTTTTGGAAGAAAGGTCTTATGAAGGCAAAGATGCCTCGGGGCCCCAGAAGTCACCATGCAGCTCTGCGTGGTCAGCATTACCTATGTTACTGGACCCCTCACAGCTTCTGCCCTCCGGCTCTATCCACAGCAAGAAGGTAAGCCAGTTATTTTGTTTGTTTGTTTGTTTGTTTGAGATAGAGTTTCACTCTTGTTGTCCAGGCTGGAGTGCAATGGCATGATCTTGGCTCACTGCAACCTCGGCCTCCCGGGTTCAAGTGATTCTCCTACCTCAGCCTCTCGAGTAGCTGGGATTACAGGTGCCCACCACCATGGCTGGCTAATTTTTGTATTTTTTTAGTAGAGACGGGGTTTCACCATGTTGGCCAGGCTGGTCTCAAACTCCTGACCTCAGGTGATCTGCCCACCTCAGCCTCCCAAAGTGCTGGGATTAAAGGCATCAGCAACTGCATCTGGTGGTGAGCCAGTTTTGAAGGTTTGGTGACAGTGGGTGGGAAAAGTGCTCTGTGATTTCCCATCCCCCAGAGCAGCCTCGCGAGAGAACACCACGTTATGATAGTGGCTTCAGGGACACAGGGCTGCTCTGACTGCCAATCCCATGAGGTCGGAGGGCCTTCAGAAAAGCCTGAGGTGGTCAGGTCAGCGCTCAGCCCAGCCTGGGTGCCATTTCCTTTGGGTTTACACATTGGAGCTGCCCCAGCCCTCCAGGTGAGGCACAGAGTGGGGTGCATACGCCCCTTCCATGGGACAAATGCCCTCTCATAGCCTGGGGACCCAGGCAGCTCTCAGGAGGAGTCTTTGCTGGCTTGGATTCCTATCAGACAAGCTTAGTTTGTGCATTTTTTGTTTAGGAAAATTCCTTTTAACCTCTGGATTTGTGACGTCCTGAGAAGTGTGTATTAAACAGAAAAGGTTCTCTGTGCCTCATGAATACATTAATTAGCGCCTCTGTATCCTAGGGCAGCAGGTGCCTTGGGACAGATGTCATTAAACAGCTCTGAGGTCAAGCGCATGGAGCAGATGGTGCACTGGGCACAGGGAGGCAGCCCCGTGTCCCTGCAGGGGCCCTGGACAAGCACCTAGGCCATGGGTCAAGGTCTCCGCTCCAGCTCTTCTAGCTGTGGGTACAGGACCCTTTCCAAGTACTGTCTGGAGGCCAGGTTCTGGGCAACAGATCTTCGTGTACTTTTCATTTTGACCCTCGCCACAATCCTCTGAGAAGGCAGATGAGGAAACTGATCTTTCGAGAGGTTGCAGAGACGTGTGCCAAATCGTTCAATGGGTGACCCTCAAGTGGCCTGGTGGCTTCCTGCTTGCTGTCTCCATGTCCTGGGCAGCTGGCATTCCCAGCACCTCCTGAAACAGCCCACATCTATGCTCAGACTGCCCTGTGCTCTTGCGCCATTTGTCCCTCCCCCTAAAGACTCCCTTTATGCCCAATACAAAGGAAGAACAAGGGGGACAGGACCCCTCTCCTCCAGCACAAGCATAGCACAGCCCGCTGTGCAGGCTCTGAGCAGGATGCTGAGAGAATGCAGGACAGACCCAGGCACCTGCAGACCCTCCTCCCTGTGAGGTCCCACCTGCCCCACATGACACTGTGCAGTTGCCTGTGCCCCTTAGCATAACCAAGGTCAGGCACTGGTCCCAAGGTCACACAGGGCCAGAGCTCAGATTTAAACAAAGCTGAGTGATTCTAGAACCTGTGTGTGCCAAAGCACTGCATTCTACCTAAGTGCTGGGTTTTTTGTTTTTTGTTTTTCGTCTAAAACAGCCTACAGAATCCTGGCCTTGGCTTTCTCACCAGACTTCTGGGAAGGTCAAATGAGATAATATATGCAAAAGCACTCTGTCAGTGAAAAGTGCTCTGTTTCTGGTCTAATAACCCTCCCCAACCCACTCACAGTTCTTCATTTTCAAATTCCTTAGTGAGCAGTTGGTTTCGTTGTCTTAATTTGGGGCAGTAATGATTTCTGAGAAGCAGGTGATTGATAACGCGCAAATTCAAAGCCCCTTGGGGGCTGCATTGTAGCATGGTGTGGGGATGGGGAGACAGAGGGCTGGTAGGATCCCGAATTCCTAGTTTTTCTCTCCCTCTCCCTTGCTTCTTCATTTTCTTCCTTCAGGCTTTCTTCCATTTCTTTCTTCCATCAAATATTTGTGGAGCTGGAACTGGGCTTCACTATCATATTCCAAGGCCCTGTACTGGGAACAGACAAAGAAGCTCCTCCCAGAGACTGGAAGAATGGTACAAGGTGAGTGGACAGGGAGGTCAGCCGCAACCTGTTATTCTTTCACATGGAAATCTGAAATAGTGGGATCATTCTCTTATTTTTTTTCAGTTATTCTAAATGTAGACCTCTGTGTGGAGGTGAGATAAGATGGAAAGATGAGGGGATGAGGAGGAAAATGGTAACAGAAAATCATGATTAGTGACTTTTTCCCCGGAAAATCACTCTGTTGGTTTATCTAGCTGAGCCTTGGGGTCTTTCAAAAGTTGAATCTAGATCCTTAAGTCCAGTGCCTTCCAGAATTTCCACCAAGTGGCCCCGGAGGCAGAAGAGAGTGAATTACTGTCCCCAGAGGAGACTCAGACTGAGCATGAAGCTGCTAGACACATGGGAGATTTCTCTGAAATGTCTTTTGTGATTTAGAAATTAATGTAATTTTGGCATGCTTTTCATAACACAACTGTTTGTTTTAATATAAAAATCAGCCTTCCAAGAACACATAGTGTATGATTCTATTTATATGAAATGTCCCAAACACGCAAACCTGTAGAGATGGAAAGTAGATTCGTGGTTGCCAGGAGCTGGAAGGACTGGGTGGTGGGAGGTGGCGGCCAAAGGGAATGGGTTTCTCCCGTTTGGGGTAATGGAAATGATCTAAAATTGATGGTGGGGATGCTGGGACAACCCTATGAATACATTAAAAAGCACTGAATTGTACATTTTCAATGGGTGAATTGTATGAGATGTGAATTATATCTCATAAAGCTGTTTAAGAAAATGAAAAACTGTTTCTTCCAATCTCCAAGTAAAATTGGCATTCTGGGAAGATGAGTAACTTTTAGCTTTTTGCCGCTGAGTAATGGGCCTAAATGCACCCATCTGAAAAGCAAGATTCTGGTCCAATCCATTAATCTATAGAAACCTGGGAAGGTGATGTGACTTGCCCAAGGCCACACAGAGTAGGAAGAAGAGCCAGGTTTCCTGAGTCCCAGTCCAGGACAATGAGGTGCACCTCCACGTGTACTGGGCCTGCCCAGTTGGTTCAGCCACACACGCTCCCTGGCCCGTGTCATTAGCTCTCTTCTATGGGCTTTCTCTGGCTTGCCACACCCTAGATGTCCTCAAAACAAGTGGCTATGCCTGTAGATCCCTCATGCCCACCTTGAGTGGCAGGAGAAGGCAGGGCCCCACCCATTCCTGCCTTTGGCCCTGTTGAACCAAAGGCCAGCTCTGCTTTGAGATGCTTTGGGAGTCAGATGCACTGTCTGTTTAATCTTGGAAGAGCCAGTGGTATCTGGATGGATTCTCAGCCAGGGCACTTTTATCCTCCCTGCCCGGCATTGGGCAAGCTGTGAAAGTGAGCTTTAGGATCAGACGTGAGGATGGATCATGTAGGAACCTGCAGCCCCATGTCCTCTCCTTCTCCAAATGACTTCATGCCAGAGGACCCACAGATGTGTCCAGAGAATGGCCCGGCCCCTTCCTGCCACACCAGCCTCCTCAGTGAGGGGCAGGCTCAGATGGTCTCTGGTAACCTTGGGCCTCCCTTCTGTGTGGTTCTATCTGGTTCTGACATCCAGTCTTCAATGAGCTTCTTACAAAAAAGTCTTGTGAGATAAGCAAGGTGAATGCTGTTTACTTTCATTTTTCAGGTGTGAAAACCAAGGCTTAAAGCATGCAAGTTATTTGCCCGAGGTTTTTCAGCCACAAATGAAGAAGCTGGGTCTGCTCCACACCTGTGAACCAGGCTATTTCCACCATAACCTGAACTCAGATGAGCACCAGCCCATGGAGAATAGTCCAGAAGGCTGCCCATAGCCTTAAAGGACAGTGTGAGCATTAATCACAGCCTGTTGCATTTGAAGACCACCTCCGGAACAATGTCGTTTTAAATCTATGCCCAAGGCTGAACTTGGATTGGAAAGATGGGAGAGACAGCAGGCCTGGGTGTATTCAGGATTATTTCCTAATAACTCACTCTCTCCTCCCTCCTCCCTTTCTTGAAAGTGAGTGGTTAGGGATGAGCGGTTGCAGGCAGAGATGACAGCATGAGATATTTCACCAAAGAGTGGGTGTTTAACCACCACTTGTCTAGGAGATGGGCAACATGTCCCAGAGATGATTCTAACAGGGAACTCTTCCTGGCAGAGTCCAGTGAAGGGAACCAGGAAATTCGGGGGCAGGGCAATCCCACTCTCTCTGTCAGGTGAGATCACCTGCGCAGTGGTTTGAGTTCAGGCATCTTACTTTCTTTTAGTTAGATTCATAGGATTAAAAATTATCTGCTTATCTAGTCCAATATTTTTAAGGCATGTCAAAAAATCTGCAGAATCCCCCCCCCCCCTTTTTTTTCATAAGAAATATACATAAATCTGAGAAAAAGCAGAGCTGGAAAAAAAGTGGGGGCATCTCGGAGGATGAACTACCTGGAGCCCCATTCTGGCAGCTCTTGAGAATTCTGGAATTCCTCTGGAAACTACTGATTTAGTTTCTCATTTCCATTTGAGAAAACAAAATATAATAATAGCGATCAAGGTTATATTTTATGGAAGTCTCACTGTGTATGCGTCTTTTTATTCTTACAGCAGCCTCACAAAATGAGTGTTATATTCTGGATTATCAGAAGAGAAATGTGAGATGCAGGCAGGTTGAGAAAATTGCTCCAAGTCACTTCGGGAATGTGTGCATGGACAAGGTAGGTCCACCTGGGATTGTTCAGCTGCAAGATCAACACAGGGCCAAGTCAGAAAACACAGATTTCCCATCAAACCTGGGTTCTGTGAAAATAAGATCTTAATGGAAACTCAATGTAAATGTGTTTTTCTACCTCTAAAAGAGCCACCTTTCCTTGACACCTACTTTGAACAGCAGAAGGGCCTTGACTGGTGAGATTCTGTAATGTATGTGGCTTTTGGTATCCTAGAGGAGATGTCGGCAGTTTGCCCTCATTGAGAAAAAAAGTCAGGCCAAGTCCCCAAAGTCACCTTGAAGCTGCATGCATCTATCCCTGATTCAGATTCATGTTGTGGCTTAGAAATGACTTCAACCTAGTAGCTGGCATTTAGGCAGGAAAATCAGCATCATAGAAAGTTAGGAACTTTGGGCCGGGCGCAATGGCTCACGCCCGTAATCCCAGCACTTTGGGAGGCTGAGGCAGGCGGATCACCTGAGGTTGGGAGTTCGAGACCAGCCTGACCAACATGGAGAAACCCCGTCTCTACTAAAAATACAAAATTAGCCAGGCGTGGTGACGCATGCCTGTAATCCCAGCTACTCGGGAGGCTGAGGCAGGAGTATTGCTTGAACCCGGGAGGCGGAGTTTGCGGTGAGCCAAGATCGCACCATTGCACTCCAGCCTGGCAACAAGGGTGAAACTCCGTCTCAAAAAAAAAAAAGAAAGAAAGAAAGTTAGGAACTTTGGAAGCATTCTGTCCAATGTCCTCATTTTACAGATTAGAAAACTGTAGGATGGTGTAGCAAAAAAAAAAAAGAAAAGGAGGAGAAAGAGGAAGAGAGCATGTCCCAGTGGGCCAGAAGCCCCCAGCTGCATGGCATGGTCATGGGCTAAGAGCGCCTGCTTTGGAGAGAGTAGTGGTAACAGCAGCCACAACTCATTCATCAGCAACTATCCATGAGAACTTACTGTATGCCAGATACTGTACTGGGGGTATGGGATACACAGATAAACAAAACATATGGCCGGGGTGCTTGGTGGCTCATGCTGTAATCCCAGCACTTTGTGAGGCTGAGATGGGAGGATCATTGAGGCCAGGAGTTTGAGACCAGCCAGGACAACATAGCGAGACCCTCCATCTGTAAAAATTACAAAAAAAACACAACTAAATAAAACAAAAAAAAAAAACCAAAACATATGAAGATGCCTGTCCCTGTGGAGCTCACAGCTAGTAAGGTGAGCTAGACATCAAAAAATAATAATACGAGTCCTGGAGCAGTGGCTCACACCTGTAATCCCAATACTTTGGGAGGCCAAGGTGGGAGGATTGCGTGAGCCCAGGAGTTTAAGACCAATCTGGGTGACATGGTGAGACTTCATCTCTACAAATAATAAAAAAATTATCTGGGCATGGTGGTGTGTGCCTGTAGTCCCAGCTATTTAGGAGGCTGAGGTGGGAGGATCGCTGGAGCCCAGGTGGTAGAGGCTGCAGTAAGCCAAGATGGTGCCACTGCACTCCAGCCTGGGGGACAGAGCAAGACCTTGTCTCTAAATAAATAAATAAATCATAATAAGAGAAATTGCTTAATGGATACAAGGTATATTATTCAGATGATGGTTACACGAAAAGCCCAGACTTCACCAAAAGCAGTATATCTATGTAACAAAACTGTACTTGTACCACATAAAGCTATACAAATTAATAATAATAATGGTCTTCAAGGTTTGTTGAGTATGCAATCCAGGAGTGTAAAGTTTTTGACAACATTCCTCCAATGTAAATCTAATTGTTTCTAAATTATCTACATGTGCTTCTATAGTATTATATATGTTTAAATATACCCCCAAAATAGAAAGTATTAATATATATAAATAGAAGTTGTAATTTGCTTTCCTCTCTCAGTTGGACTATGTTATAAATAGGTCTGGAGCACTCACTTTGGAGAGCTCTGGACCAGGCAGCCACCCCACGAGCTGGGACATTAAGGAGTCCTGAGAACAGATGTTTAGTTTTAGGATAAAAGAGAACTGAGCTCCACTCCTCTTTTCTTCTATCATTGCTTCATTGAATTTTAAAAATTGTAAAATACACATAACATAGATTTTACCATTTTAACTATATTTAAGTGGACAGTTCAGTGACACAGAGAATATTCACAATGTTATGCAACCATCACCACCATGCCTCTCCAGAACTTTTTTTTTTTTTTTTTTTTTTTTTGAGACAGAGTCTCACTCTGTTGCCCAGGCTGGAGTGCAGTGGCGCGATCTTGGCTCACTGCAACCTCTGCCTCCTGGGTTCAAGCGATTCTTGTGCCTCAGCCTCCCAAGTAGCTGCGATTACAGATGTGTGCCTCCATGCCTGGCTAGTTTTTGCATTTTTAGTAGAGATGGGGTTTCACCATGTTGGCTAGGCTGGTCTTGAACTCGTGGTCTTAAGTGATCTGTCTGGCTCAGCCTCCCAAAGTGTTGGGATTACAGGCATGAGCCACCGCGTCTGGCCTCTCCAGAACTTTTTTATCTTCTAAACTGAAACTTTGTACTCTGTACAGAAGTACTCCCCATGCTTCCTTCAGCCCCTGGCAACCACCTGTCTACTTTCTGTCTCTATGAATTTGGTTGCTCAAGGTCTGTGTCTATATTCTAGGCCTATTATTAGTTTTAAGCTCCTATGATGCTCCAAGTAGAGCTTTGGCATTTAGGATTCAGTGGTGAGCAAAGCAAATGAGGATTCTACCCTCCAACCTGCCTCAGTCTGCTTTAACTAACTTTATGTGTTTTGGTTTTTTGTTTTTTTGAAACGGAGTCTTTCTCTGCTGCCCAGGCTGGAGTGCAGTGGCGTAAACTCGGCTCACTGCAACTTTGCCTCCCAGGTTCAAGCAATTCTCGTGCCTCAACCTCTGAGTAGCTGGGACTACAGGTGCACGCCACCATGCCCGGCTAATTTTTGTATTTTTTAGTAGAGATGGGGTTTCTCCATGTTGGCCCAGCTGGCCTTGAACTCCTGGCCTCAGGTGATCCTCCCACCTTGGCCTTCCAAAGTGCTGGATTACAGGCGTGAGCCACCATGCCTAGTCTGCTTTAACTAACTTTAACTAGCCTAACCTAGTACTGCTTTAGGTTAGTCTTTGGAGAGGCAAGGAGGTGGGCTATATCCAAGCTTGTGACAAAATGTGATAGATTTGGTGAGAGCCACAGCAGATGAGAGAAGAGGGGATGGGAGAGTTGAGACTGGAATTGAGTGAGATATAAAAAGTGACTATGGTCCTGGTGCAGTGGCTCATGCCTGTAATCCCAGCACTTTGGAAGGCTGAGGCAGGCAGATCATGAGGTCAAGAGTTCGAGACCGGCCTGACCAACATGGTGAAACCCCGTCTCTACTAAAAATACAAAAATCAGCCAGGCATGGTGGCATGCACCTGTAATCCCAGCTACTCAGAAGGCTGAGGCAGGAGAATTGCTTGAACCTGGGCGGAGGTTGTGGTGAGCTGAGATCGCGCCACTACACAGCCTGGGCGACAGAGCGAGACTCCATCTCAAAAAAAAAGAAAAGTGACTATGGGGAAAGATAAATATCCAGGGAATTCCTCAGAACTTGGGGGAGAGATGGGACTTCCTGCACTATGAAGATTGGGGTTGTATTTATTTCAATTGAATGCTATAGGAAAAGATGATCCCAAAAGTGCGTTCCCTGATGGACATAGGAACATTAGGGTGTCATCAGTATTCATAACCTTGGAATGACTCAGGACTCAGAGCCTGGGAGGATCAGGTTTCAGGCTGGGAGGAGAGAATATGAGAGGGAGAGGCTGTGCTTCCCAGGCTAAAGCTTCGTTGCATGGCTGACAGCCTGCCCACACTGGAGTGGATTACACACTCTGCTCCCTTCTGCCTGCCTTTACCTTGGGATAACATATACATTTCCAATTACAGGGCTGGTTAAAAATCAATACGAAGGTGGGAGAAAACAGATCATTTTTCTTATGGAAGTAACTGTTTTCATTAATTTTTCATTAGTGCTGCCTTTGTTTTGCTATCCATCACTGGCAGAGCTGTGGCCTGCATTTCAGCTAGTGTGCGTGTTTCTTGGATTCAGGAGATACTGATTGATAAAGCCAGCAGTTTAATGTTCATGACTACTGATTGTGGAACAGGTTTAGGCGACTGGTTTTTAAAAATATTTTTGATTATTAAGTTTTATAGGTACATAGTCAATGTAGGTATTTATGGGGCACATGAGATATTTTGATACAGGCATGCAACGTGTCATAATCTCATCAGGGTAAATGGGGTTTCCGTCACCTCAAGCATTCATCATTTCTTTGTGTTATGAACATTCCAATTTTATTCACTCAGTTGTTTTAAAATGTGCAACAAATTATTGCTGATTGTAGTTACCCTCTTGTGCTATCAAATACTAAATCTTATTTGTGGTATCTAACTATATATTTCTACCCATTAGCCATCCCCATTTCCCATCCCTCTCTCCCCACTATCCTTCCCAGTCTCTGCTAACCATCTTTTTACCCTCTATCTCCATGAGTTCAATTGTTTTAATTTTAGTTCCCACAAATGATTGAGAACATGCTAAATTTCTTTCTGTCTGTGCCTGAATTATGTCACTTAACATAACATCTTCTAGTTCCATCCATGTTGTTGACAGGATCTCATTCTTTTTAATGGCTTAATAGTACTCCATTTTGTGTATATAACACATACACCTTTTTTGTTGTTGTTTTTGAGACAGAGTCTTGCTCTGTCTCCCAGGCTGAAGTGCAGTGGTATGATCATGGATCACTGCAGCCTCCACCTCTCAGGCTCAAGTGATCCCCCTACCTCAGCCTCCCAAGTAGCTGAGACTACAGGCGTGCACTGGCTAATTTTTTTTTTTCTAATGTAGTGTAGATACAGCGTTTTACCATGTTGCCCAGGCTGGCCTTAAACTCCTGAGCTCAAGTGATCCTCCTGCCTCAGCCTCCCAAAGTGCTGGGATTACAGGCGTGAGCCACCGCACCCTGCCCATAACACATTTTATTTGTCCATTTGTCTGTTGCTGGACACTTAGGTTGCTTCCAAATCTTTGCTATTGTGAATAGTGCTACAATAAACATGGGAGTGCAGATTATCTCTGTTCAATATACTGATCTCCTTTCTTTCGGGTATACGCAGCAGTGGGATTGCTGGATCATATGGTAGCTCATACGGTAGTTTTGCAAGGAATCTCCATACTGTTCTCCATAGTGATTGTACTAAGGGGAGTGTATGAGGGTTCCCCTTTCTCTACATCCTCCCCAGCACTTGTTATTTCCTGTCTTTTGGGTAAAAGCCAATTTTACTGTAGTAATTGTAGTACAAATTTTATTGTAGTTTTGATTTGCATCTCTCTGATGATCAGTGATGTTGAGCACCCTTTCATATACCTGTGTGCCATTTGTATGTCTTCTTTTGAGAAATGTCTATTCAAACCTTTTGCCCATTTTAAAATCAGATTATTAGATTTTTTCCTATTGAGTTGTTTGAGCTCCTTATATATTCTGGTTATTAATCTCTTGTCAGATGGGTAGTCTGCAAATATTTTCTCTCATTCTGTGGGCTGTCTCTTCACTTCGTTGATTGTTTCCTTTGCTGTGCAGAAAATTTTTAACTTGATGTGATCCCATTTGTCCATTTTTGCTTTGGTGCCTGTGCTTGTGGGGTATTACTCAAGAAATCTTTCTCCAGTCCAACATCCTGGAGAGTTTCTCCAATGTTTTCTTGTAGTAGTTTCATAGTCTGAGGTCTTAGATTTAAGTCTTTAGTCCATTTTGATTTGATTTTTGTATATGGTGAGAGATAGGGGTCTAGTTTCATTCATCTGCATATGGATATCCAGTTTTCCCAGCACATTTATTGAAGAGACTGTCCTTTCCCCAAGGTATCTTCTTCGCACTGTTGCCAAAAATGAGTTCATTGTAGATACATGGATTTATTTGTGGGTTTATTCTGTTCTATTGGTCTATGCATCTGTTCTTATGCCAGCACCAGGCTGTGTAGGTGACTGTTTAAAGATCACTGTGTTTGTCAAAATGTGCTTAAAAGCATCATGTTTCCACTCACCAAAGCTTAGTCCATATTCTGTTGTGGAAATTCTGTTTGTAGGCTAAGTATGTGTTGAGATTGCATCGTATTTATCTTCAGGGGTGTATTGAAGCCAAACTCCTCACGGATACTTTTGATGTTGATTGTTTTTACAGGTCCATTTGGCTGGTGCTCTTCACTAAGGGAAGCCAGATTTGTACCCCTGAGCTCCCCATCTTGGATAGGGAGCAGGGGGAGAGAGTTTCTTGCGTCTCTGTGCATGTGCTTGCCTGTGCTTTCAGTGGGGTGATTCTATCCCTAAACCCTTCCCTTCAGTTCTCTGACCTCAGCCTGCCCCATTCTCTCAGAGGCTTAAGGAAGACTTCTCAACTCCTCACCTTAGCAGGATTGCTTGAGTTCTGCTTGTGCCGTCAGTAAACCTTCTCCCCTCTTTCGTACTCTGGTACTCATCTCTAGTGTGTCATCTACTCATGTGAGTCTCACCTCACCAACCTTAAGTTATCTGAAAACAGGGATAGTGGCTTTTTCTTTTTGGATTTTCAGCACCTAACAGCACCTGGCCAGTGATAAGTGATTGACGAATGTTTATTAAATGAAGATACAACTGGAAGTCATTCATTTGTTTTGAGTAAGCAAGGGTCAGAGCCTTCATTAGCAGTGATGGGAGTCAATGGTGGGAAGTGATGCAGGGTCGTGCATTTGAGGAGGCTCTGACACCACCCCAGTTGACTTATTCTATTGATGTAAAGGAACTATGTGCTGATTCCAGCTCTGTGACTAATTAACCATGTAACCATGAATAAGTCACTAACACTGTGTCCTCATCTATAAAAGGGGGTTGTCCCAGATCTAACATCCTTGGCCCAAGAACATCTACCATTGGAAAAGTATTCTCCTATATTCTTACTCCTCCAGCTGAAATGATGGACGAGCCTTCTGAGGTCAGCTCCCTCGGCTGGCTACTGCCATCCTTCTGCTGGCCATGGAACTGGCTCTCCCTCCTTCTCAGGCATTAGGGCTTAGGGGCTTCTCTGGAGCTAGGACTGCATCTGTGTTTGTTAACTGAGCCCCTCAGCCTGCTCCTTGGCCTTCCTCCATCGTACCTCTGACTCTTTCTTGTTTTCTAAAGTTCATTTACATATGACTTCATTTTGGACTGCCACCCTCATATAAGACACTTTCCTCACCTCAGAAAATTCCCCTAACTCCTTTCACGAGCCTACCATGCTCTCACTCCTGTACCCTAGTAATATCTATTCTGACTCCTATTATTGGAAATTAGTACTTCTGGAACTTTATATAAATGGAACTGTACAGTATATATTTCTTTGGTAGTTTGATTTTTCATTAAATGTAATTTGTTTTACTAAATAAAAGTTATTTTACTTTTAACTTTTATTTTAAGTTCAGGGGTTCATGTACAGGTGTGTTACATAGGTAAACTTGTGCCATGGGGGTTTGCTGTACAGATTATTTCATCCCCCAGGTATTAAGCCTAGTACCTATTAGTTATTTTTCTTGATCCTCTCCCTCCTCCCACCCTTCACCCTCCAATAGGCCCCAGTGTATGTTGTTCCCCTCTGTGTGTCCATGTGTTCTCATCATTTAGCTCCCACTTATAGGTGAGAACATGCAGTATTTGGTTTTCTGTCTCTGCATTAGTTTGCTAAGAATAATGGCCTCCAGCTCCATTAATGTTCCTTCAAAGGACATGATCTTGTTCTTTTATATGGCTGCATAGTATTTCATGGTGTCTATGTACCACATTTCCTTTATCCTATCTGTCATTGATGGACATTTAGGTTGATTTCATCTCTTTGCTATTGTGAATAGTGCTGCAATAAACATATGTGTGCATGTTCCTGCCTGCCTTTCTTTCCCTTTTTGCCTGCTTGCTTGCTTTCTCTTTCTTTCTTTCTTTCTTTGTCTCTCTCTCTCTCTTTCTTTCTTTCTCTTTTTCTTTTTTTGAGATGGAGTCTTGCTCTCTCACCCAGGCTGGAGTGTGCAGTGGCACAATCTCGGCTCACTGCAACCTCCACCTCCTAGGTTCAAGTGATTCTCCCCACTCAGCCTCCTGGGTAGCTGGGACTACAGGCATGCACCACCACTCCTGGCTAATTTTTATGTTTTTA
The DNA here is from genome assembly GCF_000001405.40 of Homo sapiens. Taxonomy (NCBI): domain Eukaryota; kingdom Metazoa; phylum Chordata; class Mammalia; order Primates; family Hominidae; genus Homo; species Homo sapiens. The sequence goes on from NC_000018.10 coordinate 26,434,180, forward strand.
GTAGAGACAGGGTTTCACCATGTTGGCCAGGCTGGTTTAGCCAGGCTGATCCACCTACCTCGGCCTCCCAAAGTGTTGGGATTACAGGCGTGAGCCACCATGCCCAGCATGCCTTTCTGATAGAACACTTTATATACACTTTTGGATATATACCCAGTAATGGAATTGCTGGGTCGAATAGTATTTCTGTTTTTAGGTCCTTGAGGAATCGCCACACTGTTTTATACAATGGTTGAACTAATTTACACTCCCACCAGCAGTGTGTAAGTGTTCCTTTTTCTCTGCAACCTCTCCAGCATCTGTTATTTTTTGACTTTTTAATAATAGCCATTCTGACTGGTGTGAGATAGTACCTCATTGTGGTTTTAATTTCCATTTCTGTAATGATCAGTGATGTTGAGCTCTTTTTCATATACTTCAACATAATTTTTGAGACTCATTCATGTCACTGCATATATCTGTAGTTGATTCTGAGTTGTATTTTGTTGTTTAAATAAACTACAATTTGTTTATTGATACTCTTGTTGGAGGACATTGAGTTGTTTCTGGTTTTGGCCCCTTTGTATTTCTAACTTCTTTTACATTTAGCCATTTCCCCTTAATTTCTAAATTTAATAACATCATTTGGAAATTCATCCCTACTTACTAGCTGTGTGATATTGAGCAGGTTACTTTAGGCCCTCTGAATTACGGTTTTCTCATTTGTAAAATGGGATAATAATAGTATCTTTTTCATAAGATTGTTTTGAGTATCAGGTGGGATTACGTATTGAAGCACTTAGGATATTGCCTGGAATATAATAAGCACTCTATAAAGGTTTGCTATTATTTAGGAAGAACAACTGAACTGTTGTGAGGATTAAATGGGTCACACACTATTAATACCCACACAGCTGTGATGCAAGGGTTACCCAAGGAGGGTGGAGTTTGAACCTCATTCTTACTGCTCACATCCCTTCTTACAAACATCATGCGGACTCCCTTGTAACCCTGGTGTTCATGCTTTTTACTGCAAGAATATGAGGTGATATGAATCCATATGGCCATTTTCAAATACTCAAACTGAAAGAAAAATTCTCACCCTAACTTGCTGAGATTGTACCCTCTGCAAATACAATGTTAGGAAGTGCTGGAGTAGAAAATATTTCTAATCATTTTGGATATCTATAGAATGTAGGAAATAATCATTATATTCAATGATTCATGTTAAGGCATGCTATTTTAATAAAGTGAAAAGTTTAAAAAGAGGGGAAAGGCTCCATATATCTCACTCTGCCATTCCCTCTGGTGACTGTCATGTCTCTTTTCCTTCACAATAAAAGAAGAGTCTGCAATTGCTGTCTTCTCCTCCTGGCTTTGATTTACTTCTCAGCCTGCTGCAGTCTGGCTCCGGATCCCAGAACACCACAGTCGCCTTCTCTAGGGTTGGCAGTGGCTTTGGAATTGCCACACCTAATCTACGTGTTTCCGCTCTATCCCTATCTGACCTTTCTTGGGTGTTGGACATTCTCATTCTCTCCTTGAAACTCTCTCCTTTCCAATTTCCCACACTATTTTAGGTAGGTTTTCCTCCTCCTTCTTTGCTGTTCCTTCTGGGTCTCCACCCACCTCTCCTGTTGGAGGCATCTCCAGGTGCATGTCCAGTCTGTCCACTCTCCCTGGGCGTCCTCAGCCTTTCCTTGTCAGTTATCACTCCAAATCCCCATGTTTAATCTCGGCTCCTCCCTGCAGTGCCTGTGGCTTGCTGCCCCCATCTCTGGACATGCAGTTATCCACAGCCATCTCCTGAGCCGCACACCTCAACTAAATTCCGTGGAGAGTTCTCACTGCCTGCCCCACAAATGCAAGCTTCCTCTTGACCTCCATTCCCTCTTTTTCCTAAGGGCTCTCAACCCTTGGGGAGCCTGAGGTGGAAACTTTGGAATTATTTTGACTGTTTTCTCTCCTTCACCACCCACATGTAATTGCTCATCAAATTCTGTTGTTTGTACCTTGGAAATATCTCATGATATTTACCGCCTCTTCTCCCTCCCAATTGCTTTCATTTATCGTGGCTCCACAGGACAGCTGGAATCATCTCCTGATTGATCTCTTCTTCAGGCTCTGCAAGCTCCACTTCCTTCTCCACTTTCCCACAAATATAGTGTTTCTTAAAAGCAAATCTGGTTGCATCACACTGCTGTTTGAAAATGCCAATGATTCCTTGTTGTCTATGACTCATTCCCACACTGGGTCCTCAGGGCCACCTGGATGTAGACTTTTGGGTCCCACCGTAACGACTCTGAATCAGTCTGTGGGGCTTGAAAAGCGGCATTCAGGAGGGCCCCCATCCTAACTTCTCCTGATGCTGGGTGTCCCTGCTCTTTTCCTTGCCTGGCCCTGCCCCACAGGGAACTTGGCTATTCTTCCTGTACTCAGCATCGTGCTTTTCAGGTGTCTGTCTTTGCACAGGCTACTGTCCCTGCCTGAAACACCCTTTGCTTCCCACTTTCCTCCTCTTGTCTTTCTGGTGGGCTCATCCTGTAAGATTCTGCTCCTGCCCCAGCTCTGTGAGACCTTCCCTGGATTCCCCAGGATGAGCTAGTAGTTTGTTCCTGCCTCATGTTCCCAGAGCAGGCTGAACAGCCGTGTCAGGCAGGGCATCTATCAACTCTGCTGTGGTTGTTTCCCACTGGCCTCCCCTTGCTGGGAGCGCGCCCCACCAAGGCAGGGCACTGTCTCCTGGCTGCCTCCCGCAGCCAGGCAGTACATGAATGAGCCTCCCTGCTTCTTTCTGTCTTATTTTAAGCACTGCTTGTCAGCTAGCGTGATGGGCAGAGCTAATAGTAAGTGTGTTGTTTTGCAAATGTTGCTTTAGTTAGGACCTCTAGCTTCTCTGAGTCAGTTTTGAAACATTTTATTTCACTTACTTTTTTATTTCAGTAGAAGAAAATTAAGGAGGGGTTGAGGAGGGGCAACAGGAAGGATAATTCAGAGCCTCCCTTGGGCGCCTTGTCAACCCTGTGCCCATCAGTGCTGTATTACCTGGGCATAATGAGAAACTTCCCTATTTCACTGTAAGGAACTTCCAAGGTGAAAAGCTTCACTGAGGTAGTCCTCCTGGTTTCTAGGAGATAACATTCATTTCTTCAACTAGCCGGGCGCTGCAGCCTGCCTGATCTTTGTAGCCTGGGGAGGCCTCACTGCCTGGGAAAGGTGACGTCTGGAAGAGAAGAGCTGTCTGGAAAGACAATGGCAGGGTCAAGTGCCCCTTTGGAGAGTGTGGTGGGACAAGCCAGGAGTGAACATTTCTTATCGGGGGCTATGCCTTTTCAATTAGTAGTTGGAGCTGGGCACAGTGGCTCACACCTGTAATCCCAGCACTTTGGGAGGCTGAGGCAGGTGGATCACTTGAGGTCAGCAGTTTGAGACCAGCCTGGCCAACATGGAGAAATTCTGTCTCTACTAAAAATACAAAAATTGGCTGGACATGGGGGTGTGTGCCTGTAATCCCAGCTACTCAGGAGGCTGAGGTAGGAGTATCGCTTGAGCTTGGGAGGCAGAGGTTGCAGTGAGCTGAGATTGTGCCACTGCACTCCAGCTTGGGCGACAGCATGAGACTCTGCCTCAAAAAATAAAATTAAATAAATAAATAAATAAATAAATAAATAAATAAATAAATTAATTAATTAATTTGTAGTTGACCTTGGTTTTATTTTCCCACTCACAAGGAAGCAGGAAGATCCCAAGGAAAAAGAAGCAGCATGAAAAATGACAAGAAGACTACAACAGAAGTTTCTACGAACTTTGCACACACAGAAGAGGGTTCTTTTAGTTTTAGTCAGGATAGGAAAAGGACAAAATAAAAGTGAACATTTATTGAGCCAGGCCCTGTCTTCTACTTGTGTTAATTCGTTTGCTCAGATCCTCGCAGGAGCTCTGTGAGGTAGGCACTGATGTGATTCCCAGTTTTTAGATGAGGACTGTGAGGGACAGAGAAGTTCCCTAACTTTCCCAAGGTCACACAGCCAGTAAGCAGGAGACAGGGATCTGAACCAACACTGGTAGCCATGGCGCCACAGCTTAGAGCAGTCAGTGTAATGTGACTGGTGGCCAAGACAAGGCAGACACACGTCACTGCTGTTTTATTTCTGCCTTCCTCATCTCAGAGAATGGACTTCAAATTGGAAAGGGTGGAACAAAGTATGGAAGGAACTGGACCTCAGGACAGGGGCAGAGTGTGGGCTGGCCCCTGGTGGCTTACCTGAATTGGAGCTTCTCGGTTTAGATGAAATACATTTCCAGATAAGGACAGACCTGTAGATGTGTTAACTACTGAGATTTCCCGGAGAAAGTGGAAGAGTGGCAATGGAATATCAGTAACAATAAAAAATCAGTAACTAGGAACAAAATCAACAATGTTCCTAGTTATCTAAAAGGGTACAAAAACATCTAAAATCAACTATTAATGGCACCTTTTCTGCATTATGTATTAAGTGGAATTTTTACTTTTATTTTTAGACAGAAGCTTGCTCTGTCACCCAGGCTGGAGTGTGGTGGTGTGATCTTGGCTCACTGCAACCTCCACCTCCTGGTTCAAGTGATCCTTGTGCCTCAGCCTCCCAAGTAGCTGGGATTACAGGCATACGCCAACACACCCAGCTAATTTTTGTATTTTTTCTAGAGACGGGGTTTTGACATGTTGGCCAGGCTGCTAGCAAACTCCTGGACTTAAGTGATCCGCCCACCTGGGCCTCCCAAAGTGCTGAGATTACAGGCATGAACCACCGTGCCCTGCTGGGTGGAATTTTTTAATTGCAAATAATATAAACCAATTTATATAGCTTAAAGAAAGTGGAGCTTACTCCGACAGTACAGAGCTGTCTCACAAAAGTGACAGCAGGGACCCACCAGGCCTCAGGAGTCAACCAGAACCAAGAAATCAACTGCTGTTGTTGCTGCTTCTGCTGTACCCCGGCCTCTGAATTTTCTCTTGCCCGTGAACTTGGCAGCCCACAGAGCTAAGGCTGATAGTTCCTCTTTTTGACAGCGCAGCCAGACAGAGATGAGTCTCCTAGACTCAATTATATATTTGCATGTAAGAGACCTGACACAGGTATTCCCTCTGGGCCGATCAATGAGGGTGGTGGTGTCCTGGGTAAATGTAGCTTCTCCATTTATGGTGCAGTGGAGGAAAGGGTGTATGTGTGTGTGTGTGTTCTGTTCAGAAAGTTGGGCAGGGGATAGGGAACTGTTCTCAGATGCAGTGTTGTCTAAGCTGACACCCAAGTTTCTTGATAAATTATGCCCTGAATGTTTATGAATAGTGTATCAAAGAAAGCAGATGCCCAGGCCCTTCCAAAGAAGTCATTTCCTTCTTGATGGACATACTAAAGGGATAGAAAGGGAGGATGCAGGGATTTGTAATCAGGAGGATCTGAGTGGAAAAGCCATAAGTGCGCCAGCTTCCTCCTCTTTTTCTTGAGGGGCTAGTGCCAAGTGCAGGGCTGGCTCACAGTGGGTGCTCAGCAGCTCTGAATGCATGAATGAATGAATGAACGAATGAATGAGTGATAGCCTAGTCCTGTGGGTTCACAGCTGTTGGGAACACCCGTACCCAAGTAATGCTGGTGAAGAGGCTGGCATTATCCTAGAGGGAGAACTTTGATGGTGTGCTTCAAGTCAACAGTGATGTCTGTGGCTCGGATGAAGATGGACAGGCCATGCTCAGAGAATTCTCAGATGACTCAAGACTTGAAGGAGTGAATAGCTTCCTGGAGGACAGATGGAAGAACCCCAAAGCATCCAAAACACTAATCCTGTGAAATTTCATGGGGAATAAGGGCCAGTTCTTTCTTTGGTTATAAATGATCAATTGCTCAAGGGATGGGGGATATCTGGCTTGATCAAACCCAAGGTCCGGGTGGTGTCTGCTTCTTAGGTTGCACTAAGTTGAGTACAGTGTCCAGATCAAGGGCATTTTAGTTGAAGAAAATGGGGCTGCTTAATCTGGTAAAGAAAGCAGTAAGGACTGATTCAATGCCTTTCTCCTTAGTGGAGGACAGTGGACCCAGGGGAAGAGCTGTTAGGGCAGCAAAGGCACCCAGCGTGACAGTAGCAAGCTCCTTGTCAAGTCAGTGATGGCTGACCTGGTGAAGGGTGATGCCTTCCCACATTCTTTCTTGTTTGCTCCCCTTAACAGTCTTCAGGTGCAGTTGAGGCAGATGGCAGTGTGCTCTCATTAGCTAAAGAAGCTGGGCCGCTAAAGAGTGTTTAAGTGACCCGCTCAATGTCACATAGCTAAGCTGGAACCCAGGCATTCTGGGTTCCAGGCTACCCATGATAAGCATTGAAGGCGAAGCTGGAAGACCGTGGTGGGGTCTTCCGTGGGATGCCTTCCATGGGAGGGAGAAGAGCTACCTTGAAAGATGCCTAGCTCCCAGTGTCTGTGACTTTGACAAGGGCAGAATGTCAGCCTCTGCTGCAAACTGTCTGTGTCCCTGACTACAGACGATGAGAGGTGGTGAGCAGTTAACATTTTTCCTACCTGTATGCCCTGCTCCATTTCTGAATGAGTTATGTCATTTATTCAACAGGATAATTTAATGATGTAGCCACTTCCGCCGTTGGAACAGTATGTTCTGATACTCATGGCTGTACTTCAAGAGTTGTAACTTCCGGATTAATTGCAGAATCAAGCTTTCATTTATCTGAGATTTCTTAATCAGTGAGAGTGACAAATCAGACACACGTTTAATGTGGGCTAAAAAGTGCTCAGCATTATAACAACTAAATGCAACGTGTGATACTGGACTGGGTCGAGTCAGCAAACAAAACAAAAGAGCTTTTAAAAGAATTACTGGGCTCACGCCTGTAATCCCAACACTGGGAGGCTGAGGCGGGTGGATCACTTGAGGTCAGGAGTTTGAGACCAGCCTGGCCAACATGGCGAAACCCCGTCTCTACTAAAAATACAAAAATTAGCCAGGTGTGATGGTGCCTGTCTGCAGTCCTAGCTACTTGGGAGTCTAGGGGGGTGAGAATCGCTTGAACCTGGGAGACGGATGTTGCAGTGAGCCAAGATCGTGCGGCTGCACTCCAGCCTGGGTGACAGAGTGAGACTCCATCTCAAAAAAAAAAAAAAATTATTGGGACAGTTGGGGAAATTTGAATATTGACTGTGTGTGTGTGTGTGTGTGTGTGTGTGTGTGTGTGTGTATTATCACACTGAGAGTTAAGAGCATGTTCTTGTTCTTAGGCGATTTCGTGCTGAAGTACTTGGGGTGATTGCTGCGCTGCCTGCAATTTACTTTCAAATAGCTCAGCAGAAACGATACGCAGGGACAAGGAGAGAGCAGACCTGGTGAAACGTTAACAACTGATGAATCCAAGTGAAGAGTGCATGCCCTTACTTGTACTGTTGTTTCAACTTTTCTGCAGGTTTGAATATTTTAAAATGAAAGCTGGGGGGAAATGGTTAACACTGAAATAAAGGCAAATTTCAGGAAATAGTTTTACTGTATAGTAAGTCTAAAAATGAAAAGCGCCAGTGGTAAGTAGGCAAGTTGAGGCAAACCATACTGCCTCTTTTCTTTTCCTAGCAGTGGAAAGCCAGAAAGCTACAGAATGAAACAAAGGCTATTTTGTGTGGTAGATGAACTCATTTATCAGCTGCATTCAGACTAGAAAGGCAGAGGGAGAGATCAGTCTGTTGAAGTTTCTTTTCTCCACCCCATCCCATCACTCTGATTAACCCTGTCGTTATTTCCCAGTGCTTTTCAAGGAGGCAGCCCTATCCAAAACTTGGATATAGCCAGGATTCAAGCATGCAGCCAGGCGTAAAACATCTTTGAAATATGAGCCATAATGACTTGTTTTTCTGGCAAATGCTTTTTGTTTGAAGGAAGTACAGAATTTAAGAATCTATTTTTAAAAAAATGTTAATGTTGAAAAGTCAGATAATTTACCAAATAAAAAAGTAATGTTTGCTTTTCTAATTCATTACAAATTTATTACAGTTCATCTAAGAGCAACAAAATATAAAAATCTTTACAAATAAGTGCTGCCGGAAAGTGTTTGGGTGGTCAGCGTTTAATTTGGAAGGTTATTCAGCTTGTTAGAGACCCATTTATGGATCAAGGAAAACCTTATATAAGCCCAACCCGATTGTCCATCTGGTATGCCTCACTCAACTCCCAGGAGTCAACTTGGTGTGGACTTGATAGTTGGCCAGATCTGGGTTAGAATCTGGACTCCAGTAATTTACTTATTCCTGATATTGACTATCTGTGTCCTCTTGCTTTTCTCCCCAGTTAGTTTGGTTAGAGGTTTATCAGTATTATTAATTTTCTCAATAACCCAGCTTTTCATTTTATTGGTTTTCTCTATTATTTTTTCTTTTTCTATTCTATTGATTTCTATTCTGATCTTTATTATTTTTGTTCTTTTGCTTACTTTGGATTTTCTTTGTTCTTCTTTTTCTAGTTTCTTAAGGTGGAAGCCAGAGTTGTTGATTTGAAAGTTTTCTTCTTTCCTCATGTAGATGTTTAGTGCTATAAATTTCCCCCTAAGTACTGCTTCAGTAGAATCCCACACATTTTGGTATGTTATATTTGCATTTTCATTCAGTTCAAATACTTTCTAATTGCCCTTTGATTTCTTCTTCGATGGGCTATTTAAAAACATATTTAATTTTCAAATATTTGTGGATTTTCCAGAGTTCTTTAATTCCATTGTGGTTAGATAATTTCTTCTTTATAACTTCTTTTAAATCCATTGAGATTTGTTTTATGTTTTTAGAGTGTTCAAGTCTGTATTTTTACTGAATTTCTGTCTATTTTTCCTATCACTTCTTGACAGAATGGTGTTCAGATCTCTGACTATACATGTGATTTGCCTATATTTACCTGTAGTTGATACCAATTATTAGCTTCTATATTCTAAAGTCCTGTTATTATGTGAAATAAAAAGGCTAGAAGTATGTCCTGTTGACCCCTTTATCGTATGAAATGATCTTTTTATTTCTGGTAATACTCTTTGCTCTGAAGTCCACTTTGCCTGATATTAATATAGCAACTCCAGCTTTCTTTAGATTAGTGTTAGTTTGGGATATGTTTTTCTATGCTCTTACTTTTAACCTATTTTTTAAAAAAATTGAAAATTGATTTCTTTTAGGCAGCATATAGTTGGGTGTCATATTTTTAGCCAGCCTGATGATCTTGTCTCAATCGAGGTGTTAGGCCATTTACATTTAATGTGGTTATTGATATGGTTTTGTTTAATTATATCCTTTTGCTAATTTTTACTTTTCCCATCTGCACTTTGTTTTGTTTTTCTTCCTTTTCTGCCTTCTTTGGATAAAATGAGTACTTTAAAAAATAATTTCACTGTAGTGGCTTCTGTTGCATTATTTTAGTAGTTGCAAGGTTTATAGTATTATCTTTAACTTATCACAGTCTTATTTGTCAAATGATTTGATATCACTTAACATATAGGCATCTTATAATTTCATTTCTCCCTTCCAATATTGTTGTTATGAATGTTACTTCTACATAAGCTGTAGACCCACGATGTGTTATTATTTTTCCTTTAAACAGTTATTTTTATTAAAATGTTAACCATAATGAATAAAGCCCTTTATGTTTACCCACGTAGTTATCATTTTTGGTGCCCTCCATTCTTTGTATAGAAGCTGATTTCCAATTGCCATCATTTTCCTTCTGCCTGAGGGACTTCTTTTAGCATTTTTTTGTAGAGAATTCTGCTGGTGATATATTCTGTTAGATTTTGTCTTCCCAAAAAAGTTTTTATTTTACCATTGTTTTTGAAAGGTAATTTTACTTTGTTGTTCCAATGTCTCTGGCTTGCATGTTTCTCATAAGAAATCTGCCATCATCCTTATCTTTCCACCTTTGTCCATAAAGTATCTTCTCCCTCCCCCACTAGCAGCTTTTAAGATTTTTTTTTTCCTTATCATTGGTTTTAAGCAATTTGTTTATGATGTGTCTTGGTGTGTTTTTCTTTATGCTTCTTTTGCAGAGTTCATTAAGGTTCTTGGATCTGTGGGTTTATACTGTAGTTGTCATCAAATTTGGAAAATAGCCATTATTTCTTCAAATATTTTTCCATTTGCCCCCTTGACCCCTTGAGGGAGATTGCAATTACATGTGTATTAGGCTGCTTGAAGTTACTCCACAGTTCAATATGCTCTGTTCATTTTGTTTCAGTATTTTAAAGACAAGACTCTATGTTTCATCTTAGGAAATTTCTATTGCTATTTAATATATCTTCAAGTTCACTAATTTTTTGTAATCTGCTGCTAATCCCATCAGGTGTGTGTTTCAGACATCATAATTTTTATTTCTAGAAATTTGATATTGTTCTTTATATTTTCCATGTCACCATTTAATACGTTAAGTCTTTAGCTCCTTGAACATGTAGAATAAAGTTTATTAACTGTTTTAGTGTTTTTGTCTACTGATTGTGTAATGTCTCATCATTTCTAGGTTGGTTTATTTATTTTTATTTTTATTATTTTTTTTGAGACAAAGTCTTGCTCTGTTGCCCAGGCTGGAGTGTAGTGGCATGATCTTAGCTCACTGCAACCTCCTCCTCCTGGGTTCAAGCAATTCTCCTGCCTCAGCCTCCTGAGTAGCTGGGATTACAGACACACACCATCATGTCCAGCTAATTTTTGTATTTTTAGTAGAGATAGAGTTTTACCGTGTTGGCCAGGCTGGTCTTGAACTCCTGGCCTTAAGTGATCCACCCACCTTGGCCTCCCAAAGTGCTGGGATTACAGGCATGAGCCACCTGTGTCGGCCTCTGGGTTGGTTTAGATTTATTTATTTTATTTTATTTTTTACTATGAGTTATATTTTCCTGCTTCTTTGAATGCCTGGTAATTTTAAAAATTAGAGACCAGTTATTGTGAATTTTACCTTATTGGGTGCTGAATATTTGTGTATCTCTATCAATATTTTTTGACTTTGTTTTAGAATGAAGTAGAGTTAATTGGAAACACTTTGATCCTTTTGGGATTTGCTTTTAAGCTTTGTTAGGTAAGATCTGAGCTGTGTTTAGTCTAGGGCTCATTTCCCTCCAGCACTCTGGCATTCTGAGGACTCTAACCAATGCCCCATTCATTATGAGGCTTTCCACTCTGTCTGCTGAGAGCAGGAACTGTTTCTGGTCCTGGGTGGGCTATGGGGATTGCTTTCTCTTATTCTTCTATGTAGCTTTTCCCCTAGGCTTGAGTGATTTCTTCCAACACATGCACTGATCAGTACTCAGCTGAATAGTCTCTTCTGTTCTTCAGTCTTCTCTTTTTTGCACGTATCTCTCCCCTGTCCATTGCTCTGCCCTATGAATTCTAGCTGCCTTGGCTTCCCTGTACCACCGTCTCCATCTCTTCAACTCAGGCAAAGCATTAGCCTCTGAATGGGTTACCCCTCCCTGCAACATGGCCTGGAAACTTCCTCAAGGCAGTTAGCCAGGGCAATCATAGGGCTCACCTTGTTTGCTTTCCACCTCTCAGGGATCACTGTCCTCTGCTGCCTCATATTCAATGTGTTGAAAATCATTGTTTCATATATGCTGTCCAGTTTGTGAGTTGTTTCAGGAGGGAGAGTAATCTGTTACTTCATATTGGCCAAATGTGGAACACTTGAATGACTTTAGATTAGTCAAAATCCAAAGTAAACATCAAAAGAACCAAAGTGCTTGAGGGATTTAATATTACTAGTAATTGATTCTCTATTGTATGTCAGTTATTATACTTTACATTAATTCTTATTTAATTGAGTGCTTATGAATAGAAATAAGTTCTCTAAGAGTTGGAGTAAGGAACATGAAACCCATACTCTGCCTAGTTCTACAAATAATAGACTTCAGTTGTGCATTTCATCTGTCATCGACAATCATTTAGTTAGCACTTACTAGGTGCTAGGACATAAATAAGTCAGATTTCTTCCACTGAAGATCTTAAGGATGGCCATTAGATTAGTAAACATATACATGTAGATATTTCAATATTAAGTTGTAAGTATGATAATAAAAGTATAAATCGGGTGCTTTAGGACCATAGAGATGGGTCACCCATCTGAGGAGCACATGAAAAAGTGGTGATGGGTAAAGAGGGTCTTGAAGGATGAGTGGCAAGTGATTAAACAAATAACAAGATAAATGTATTACCAAGCAGGGAGACTCGGAACAATATGACATACAGGGCATGGTGGCTCATGCCTGTAATTTCATCATTTTGGGAGGCTGAGGCAGGAGGAGCGCTTAAATCCAGGAGTTTGAGACCAGCCTGGGCAACATAGTGAGACCTCATTTCTTTCTTTTCTTTTCTTTTTTTTTTTTTTTTTTTGAGACGGAGTCTTGTTCTGTTGCCAGGCTGGAGTGCAGTGGTGTAATCCTGGCTCACTGCAACCTCCGCCTCCTGGGTTCAAGCGATTCTCCTGCCTCAGCCTCCTGAGTAGCTGAGATTACAGGCACGCGTCACCACGCCCGGCTAATTTTTGTATTTTTAGTAGAGATGGGGTTTCACCATATTAGCCAGGGTGGTCTTGATCTCTTGACCTTGTGATCCACCCGCCTTGGCCTCCCAAAGTGCTGGGATTACAGGCATGAGCCACCACACCTGGCAATGAGACCCCATTTCTACACACACACACACACACACACACACACACATACACAAAATTAGCCAAGCGTGGTGGCGGGTGCCTAAAGTCCTAGCTACTCAGAGGCTGAGGTGGGAGGATCACTTGAACCTGGGAGGTCAAGGCTGCAGGGAACCATGATTGTGCTACTGCTGCACTCCAGTTTGGGCAACAGAGTGAGACCCTGTCTCCAAAACAAACAAACAAGACAAAACAAAAAACAGCAAACAAAAAAACCCGAATATGACACTAAAAGTATTTTGTAGGAGGCCAGGGGTAGCCCCAGGTGAGGCTGAGGGGTAAGTAGAGTTAGATTAAGGGGGCTTGGATGCCACACTAAGGAGAGAAGATGATTCTAAAAACAACAAGGAAACACCGTCAGGCTTTTAACAGGGGAGTAACCAGGCTGCAATGTGGAGGATGGATTTTAAGGGGTGACAATCTCAATTCTCAAGAGAAAAACCAATTAAGATCCTTTGGAAATGGTCCATATAGGAGGAATTGATAATATGACATTGGTAAGTGGAGATAGGGGTGGAAAGGAAAAGACCAATTTAAGAAATATTTAGATGATACGTTCTGTAGAACTTGGTGACCATGTAAGTGTGGGGATTGCAGAAATGGCTCCCTGATGTGAACAGAAAGGAGCATCCTGAACTGAGATAGGAAATCTAAAAGGAGAAAGGAAAGGCCCAGGGGCCAAAATAAGCTCGGTTCTTGATAGTCCAATGGGAATGCTTGGCAGATCCTACATCTATCATTGCTTATGACAAAATATATTGAATCAATGGGTTTACATGGCTTACCCTCCTGCCTGACTAAAAGTCAAATGGCAAGGTCATGCCTTATTCATCTTGTATCCTCAGGGCTGGCTACCCCACCCGAGCTCTGGGAGACGTCTGCCTGCAGCACAGGTGACAGGAAAGCCATCGATGGTTGAGATCTCGCAGGGAGAGTAGAGGAGACTGAGAAAAGCAGTGACATGCAAGAAAAAGACATTCACACCTGGGGTGAGAATTTGAGAAGTAAGTGGCCTGGTGGCCTTGCATTGTCTGTGGCTCTTCCATGGGCCCTGTGAAAGGCCACCTCAATGCAGGCCTGCAGCCCTGTCAGTGTCCAGGCAAGTCATTCCCTTTGTATGCTTTTAATATCTACATGAAGGCTCCTAGTGATTGTGCAGAAGTCATCTCCATCCATCACTTGACTAACTTTGGAAGAAAAGTGGGGAGTGGATGGTGGAGGAGGGGTGTTATTGCAGACTGGACAGAGGCAGGAAGCTATTGGAAAGAAGAATTTGGGGTGTGTGTGTAGTTTTTCTACCATTCCTTTCCTACCTAGAGGAAAATAACTGATTTTGATATTGTAATGGCAGTAGGGAAAAGATTATACAGGTCAAAATTCTGTTTTATAAACACATCTACCATGCTTAAACTAAGAGCTATAGCTGAATTATTTTCATGAATATGCATTCTACTTAGAATTTCAAATTTTCTAGTATTTATGTATTTAAGAGACCAAACATTTAAGAATATGACTTATAGAAGAACAACATCTTAAATAATTTTAAAAAATTTCAAATAAAGAGCAATAATGGATGAACATTTAAATTTTAGGGGCACATAAGCCATCTGCCTCCCACCATTGCCCCTTCCCAAGCCAGTTTCCCATTACTGCTGATTAACTTAAAAACCCAGCTGCGTCAGATTGCTCAAGTTGCAGACCTTTAGATGATCCTGTAAGGCCTCCTCAAACTGGATTTAACCAACTGATCTTGCTTCTTTTCCAACGAGTGTGATCCTCTGTGACAAGGATTTGATCTTCAGCTTTTGGGACAGGCTTTCCGAGTCAAGTTCCAAAGTTTGAATGGAACGCACAATACATGTTTCTGTGGCTTTTTCAGTCCCGATCAACAGCATAATTTAATACTTGTACTATCTGTTCCCTTTTCTGACAAGCACAATCTGATAAACAGATTGGGAGGAGCAGTGCAGCACTGTGTGATTCACACTGGGAATGAGGGGAAAAGGAGAGACGGAGAGAGAATGAACCTGGAGTCCCATGAAATGCAGTCAGATTGAGCTCTCTGACGCGAATGTTTTAGCGCATGCAAGGGAGCTTTGTGGTCAGTGGTTAGGGTCATCGATTTACATTCCCCTTCAAATGCGGAAGTTTTGAAATCATTAAGTTTCAAAGAAACTCACCTAGATTAAAATACAAGGGAAAAGACGGACCTATACACCTACAGTAGGCTATTGTTACAGGTGGTAGATGCTATGGTAATTACTTCCTGTGCTGGTTTCTGTTCACTTAAGACTCTGACAGCTTTTTAAGAGGAGGTATAAGAATTCTGTAGCTGGTGGGCTATTTCCACAGGATTGGGCAGTTTTCTGCCTAATTAGGAAAGGATGAAGGCCCTTGGATTAAATGTCACTTAAGTACTCCCTGCAACGCCCCCAACACACATCCCCTACCTCCTCCATTAACTCCATTTGGAAGTACTCAGTCTGAACTTCAAAAGAATAGCAGATGCCAACTATTGTTTACATCAGTGAAATCATAAAAAGGCACATCACAAAAGCACACTCAGAAGATCCTTATTTACTGTTCTTAGGCTACGCTAGGGAGCACAATGACGTTACCCAGTGTTTTTAATACTTGTCTGAAGAGTCACTGTATTGGGCATTATTAAAATATGGAGTCCCAGCCTCTTCACTTACAAAGTGGAATTCAGACTGGGCATGCTGGCTCACGCCTGTAATCCCAGCACTTTGGGAGGCCGTGGTGGGCACATCATATGAGGGCAGAAGTTCGAGACCAGCCTGGCCAACATGGCAAAAACCCGTCTAAAAATACAAAAAAATTAGCTGGGCATGGTGGCGGGCGCTTGTAATCCCAGCTACTCAGGAGGCTGAGGCAGGAGAATCACTTGAACCCAGGAGGCGGAGGTTGTAGTGAGCTGAGATCGCGCCACTGCACTCCAGCCTGGGTGACAGAGTGAGATTCCATCTCAAAAAAAAAGTGGAATTCAGAAATCTATGGGGAGATGGGGTGGCGGGGTGGTGGTGGGCTGGAATTATAACTTAAAAACATGCCTTTTGTGTGTCTTAAGAACAGGCAAGTTTGGAAATCACTGATAGAACCTATGATCAACTTTTATGGAAAAGAGCTGCCCGACAGTGACAAAGTCAGACACAATGCATATTCTCAGGGTTTTAGTCCTATATATGAATATTAGTCGGTCACAAATGTTATTAGTAATTCCTACCAGTAGATTCCTACTAATAGTTACTGCAATGACATTTTTGTCTAGTGTCTTACAATGGAGCACACTGCAGCTGCCAATGACAGCAAGCTCATTTTTTGCATGGGTTGGAAAAGGAGAAAGAGTTGAGTTCAAAGTATTATTCAGACCTGGTGTATGTGTATGTGAATAAGTGTTGTTCTTTGTTATCAGAAGATATTATCAAATCAAACTAAAAATTTGCATCAAATTTTCATTTTTTATAAAGTATGTCCTCGATCAACTTAGTTTTTGTGATCTCACATGCAATCCCACCCAAATGGAATTTTTCTAGAGTGTCTAAAATTCTTTTATTTCATAACTCTCAGAGTTGCAAAATATAAACAGGATATTTATAGTCTCATAGTGTCATCCCACAGGTAATCATTAATTACAAAAAGAAAAAGCTACCTTTACACTGGATAATTTGGTGAATGTTACTTTAACCAAGAGGCCAAAACTGCCATTACTAATATGGGTCAAACTGAGTCTTGTGATATAATTCACTGAGGACATGATATCACCTATGTCTGCAGATGTCTTGTTTGGGCTGTACATTTGAAAAAAAAATGAGTTAGCTCCAATATTTACACATCTAGAGATTTCACACAAAAGTCTGGATTCCCAGGTTTTCTAGAAAAATGAGATGTTTAAGTAGAAGGACGCCGTTCTCCTATAGCTGCAACCTGCTGGGGTTGAGTAGGGGCTGCTCCTTCAAATGCTCCAGTTTGGCCATCTCTTACTGATTCATGTAACTTGCCCAGCCCTTGGAGACATCTGAGTTTGCTGCGCTAACACTAAGGTGATGTCTTATTTTCTCATACAACTTTATGTCATCAGCTCTTAGCCTGCTTCATTCATCATGAATGGATGAATGGGGAAAACAGCCACTTAACTGCCCCTCCCACCAACAGACTGTTCCCGGACAGTCAAGCCTGCAGACTCCCTAAATGAGTATCTGCCCACCTTCTGTGATTCTCCAATGGTTCCTAAATAAAGTCCAAATCCTTGTCTGGCAGTCAAGATCAGCTCCCCTCTCACACTCCCAAAATCCAATTCCACCTTCCTTTTCTAGCCCATGCTTCCCTCGTCCCACACCATGTGCTGACCCTGCCTTGTGCTTCTCCAGCTCAGAGCCTCTGCCCCACCCCCAAATACTCCTTCCTTGCAAAGCCTACCCATCTTGCAAGCGCCACCTCCCCAAAGGATGGTTTTTCTAATTTCCCAGACTAGATATGATCCCATATGATTGGGCATTTCTAGAATCCTTGGTTTGTAAATATGAAATGACACATATTCCATTGTGCCTTGGACAGTAGTTAGGTATGCACATACCTTAATTCACCTCTAGATGTGCAGAGAGCCCCGCTCCTCTCACTCCCCGGAAACCCACAGCGGAAACCATGTCATGGTCGCCCTAGTATCAGCAAAGCCAAGTGCCCAACATACTGAAGAAGATGGTCAAAATACTTAACTATAGGAGTGCATTTCCGTTATAAGGAGAAAATGCTATTAACTAATAATCTACTCCTTCCTCCTATTGCAACATAAAAACTTACTTTTTCTTAAATAGTTGTTTTGGGTCCTCTTTATAAAACTTAATCAAACATTAGCCTTTATCATATCCTTTATTTGATGTCTTAGGTTCTTAGTTACTTTAACCAAGAAATAGAGATGGATAATACAACCTCCAGTGTGGTCATAAGGATTGAATGAGTTAACAGGTAAAGTGCTCAGTATGGGTCTGGCACACAGCAAACACTAAATGGATGACTATTATTATTATGGAGAAACTCCTCATCTAATATTTGGAACCAATTTATAAGTGGCTTGCCTTATTCTAGTTTTCTAAAATACTTCTTAGAAAAGAGCAGGTCAAATAGTGTAGCTTGTCTGCCCTAGACTAAAGAAATATATTTTGCTAAAGAAAAAAAAAAAGATTATTTCAACTATCAAAGATTCAGGCAACAGTGGCTTTGAGATAGTCTTGCTCTGTCGCCTGGGCCGGAGTGCAGCAGTGCGATCTTGGCTCACTGCAACCTCCACCTCCTGGGTTCAAATGATTCTCCTACCTCAGCCTCTCAAGTAGCTGGGACTACAGGCACGTGCCACCACGCCCAGCTAATTTGTGTATTTTTAGTAGAGACAGGGTTTCACCCTGTTGGTCAGGATGGTCTCGATCTCTTGACCTCATGATCCACCCACCTCGGCCTCCCAAAGTGCTGGGATTACAGGCGTGAGCCACCGTGCACGGCCAACAGTGGCTTTTTAAAAAGCAAACTTTTATAGCTACCAAGGTAATGATTGATTCAGGAAAGGATTACCAATGGATGTTAAAACCATCTGGTGAGAGTGTGTTGAGAAACAGGATATTTATAGTCTCATAGTGTCATCCCACAGGTAATCATTAATTACAAAAAGAAAAAGCTACCTTTACACTGGATAATTTGGTGAATGTTACTTTAACCAAGAGGCCAAAACTGCCATTACTAATATGGGTCAAACTGAGTCTTGTGATATAATTCACTGAGGACATGATATCACCTATGTAGTATTCTTGAAACCAAAAAACCTGACTCTACCAGTGAGGGACAAATCAGACAAATCCAAATTGTGCAACAATCTACAAAACAGTTGACCTAGACTCTTCCAATAAGTCGATGTCATGGAAAGACCCCTCCGCCTCCAAAAAAAAAAGGAAGGTGTGGGGGGTATTATTAATAAATGCAATGCATAATCCTTGATCAGATCCTCTAGGTGAAAAGCACAGCTATAAAGATCCTTTTGGGGACACTGGCGAAGTTTGAATATGAACTTTATATTGAATAATAAAAAGTAGTGAAAAATAAGATTGTGATTCATTCACGCCTGTAATCCCAGCACTTTGGGAGGCCAACGGGGGTGGATCACTTGAGGTCAGGAGTTCAAGATCAAGCCTGGCCAACATGGTGAAACCCGTCTCTACCAAAAATAATAATAATAATAATAATAATAATAATTAGCTGGGTGTGGTGGCACATGCCTGTAGTCCCAGCTATTTGGGAGGCTGAGGTGGGAGAATCACTTGAACCCAGGAGGTGGAGGTTGTAGTGAGCCAAGATTGTGCCACTGCATTCCAGCCTAGGTGACAGAGTGAGACCCTGTCTCAAAAAGAAAAGAAAAGAAAAGAAAAAAGTGGTGATTCAATTATATTTTGACATTTTGATTGACCTACTCTTTCCTAAAGTATTTTGGTATCTGGGAATCTACATGTTTCAAGACCTAAAAAGGTCAACATTACAAGTGAAATGTTTGCTCCATTGAACTGGATCAGAGTTTTTGTAGAAACAATGTGCAACTGGGATGCAGTCATATAAATGGACCGAAGAACTTAGAAAAGAACAAAGTGGATGCCAGTAGCCAATGCACACCATTCTGTGCAGTATTTGGTTGGGACAATGCTAACTGCACATAGGCAGTCCTGGGTAAACATTAACTGATGACAATAACCAGCAGAGTCCCAAAGTGAGGCCCTTGCATTATTGTTTTGAGGAAATTCTGCCTAATGAGAATGGATTGCTAGTAAATCATAGAGCAATTTTATTCTCCTTTCAGTAAGACATGGATGACCGAGCAGCTGGTGGGAGCAGCCCTGTCTGTCCCCATCTGAGAGAGTGGTGTATTAGTCTCAAATAGGGAAATTACGCAGCAATGTGGAAGCCTGGCTAGCCGTCATTAAAGTAATTCAGTGTTTGGGCTGCCTGTGTTTCAGGCAGTGATAGGAGCCATTAACAGCTCACTTTTAGTTTCAGAAGCCAGAGATATTTTCATTACTAGTGTCCTCAGGCATACACTTTTTAATTTAAAAAAAGAAAGTAAGTTCAGGATGGAAATAACCCATCACCACAGGAATATCTCTGCACCAGAAACACATTCTAGTTTACCTGTCAATCTTACCAGCATGCCAGATTTATTTTGAGTGTCTGGAATGAGGAAGAGGAGGGAAGAAAGGTGGGTGTAGGGCCGATGGAGGAATCAGGGTCACTAATACCTTGGAAAAGCTGAGGACTTCATTCTAAAGTGCTGTTGAAATCTCAGGTTTTTTACTTCTCTGGCTAGTAATAAAATGATTGATAGTTCTGGCTCTGAGATGTTCCCTACTTCTTCCAAAGCCATAATGCCCTACTTTTAAGATGCTTTGGACAGGTGTTATGGTAGACTGAAGTTGGTCACAAATGCTTTGTTACTTTCCCCAACAGGAGGTTCTTATTTCCCCCTCATTGAGTCTGGGCTGGCCGTGTGGCTGTTCAACCAACAGAAAGCAGCAGAAGTGTACTGTGCAGTCCGGGGCCCAGGCTTTTAGAGAACTGTGGCTTTCTCTGCCTCCTTCTTGGAATCCACTTACCATGTTGAGAGGGGCCCAAGCCACATAGAGGCCAACAGCCAAGTATTTGCAGCCATCTGGGTGAGCCATCTAGGACATTCCACGCCAATCAGACCCCTGGATTGGAGCAGTGGAGCAGACATGGAGCAGATGCAGCCCAGCGAAGGCCAGTATCACAGGCCAGAACAAAATGTTTTAAGCCATTAAATTTTGGTGTGACTTGCTCTGCAGCCAGATAACTGAAATAGGTGTAACCGAAAAGTCCGTAAGAAGGAAGATTTACCTTGCTGACCAATGCAGAATAACAAAGCACAGGAAATAACATTTGCTGGGTCGGAAGACAACTGTCTGGAACAGGTGATGACATCCTTAGCCTTTAGTAGGTTTTGACTTCAAAACTGACCCCGGCTTTCATGCCTCTTTTTGATGCTCAACACGGACAATTTCAAAAAGAAAAAATTTCACTTTAATCCAGCCTCACCCCCACATGTGTGTTTCACACAGACCTTATTTTTTAAACAGAGTTTATTGTATTTAATACATTATAAAATTTGAAAAATTGTAGGAAAGCAGCAGACTTGAACTGGAGCAATTCTAACAAGGAATAATTCTGGCCCCTTGGCAAAACTGATCAGTTTTAAAACAAAGTAAAGTTCACATCTGTGAGGTGGACAAAAAAGTGTGACTTCTGTACAAACTACATTTAAAATTTCATGTCTAACATCTTTGCAATGTGCTCATGAGGGTTTTTCTGAAGTCCTGCCTGGTCCCTGCCTAAAGAAAGACGTGGAACCTCCATATACAAACAAACTTGATTCAAGGTGTTTTGTTTGTTTTGTTTTTTTAAAAAAAAAGGAAAAAGAAAGACAAAGGAAAAAAGAAATATGGATGGCTGTTGTTGGCAATGGAAACTGTAAGGAGACTGTGTCCTCACCACTCATGGCTTGTTTATTTGTCAGAGGCCTCGGAAGGCCCAGGACACTTCACGGCCATCACAGCACCAACTGCGGCTGTCACCTTTTTTTTTTTTCTTTTTTGCATTTCCTACCTTTTGACATATATATATATATTTATATATTTTTTACACCTTGAGGATATCACTATTCCAATTGTTCCCATATGAATACAGGTGTGGTCTCTATTGGATATAAATGTGTCTTTTATTCGATTTTACGTCCAGGACTTGGTTTGCTGTCCCAACTGCACATAAATGTCCCTTTTTTGTTTGAGTTATTGGTTGTGTGTGTTTTCCTTTTTGCATAAGAAATATGTCCATTTAGTCCAGAGGCTCTTGCTTTATCCGGATGACGGAGGGTACACGGGGCGTCCGCCTCAGTTCCCGCCGAAGGACGTATTCGCTGAACTGGGACGAGTCTACTCCTCCCCCACAGGAGCCCACGATTTCAAATCCTCTTTGCTGCAACCTCTCGAGGACCTGCGAGGGAACAAGACAAGCATCCAGTTAGGGGTGAGGTAAGTCCTATGGCTACATAAACACCCCAAAGTTTGAGATTATGCGCACTCTGGTTCATCTCATCCAGCACCCATGTCCCTGTGAGCTGCTCCTCTCAAAGGAAGACCCTGGATTAATGGGCAGGAGAGAGGAAGCAAGCATTTCTAATGCCTAAAATGTGCCTTTCATGCTTGCTTTACACACACCAGCTACAACACTCGATGGTGTTAGGCCCATTTTATAAATGAGAAAACTGAGGTTCATGGCTAGTCAGTGATGGGACTGGGTTTCCAACTCAGGTCTGTTTGGCCTCAAATCTCCTGTTTTTGTATATGCAATGCTGCCCTCTCTGTCAAAAATGAGGGTTCACATTTCAAAGCTCATTTATCACTAAAATACATCCTATGAGATGATAAAGAATCTGGAAAGGACAGTGATGGCAGAGTTTACTTAGTCAGTGATTCATTTGTACTCTCAACTCCGCCTTTGTTCAAGTTTTCCTAATACCGAGTTAATATATATGTTTTGGCCTGGAAGATTGATGTAATTTCAATAGCAGAACAAAGGGATTACTGAAGACACTAGAGGATTATCTACAGGTTTTCAAGTTTGTAACATCTGAAACAGATTTATTGCCCTGCATTCATTCAAGGAGACAAGAACCAGCACAATGATTACATATTAGAAAATGTAAGAAAAATAAAGATATTCTAAACTTCTTATACAAATGTAAGCCATAGAATCTGTTCCTTAATTTTGAAATCAAAAACCTAACGCCAGCAAGATTCCTGGGTTTGGCACTACATGTCTGACACTGTTAAATGCAGGAAACAGTACCTGTGACTCTTAGATTAGATAGACAAAAATACAGGAAACTGATCTGGAGCATTCTGTTTCTTTAGGAATCCAACAAATATTAGACTTGCAAATGTTTCCTGCCCGAGTTCTGAATATAATTAAATTACTTCCACACCACCTTAAAGGCAAAGTGATTCAATCATAACTTAAAAAAAAAAAACAAAACAAAAAAACCCACCTCAAAAAAACTTTTATTGGAATGAACTGAAATGTAGTCAATGTAAAGTGAATCCTTACTTTTTTAAAAAGTATTATTTTTTAGTTGCCTACTTCAATATAGAATATAGTCTGCTATGTTGCAAAACAGCTTACTAGATGAGATGGGAAAGCAAGAGAGTATGTTTTCTAAAAATTAATTAAAACCTCAAGTGCTGGCAAATTAAAAAAACATACACAAGTCCTTATAAGAACAAAATTAACATTCTACCCAGCAGTGCTCTATTTCTGTAGGTAAATTCACAATGCATATGCATACCTGTCAGCATAAGGACAGGAAGAAAACAATCCCTAAATTCAAAATCAAGATGTGCTTTGGTGGCAGGTAAATACAAAGACGAAGAACAGCTCCCTCCATGGATTCCCCAGCAGAGGCAGGAATGCAGCCCTCAGCAAGAGGCATCCCAGCTTGCTTGGCCAAACCAGCACCCTGGAAAAGATCCCTTGCCATGATTAGGAGAGGAAATCCAAAGGGGAGGAAGCCATGAACAGCAGAGAACCTAACCCTGATGTCCATTTTTCTTTGAGTCTTAAGGTCACTAAATGCTAACAGGAGGAAATCGCTAAGCTCTTCTTCGGAGTCCGATAGGCATCATGTGATAATTATTCAATGTGATCCAATGTTACCTTGGATGTGGTCAAAAGCTTATTTCAATGTAATGCAAACAGCTGATGGAGCCATTACTTTGGAAACAACAACACGTTCACAGCAAAGTTCCTTAAACAGTGATCACACAACAACTTAGTGAGGTATCGGGTGTCGTAAGCCTTATCCCAGAGTCTCTGCGTGCCCATAGGCTGGTGCCTATTTCTTGGTCGGTGGAGCAGGACGCAAGGGTAGGTCATGGCTGTGTCATATGACCACGTTAATCCAGATGAAAATTTCCATATCTGATGTGGGAAACTGTCAAGCACATGAATTGATGATCGTTATTCACTGGCCCAAAGGTGTGGCCGAGGCCTTCCTGTCCTGGCTCTGAATGGTTCTGCCCCTCTGTCTGCTCCAGTGATAGCCAGGGCAGGCTGTTGTGTGGAAGGGGACAGGCTTTCTGGGCTTTAAAGAGGCTTAAACTGCTGAGGCCGTCTCAGGAACGCTGTGCAGGGCCATGCGGGAGCACCACACACCTCCAGGGGACGCTCTCCGCACAGGTGAGAACGCGAATCTCGTCCTCGGGAACCCTGCGACCCAGCAGCCAGCCCGCCGCCTGGGAGCATGTGCCTTCCGCTAGCATGCTTAGGGAACATTTTCTGCCAGTTTTCTGCTCTTCTGTTCTCAGACATCTGTTCATATATTTTAAAGAGTTATAAATAGTAGTGGAACAATCCTCAAGAGGCAGCACAGAAGAGTGGGTGCTTCTAGTCTCTGTGCTTTGGGAAGGGTTCTGCTGACTAAATACTGAACAAAGTCATGGGCCCATTCCAGTTAAAAAGAGGGAAAAAACTAGAACCCTCACTCCATTGACTTCAAATGGTTTTGTGTCACACGGAGCTGGAATCGAGACCCAGGTGTGCCTCTGCCTTCCCATCAGCAAGACAGAGAGGATTAACAGTGCTTACCTGTTAGGGTTGTAAGAAGACAACACATGCTCAGGCCATGGCCCAGGGTAGGGCAGAGAGTCGGTGCTCAGCACACATTAGCCTCTGAGTTCTCAATTCCACCCCCACATCTCTTGCTCCCCTACACTTCTCCATCTCAGGAAATGGCAGTTCCACTCACCCAGTTCCTCTGTCAAAAATCTTAGTCATCCCGGGCTTATGTCTCACAACCCACAGCCATCGTCAGAAAACCTTATTAGCTCTACCCTCCAGACACACACAACTGGACACTTTTCAGCTGCTTGAACCACAGCTTGCTGCCTGGTCTCCTTGTTTCTCCTATTCTCTAGCTGCTGTCGCAATGTTCACTTTAAAATACGAGTTCTGTCAGTTCTCCCTTCTGCTCAAAACCCTCCAATGGATTTCCATTTGGCTCACATACACAAACGAACCAAAACCAAAAGATGCCAAAATAAACAATCCTAGGGCACTTGCCACCTCCTAACGAGGCTCTCCGTGATCTGTCCCTGATTTTCCCGGGCCTCCTGTCTGGGTACTCTCTCTCCCTGAGTCACTTTCTTCAAGCCAAACTGGCTTTCCTGATAGTCCTCAATATGCCAGCATACTCTGCCCCAGAAATCCACTTACCACCTCCTGGGCAATATATTTATGTTGACTGTTTGCCTCCCACTCCACTCCCATAATGCAGTTCCATGAACACAGAGCTGTCCATCGTGTTCTGTGTCTGTCTGTCTCACTATGTTGCCCAGGCTGAACCTGAACTCCTGGGCTCAAGTGATCCTCCTGCCTTAGCCTCTGGAGTGGCTGGGACTATAGGCGTGTGCCACCGTGCCCAGCTGTCGTGTTCTATATCTGTCTCTTCTGTATCTCCAGTGCTCATCCCAGCACCTGGCACAATCACAAGACTTACGGAATGACTGCTATAGAGGGTGATAATTCACCTACCCAACAGAAGTGTCACTGAGTGAGTTTCTAAGCTCTTTGGAGGAAAGGCACCATGTGAGGGCAAGGTTAAGTGACAACAGTAAGAGTGGCATTTGATGCCACACAGTGCGTAACAATGCTATACCTGGACTGAGTTGAGGTGACAGTAGCCATTTAGTGGAAACCTGATGACGTGCGTCGAGTCGTGATTCCAGCCTGCATTGACAGAGTTACACATCACGTCGCCGATCTCTGGAAATACTTCTTCTATCAAGGATTTGTCACCGCTTAGCGTGATCCTTTCTCCGAGGTCTGGGGCCACACGCACGACGAGGCACTCACAGGGCCTTGAAAATCGACCAGTTTCTCTGTCCTGCTTCCATCTTTCCATCTCCAACAACATGGGCTGAAGCTGAAAATATTTTGCCTCTTCATATAACAAAGTGTAGTCCTGGAAAAAAAAAAGGTATTTCACAGTGCAAACTGCAAACATAAAGTACTAAACATGTCCACATCTAAGAGGTGATTTTTTTCCACTTCTTGTTATGTCACTAATCAAATCTGCATGTGCGTTTTTCACTTACGACATGTTTGTAGAGGCTCAATTTGCATTCATTCATTCATTCATTCATTCAGTGAAGATAAAAGGAGCTGAGTAGATTAGGGCTGGTCAGGCCTCTTCTAAGTGCTTTACATGATTTAAATCCTGTAACCCTCGTCAATGCCCAGTGAATTAGGAACCACTATTATTCCCATTTTGCAGATGAGAAAACTGAGATGTGAAAGGATTCACCCAAGACTTGTTTCTTTTAGTAGAAAAAATGTCTTTGGGTATTTCAAGTTTGATTGTGTCGGTGAGAACCCAATTTCTATCCTCTTGGATGGAACGCATATATTGACCAAGGGGAGGCATAAGCTTGCCAATGGGCACCCTTCATCAGAAGCTCCCGGTCACCTTTGGTGGCCACAGGAGGGTGTGGGACAGAGATATGAGGCTAGAGACAGGCAGGGATGGGCACCTGGAGGGCAGGCATGTGGCTTTTACTTGAACCTAGGTGTTGATTTGTGATGGTTTGGGGGAGGCTGGTGGACAGCTGGAAGGCTAGTGTACTGCCCTGTGCCACCTGATGGAGCTGCCATCATAGAGTCAGAGACATAAACAACTTTAGGCCTCGACTCCTGCAAGATGTGCAATAAAGAAAACCTGTCCATTTCTGCATTTCTGAAAGCAAGAACACCTGGTCTTTTGGCATGGTTTCCTTTCCTCCAGCCTTAAAATAATCTGTTGAATTGAAACAGAAACCTAACAAAACAGGTATTAAAACACACACATAAGCCACTGAATGGGAAGACAAAAGAGAATGAGGGGGAGGCAGCAACTCAGGAACAATGTTAACAAGCAGGTCAATGTTATGGCTAAACGTAGCTATGGCCACAATCATTTCTGGGTGTAAGATAAGTGGATACTTGTCTAGACATGTTGACTGAGAACATTTTAATCAGCTGACACAGGCATTTGTGCCTTCCGTCCATGGGCAAGAGCTGGCAGGGGATGCCCAGTGCCTGCATGACAGCCAATGTTGCAAACATGTGGTCCGAGTGCCTCAAAGAGGCCCCTGATGTCCAGATGGGCTAGAGTATGAGAAGCACAAGATGACCATGGGATAAATATTTTTATTTTGCACTTTGCTCTTTCTCTTGCAAATCAAGCAATAGCAGCAGCAGCTGTAGCGGCATTATTCAACGCTTCCAGAGAAAACAGCATGGAGAGATGACAGTACTTGGGGGTCTTTAGCTGGGTAATCCACTTTCCATATAAAGAAACTCAGATCAGGTAGAAGATGCTGATGACGACACTCATCTCAGTGGAATGGGCTGCTGCTTTATTCTGTCCTTTTCCTGGCAACCCCCTTACCACAGGAGTCTTGGTTCCCTGCAGGAAAGGAGCCCACTGCTCTGAAAATCTTCCTTGCACATGTTCTACCTGCTTAGCCTCCTGACCCAGAGGAGATACTGTTTTGCTTTAAGGAGCTGAAAACTAGGCTGAGGTGTGGCCACTCTTAAGACAGGGCAGAACCGGGGCCCTTAGCCCAGCCTGAGGGGTAGGAGTGGGGAAGCCTCTGCAGGTTCCTCCTGGTTCTACCTGGGATCCCCACTCTGGGGCTTTGTCATCTTGGCATCACGCCAACTGTAAGATACTGACCTAAACACTTATTTACCAAGGAGATTTTAAACAGCAATGAGAGTTACACAAGCAAGAGAAGCGAGAACTTATGCTATTGCTTTTTATTTTCTTGTGAGATTTAATTACAAAACTTAGCACAAGGAAGGATCTAGACTCCAGTGAAAATATCTTATCGGCTGGGCGTGGTGGTTCACGCCTGTAATCCCAGCACTTTGGGAGGCCGAGGCAGGTGGATTATCTGAGGTCAGGAGTCTTGAGACCAGCCTGGCCAACATGACGAAACCCCGTCTCTACTAAAAATACAAAAAATTAGCCGGGCATGGTGGCGGACAAAGCCCTGATCTCCCAATGTGTCCAAAGTGAATGAAGCTAACAGGAAGGACTTGGGGTTAGAAGTCCTCCCCATGCTGACCCTGAGTTCTCACCATCTTTTCTTCCTTCTAGGTTCACAAGCCACTTGTTTAATAATCCACTCTGAGGTCTGGCCCTGGATGGGCAGTGAGGCTCACAACATAATGTTGCTCCAATTCATTGTTACCCACTCTTGGAAAAGTCGAGAAACACTGGCCCTTTTCAGATTTTTGGCCCTGCTCAGTGACCACTCTGGGATCCTGCTAGGGTTTATTAAAGTGAGAGTCAGAAGCGCTCCTATGAAGGTCATCTTGCCCCTGGGCTAGAGTCTCATGGGCCTAGCGCTGAACTGCTTTAAGCCACCAGGTGTTCTTTTACTCTCTCTTGATCATCCTGGCTCCATTTTTTCCTTTACTATGCTGTTCTATCTAGTCTCCAGAGTAGAGCCACTGCTATGTCACGGGGAGCAGATGACAGAGAACAGCTGAGCACTCATGCTTCTCTCTGGTGACTGCTCATCATGCTGCCTTGCCTCTAAGCACTGGCTGGCCAGAGAACTGAAATGATCCTTCTTGCTGCGTTACCATTTTCTGCACACGGTGAAGTGCACATTGGCCATTCATTTTCTTGGCAGGCTCCTTTGTGTCTGTCTTTCTATCCTGTCTAACACCCGCCTACAGTCTTAGCTCATCAGAAATGAACCTGCAAAGCAGAGTCAGTCCCATTGGCTACTGTCTTTAGAAACCTTTCCTTCCTTAAATGGGATCATTTAACTTTACTCTCTAAGTACCACGGTTTTTAAAGTTTAGTGTGTTTCTGTTAGGTTCTCTGGCCTTGTGCTTATTTCCTTCAGGCCTCTGAATTTTCTGAAATCTTTCCTTAAGCCTTTGTTCTAATCTGGCAATGTCCTTTCTGGGGCTTTTACAAACTCGAGATGATGGGTCTCTTGTTTCCAAGGTACTTGGTGGAAATAGGCAGGGGTTTATGGGGCAGCAGCAGGTTCAGCACCTGTTTTTCTGAAGGAAATGAATTCACAACATCCACTTTTCCTCCCTTCTGAGAAATAAGCTTTCAGCAAAGCCACTCAAGAGTGTGCTAGATGCTATCACTCTTCTGCCCTGTCCTATGTCCATTTTATCTTCTCTGATTAAGAAGCACCATCTGGCCAGGCACAGTGGCTCACACCTGTAATTCCAGCACTTTGGAAGGTGGAGGCAGGAGGATTACTTGAGGCCAGGAGTTCAAGACCAGCCTGGGCAACGTAGGGAGACCCTGTTTCTATAAAAAGTAAAAATATTAGCTGGATGTGGTGGCCCGGGCCTGTGGTCCCAGCTAAGTTGAGGCTGCAGTGAGCTATGTTTGCATCACTGCACTCCAGCCTAGGAGACCGAGAAAGACCCATCTCAAAAAAAAAGAGAAAAAAAAAGGCACCATCCATATTTCTTGCTTAGCCCCATATACATTTAAAGGGAAATCAGTTACTCACAGACCTATTATCATGTTTAAATCATTTCAAAATCTTAGAATACGGTTTTTTTTTTTTGAGATGGAGTTTCGCTCTTGTCATCCAGGCTGGAGTACAGTGTTGTGATCTCAGCTCACTGCAACCTCTGCCTCCTGGGTTCAAGCGATTCTCCATCCTCAGCCTTCTGAGTAGGTGGGATTACAGGTGCCCACCACTACGCCCGGCTAATTTTTGTATTTTTAGTAGAGACGGGGTTTCGCCATGTTGGCCAGGCTGGTCTCGAACTTCTGACCTCATGTGATCCACCTGCCTCAGCCTCCTGAAATGCCGGGATTACAGGCGTGAGCCACCACGCCCGGCCTGAATACATATTTTTTAAATAATTTAAGATTTACAATGATTTTTTTGAGGCAGGAAGATCAAGATCTCATTTTACATATGAGCTTCCCTAAGATCCTGAGGACAGGTACAGGGGACAAGAAAACAGACATGGGTGGTGGACTCCAAAATGCAAACAGGCCAGGTTTTGAAACTTCTTTCTTGATTACATAATTGGAATTCAGAAAATATCCTCCCTAGAGGGAGGAAAACGATATATTCAGTGTATTAGGTTCCTACTGCTGCTGTGAGAAATTACCACAAATTTGGTGGCTTAAGACAACACAAATTTATTCCCTTACAGTTCTTCAGGTCAGAAGTCGGAAATGGATCTCACTGGGCTGAAGTCATGGTGCCGGCAGGGATGCCTTCCTTCTGGAGGCTCTGGGGACAAATCCACTTCCTCATCTTTTCCAGCGTCCAGAGGCTGCGAGAATTCCTTGGCCCATGGCCAGCAAGCACATCACTTCTCTCATCCCATCTTCTCTAACCCCGGCCCTCCTGCCTCCCTCAAATAAGGACCGCTGTGATTATACAGGGCCCACCTGGATTATCCAGGCTAATCCTCCCATCTCAAGACCCTTAACTTAATCACATCTGCAAAGTCCCCTTTGCCATGCAAAGCATTGTATTCACAGGTTCTGAGGACTGGGGCAAGCTTCCCCCTCACAGTCAACGGTTCTGCAAAACAGTTGAAAGGCTTATTTTCTGAATGTACCTGAGGCTTTACCCAGAAGCTGACAGATCCTTAACACTCAAAAGGCAACTCAACTGTTCACCCATTTCATTTTAAAAACTGTGTAGGTGCCAGATGCCGTGGAAGGCACCGTGAGCACAAAAAGGATTTTTCTCTGAGGAATGTCTCCAATACCTCCCAGGAGCTCTAGCTCTCCTCACCCCCAGGCTTAGGGGGCAGTGGGATCCTGCTCTTGGGACCCTCGGCAGTGGGTGGTTCCCTAGCAGGCAGGGCACCTATGTATCAGGGGTACCACCAGCAAAGCAGGGGTGCCAAGAAAATGAAAGGATTTTACCTTTTCCATTTCCAAAACAGCAACCAAGTAGTGGTCATCATAACAAAAGACAGATCTCTGTAGCACTTACTTTCCTTTGGTTTTAAAGATTTTGTTTATCTTGTCGGGGATGGAGGTTGGGGGAGTGGCCACTGCAGTTTTTTCAGTGTTTAGGGTACTAAAGCTCTTAATTGCCCTGGCCTTGTAATACTCCTTTGGGCTGGAATAATTTCTTTTTTAATGGAGTTTCTCTCTCCTTGTCCAGGCTGGAGTGCAATGGCATGATCTTAGCTCACTGCAACCTCTGCCTCCCAGGTTCAAGAGATTCTCCTGCCTCAGCCTCCAGAGTAGCTGGGACTACAGGTGCCCGCCACCATGCCCGGCTAATTTTTGTATTTTTAGTGGAGATGGGGTTTCGCCATGTTGGCCAGGCTGGTCTTGAACTCCCGACCTCAGGTGATCTGCTCACCTCAGCCTCCCATAGTGCTGGGATTACAGGTGTCAGCCACCGTGCCCGGCCCATTCTTTCTTTTCTTCAAAGCCTGGAGGGACTGGCCCACGTGCCCCTTTTCTCCTGCCACTACTTGACAGTTCTCACCAGGCAGTCCCCTCCTCATCCAGGGGCACTGACTCCCAGCTTCTCCCGACTACTCTTGTTTTCCTGGGTCAAGGATACCCAGACTAGGATTAGTCTTGATGGCTACTGAAAGAAATGGAAGCAGCAGCAGTGTCCCGTCTACGCCCTGCCACTGTCTCCACTCCCATCTTACAGACAGAAGCACACACAGGTGACCGTGTCAGGGTGCTGACGGCGGGACGGAAGGCAGGCCCACCAGCATTCTGAAACAACACCCTGGCTTGGAAAGTCACGAGGACGCCACACCACAGGAGCTAGGCCTGATGTCTAGGGCGTGCTGAGGGAGGGGGCCAGAGACACCATCGGAGATGGTGCCGGGGTGGGGCTGGCTGCTCTTCCATCCTCCCAGTCCTGCCTCTGGGAAAATATCCTTGGGAGGAGAAAAGAGGTCATGGGCAGTACCAGACAGCGCTAGTCACCAGACCACGGATACAGCCTCGGTGGCGGCAGCTGAGGCCGTGGTCTGGGGCATGTCCTGAGTAGGCACTCCCGCAGGTACCAGTGAAGAAACTCTGGCGAGTGGGGGCCTATCCAGGTCGCCACTCTGCCTTCTCCGAGAAAGACCTACCCGCAGGTACGGGTGAAGAAACTCTGGCGAGTGGGGGCCTATCCAGGTCGCCACTCTGCTTTCTCTGAGAAAGTTCTACCCGCAGGAATGAGGACCTAGAAGCAATGTGTGTGTTGCCACAGCTGATTGGCTAAAGTACAGGCATGGAGCCAAGCTGAGCCAATCAGATGGTGTCTCTGTAGGACCAAGGGAGGGGAACGAGGCCCTGGGCTTGCTGAGACTGGCACATGTTAATGGCACCTCCTGCAATTTAAGTCTTCAGGGCGGTCCTGTTGTTTCCATCCCTGAGAGAAAGCTTCCACTAATTCTATGAGATAAACTAGTAAGCGCTTCCTGTCAATACTCCCTTTAACTTTTCCTTAAGCTGGACAACTGGTTCTCGAGCAGGAGTAATTTTGACACTAGAGGGCATTTAGCAATGTCTGGAGACACTCTTGGTTGTTGCAACCGGGAAGGGGGTGCTACTGGAATTTGATGGGTAGGGAGGGATGCTGCTGAAAACCCTATATTGCACAGGACAGCCCCCACCACAAAGAATTGTTTGGCCCCAAATGTTACTTTGAGCTTGACAGAGATCGTTTTTATTGCAGCCTAAGGAGCATGCAACTCACCTTGATACAATGATCAGTTCATTCCTAGCATCATTAATGGTGGCTCAACCACATGCCTTTGCTACTGTGAGGTAGTATGAAGCAAACAGCATCACTGTGATGTATTCTCCCCAACAAGTCTAACGTAAACCCATCATGTCTTTAGAGATGACTTCCAGTTTACAGGAAATTAAGGGATAGATTCATGAGCTAAACTACACATGACAAGGCAACCACACAAATCGAGATGGCAGGACATTTTGCAGGACAGCTAGCCCAGTCTCCAGCAAGTTGTAAAGGGCATTGTGGAGTCAAGCAGGGAAACTCAAATATAGTTGTGGAATTAGAGGAAATAATTTTTTTTAAATGGAAAGGTAAAGGTTATTGTCCAAAATAAGCACAGGAAAAGATCCAGAAGGCTACTCACTAATGTTTTAACATTGGCAGTCTGAGTGGTGGGAACATACGGTATAGTTTGTTTTTTTTTTTTTGGTTTGTCTATATTTTTAAATTCTCTACAATGTACATGTACTTCTTCTATAATATTAAAATGTTATTAAAAATAAACAATAGAGGTTGGTTGTGGTGGTGGCTCACACCTGTAATCCCAGCACTTTGAGAGGCCAAGGCAGGAGGATTGCTTGAGCCTAGGAGTTTGAGATCAACCTGTGGCGGCTCAGTGAGACCGTCTCTACAAAAAATGAAAAACTAGCTGAGTGTGGTGGTGCATGCCTGCAGCCCCAGCTACTTCGGGGGCGCTGAGCGGGGAGGACTGCTTGAACCTGGGAGGTTGAGACTGCAGTGAGCTATGATTGCACCACTGCATTCCAGCCTGGGTGACAGCGCAAGACCCTGTCTCAAAAAAAATTTTTTAAGGCCGGGCACAATGGCTCATGCCTGTTATCCCAGCACTTTGGGAGGCCGAGGTGGGTGGATCACCTGAGGTCAGAAGTTCAAGATCAGCCTACCAATATGGTGAAAACCCATCTCTACTAAAAATACAAAAGTTAGCTGGGCATGGTGGGGGGTGCCTGTAATCCCAGCTACTTGGGAGGCTGAGACAGGAGAATCACTTGAACCCAGGAGGCGAAGGTTGCAGTGAGCCGAGATTGCACCATTGCACTCCAGCCTGGGTGACAGAGCGAGACCCTATCTCAAAAAAACCAATTTTTTTTAAATTAATTAAAAAAATACCCAATAGACTTTTGAACATATCCAGGGCTAGGTAAGTTGGGAGCTGCCTGCCAGCAAGTTTGTCTATGTCTAGGAATGGTGGACATACAGACAGACCATGAAAGATGTGAGCAACATGGGGGCCACTTACCAAAGATGATGTTAAAGATAAAAGGCTACAGAGAGAGAGAGAGAGAGAAAGAGAGAATTGTGTGGTTCTCCATAAAAAATGGGGCCGAAGCTCTAGACTCTTGGTGTGCTGAGAGTTGCAACCACGTGTGTGTGTGTGCCTATGCATGCGTACACGCTCATGTGCAGGGCATAAAACAACAATGAGCAAATCAGTAAAATTGGAGGGAGGGGAAAATTAAGGGAAGAGGGACAGTCATATCCATAATAAAACACTGCAGAAAAGTTCTGCAATCACTTATGCAGAGAACAGATCTCAACAGCTTTCCATGGAAGCCAGGACAGGAGCAACTGCCACTTAAATGGTGTTCTGAAATATGAAATTATCTCAAAGATGAAATGGGTATCCGGCTCGGACAGCACATTTGCGGAATGAGATTTTAGGGGTGGAGGATCTTGTGACTTCAGGATTGAATGCACTTGTTCACCCAGTATTAAATGGCTAGGGAAAGAAGCAGGTAATCAATAAACATTCTCCCTAACAAACTTAGTGAAAGAGATTCTCTCCTCATGCAAAAAACCATGTCCTGGCCGGGCGCGGTGGCTCACACCTATAATCCCAACACTTTGGGATGCTGAGGTGGGCGGATCATTTGAGGTCAGGAGTTTGAGACCAGCCTGGCCAACATGGTGAAACCCCATCTGTACTAAAAATATAAAAATTAGTGTGCCTGTGGCGTGGTGGCGTGTGGTGGCGTGTGCCTGTAGTCCAGCTACTTGGGAGGCTGAGGAAAGAGAACTGCTTGAACCCGGGAGGCGGAGGTTGCAGTGAGCCGAGATCGTGCCGCTGCACTCCAGCCTGGGCGACAGAGCAAGACTTTGTCTCAAAGAAACCAAAAAACCCCAAAAGCCATGTCCCTCCCAGGTTCAAGAGAAAACTCTGACGAGGAAGAAAGCACCAATAGTACTGTTCAGGACGTGCAGACTGAAAGCTCCTATGTGTACCTGTATTTGTGACTCCTGTAAACTGCACTGCTCCTGCTGATGCAATTCCATCACCAGCCACCAGAGCGGAAGGACCCCTTCAGCTTCTGCTGCCCCTCCCAGGTCCCAGAACACCCTGTACTGTAATTTACAGCCTGTCACCAGAGGTTCTGTGGGAAATGTTTTAAGGCCCTGGGATATGTGAGTTTCATTTGACATGCTTTTGTTTTTTTTTTTTTCCCTCAAGCGTGGGTTACAGCTAAATCCTTAGCCAATTAAAGGGTGTGTTTGGTACTTAGAATTGATAAATAGCAGGTCTTTAAGAGCTCTGGAATCCTCAGGGAGCACGCAAAAGGTGCAGAGAAGCAGCTGTGCTAATCCTAGGCAGGTGGGTGGGTGAGTCCTTAAGCAAACTGGCCACAGTTGAACTCCGTGTGGAAGTTTTTCCCTCCCCAGCACCTAACCTGAATGCTCTTGGAGGAAAAATAATGCCTGCTATGTAGGTTTATGTGCTGAGGTTTAGTTAAACCAAAGTGCGTGCCTAAAATACCTGGCTCAGTTTCTGGAACATACTGCAACTAAAAATGAATGGCTACTATCATTTCTAACTGTAATTCCCAATATATTCTTTTGTGATTCCCTGCAGCCTGCATCCTTTTCAATAATGGGAATTATAAATTAATATTATTCTGATAAGCAGCATACAATGATGATATTATATACACGTTTTGTATTTTCTACTTAGTCCTATATAATTTTGAAAGGAAGTGCATTGCCTATTCATATTTAGATTGTGGCTTCCTGCATCTCTTTTAACCCTTTTCTGCTGTATTTCAGTGAATTAATACTAAGCATTGATTATGTGCCCAACACACAATGTCCTCTGGAAAAACATAAAAATGTCCCTGCCTGGAGAATCGCTTGAACCTGTGAGGCAGAGGTTGCAGTAAGCCAAGATCGTGCCACTGCCCATCTCAAAAAAACAAACAAACAAACAACAAACAAACAAAAAGGCCCTGCCTGCAAGAACCTTATAATGCAGCAAGGAAGTGAAGATATATACACAAAATATCCAGAGTCCAAACATCAGAAAGTAGATCAGCAGGTTTCAGATGAACTGGTGGGAACAAGAGCCTAGTTTGCATGTTAGCCTCACTCCATTCATCTATTTACCCATCCATGCGTTCATTCACTCACGCCACAAATATTTACATGCTTAATATGTGGCAGGTGCTGAGCATGTGGGACAGATGCTGCTGGCTAGCTTCCCCAACAGCTATTTCAACCTCTTTCCCTTGCCTATTTCTCTTACTACAGAGGCTAAAAATAAGCGAAGAAAAAAAAATCCCTTTCTCAGCCACCAAGGAGAGGCTCCGTTCTGGCCAATGAGCCACAAAGGGAAAGCCTTCTGTGGGATCGTCTGACAAGGACAGAGTCTTGTGAGTTGAAAAGCTGTCTGTCCCTTTATCCTGCCTTGACTGAGGATGTGACGCCTGGAATGGTGATGCCTGGTGCCGTGATGCAGTCACCATATAATCTTGAGGTGACAGGCATGAGGCCAGAACGTCAACACTGAGGATGGCAAAACAGAAAGACAGAAAGCTTCCTGGTCCTCGATAACATTGCTGGGCAGATACCTCTGCCACAGGCCTCTGACTTCTCACGTGAGAAAAACAAATCTCCTATAGTGTAAGCCGCTGTTAATTGGCTGTTCCCACTCTCGTAGCTGGAAGCGTCCCTACCTCACAGCTGCGCAGATGGTGCTGCACAGTGAGTGATAGATGCACTGCGTGTGACCACGGAGAGTCAGGGGTACAGGTGAGCCTAAGCTACACCAGGCCCAGGTAGGTTTGCTGGGGGATGTGGTGAAAAAGATGACTCCTGAATTCCAGTAAAGGCCAGGGGAATGGCTGCATAGGCACACAGAGGGGCAGTTGTCAGGGGGCAAGAGGAGGGTGTGTCTGAGGGACCAAGAGAAGTCCTGTAGGGACATGTGGAGGGCAAGAGTGGGTGAGGTGGGCAGGGGCCAGAGCTTTCTGGGCCTTGTGGGCTCTGACAGGGATGTGGTGCTTTGCTCTGTGAGACAGAAGAATGAATGGAAGAAGCCATGGCTGCTCATTTCTGCTTGACCCTCTGACTCTGGGAGGACGTGCAGGTCTCCAGGAAAATGCCTTGAAGACACAACAAAGCCGAGTATACAGCCCCCCCAGGTCTCCTGCCTGAGTCACTACATTCCTTAAGAGATACATGACCCTAGTCTTTGCCTTTTCTTCCGTATGAGATAAAGTCTGACAGGTTGGTGATGACGCTTCTGTAATCTATAACACGCTGTACTCTTACACCCAAAGCTCGATGTATTCTGCTTGTAGCGTCTGAGCAAGTGTGATGTGATTTTCCATGTACTGAACCTCCACCGCCTATATAACAAGCTGTGGGCTGAAATCCTGTGTGGGACCTCAGTAAGACTTCCGAGTAAAACTAACTTTAATTCTTGAAAAGCTTGGTTTATCTTCTTCATTTGACAGTTTCAGGAACAAGAGAAAGTCCCTGCAGAATTTCAAGCAGGAGCAACTCATGATACAGTTTTTAAAAAGTGTCACATGGTCAGGGATGGGGTAGGATGGTGGCAGGGAGAGAGAGGGGTGGGCATAACTGTCAAATGACTACAGGAGGGATCCTTGTGGTGATGGAACTGTTCAGAACCTTGACTGTATCAGTGTCAATATCCTGGTTGTGATCCCAGTATTTTGCAAGATGTTATTACTGGGGGGAACTGGGTAACACAGCATCTCTATTATGTCTTACAACTGTATGCAAATCTATAATGATGTCAAAATTAAAAGTTGAATTTTTTAAAAGTGTCTCATAGTTTCAATGCAGAGAACAAGTCAAAAAGGGGTAAGAGTGGGAGGGGGTAGACCAATTGTGAAGCCACTCCAAGGAGTCCAGAGAGCTGCTGGGCCTTGGGCTAGGGAGGTGGGATGAGGGTAGTGGATTGATTCGCGATGCGTCCAGGAGGTTAAGATGACGGATGCGCTGACAGATCACACGTGGGAGGCGAAGAAGAGGAAAAAGTCCAGAAGGACTGCAGGTTCCTGCCTTGAGCAAGTAGGTGGATTCTGGCATCTTTTACTGAGATAGGATACAAAGGAAGAGGAGCAGATTTTGTTCTTGGTGGTGGTGGTGGCAGAGGGGGAGGCAGACAGAGTGAGCTCATTTTTGGGCATCTAAAGTTTAAAGAGCGAATGAACTATCCAGGCAGGGATTCTGGGTCGGCATTTGGAAATGCAATCACCTAAACATGAGGTGATTTTCATATTGTACTAACCAAACCTTCTCCTGATGAAGTCCAGGCTATATATAACTTAGCGAAAAATATAATGAAATCCTATGGCAGTTTTTCCTTACTAGTATACATGTCTGTAGCTGTGATAACTTGACTTCTTTTTTGACAACTTTATTTAAAAATTATTTTATTGTTTTATTTTAATGACTTAAGTCATATGTGAATGCCTGCTCATTGTAAAAACTAATGATAAAATTCATACTAAAGCATACGGAACTAAAAGTGAAATATCCTCCCTCACCCATTTCCAATTCTACTGCCTTTCCTCTAGGAAAATATGAGAGAGTAAGAAATTGTTCCCCCACCTCTCCACATCATGCTTTGGCCCTTCTCTCTACATGAGCTTACTTACTCCCTAAAGTGGGAAAGGGTCCAGAGCTGACTGGGGAGCGCCCGACGTTGGTGGCTCAGGTTGGACTAGTGGCCAGTCACTGCTGGAATCTGTGCCCTGGGCAGGGACCCAGCTTCCTGATTCCTCTTCCTGTCTCCACATGTGGCAAGCACCTGCTTTCTAGAACAGTCCTGGTTCTCTCCCTAGGTCTCTCTGTTTCACCTGCAGCTGCTGTGGGAAGCTGGCCTGCTCTCTTCAACTATGCCATTCATCAGCTGTGGCCTCGAAGACATGGGGCTGCTGTCTAAACCCAATCAGTCCCCTTGATCATGTCTGAGAGTGTGTGACCCCAGGTGCAGACTGAGGGCTGGAGGCAGAGACTGCACTTTGGCCTTGGGCCTGCAGAGTGTTGTCTAATTCAGCTATTATCTGAGAGCCCTGGATAAAATTTTTGCCCAAATTAATAAAGTAGCATGGAGAATAAGGCAGGAAAGAGGTTCAAAAGTTATCATGCCAAGAAAAAACTGTATATACTATATTGAAAATTATCTTGGAAAAGCCTCTAGGAAGAGGCATATTGGAAATCGCTCCTTGGAATACCATGCAGCCATAAAAAGGAATGAGATCATGTCCTTGCAGGGATATGGATGAAGCTGGAAGCCATTATCCTCAGCAAATAACACAGGAACAGAAAACCAAACACTGCATGTTCTCACTTATAAGTGGGAGCTGAACAATGAGAATACATGGACAAAGGGAGGGGAACAACACACACTGGGGCCTGTAGCAGGGATAGGGGGAGGGAGAGCATTAGGATAAATAACTAATGCATGCAAGGCTTAATACCTAGGTGATAGGTTGATAGGTGCAGCAAACCACCATAGCACGTTTACCTATGTAACAAACCTGCACATCCTGCACATGCACCCCAGAACTTAAAATTAATAATAATAATAATAATAATAATAATAATAGTAAAAAAGAAATCACTCCTCAATATGCTTCCTTTCCTGAGCTGGAAGAGATCACTACTGATGAAGCGGCTTTTGCTTAGGAGCCATGTTGCACAAACCAAACCCCCATGTCTTCAAACCCTGGAATCAAGCTCAGTGCGGTGAGATGCACGCCATTGAGGGGGCCTTGGGAACTGCCCTTGGCTGGGAGCAGCGGGCTCCTGTGCCTTCCTCAGGCTCATTCCAGGGCTGCGGGAAGCTCATTCACTGGCTGCAGTTATTACACTCTCTCTATTTTCTTGCCAATTGCATATAGTTGCCATGTAAAATAAATGTGCACATGATGCAACTCCTCTGTGCTCTCTTTTCCATTTGGCTAATAATCCTTGGCATGTGCCCCACTGTTCAAAATCCTGAAGGAGAAGATAACTAAGGGGCCCCTGAGCTTCTTATTAACTTGGGATCTACTCTTCTGGATCTTTTTCTATGCATTTATATATGCATACATACCTGATCTTTTACATAAATAGAAACATACTATACATATGGTTCTGCAACTTAATATTTTCACTGAATCATGGAATTACATGATTTTCCCCCCACATATCAACAGATACAGATCTACCACATCTTTTAAACTAGTCTATAGCATGGATAGTCTATAATATTTGTAACCATCTGCCAATGAACTTTCTTTTTTAGAAAGTCCAGTTTTTGCTATTATAAACATGACTATAATAAACATCCTATATATAAATATCTTTACAGATTTACCTGAATATTTCTAGCAGATCAAAGAGTATGTATATTTGAAACTTTAACATTTACTGCTGAATTGTCCTCCAAAAATGTTTAATGATTTTGACTTCCAACCACACCGTATGTTCCCTAACACTGTATATTACACATCTTTTTAATTTTTGCCAATCTAATGGATAAAAGGGAGTATCTAATTTTATTTTTATTTGATACAAAAGAAACTGAATGTCTTTGCAAATGTTTATTGCCAATTTCTGTTTTTTTCTTTGGGAAAATTTTGTTCATAGCTAAAAAAATTTTTCCACTGGGTTGTTTGTATGTTTCTCATAGATTTTTAAGATAGATCTTTTATGATGGGTATTCATCTTTTGTTGCAAATGTTTCTTATGGTCTGACACTTGTCTTGTATTTGTATATGATGTCTTCAATTCAACTATTTTTTTTAAAGGATAGCTTCTGGGTATGAAGTCTCATTTAGACAGGCCCCTTCTGCCTCAAAATTATACTTTTAGAAATTTCTTTGTATTTTTTCATAATACTTTTATTGCCCTCGTTTTTGTATTTATTTCTGAAATTTTTGTGAATTTATGATGTAGGATAGGGCTCTGGCTTTACAATTCCCTCAAATGTCTCAGTGGTGATCGTCTCAGCACCTATTACTGACTATTGCTTTCTTTTCCCACTGATGTGAAATGCCACCTTTATGGTACATCAAATTCCTATGCACCTGTACATCTATCTCTGGACCCTATTCTTCTCCATTGATTTGTATATTTCAGTGCTGTCAGAATGACACCTTTAAATTAATATAGCTCGAAAGTCTGTTTTGACGTTGATAGGACACATCCACCATTACCCACCTTTACCATCATTACTATGACCAGAAATACTTTTTTTTAGCTATCCTTAACGCTTTTTTTCTTCTACACAAACTTTATAAATGGTTCAAATTTCATTTTGAAAAATCTATTACTTAAGTGGGTTTGCACTGACTATATAGAATAATTTGAGGATAACTGACATCTTAACAATATTGAGGTTTCCCATCCAGGAACCTAGAATGTTCCTTCATTTATTCAACTCTTTTACACTTGTGTGTAGAGATCTGCAGTTTTCTTAATCAGCCTTTGCTTGTTTCTCGTTAGGTTTATTCCTAGGTGTTATAATTTTTGTTGTATATTTTTCTATTATAGCTTATGATTGGCTCTTGCTATTCTCTAAAAAGGCTATTGACTGGCTGGGCACAGTGGCTCATGCCTGTAATCCCAGCACTTTGGGAGGCTGAGGCAGGTGGATCACCTGAGGTCAGGAGTTTGAGACCAGCCTGCCCAACATGGTGACACCCCGTCTCTACTAAAAATATGAAAAATTAGCTAGGCGTGGTGGTGGGCAGCTGTAATCCCAGCTACTCGGGAGGCTGAGGCAGGACAATTGCTTGAACCCAGGAGGCAGAGGTTGCGGTGAGCCAAGATCACGCCACTGCACTCCAGCCTGGGAGACAAGAGCAAAACTCCGTCTCAAAAAACAAACAAACAAACAAAAAAAGCTATATATTGATCCTGAATTGAGCTGCTTTAATGAGTTCTTTATAAGTTCTAATAGCATTAAGTTGACTTTTTAGAATCATCCATTTGAAGAAACATTGTCAGCTGCAAAAATTACATTTTCGTGAATTCCCTTCTAATATTAACACTTTCTATTTGTTCTCCTTGTCTGACTCCATTGCCTAGAGTTACCAGCACAATGTGGGCTATCTCAGCGTGACTAACCTTAACACTTATTACTAACTGTAAAGGGAAGAATTCTAAAATTTTACTGTTCATGTTTGCTTTCGATTTCTAGGGGCGGGGACGGGGAAGTCTTCATTAAGCTAAGGAGGTTTCCTTTTATTCTCTAGCTCTCTAAGACATATCAGAAATGAGCTTTGAATTTAATCAACTCCTTTTCAATTTGTTCAAGTGAATTATAATTCAATTCTTTAAATGAAAAGCGATCCTCTTTAAGTCATGTAGAAGTTTAATGGCCATAACCACTATTTCATGAATAGTGAACCATGTCAAAGAGAACTCTGGCACCTTTCGAGTTGGTGTATGTTAATAATGTAGAACTAGAAATATTTTTTTGGAGCACATAAAAAAATCACATATTTATGCTATTGGTGATTTAACATGGATCCCTCACCTTGAAATCATCAGGAATGAGGAGTTTGGATGTTCGTAGAAAATTCAAGATATATCTGAACATCTGTCCATCTCTGTCAATGAAATAGTGCTGTTTGAGACTGTCCAAAACAATGGGCTCTGTACCATCAAAAAGTCTTCCGATTCTGTGATAGAAAAGAGGGAACAGTGAAGACAATTAGATCAATTGTTCGGGCACTAGGACTAAGAGGTGTCTTTTATCACTGTCAAAGGTAGCACTTTTGAAGATGGCAGTAGGGAAAAATTACGATTGTCTGCAAAGTGTTGGTCCCCGCTTGATAAATATCTCAG
This sequence comes from Homo sapiens, assembly GCF_000001405.40. NCBI lineage: Eukaryota > Metazoa > Chordata > Mammalia > Primates > Hominidae > Homo > Homo sapiens. The sequence continues at coordinate 26,476,826 of NC_000018.10, forward strand.
GACGAGACCATTCAAAATAGTCCTAGGCTTTGTCAAATGAATTCTTTTATTCACTGTCTTTCACCTGCAAAGAAAATGTTCCTGACATGGTGATTACGGCTAAGTGCTGTCACTGTAATGGAAGATCACATCTTTCCCCGTGTTACTTAAAACAAGCATCCCTGATACTTAAAAAATGTTATTGCTCCAAAGCATCTTTGAAACAGGTTCTACTAAAAAAGCAATTTTGTTTTTAAGAAATCGTTTTCTGAGTTTTCCCCAACCACGAATCCCAAACTTTCTAAAAATAAGGCAAAGCCTATATGTTGACATCTACATTTAATTATATAAAAAAGAATAATTTAAAATGTCACTCATCTAGAAGAATATGTTTTCCACTAACAATATACACTACAGTTTCTTAGGTCTCAGCGCAAAAAGCATTTTTAACAGCCAGGCACCATTACAAAAAAAATTTGGCCACCCCCAAAATATGACCTGTTCCAGAACATGAGTAGCTATGCTTAAAAACAATGATCCACATTATGCTTTTCCCAATTTTGGAATGAACATTTGTATGGTGTGCTACAGTTGAAGTGTTTTGCATCTATCATCATTTATCCCACTAATAAAGGCTGAACCTATACACATTAGTATATACTCAGTTAATACAAGGTGGTCATATCTATACTGTGAAAACATAGAGGGCTGGCTAATGACATGCAAGCATTCCATATCAGAGAAGAGAAATCTCTCTCTGATTTGGAACAATATCATTTTGTTGCTCTGAAGATGATTTTGAAATTATACATTTTCTAATCATAGGTTGAAGTGGGGCAGGTGTAATGATAAATCAATAATTTCACCCCTCTTAAAATACAACAAACAAACAAGTAGGAAAGCTACTTCCCTCTCTCCCCCAGAAGAAAGGCATGTGAATTTTTGTTTCAATAGAAATCTTTTAAAGATAATTTTAAAGTTCATGTTTTAAAATCATGTTTAAAAACTCATGTTACGTTACTCTGAAGGTAGTAAGTGCAAAGAGGAAAGCAAGTAATTATGGTAGGGTTATTTTCTAAAATTCAATAAATATTTTTGAGCTAGCATTTTATCCAACTTTCCACGAATTGCCTGTGATTATCCAGGGTGTGGATTACAACCTTTCTGGGATTCTTTCACTGCATGCCACCTAGTCATTCATTTCTCACTGACACATCAATCAAACAGTAGGCCTGAAACTAAAATATGCTTAGTCACTTACTTGTAGTGTTTCCAGGACAATTTGATACAGGATGAAAAAGAATGAGATTTGTTTGCCTATTATTAAAACATTTTACTCTTCACTCTTAATAACATGATAAATTTCCAGTTGACAGGGGAAGAAAAGGGAGCTATATTAAGTGCTTTCCAGATGCCTTGTACCATCCTTAGTACTTTATATATGTAACAAATCCATTATCTTCATTTTAAAGATGAAGAAATAGGCTCGAAAAGATGATTAACTTGCCCAACTAGTTAAGCAGCATTGGGGTATTTGTGCACAGTCTGTCTGGTCCTAAAGGGGCCTCCCTTACAACGATTGGAATGAAAAGAATTACCAATATCGAATGAAAGCTTATGGTCTAGAGTTTTATTTCTGCCATATATTTGTGGAGTGAGAATTTTACAATGAAATCCAAGCACCTATACCGAAATAAGTCAGTATCAGTGATCTTGTCACTTTAGTAAGAGAGGAAAAGTAGGTATTTTGTTCTTTTAAAAATCCTGTTTTTTAATTTTTAGATAAACTCTCATTTTCAGGTCTAGACTTGGATGTACGCTTGCACAGAATGAGTGATTAATAAACCTATACGGGGTGAATGTGTAAAGGAACCAGGACTGAGGAGTGCGGAATGAGAATGGGGTTTGGCTAGTTACTAGCTGTAATCTAGGTGAATCGACTTCTCTGTCTCCATTTTTTTTAAAATTAAGTCTCACTTTGTTTTATAAAATAACTTTAACTTTTTCTCAGGGTTGATGAGGAAATCCAGTGTGCTCGTGGTGAACTCAAAAAATGCACAGCAATAGAAAGTATTCCAAGCCAGTCAACAAAAATTTCTATAAAAGCAGCTCTTAAAAGACTGCAAGTGCTAAGGCACAGGATTTAAGGAGAAAAAGGAACAATCCTGGAGGTGCATTGTTTATAGACCTTTCTAAAAATAGGAGAGAAGTGTCATTTAAATGGTTTTTAAGATGCAAAAACCAAGAACAAAAAACAACCTCGGGTGTGGATGCAATGAGGCATCTTCACTTCCAATGTAGTTAAAATAGAAAAAAGCTGCAAAGAGAAGAGCAAGAGGGAGATCTGAAGCGAGCACTAGCAGAGCTGGCCCCACGAATAACCTAGAGGCCGCCTGGGCGTCCGGGTGGGAGAGACAGTGGGGAGAAGTGGACTCTTCAGGCGGCCTCCACCAAGACCAGAGGAGACGAAAAGCTGAGGAAGGCCTGAATTCCACCCAGCACAAGAGGAAACCTAGCCAGGGAATTTTTCTTATGAGGGGGTCCAGTCAAAGGGCAGCAAGAAAGGCCCAGGCCCTGTCTCGGGGGCCCCCTTGCCTGGTGAAACCGCAGACCCCCCGCCAGGCCGTGGGAACGCTGGCGGCCAGCTCGGCCAGACCCGATGGAAGGGGCTGAAAAACGCGCGCTGCCAGGGCAGAAAAGGCTGCGTGGGCTCCGTGGAAGCAGAGCAGGCAAGGGGTGTGGAGAGAAAGAGGAAAGGGCTGGAAGGGAAGGGTGCTTGGGCCGCGGAGGCACAGGCCTGGCGGAGGTGAAAGCCTCTCAGAGAAGAAAACGTTCCCCATTGGAAGCAACAAACGCTGGGAGTAATAAAAAGAAACGCAGGGCTGCTGATTTCTGCCAACTTTAAAAGGAGGAACGTTGGAGTTGTGAAAACACAGTGGAGGGGGCACGTGGTGCCAAGGGTCGTAAAATGGCGTCCCTGGGTGGTTTTTGAGATTGGCAGGACTGTGCTGTGGAAAAGTATTGTTTGGCTAAGCAAATAATGGGGAAAATCGGCACAGGCTGTATTTCTTGTGGACATGTGAATGGAGTTACAAATCAAACTGCAGTGATTTGTAAACTCTGATGCCTGAAAACTATGTGGAACTCATTACAGTTTACTAACCTTGGAGAACATTCCTGTTTTCCAACTAGCCAAGACCAAGCTGGCTCCAGACGATGTATGGCTGGTTTTGGAATTTTTTTTTTTTTTTTTTTTTCACTCATTGAATCAAGTGGCAATGCTGAGAACGACTTTCTTCCACCAATTTCTTTTTGTTTTTTAAGGATGATCATTACTATTTTAACTATTTTTTTTACTTTTTAAAACATTTTATTTTGAACAATTTCAAACTTATGCCAAAGCAGAGAAAATAATAGAATGAACCCCCATATGACCATCAACCAGCTTCAAAAGCTGTCAATTCCTGGTTAATTTTGTTTCAACTCTACCTCTATGCCTCATTCTCCTTTCCACTGGTTATTCTGAGGTAAATCTCAAACACTGTATTATTTTACTGTACATATTTCATTAACTAATAAGATTGGAAAGTTCACTCAAAATATGTTCACTAAAAAAAAGTTCATTAAAAATGACAGATACTGAATTCCACTCAATATTAGCTTTTTAATATTAGCACTCTGAGGCTTGGGCATGGTGGCTCATGCCTGTAATCCCAGCACTTTGGGAGGCTGAGGTGGGCAGATCCCAAGGTCAGGAGTTCAAGACGAGCCTGACCAACATGGTGAAACCCTGTCTCTACTAAAAATACAAAAATTAGCCGGGCGTGGTGGCACGCACCTGTAATCCCAGCAACTCGGGAGGTTGAGGCAGAGAACTGCCTGAACCCGGGAGATGGAGGTTGTAGTGAGCCAAGATCATGTCACTGCACTCCAGCCTGGGCAACAGAGCGAGACTTTGTCTTAAAAAAAAAAAATTAGCACTCTGTTGATTACTCTTGTTTATAGAGCAAATAATGCAAGACCTAATCTCTGAGGAAACCAAGCCCATTTGGTGGGAAGTGAGTCTGGTTCTCTCCACTCTCCCTGGCATCGTGTGCTGTCCACACTGTGCATTAAAGAATGGTCTTAAGTCAAAGAGAGTATGGGGCTAGGATCCTACATTTGGCTTAGCGTGAATCATTCATTAAGAATTTTTTCTTGTGTATTCATTCATTTTATGGACCTGATATCTCTAATTTCCTGTGACTCAGGTTCTTAAGAATTTCTTTGTTTCTTGTGTAATCATTCAGTTACTCATTCACTCTTTCCACCAGTATTAGTGGGGGCTCACTATGCCAGATACAGGGGATGCAGTAGTAAATAAGCCACAGTCCTTGCTTTTGTGGAATTTAAGTCGTCGGGGCTGGGAGTGTGGGTCAAGTGCAGTGTGATCAAGTGTGTCACTGGGTGTGCACAGTGGGCTCAGGAGGTGCACCTGGCTCACCTAACTCAATCTGGGGTTGGCAGGGAAGAAAGAGAAAGCTCATTGGAGACCTGAAGGAGAAGAAGTTGGCCAGGTACAGGGGCAGGAGGTAAGGTTAGGTAAGCAGGGAGAAGGGTGCGGAAGATACAAAGGCTTGTAGCCAAACCCTGCCATGTGATTACTCTCTATTGGGGTGTAGTCAGGCTGGCTGAAAAATGAGGCTGAAGCAGCAGAAGCCAGATCGTAAAAAGCCATGTGAGCCGGGTCAAGGAGTTTAGATTTGGTCTCAAGGGCAATAGCGACTGGTGTCAGGCTATGTTGTCAGGGACAGTAAGTAAAAGAGCACATTTAGGAGTGAGACAGTCAAGGTGCCACATCTGAAATCACGCCTTCTCACAGACACAGCTTCTGGCTTATCCAAATCCTGTCTGTTTTGCCTTGCTTTGACTACATCATTTGCATAATGCAGTGGTTCTTAACCCTGGCTACACAGTGGCATCACCTGGGCAACTCTGAAAAAATAATGATGCTGGGCCCCCATCCCCAGCTATTCTGATGTAATTGGTTGGGAATGAAGCCCAGGCATCTGTATTTTTTTTAAAAAAAACTCTCCAAGTCTCAACTGAGTTGAGAACCAGTGTAAAGGAGGTTGAGCAGAGAGACCAACGAGGAGGCAAGTCAACATCAATTGAGACCCTGTCATTCTGAAGTGTCAGAGCATACTTTCTTAAACTGTGAAGGATCTCCAGGACAACCAAGTTCAGCCTCTCATTTACAAATGGAGACACCGAGTCACAAATATGTAACACTCAAGGATGCATGGCTGGGTAGACACAGAGGTGGCTCCAGACCCCACCATGCTGCCCCTGTGGTGATTGGCACAATGGTCAACTTCAAGCTTACGGGGGACAATGGCTCTAATGCCAGTTACTACTCATTGAATAGCATTATGTGCCAAAGAGTGAGCTGGCTGCTTTAAGGGTTTATATCTCATTTAATCTTTAAAATGAGGTCAAGGAAATCATTGGTAGACTGAGAAGATACCCTACACTGAACTGAACCAAACCAAACTGAAACACCCCAAGACTCCTGAGGTTCCTTTCAAACTGCTGGTACAATCATAAAGAGGCCTAAGGAGGGATGGGAAAGAGGATTCTCAGGGCAATGGAAACCTCTGGGAAGAGTAGTACACATGAGGTTTCATCTCCACTTACCTTGCAGCTCTTGTTCTATTATGTGCTGTGTCCCTACACTTAATCCTGAAAACTCTTACGGGATTTGTCACTTTACAGCTAAGGAAGTTTAGCTTGAAGAGGCTGCCAATTCTGCCGAAGCTGTCTTCTGGCTCTAGGCTCTGTACCCCCCACCCTTCCCATGCTGCACTGTCTAGGGCACCCCATGCCACCTCATGAACCAAGGCATGTAACTCGACACCAGGCCTGGCTTTACCGAGAGGCCAGCAGGTTAATCCTTTCAACTCTCCCCTGTGGTCCATGCATGGTAATTACAGAGGGAGGGCTCATCTGCATTGCTGCAGGATGGACCAACCCAGAGAGGGTGGAGACATCCTGCTCAGGGGTGAGGCTGGGGAAAGAAGTGCAAAGACAGATGGACCACAGGATGAGGATGGCGAGAAAAGGGAAGGGCCCGGGTGGTTGGGCCCTTTTATCCATTTGGCTCTCCTTTGCCAAGAAATGCCTCTTTTTCTCTATGTCTAGGCTTCCAAGCCATGGGACATATGGTTTGGACTTTAGGAAAAGATTTCATTTAGTTTCTGGTCCAGAATTATTTTGCTGGCTAAGAGATTCAGAGGCTACTTACAAATGACATCTTTAGCATTTGGAGATATTTAATTATAAAAGTGATACCTGCTTATGTTGTCAACTGGAAAAGTATAGACGGTGAAGGAGCAGCAAAACAGAAGAACAATCTGCTGTGAGCCCACCACTCAGCAGGGAATTAATTTTAAAAAATCTGATTTAAAGAGTATTTTTCTTTCTTTTCTTTTTTCTTTTTGTTTGAGAGTGAGTCTCGCTCTATCACCCAGGCTGGAGTGCAGTGGCATGATCTCGGCTCACTGCAACCTCTGCCTCCTGGGTCAAAGTGATTCTCCTGCCTCAGCCTCCCGAGTAGCTGGGATTACAGGCACCTGCCACCACGCCCGGCTAGTTTTTGTATTTTTGGTAGAGTTGGGGTTTCACCATGTTGGCCAGGCTGGTCTTGAACTCTTGACCTCAGGTAACCTGCCCACCAAGGCCTCCCAAAGTACTGGGATTACAGGCATGAGCCACCACGCCCAGCCTGAGTATTTTTCTATTGAACCATTTTGTTTTTGGAAGCACTTGTAGCTTCATACTTTTTTATGGTTACTAATTTGGATTCTCAACCAACTTTTTTTCCTAATATCTGAAACCTAACATAGACAAATCCAGGGTGGAGGCTGGGTGAAGGTGTGTAAGTTGTGGGCATGCACAACGGAGATGTGTGTGTGTGTGTGTGTGCACACATGAGAGGCATGTGCAGAGCTGACACCGCACGTGCAACCTAAACTCAGGACAGCAGGAAGGGAAGGAGTCGTGGAGAGAGGAGATGGTGTTGCAACCTTTGCCTCCTTTCTGCTGAGATGAGAGAGGAATGAAACAAAGTGGGGGGAAGGGAAGGAAATGCTAGGTTAATATATGAAACCTTTAGAAAAGTATTCTCCCTGTTTTGCATATATTTTTAAATGTCCATAATAAAAAGTTTTTCTGTTAAAAAAGGGAATGCGATGCTGGAGATAATTATAGTGTAAAAAATATCATCAGTCAATTTGTTGTTTCAGAAGTCTGCATTATCATAAACAGCATTTAATTCGTTTAAAGTATTATAACTGTTAAAAATTCTAGGACTAGCTCTTTAAGATTTCCAGACTCAAGAAATTTCATCTATATTTCATGAACACAGATAAAAATTAATTCAGAGCTTGTTATAGAAATGGATAGAAGTAATTTAAGAGAAGGGGGAAAATACCTTCTAAGTAAAAACAAACAAAACAAATTATATCTACTTATGAGGAGATAATGTTTCTAGTACCTGTTCCCTGAGGTGGCATCATTTTCTTAAATGATACATAGAACTGAAGAAAGTAGGGGAGAAAGGAAAGGCAAGTTTGAAATATAAGAAAAAGTATGAGTGCAATAACAAGTCAGGAACTCGGCGTTTTGTAGAATCCATCACTGAGGGCTCAGGGCCACTCGGGGGTAGCTGATTCTCTGGTAAGCTTATTAATCCTCCCCTGACTTCGGTTAGAAAATTTTTAAAAATTAGAGGGTTACATTGACTGTTTACTATGAAAAGTACTATTACAATGAAACTGAATCTTTTTAGAATTGACATAAGTAGACTTTTTGTTTCTTCATTTACTGAATGCCCACCATGTTCCCTGTGCTCTTTGGGGCCTTAAACTGGGCATGATATGGTCCCACTGGGTGTCACGGAAGGACAGAGGAGAGGGAACCAGCCGGCCTAGGCAGGCAGGGAAGGCCTCCTGCTGGAGGCAATGACTCTGCAGGGTTTGGAGTAAGGGGAAGGGCACAGGGGCTTGGAGAAGAGATTTTAGCCCAAGAGCTCAGCTGAAGGGAGGCCACGGAGGCAGGAAAGAACATGATGTTTGATGGGTGACGTACAGACACAGCCAGTGAGGAGCATTTCTCTCAGTATTGACCTGAGCGGGGTAGATAAGGGCGCCATTATTCACAAGAGTTTTGGCACAGTCCTTCAGTCATGTCTTAGGAACTTCCTGGCATGTTCAGCTCCAAGACCCATAGACCTGGGTTTGAAACTTGCCTTGAGTTTTGATTTCTTCACCTGAGCAATGGGATAATACCTACCTCAAATAATTCTCATGAGGAATAAGTGGATATCTAATAAGCCCTACATTGAACTGAGTGTTCATCTGTGCAGGGCACAGTATAGAGTCTTGACACCTCCATGAGGTAGGTACCATTATCCCCATTTTAGAGGCAAGGACACCTAGCCAACTAATCAATGGTAAGGCCAGAATTCACAACCAGGCAGCTGGACCGCAGGGCCCAGCTGGGACCCACATCCTCACTGTGGCCATTCTGCTGCTCAGTAAAGCACTGTGCGTGGCCTTGGTAAATGCTGACAGATTTGCATCCTTGGGAGACAGTGTGCTATGCCAAAACAGAATTCTGACTGAATAGAAAATCCTGCATGCATCTTGAATTGAAAGAAAACTTTTAAGATCACCTGGGCCTGTTCTCTGACTTGAGTGTTTGTTTAAACATGATTTCTAGGGTAAATGGCTATTTGTCTAAAATCAGTTGAGGATCAGATCATCATAACCTCCCTGGGAAGCCCAATTTAGTATTTTTTTCAGCTAGAACAGTTTCTGTTTAGGTTTTCCCTTGCTTTTTATTTGGGCAGGCAAGCATGAGCATATGCACAGAACCTGCCCCACAGCCCACGCCCACCCTCCTCTCAACACTGTTCTATATTTGGAGGTATTTCTGATACACTCCTTAGTCTCTTAATTTAAAACTCCATAATGTGTTTTCCATTTCACAATAATAATTGCTATTCAGAGAAAAAAATGTTAAAATAGCTAACATGTATTAAGAGTATCAAGTACTCCGCTAAAAACTTTATGGATTATCTAATTTAATCCTTTTTTTTTTTTTTTTTGCCCAGGCTGGAGTGCAGTGGCATGATCTCGGCTCACTGCAACCTCCACCTCCCGGGTTCAAGCGATTTTCCTGCCTCAGCCTTCTGAGTAGCTGAGATTACAGGCGTGCGCCACTAGGCCAGCTAATTTTTGTATTTTAATAGAGACGGGGTTTCACCATGTTAGCCCCCATGTCTCGAACTCCTGACCTCAAGCGATCCGCCCCACTTGGCCTCCCAAAGTGTTGGGATTACAGGTGTGAGCCACTGCACCCGGCCCTGATTTAATCTTATTGCAGCTCTATAAAGTATTTTGATTTTCCTGATGGAGAAACTGAGTTATAGAGCCATCGAGTAACTTGCCAAGGGTTTCTGAGCTACGCAGTCTATTGTCCCTGAAGAGTGAGGGCCAGCACATGCTCGATGCTGTCCCCGACTCACAGTGTCCGTCTGTCCCAGAAGTCCCAGCTCCTTTCCTGCTCTGGCACCTCCTGCCAATCTTTCTTCATCTCGCAGTTGCGCTCTTTGTTACAGAACGAACTCTTTTGCATGTGTTCCCAATGAACCTAATCTGTGTTGGAAGGACTGTTCCTATTCCTGGGTTTCTCAGTATTCGCAACCCTAAATACTGGACTGGGGCCTTCCTGTGTGAAGAAACATTCTTGATTCTTCATCTGTGGTGTCAATAGCTCTAACAAATGGAACAGACTCTGGGCCCGTCCCCCTGTGACTGCTGCTCTCCAGGTGGCCCCGTCTCTCCCTATTTTTTGATTATTTCCCTTGGTGTTTTACTGTTCCAGACTGTTGGAATTAACTTGCATGTCACTGCAGTCACTTCATATAAAAACGTCAGATTAATTATATGACACTATGAGAGGAGTATGGCCAAACCAGCTATATCTATTTTCAATTTAACAATTTTTCCCACTTGCAATCATGCCAGCAAAAGAACAGTATTTAAATCTTTTGCTTTTTACCTATAAGTGAAAAACCAGAGGCTTAACACAGCGCTTAATTCAAAAAGAAAGAACTAGAAAATAGACGTAATTTACTTAGAGACTAGGTAAATACATTTTGGACACCTAACAGAAGATACCTGGAAGCAAGTAACTGAATCTACCCTGATTCCTTCACACCCCCACCTTACCCCTCCATACTCAGACACACACACACACGACTTCATTGATGGTATCAGTCAACGGAATATCTCTTCAAATATCTACAGTATTGAAAGGTGGTTGGATGAATGAAAAGGAATGAATTATTCTGTCGTTTATGATGTCAGAGTGACTAGGAAGCTTAAAAACACATTCAGAACCTAAGCCTTGCAATGACAAAGTCAAAGGAAGGAGACAGCCTCAGGACTGTGAGCTATATCTCTTGAAAAGGAGGACAGAAAGCTGAAAATTGGACAAGAATCCTAATATACAACTTCAAAAGTATATAGACATTTTAAAGAATCTATCAAAAGTCCATATTACCCAACATTTTAAGAATGTCTAATTGCTTCTTCAAATCACAGTGGAGGATGTGCCTGGTTGGCTTTACGCTCTGAGAAGCTTAAGGTTTCTAATTTATGTCGCAAGCTTATTTAAATAGCCACCAAATCAAAATGACATGTGAAAAATATTAAGTTTATATCAGCTAATGATTCAAAGACAACACTTGTGGGTGTGTGTGGTTGGGAAATACCCAAGAAGGCGCTGACAGCATTCTGCCCTTGGGTGCACTGTGGCCAACAATGCACGGTCTGTAGGTGTGTGTCTTGTGCAATTGTCTACGCCCTTCTGGGCTTAGTCGTGGTTTATCATAGTTCAAAAATTTACCTAGACGCCCCAAGCCAGTCCATAGCCATGCTAGGTGATAGGAATATCTATCAATATTTCTCCCTACCCCTCAAAGAACAGAACCAAGCCCTAACCTGAAAATCATTTCAAGAAATAAAAGTTTCCCAGCTAAGAAGGATTCCTCATTTTTTTCCTCTTCCTTTTAAGATGATCATGTACAGGCATTGAAAAGTTTTAGTAGTAGTTTGATGACTTCACTTCCCATAACTTCTTGTTCCACTAGCTTTTCATTCAGAAGGCCTGGGTGAGAAAGAAATACTTTTCTAATTTAAAAATCTGCATAAAGAATTATCAATGGGTTCCTCAAGAGCCTGACACATGGTGTACTTGGAAATACAAACCATATCTTCCCTGTTCAGCTTTTCTAATCGTTATAGACATCAAGCTAGGGTGAAGAATGGAACTTCATTTTTTTTTTTAACGTGGTTCCCTAGGTTTCCTTGGTTGATACAACAACCTTTATTCCAGTCCATTTTCTCTGAATTCCACCCTTAATGCCATTTTGTTCCTTCTGCAATGTATCATCAAAATGATGATGTTTTAATGATGTACCTTCTTTAGGGCCCCTAAGATTACAGATCAGTGGGATATACTTAAAAGAGCATTCTTTTTTTTTTCTTTTATATTGACTGTTTGTGTTGCTTTGAGACTAGGAGAGTTTTCAGTTTTTAGGTAAGCTCTAAAGCCCTCAGGACTTTCTAAGCTATTTTTTGAAAATCAATTTTTGGCGGGGTGGGAGGGGCCTCGCCAAGTTTAACGAGGCTGGGTGGGAGTTCAGGAACACACTCAGCTCCGATCACAGAAACAAGTTTGGGCGAGCTCAAATTCACCCTTCAGCTATGAAGCCCTCCCAGCCTGGCAAGGTTTGCCACTGTTTGAAAGTGGTGGTTAGCTGTTATGTACAGTTGTAATTTATCTTCTGAATATGAAGAACACAATAAGAAAAGTTGCATAAGAATAAAAATAATCATTACCACCAGAAAAGATAAACAGCAATGTTATTACTAAGCAAACTGACACTTGGCATTTGACACTCGGTAGCAGCAGGAAGCCATTATCCAACGAGTGTCTTTTCCACTGATACCACGTCTTGAATAGATTCAGACAGTCGGGCAAATAGCTGATAAAATTGTGGCACTGAAACATGATTTTTAAAAAACATTTTCATTTGCAAATGTCACTGCCGTCAGATTGGAGCTTCCAGGTGCCTACTGTTGAAATATGAACGCATGAAAAACACACACCTCGTAAGATTACACCTGACTCTCATCCCCTGCTCGGACCAGGACCATCCTGGGTACCTTCGAAAGGCCAGCACGGAAAGCATTCTGCACCAACGCAGCTGGCTGCTTTGGGGACAAACTGTCACCACTTCCTATCTCCAGGCAGCTTGAGAGTAATCTTTCAGAAGCCAAATATTGGTAATTCATCTAACTGAGGCTATAAATCCTGCATTTTTAGTAAAAAGAAATGGTATTTTTATACGCGACTTATATAATAATAATAGACTGAACTGTCTGGTGATGCGGTGGACCAGACTCTTCTCCTAACATAGCTCACGTTTCAGTGATCCATGTTTCAGTTATGTGGCAGTGGACCCATGAGATATCTTTCAGAGGGACTTTCTGATACTACTCATAGGAAGTTTGGGTTAGAGATAGTGTTTCCCTGTGTTTCCCAAGCTGGTGTTGAACTTCCAGCTTCAAGCAATCCTCCTGCCTGGCCTCCCAAAGTGTAGGGATTACAGGCCATTGTGCCTGGCCTGTTTTTTTTCTTTCAATCCTGAATATTTAAATGAAAATTATAACATCATGGTTTTGGGGTGTGAATAAATGCTTCTGTTTGGGAGTTGGGGGTAAAGGTTATTTTCCACGTTGGCCTGATAAAAAACATTTCCTCAGCTTGAGAATAACTTGTACGGGATTTTCTTCCAGCCTAGCATACGCATAGCATAGGTATCCTTGAAAGAAGATGTGTGAGATTCGTGGGCTGGGCTGTATGAAATAACATCTAAAATTTTAAACCCCTTTGAATGGAACTGTTCTCAAGACACAGTAAAGTGGAGCATATTTGTCACATGTTAACGTTGTAAGAGATTATCTGAATCTTCTATGAAATGCTTATGAATTTTTCAAACGAGTAAATCAATCACATGGTTTATTATTATAAAAGTTCTTTCTGGTATGATAAGGGTAGACTCGAAATACGATGAAAAAACAGAGCAAAAATGCCTGGGGTGTTGCTCAATGATATTATTCATGACTGATCAAAAACGAGTACAGTCAGTATTATTGTCCCAAGCGATGTGGATTGTGCCAGAGTCAATAGGAAAGGCCTCACTCTGCCAGTGAGTCTCCTGCCACACCACCATGGTGCCCATGGTACTGCATGGTGACGCGTTTACATCTCACCACCTTTCTCTGCAGCTCAGGTGCCCTGACTTGGAGAGGCATGTGGATTGTGGGGAAACTTAAAACTAAAGATTTTCCTCACAACCTGGGAGATATAGATTAAGTAAACAGCAGGTGGAGCTCAGGAATCTGCATCATTAGAAGTACCTCGAGATGACCCTGACACAGGGGGATTAGGGAAAAGCTATCAATTGGAGGAAAGCATTCTGAAGGCAGGGGACACTCTTCTGTTAATCTGGTTCATTGCTCTTTCCCTCCAGGATAGCGAGACTAGAAAATTCCTTTCTGGTTTGTGCCTTGAATTAAAAACGATGTAAATCTTTGCTGCCCATATTAAACTAGGCCAGGCAGGTCCTAAGGCTACTCTAGCACCTAAGACTCAAAATGTTTGACTTTCACACTGCAGCTGCCCTGGGGTGGCTGAGTTGCTCCAGGTCATAAAGGGAGATACTAAGCAAAATTCATTCACATTCAACAAATATTTATCAAGTGTTTGCTCTGTGCCAGGCACCGAAGACTACTGGCGGATCTGTTATTTGTTTTAAAACCTAGGGCATAGGTTTAGAGGGCTTTTTTTTTTAGATAGAGTCTTTCTGTGTCGCCCAGGGTCTGAAGTACAGTAGTGTGATCTCGGCTCACTGCAATCTCCGCCTCCCGGGCTCAAGCGATTCTCATGCCTCAGCCTCCCGAGTAGCTGGGACTACAGGTGCATGCTACCATGCCCAGCTAATTTTTGTATTTTTAGTAGAGATGGAGTTTCACCAGGTTGCCCAGGCTGGTCTCAAACTCCTGAGCTCAAGTGATCCGCCCACCTCGGCCTCCCAAAGTGCTGGGATTACAGGTGTGAGCCACCGCACCTGGCCCAGAGAGCATATTTTTACAATAAAAATTTAAACAAAGTTTCCTGGATTGGTGTGTGAGTGTATGCATGCATGCGTGCTTATGTGTGTTCCATGTAGGAGTGTGAACCTTGAGTGTCGCACTGGTTGTTGCATTGGCGGGGTGTTTTGGGGTCTACTGTTCCAGCAGCAACAAGAAAGGAGGGCACAGCAGGAGGGTGGTGACTAACACAGCCATGGGCCTCAATCCTCCCAGCCTGGAGAGCAGCCCTCAATATCCCAGTGTTGTCAAGTGCACCATTCTTTCCGGTGGGCACACAGTGCAAGGATCAAAGCTGGTCACTGACTGTTGCTAACAACTTTCTCTTCATAGGTACAAACAACGAGCCATCAGACAAGTGGCAAGGTCACTGGTCCAAAGTCAACTTTGTCCCTGGCTGCAGGCAGGCTTGCACACTGGACATGTGGGCCTGAAAGAAAAGGACTTCAGAAACCCACACGCAAATAAGAACAAGACCCATTTATCCCATTGCCCAGTCCAAGGCGGTCCTTTCCAAACTGTTCCAAGTCATGATACACACAGAAAATGATGGTGCCATATTTGTATGACACTAGGGTAGCAAGAGTTTTGTTCACGGCAGGAAGTGACTGGCCTGGAGCTCTGGCTTCCTCGGGGGCTGAAGGGCTCACATGGGTAACCCATGTCCCAGCACTAACAGAGATGCCCTTGGCTAGGGAATAAGGTGAAGGCTGCCTTGAGAAGAAAGTGGCTTGAAATATCATAGACAACTTGACCTTTTGTCTAAAAACCACTCTTAGAACACAGTTCCAAAAGGGGTGTGTTGGACTATATGGCTGAACATGGGAAACATTAAAAAATCCTGTGCCCAGTCCCTGCTCCAGACCAATAAAATTGGGATCCAAAGATCCCACTTGGGGTGGGCATGGTGGCTGATGCCTATAACCCTGGCACTTTGGGAAGCCAAGGAGGATCACTTGACCCAGGAGTTCGAGACCAGCCTAGGTAACAAAGTGAGACCTCGTCTCTACAAAAACATAAAAAATTAGCCAGGTGTGGTGACATGCACCTGTAGTTCCAGTTACTTGAGAGGCTAAGATGGGAGGATTGCTTGAGCCCAGGAGGTTTATGCTGCAGTGAACTGTGACTGCACCACTGTACTCCAGCCGGGGCAATAGAGTGAGACCCTATCTGGAAAAAAAAAATTGGAATCTTTGAGGGGTAGGGGCAGGCAATTTTTTGTTGTTGTTGTTGAGTCCCAGTTGATTCTAACCTGCCCCTGAGTTTGAGAACCATCATTATGAGGCTGGGAGCCGTGGCTCATGCCTATAATCCCAGCACTTTGGGAGGCTAAGGAGGGTGGATCACTTGAGCCCAGGGGTTCAAGACCAGCCTGGGCAACATGGTGAAACCCCGTCTCTATAAAAAATTAAAAATTAACCGAATGTGGTGGTGTGTGCCTGTAGTCCCAGCTACTCAGTGGGAGGATGGCTTGGGCCTGGGAGGTAGGATCATGCCACTGCACCGCAGGCTGAGTGACAGAACAAGACACTGTCTCAATAAATAAATAAATAAATAAATAAATAAATAAATAAATAAATAAATAGAACCATTGTTATCAAAGAGGAGGAAACAATAAGCATCATGGAGTCAGAGTGGGAGCTGGAGGCCTGGCTCTTACCCCATTTCCCAAAGAACACTGACTCTTAAGGTGAAGCCACTTAACCTCTCAGAGTTTCAGGGCTCTTCTCTGTAGGGATAGAGGGATAAATACAGTTCCTTACCTATAAGGTTATATCTGATATAACCTTATATATAAATACCGTCCCTACCTATAAGGTTATATGAAATAAACCCAACCCAGCCTTTAAATGTAACTTTATGATTTGAATAACGTTACTCAATTATTTTCCCTTCATTCTTTGGAGGATCTGGCCTCTGAGTACAATATTTTACCCAATCATTAATTTATACATTGAACAAACTTTTGAATGTCCACCCTGCGGCTGGGATGCTACCAGGTCCCAAGGATACAGGATGAAACCTCCCTTCCAGGGAGAGGGTTTCTGTCTATGATGAGACTGAGTTTTGGGTTAAGTGAGAAGTTACTGGAAGTTGAGTGTATGACCCGGAGTCCTGCCCTGAGTTATTTCATGTTAGGATACCCAGTATGACTCATCTGGCCATCAGAAGCTCTGGCAGGGGTGCAAATGTGCGATGTCTGTGGCTAGCAGAGTGGCCTTCATTTTCATAGATCCAGTGTGATTTGTGATAGTGACAAAATCTGCTTCTAAATCTAAACTGACATGCAAACTAGATTTTGTCTTGAAAATATAGATGAACAAAGATGTATTTTTTGGGGGGAAAAACATGTAGGAATAAAATTAGTTTTAATATAAGGAGAGAACTATATGTCAAAGTGGGCCTATTTATCATGTGTGTTCTTTTCTTTCTTGTTCTAGAAAAAGAACACCTAGATCTCACGCTTCCATCTAGATGTTCTTTTGCTTTTTTGAAAATTTTTGTGTGTACATAGTAGGTATATATATTATGGGGTACATGAGATACTTTGAAACAGGCATGCAGTGCACAATAACCACATCATGGAGAATGGGGTATCCATCCCCTCGAGCATTTATCCTTTGCATTACAAACAATCCAATTGTAACTTTTAGTTATTTTAAAATGTACAATTAAATTATTATTGACTATAGTCACTGTGTTGTGCTATCAAATACTAGGTCTTACTCGTTCTTTCTAGATACTTTCTGTACCCATTAACCACCCTCTCTTCCCCTCCACCCCCAGCCCACTACCCTAGATGCCATTAGCAAAAAGCTCAATTACTTTTGCACCAACCTAAATATTTTTCTTAATATCACTACTCACTGAAACCTTGCTTACTGGTGGTTTACTTGTTTACTGGCTGTCCTTCGCCCTTGCCCAGGTAAACTATAAGAGCAAGGACTTTTGTTGGTAACTATTTATGCATTGGCAGATGAGGAGCACACAGTAAGTCTGTTGAAAGAATGAAAGAACGGGCCACGCTCAGTGGTTCACACCTGTAATCTCAACACTTTGGGAGGCTGAGGTGGGAGGATCACTTGAGGCCAGGAGTTTGAGACCAGCCCTGGCAACATAGTGAGACCCCTGTCTTTACAAAAAATAGAAAAATTAGCCGGGTATGGTGGTGCATGCCTACAGTCCCAGCTACTCAGGAAGCTGAGGTGGGAGGATCACTTAAGCCCAGGAATTCAAGGCTACAATGAGCTATGATCCTGCTACTGCCCTCCAGCCTGGGTGACAGAGCAAGACCCTGTCTCAAAAAACAATCAAACAGGACAAAACAAAAACAAACACAATAGAGGAAACTCAGGCACTGTATGGCTATCTTTCCTTTAAATTAGGCTCGAAGACTTTATGAGCTAGATTACTTTAAAAATAAGGCCTTTTTTGTTCCCTAGTGGCAAAGGAAGTTTGCTGAATCCAGCAGTTGTGCAAGGTAAGTTACTGAAGGACTGGCTTTTCAGCACTAAACATAAAATCCAGTTTCATTGTTTTTTTAAAAGTCATTTGAAGCCAACCATTTCATTTACTCTTTACCTATATAACTGAGGAGCAATTTTGGAAAAGCAGTATTGTAAGATGAAAAGAAGAGAGAGAGAGAAGAGGAAAATTTCTTCTATTACCCTGGAGAAACTTTCCATTTTTCATTTGCCAGGTGCTTTCCCCCCTTTTAAGTTCCTCCATAAACTAACTTTTTTTTTTCAAAGATTAACCCATCTTGCCAACCAAAACTGTTCATCATTTTATGCGTTTCCTTAAGACTTTTCATAGCAGCAGGGATATGCTCTCTTTCCATCTGTGCCGAGACTACATAACGAAGGTTGATTTAGACTCATCTAAAAATCCCTAATACCTATTCTGTGACTTTTAAATTTGCTATCGACATTGAATTATAAAGCATGTGGATGTAGAGAGCAGGTTATAATAAAAAGCTCACTATTCCATGTCATGCAGTGATTCCGAAAGCAAGTGTAGTGAATAAATTGAATGCATTTTTTTTTTTGGCATTTCTGTTGAGATCCTAAAACAACGGCTTGCACGATGAGGCTGCTGAACCCATGTCTACGAACTGTAGTGTTAAAACTGGAACTGTAAAGTCATAAAAAGTGATAGCACAGAATCCCCAACCCTAATACAGGATTACAGCAAACTCCCTAGGCTGGCATACAACAGTTACAAGGAAAGCCAAATTGTTGAATGCAATTATCCTCTGAATGTATGCACCAATCCCTTAGTGTTGCAGTTGTCTGAATTTCCTTTTGGTGTAGCTCCACATAAGCAATCCGGTAATGGCTAACCCATCCGAGAATGACGCACGCCAAAAGCTGGATTGCTGCTGGCAGAGCACACATGTTTGGCATCTCCATCCTAAAGCTCCAAATACACACACCCCTGGGTGGCCATGGGTGTTGACTGCAAGGCTGAAAGTAGAGTTTCTTGCGTTTTGCAATTACCTACATATGCCAGCATGCTTAGTAACTCTACTGCTATTTAGAAGAGACCAATTTAACATAATCTACTTATGTGGGAGTTAACTCATGTACTGGGTTTAAAATATACAAAAGCTTTGTCAAGCAGTCAGGTTGGATGGCTGAGGGGACTGAAACATGAGATCTCACCTTTTACCTCTAGGTCATTGGTTGACAATCAGTGCTTTTATTTAAGACCCTTGTCTTATTACCACTTGATAGTAATAACCTATTACACTTGATAGGTTCGATGAATTAGTAGTATCAATCTACTTCTTGGTTTTAAAAATGGTTATCCACATCTGAATAACCATCAATACAGCTGCTATTAAGATTGTTTTTGTTGGAGGTAATAGTAGAGAATGAATAGATCTAACTTTGAAATCAGACGTGTTTTCTTTTAAAGCAGAAATTGAACGTATTTTCATTATGCATGTGGCTAAGAGGATATTTCAGTGTCAACAGTAGATCTTAAAGAAGCCATATAATATGGTACCAATATTAATTATTTATGAAAAATTACTTAGTTACCTAGATCTTTTATTACCAATGATGTTAATAAAGGGTGCCTTGGATTTTTGACTAAGATATAATCAGGTCTGCCCTTAAAATTTTCAGGGTCCAGGGCAAGAGTGCGAGTGGAGGGTCTACTTTGCATACTTCTAGATATTTACAAGCTACAAATCAAGCTAACAAACTATTAAACAAAATATGTTCTATCTTCTTTATCCATTTATAATTCTTTTTTGGTGGTAATATATTTTTCTTGACTTCATACTTATTTAAAGTGAAATTATTGCAGATCTGAACTGGGTGTTTTTCTTGGGGATTACAATTCAAAATGGCAGTCAGAACTGGAGACTCTTATGAGCCTCTGAAAGGAATCAGTGTTTACCACTCAGATGGTGGAGATTAACCTCTGTCTCAGAAACACCTCCTAAAGAGCTGTTTTGCATCTTACATACACATTGGTTAAGAAGAAATACATTACTGATATATGTAATACTTCAGTTAATTTGAAAACTTTAGTCCCTTTAGCTAAAAAAACACCTGATGATGGAGATGAATGAACAACATGAGTGGCTAACCTTGAGGTGTAAAAGTCAATTTACTCACTGAATCATTACTCAGGGTTTACAAGCTAAAAAAAAGCATGTGCACACACACACACACACACACACACACGCATTGGAACCACTGGTAACCTTGGTAATAAGAGAAATGAAGATTGAAAGCTATTTTCTTTTGGTGAAATGGCCATTATGAGATACATGAAATAATCATTGAGGAAGAGGCCTACATTCTCCAGAAGGGATCATACATCTTGGTGCCATTCAGAGTCAGATGGTGAAAATCAAGACCTCTTTGGAAAACTGCAGAGGTTCCTATTTTATTGGTCTGGAGCAGGGCCTTGCATGGCTTTTTAATGCTTCCCAGGTGCTTCTAATGTTCAGCTGTATAGTCCATCATAGTACTTTTTGGGGACAAAGTTCTAAGGGTGCTCTTTAGCCAAGAGGGTAGGTTAAGTAGAGACAGAATTTTAAAAACACCTACAACATTTCAAAACGGAG
The DNA here is from genome assembly GCF_000001405.40 of Homo sapiens. Lineage (NCBI taxonomy): Eukaryota > Metazoa > Chordata > Mammalia > Primates > Hominidae > Homo > Homo sapiens. The sequence goes on from NC_000018.10 coordinate 26,497,154, forward strand.
TAAAGGTTCTTTGCAGGAACTCTGAAATTGTAGAAAGATAATATTATATCTTTTAAGGTCACTTGTTACATACAAATTAGTATTTTTAAACTACAGGTCTTTCCCTTGAAATCTTAGAAAAAGCCCCCCTATCCTCTGGGTGACACTAAGGAAGAGGTAGGTGAGGGTGGAACCAGGGGATCCAAGAGGGTGGGGCAGAGAATGGTCCCATAGGGTAGGAAGGGTTTGAAGCACCCCAGAATCTACAAAACTAACTGGAGTTATTTGTGATTCCATGGCCATGGGCAACCTAATGTCCTTGGATTTATCCAAGAGGGGTTGATAATATGCAAGAGACTTTCCCAGAAATTGGAAGGAGCACCCGACGCTATGGGAAAAGCATGAAGAACTAGTTCTTCTCTGTTTCTTTGATTACTAAAATTTGCGTATGGGTCCCATTAAATTGGATGTTGCTTTGACATGAACATTTAATTACCTACAAAAATACGCCCCCCAAAACCCAAGAGGAAACAAAGCAATACCCAATGGTCAATTCAACAGCAAAACCAGTGTTACCTGAGCAGCGTCATTTGCTTTAGGTATTAGCAGCTGAAACAGAAGTTACTTTGTAAGGCTTGTTTCAAAGAGTCTTGACAAATTCTTAAAGATATCTCCTAATGATAAGGATGTCTCGGAACTTGTGACCGGCTGGGGTATTTAAGATAAAGGAGGAGAAGGTGCAGGCCAGGAGTCCCCTGAGACGGGAGTCATCCAGGCAAGAATCCAGATGTAAAGCTGCTTCCATGGCTAGGAAAGCAAGAAATGGAAAATATTTGGAATTTGAGAAGAAACAATTCCTGGGTTTGGCAGAAGATTAAGTATGAAGACAATGCTACATGTTGGGCACAGGGCCACGGTGTGCTTTTCACAATCACATTTAATACCCCCAGTAACCTTGCAAGGAGACCTATTTGTGCCTGTTTTACACAAGAGATGACAGGTGTTCAGAAATCAGACCTTTCCATAGCCAAAGAACTGTTCGCCATTTGCCAGCATCCAATCCGAGAACCAATGAATCACAAATTATTTTTGCTGTTGCTCCTGTGATCCTAGGACTCACTGGTGACAGAAAGCAGAGGGCAAGTCTAGGAAAGGAAGATCAACAATTCTATCTTTTCTAATTACGTTGGTGAAAGAGACACTCGCTTTTTTATGTATTTCAGTATCAGGTTAGGGGAGGGGTAGGTTTAGTGAGATGCTTTTATAAAAACATCTGTTTCATAGTTCAGCGCTGTCCAACAGAAATAAACAGCAAGACACATGTAATTTTATATTATCTAGTAGCCACATTAAAAAATCAAAAGAAACAAGTAAAATTAATTTTAATAATGTTTTATTTAACTCAACATATTATCATTCCAACATGAAATCAATTTAAAAAATTACTGAGTTTACATTTTTTTGGTACTAGGTCTTTAAAAATCAGTGTATATTTCAAACTTAGATGATATTTCAATTTGGATTGGCCTATTTAAAGCGCTCAATAGCTGTACGTGGCTACTGGCTACTGTATGACACAGCGCAGGTAAATAAAGTGATGAGATCCATGGAATTTGATGCATGTTTCAGGGTTTGGATAAGAAGGAACAAAAATAGACTCTTAGAAATATCCATGGAAAGATGGGCTGAGAAAGCATCTCCAAATGGGACACTATTTGAAGTCTTTACCTCATAATATATAGCGCCAGAATAATGAAAGTAGCAAATTATTTGAGAGATAGGAACTGAATGAATAGAGCCTCTCTCCCTCTGTCTTCTACTTTGGCCAGGAGACCAAGTGATACCAGGGAGCTTCCCAGGGGCTAAATCCTGGCGGGAATGAGTCAGTGGAAGGAGACCCACCTAGTTACAATGAGCATAGAAGAAAACCTATTGCTTAAGTCACAGAAAATATAGTTTTTATTAACTTCCCTCCTGTCTCAAGGTTTAATTTACAGAAACTGAAGCAAAAGGCCATCAGACCAGACCAGTAAATCTTGCTACAGTTGAAGGTTTGCTTTTTTGTCTCTTAATATGCATTTTGTGACTTAAACCCTAGAATTAAATTCATCTAAAGAGGCAGCTGTGATTTTCTGTAGTTGATGGTGGTATTAACAGAGGGTCGGAAGGAATGGAAACAGGCATTTTCAAAAAGAACACTACTTATATAACAAAATTCTTGAAAAATAAAGCCATTATTATAATATGATTTTTCGTAGTACCTATTCCAATATACTTAGGGAAGGTGGGGACTAAATAATACTAATAGATGACTAATACAATCATTTCATTTTAAAGTATATAGTCTTTTGGATAATTGAACAAATGGAAACCTATTTTATTTAAATCATTTCAATTGTAGAAATTAAATCTGGAAATTAAGAGAGAAAACATTTCATCTTTCTTCTTTCCAACCTTCACATTCTTTCATAAATTATCAAGTAATGGAGTGAGATTTTAAAACAAAAAACAAAAAGTCGGCCTTCATGTAGTATGCAAGGTGACAGTGACTTTTATGTCAGTGGTGTCTACTTAGACTGTAAGCTATCTGTTATCTGTCACTTCATAAGACATTCTGAAAAATGTGGCCGGTGCCCTTCTGAAGCTCAAGGAGTGTGTTTCCAGTTCCTGTGATCAGAAACAGAGAAATGCCCTGTTTCCCGACATTACCCTACATGAATGCATGCCTCCTCCCCTATCCACCAGCAAAAAACTTCCCTTACAGGATCTGGACATAGCCCCCAAATCTGGGGCAGAGCCAGGAGGGTTGTCCCAGGGTAGAAAGGAAATTATTTCTTTGGAACTCCTTTAGAAATGGGTGGTTGGGGCAAGGTGCAGTGGCTCACACCTGTAATCCCAGCGCTTTGGCCAAGGCCAAGGTAGAAGAATTGCCTGAGGCCAGGAGTTTGAGACCAGTCTGGGCAACATAGCGCGACCCCATCTCTACAAAAAATAAAAAAATTAGCCAGGTGCAGTGGCTCACACCTAGAGTCCCAGCACTTTCGGAGGCTGAGACGGAAGAATTGCTGAGGCCAGGAGTTCAAGACCAGCCTAGGGAACACAGTCTGACCCTGTCTCTACAAAAAATTTAAAAAAAAAAAAGCTGGGCATGGGGGCATGCACCTGTGGTCTCAGCTCCTGAGAAGGCTGAGGTGGAAGGGTCACTTAAGCCCAGAAGGTCAAGGCTGCAATGAGCCATGTTTGCACCACTGCACTCCAGCCTGGGCGACAGAACAAGACCCTGGCTCCAAAATAATAATAATAATAAAAAAAATGGGTGGGCAGGGGCATGGGAGGAGATATCTCATAAACATAAATGTATACTGCCTACTTGTAAATCACTCTCCATCTTTAAACAATTTGTATATTTATTTATCTACCTTAAGTTCGTAAGTTCCATGGCCCTTCATTTTTTGTAAACTATACTATTTTGGCTTCTTGGACTTTTGCATACAGATCTAAATATAATGCCTCACTGCTGAGAATCTCTTTTTTTTCTAGTTCACAAGTTGATGAACCAACTGATCTCCTATAAAATTATCAGAACCTATAAGAAAGCATGTTTTTAAAGAAGGAAGGAACAAAGGTGTTGGGGAGAAATCACCATCTTTTTTTGTACTACATTGAGAATTATGAATATCATTGTAGAGCAAAATATCACAGTATTCCATTCTCCTGTGACATTTTTACATGGACTCAACTAAGCTGCGGGTCCAATCCTGATTCGAAGATGTCCAGCCATTGTCCAAGACATCCAGCCTAGGCAGCAGGGTGGCTCACACAGCACTTTCACATCCTGCCCCCTGCCTCCACGAGGCTACACTGCTATGCTGGTCAAAGGAAAAACAGGTTACCAAATACATGCACGTCGGAGTCTGATTTTTCAGTTTTTCAGATTACCTGGATTCAGGGTATTTGGTGAGGGTGGCCAGGCTGCTGGTGTACATGTGGCCGCCCACATCAATGTGGACAGGCGCATTGGATTTTGTGAGTTGTGCTGGAGTAGGGATGCCTTGGTTGTTCAGTGGAGATGCAGGGGATCTAGTGATCAGAGGTCTTGACATATTGGGCCGACTGTCCTACAGAGAGATAAGCAAGTTTAGATACTTTTTCTCTTTACAGTAGAAAGATAGGAAATACATATAGCATAAAGAATAAACGAGTGATTAACGATACTCATTCAGTAATAAAACCTGAAAAACCGGCAAGCTCTTGCTTTTGTTATAATGAATATCAGAAAAACCAATTCTGTAGCAAAGAAAAGGAAATCTTCACATGCTCAGAAATAAGGAGCTGAACTAATGTTCACTTCAAATAACTCTGAGGACTATGAAGGCTTATTATACTAAGAAATTCTTGCATTTAACAATTGACACATGGCAACTAGTATGATATGAAAAGTCTATTCATTCCAAATAAAATGACAATCAAACACTTCAAACAATACATATCTAAATAAAATGCGTATGAGTTAGCCCTCTCTTTGAAAACTTCCTCATTGCTATGCACTTGGAATAAAAACAGACCTCTGACACCTGTGTTCTACAAAATGTTTTCTTAAACTTTCATTTTTCAAATCAGGAAAAAGAGAGCATACTGGTCTAGCCATCAGCTCACATACTTAAAGCAACCTTGCAAAGAGATACCACAAGTTCATCAGTCAACAGAATATACCCTCAAATGATAAATATGTGCTTGCTCATGAACCACAAGCGAACTGCTCTTCTGCATGCCTGACTTCTTGAAGAAATCAAGTTCCCAAAGTGTAACTGAGGCAGATGCTGATGTGCGGTTGCACAAGCAAAGGTGCAATGTGAGCAAACAGACCAGAATGAGGATATCACCTGGTGGCAGTAACAACATGTTTAAGAAATTGTACCTTTTTTTTCTTTTTTTGAGATGGAGTCTCGCTCTGTCGCCCAGGCTGGAGTGCAGTGGCACGATCTCGGCTCACTGCCAGCTCCGCCTCCTGGGTTCACGCCATTCTCCTGCCTCAGCCTCCTGAGTAGCTGGGACTACAGGCGTCCGCCACCACGCCCAGCTAATTTTTTGTATTTTTAGTAGAGACGGGGTTTCACCGTGTTAGCCAGGATGGTCTTGATCTCCTGACCTCGTGATCCGCCCACCTCGGCCTCCCAAAGTGCTGGGATTACAGGGGTGAGCCACCGTGCCCAGCCCGCCCTGCTAATTTTTATATTTGTTGTAGAAACAGGGTTTTTCCATGTTGCCCATGCTGATCTTGACCTCCTGGGCTCAGGCGATCTGCTCATCTCAGCCTCCCAAAGCGCTAGGATTACAGGCGTGAACCACCTCACCCAGGTAGAAACTATACTCTTGAGAAAATAAATTATTACATCCTTTCCATGGATACAATATAAATATTTCAAATGCTATCAAAACACGGTTGTTTGCTTTTCAATTAGAGCCCAAACCACAGACAAGTAAAGATAGGTCTCTGGTATTCAATGAAGGGGTCAAACATTTAGAGTATCTAACTGAAGAGTAAGCTAAAATAGCATTTATGTACAAATTCTGTAACACCGATGACACACGTATACTCTCAGATTTATAATTTTAGCCAAAGATTGTTTTCAAACATGCAAACAATGTATGGCAAAGCCAGGGATAAGGCACACTGAAGGGATTTTGAAAAATGCCTTTGATGGAGACCACAAAGGGGAAGTCATCTAGTTTTTGTGCATAAAATGCAGCATGATAAAATATAAATTTGCAAAACATCATAGATTTTATGATCTGGAACAGCTTCAGGAGTTACCTGGGGCACAACTGTTAGACTACTTAGCATTAACCACATGTCCAAGCAAGACTGTGAATGCACATGCTTTCTGAAGCTCAACATCTACTGTGAATGGGGTGGTGACTGGGCCTTTACGCAAAATGTTTACCATCTGTGTTGTGCGTTTCTACATGCTGAATTAACAGAGCCTAGAAACAGTTATAGAAAAAGAGTTAATGTTTTAGTTCTTAAATCGGCTGGTCGGCTCAAGGGTGTTTACTACATTATTCTTTATATGTTTCTAGATATTTTTAACAATGCAAAATAGATATTGAAAAACACAACAGGATGTTTGTAACACACAAAGAAGAGGAGTTAAAGGGGTATTGGGTATTGGAAAAAAATAAAAAAAACAAGACAGTTGGTAGGAAATATGAAACAGGTAAGGTTCAGAAATACTAAAAGTAGCATTTTAAAATCTGGATGACAGAAAACATATTTTTCCTTTAAAAATGCAATCATACAACCTCCACTTTTAAGAGATACGTACTGACTTCCTGTTAGAAAATGATTTCCTGGCTACGGACACACAAACACACACACACAGGCACACACACACCTCCCTCCCTGTTACATTTCAGCCCATCACAGCGCGGCAGAGTCTGTAATAGTTTTTCAATTGGACACATTCTCTATCCTGCCTGAGGGTGCTCAGGCGAAAATGAACAGATTTGCAGGGTTAATATTGTCGTTAGACTGTGACCTCATTCAGCATGGCTCTAACACTGCCAGGTCTGTACAGAAAGAGAAAAAAATGAAAGCATAACTGATCGGTTGAAGCATTCCAGATTTCTCAGAATATATACCATTTACACTGTAAGTCATAAATGCAATGGATATTGCTAAATTTAAAATTAAACCAGTGTTTCTTCAGCTGGGGGTGGGGGTGGGGTGGGGTGGAGATTGGCCCTTAAGGGCAAGGATTAGCAATGCCCTCCTTTGGTGAGCCCTCTTGGTTCTCCTAGGCGCTTTCCCCATCCTGGATGTTCTCCTCTTTCTGCAGGGTTGCTGTGGCTGCGCTCATTTCTAAGGCATTAACTGATACTAGTTAACACAGTCAGAGCTTTTCACTTGGTATTTTCCATATGGGGCAGATTGTAAGAACTTTTTTTTTAGGAGACAGAGTCTCTCTCTGTTGCCCAGGCTGGAGTGCAGTGGTGTGATCAAAGCTGCTCACTGCAGCCTCAAACTTCTGGGATCAAGCGATCCCCCCACCTCAGCTTCCCAAGTAACTGGTACTACAGGTACGTGCCACCACGCTCAGCTAACTATTATTATTATTGTTATTTGAGACAGGGTCTCACTCTGTCACCCAGGCTGGTGCAATTTCAGTTCATTGCAACCTCCACTTCCCAGGCTCAAGCGATTCTCCAGCCTCAGCCTCCTGAGTAGCTGACACTACAGGCGCAGGCCACTAATGCCCAGCTAATTTTGGTATTTTTAGTAGAGACAGGGTTTCGCCATGTTGCCCAGACTGGTCTTGAACTCGTGAGCTCAAAGTGATCCTCCTGCCTCGGCCTCCAAAGTGTTGGGATTACAGGCATGAGCTACCACATCTGGCCTAATTTTTTATTTTTAACGTTTTTAGAGACAAGGGTCTCACTGTGTTGCCCAGGCTGGCCTTGAACTCCTGGCCTCAAGCAATCCTCCTGCTTCAGCCTCCCAAGTCACTGGGATTACAGGTGTGAGCCACTGTACCTGATATATAAGAACTTTTAAAATCCTTAGGCTGGGGTTGGGGGGGCGATATTTGGGGCTGAGAGTTTGGGCACTTGTATTAGACACTGAAGTTGATGCTCAATATGTATCCCATTGACTCCAGATGTTTCATCTAACACAATTGTGGCAACCTCTTCCTTGGCCAGTAGCTGGAGCTGACACTTTCTCAACTTCACCTGGATGGACACTGAAGTCCAGGATGGGATGCTGCTACCTGCAGCTGCCATCTCCCTGCCAATTTAAGGATGAAGCCAATGCCCAGGATGGCAGAGCTGAGAGCTGGAAGGAAGCCAGGTCCTCGCTGACATTGTTGACACACTGCATCAGCCATCTCTCAGCCTCCCACCTCTAGATTTCCTGTGACTTGGGAAAATAAATTTCTGTATTTGTAAAGCTAGTTTGAAATGGGATTTCTGCCACCTGTCTTGATAAGGAATCCTTCCTGTTACACAGCTGCTTCCCTGCGAGGTCATTTGGCTTGGGGGCCTTGGCCAGGGATGCCAAGCATGGCTGCCTGCTGAGATGCAGCAGAGCCTTCTGTCGTTCATCATCGTCCTCAACTCTACCTTCCCATCATCATCTTAGTTTGTGTATGTCTTTCAGGATTACTTCTGGAGAAAGGAAAACCATAACCTTTAACCAGAAAGAGTGCAAGGGACTTGGATGTGCCGTCACACTGCTGAAGAAACAACTCAGAGTGCTGAAGACTATTTCGATTTCTGCGCATTGCTCAGGCAAAGAGCTCTGTGATAAAACTCCCTCCGGAATACAGACGAAGAACCCGGGAGAGGAACCCTTGTCTTAACATGAAGCTACTTGATTACTGCTCCTCCCCTGTGCAGCCCATTGTTCTCTCCTTTGCAACATTTTTACTAATTTATTTTTTAGAGACAGGGTCTTGCTCTGTTGCCCAGGCTGCAGTGCAGTGGCGCAATCATAGCTCACTACAGCCTTGAGTTCCTGAGCTCAAGTGATCTTTTTGTCTCAGTCTCCCAAGTAGCTAGGACTACAAGTGTGCACCACCACACCTGGCCAACTAATAACATTTTTTTGTAGACACAGGGTCTTGCTATGTTGCTCAGACTGGTCTTAAACTCCTGGCCTCAAATGATCTTCCCACCTAGGCCTCCCAAAGTGCTGGAATTACAGGCATGAGCCACCAGGCCTGGGCCATGACATTTTATTATCATTATTATTATTATTTTGAGACAGGGTCTCACCTCTGTCACTCAGGCTGGAGTGCAGTGGCATGATCTCAGCTCAGTGCAGCTTCCGCTTCCCAGGTTCAAGCAATTTTCATGCCTCAGCCTCCCGAGTAGCTGGGACTGCAGGTGTGCGCCACCACCCCTGGCTAATTTTTTTTTTCATGTTTTTAGTAGAAATGGGGTTTCGCTATGTTGCCCAGGCTGGTCTCGAACTCTTGAGCTCAGGTGATCAGCCCGCCTTGGCCTCCCAAAGTGCTGAGATTATAGGTGTTAGCCACCGCGCCCAGCCCATAACACTTATTAACATCTCTTGAGTGCCAGACACTGTTCAAGGTGATAAGTGAACAAGAGTAAACAAAACAGGCTGGTCTCTGGCCTCAGCAGTCCTGCTGTTCAGTGGGAGGGAGCCCATGAAACATGCGACTACAATCAGGACAGAGGAAGGCCGGGCTACTATGGCAGCTGATGGAGAGGACATTTAACCCAGGGTTGGGGGCTGGGAAGGATGGGGAAGGATCCCTAGAGACTGAGAACTGAGAAGTTAACAAACACTGGGAGGTTGGAAGGAGAGTGCCCAGTGCTATTCCCAAGGCTCCAAAGTGGGAGAGCACATGGTACCTTTCAGAAATTAAAAGTTCAATATAGCGTCGCAACCACTTATTTTTTTCTCCAAGGTTGAGGGATAATGCGGGAGACAGAAGCTTGTATGTTGATCTGTGGTCTGAGAACCACAGAATTAAATGATAATTTACAATGAAAAAATAAATGAAGCCCACCATAACATCCTTGTGTCTGGAGAAGAGGAGGTAGAAAGGTTGGGAGCTAAGACCCCACAATCTAAACAGAGCTGTCCATAGAACTTTCTGCAGTACAGGAGATGCTCTGGACCTGCACAGTTCAATATGGTCACCACCAGCCACAAGTGGGTGTCATAGTGAGACTGAGGAACTGAATCTTTAATTTTATTTTAGCTAATTTAAATTTTAATTTAGGCCAGGCGTGGTGGCTCACGCCTGTAATTCCAGCACTTTGGGAGGCCGAGGCGGGCAGATCACCTGAGGTCAGGAGTTTGAGACCAGCCTGGCCAACATGGCAAAACCTCGTCTCTATTAAAAATACAAAAATTAGCCAGGTGTGGTGGCAGGTGCCTGTAATCCCAGCTACTCGGGAGGCGGAGGCAGGAGAATCGCTTGAACCTGGGAGGTGGCGGTTTCAGTGAGCCAAGATCGCGCCACTGTACTCCAGCCTGGGTAACAGAGCAAAACTCCGTCTCAATAATAATAGTAATAATAATAAATAAATTTTAACTTAGATAGCTACCTGTGGCTAGTTGCTATCATTTTGGACAGTGTAGTAACTTTGGGTAGCAAGTAAACTTTGCTAGAATTTTTCTTAATATTTGGAAGCCCAAATTATGACAAACTTGAATTTCCCACTTCTGTGATGGAGAAGCAGGAGTAATTTAGAACTGAATACAATTTATTCTTATTTCTTAGAGACTCGGTCTCACTCTGTTGCCGAGGCTAGAATGGAGTGGTGCTATCAGGGATCACTGAAGCCTTGAGCTCCTGGGGTCAAGCGATCCTCCTGCCTCATTTTTCCAAGTAGGTGGGACTACAGGTGTGTGCCACCACACTTGGCTAATTAAAATTTTTTTTTCTTTTGTAGAGATGGGGACTTGCTATGTTTATCCAGGCTGGTCTTGAACTCCTGGCCTCAAGTGATCAAATGCCTTACGACCCCTCACAAACACATTCATTTCCCTCTCCCTTTCTAACAGTATTTCTCCCTTCTTTACTGACACTATACTTTTTTTTTTTTAAAAAAAGAATGATGCCCTGTGGATTTGGAAGAGCACTGAAGAAAAGGTGTCAGGAACAAAAGGGCACGTACTGTATGATTGTATTTACATGAAGTGACAGGCAGGCAGGACGATGACAAAGATCAGAACACTGGCCACCTTTGGGAGTAGTGACTGGAAGAGGGAGTGACCAGCAAAGCTGCACATCTTGATCTGAGTGGTGACACAGTTGTATACATACGCACATGGAAGATTCATTCACTTTAAGTTCTATTAAATAAAAATAAGATAAACTGAAAATAATCTTGGAAAAAAAATCCTCCAATCAGAACACTTTACTGTTGAAATACTTACTTAAATTTCTGTGAAATAACACTTATTTTTAAAGCCAAAAAAAGTGCTTATTATTTCCTTTGATAGAATTCACCAAATCTGACTAAAATATACTCTGACATGAAACAGCCCTTAGGAATTCTCTAATTCCTCTTTTCCCATATCTGTCCTGTATAGATTTTCCAGGCGTGCTGATCGGTGCATCTTTAACATTTCCATTTCCTAGCTGCTTCCCATAGCTTCATCATCCATCTCACCTACCCAACAGAGGAGCAATGATTTTTTTGGTAGTAGAATCCTTCAAGGGATTTGACTTCAGGCATCTTTCAAAAGAAGAAGAAGAAAAATCTGCCTTCTAACCTAGCTGTGTGCTGTTCAAACAGGAGCCCTGGGGGTACTGCCTTGAACAAATGAGCTGAAGTTTAAACTGAAAGTTTTAATGACTTTCTTTGTTAAGAATGTATGTCCCTGTCTTATGTCACGTTTCACTATTGAGTTTGACCATATTACCTCTTTCACTGGAGAAAGAAACAGGTTTCTTAGTGATACCTCCAGAAAAGCATGTCAGTGGTAAAATACCTATATCCTTTGACATTTTAATTCATAACATTCAGTAGAGCAGTGAAAGAATTTAATACAGATCATAACTTTTCCACAAATTTCAACCTGGATTTAAATATATTTCTCTCTCTCTCTCTCTCTCACACACACACACACACGCACAACATCTGTATTATATGGCATACTTGGATATGGGAATGTTCTGATTAATTCTGATAGTCTGACAAGGGTAATCAAAGTGTCTTAGGCAAGGATCTTGCTTCCTGGGATGGAAATTTGCGGTTGCCTTGGGAGTGTTGTTTCAGGAATGACATAATCATTGGACCCTCAATAAAGGTTCTAATAAGAAAACATCACTTTACTGACCACAGCTACTTAATTGTATAGCAAGTCTCTCAACCATAACATCAACGTGTTTTGAAAGAGGCCTCACTGGTTTCTTCATTCATTCAAGTGCTATTTATTGGGCACCTATCACCTGCCAAACTCTATGGTCTCTATTGACTTTAACTAAATAGCAGAATGAGCCTGAAGAGAAAGAAAATAATCTTTCTGGTAATTTCACTTAAGTAAAAAAAAAAAAACAAACTCGGCAGTGATTCAAAATTGATGAGTACTGTATGCATAATTTATTTAGAGAACAGTTTCTGTCAATCTTGACCATTTGGGAAACAGCAAAGAATTAGCCCAAAAAAGTCTTCTGAGTATCCACATTTGATGTCAAGTTTTCTAGTCACTTTATTCACAGGAGCCCCCTTCAAATTCATAGAGACTACTTATTCTTTTTTTTAAGAATATAATAAAATTTTTTTTAATTTTATTTTTGACACTTAATTGTACATATTTATGAGGTACAGAGTGTTAGTTCCATATATCTATACAATGCTCAAATCAGAATAATTAGGATATCCATCACTTCAACCATGTATCGTTTCTTTGTGTTACTTATTCTTAATCTTTATGAGAAGTGGGATTACTGGTTTTCCAGCTCACAGGACAGTAGCTACTCGCTAAAATCATCTAAAATTAAGTCATCCAAAGATCAAACCTCAGACAAAATTAGATTGGAAAGTATCTAATACATTGAATAAAAATTTCCATCCCAAAACAGTAAAGGAAAACATTTTTCTAAGTTAAGACAATTTTCAAAACCCCATATAGCTGGAAAAGTCACATATACAGGGCACCCTAAGTAAGGGTACAGGAGAAAAAGCCCTGTTCCTTCGGAATCTGAAGACCTGGTTTGAACTCAGCCGCCCGCCCCGTGCGATCTCTGAGAAGTTACCAAACCGATCTAACCCCAGTATCCTCATCTCTAAGACAGGAATAAATCGCCCTACCTGACAGAGGGGCAAAGATGGCAGTAGATGAGACAGTGTTTGGGAAGACATCTAACAGAGCGTCTGGCATTTAGAAGGAAAAAATGAAGTTTCTTTCTTTCCTCCGAGCACAAAAAAAGTGAAATTTGACAAGCCAGATGGACAGACAGACAAGCCTTCTATGGGCCTAGCGAGAAGTACAGTGAACTACTCTAAGGTCGCTGAGCGGCAAGGCCCAACAAAAAGGCAGTGCTTTGCATTGATGTAACACAGTATTACATTGTGGGGTGCAGATAAATAGAAAGAAAATGGGACAAGATGCTAATTATGTGCCTTGGACAAAGTGTATGAAAGGAAGTAGAGAATGAAATCATCACAGTAGGTTCACGAAATGGCACTTGAGCTGTATTACTTTTCCTTTTCAGATTAAAATCGTAATTTCACAGAATTAAAAACAAATTAAAAATAGGGTGCTTCAAAGTTGTTTCAAAATGACCAGGGACTGTGTTAAATTAATCTGCAGTTCTTTCCTAATCTGAAGTGGTAAAATGTTACCCTTCTTGCTGTGGGGCAGGACAAGGCGTTACTGCTGTTTATCTATTTCACTGCACAGTCTGTCTGCCAGATACAGAGTGAGTGTCCTCAACATGCCTTTTTGTTTTTTTTCTTTTTCATAGTGAAATATGTATCTGAGAAGCTCCCTTATTAGATTACCAAGCTGAGGCCATGAAAAGAATGACTATTGGCCAACATTTCTTTGCTTTTAGTTCAAAAGGAAAATGAACTTGAGAAAAATAACATCTGAATAGAATTTCGCATGTTTTTTTAAATTAGATTTCTTACATATTTTTAAATACACTTAAAACACTAGAGAATATTTTAAATACATTCTACAGCTCAAATATAGCTACTATTCACTTTTAAAAAGTTAAAACAGCATTAAAAGTGACAGAGCTGCTTCAGTAATAATAGTGCTATAGGGAAAGGTCATTTTTGCAAATGTGTGTAGGTACAATAAAAAATTCTAGCATTAAATGCACCAAAATATTAGTAGGGATTAGGACTGGGTGATGATGCTATGGGCAAAAATTTTCAGTTGTTTTTATTCCTTTATGCTATACAGAGTTGAATATTTACTACTTTTGAATTTTAAAAATGGAAAAAACAGCACTCAATGGCCCAATTAAATCATTTAGTATATACTCTTGACACAGTGCTATATTTTACCTTCATAATAGGGATTTTTGACATTTTTAAGAGGTCAGAATAAAGAAATACAAGAATGGAACTAAACTTAGGGATAATACTTCCCTTTCCTTAATTTTCTTGCCAGGGAGGAAACACGTGGAACTGAAAATTAAATGGGCTTCAGGTCAAGGGAGCTCGTATTCAGCTGACACAGAAGACGATTTCATTTGATCCTGAAAGACAGGGGCAGTCGCCTATGGTTCCCACACTCTCGGGGTCTATCTGGTCATCTGCCCCCTCTTCCAGATCCCTCCATTCCCAGCTCTAAAACATTGCAAGAGCAAAATGATCAAAGCTATCCAAGTACACTGCCTGTGTTTCCTGAAGTCGCCCTGCACACGCTGTTGTGGGGGGAAGATGCGAACAACAGCAAAGGTTGGCAATGAAACAGCGTCTAACATGTAGAGAGGGCCTTCGAGTCTGAAATCAGAAACCTCTGCACAATGTTAGGTATTATCACCATTTCACAGAGAAGGAAGTTGACTCTGAGGTCAAGTGGCTTAGCCTATAATTATCTAGTAATAAATTTACTGTGATATTTTACATGCTAGCCATTGTGTACCCAGATAAGGTTGCCACTCTCTTATTACTAGGCTATACATGCTCTGACATTCCCTGGAGGAGGGAGAGATTTGCCTTGTTCCTTTCACCCTGTCTGTGTTTGGGGGTGAACATACTGGCTGGAGGCTTAGAAGGAGGGTCAGTGATCACAGAGAAGGCGGGGACCAGCTGGCCCAGGAAGTGGACACCTCCCCTGCCACAGAGAATTGGCACTTTATTCACTCCCCCAACTCTTAGTTCCATGTGCATTTAGCAGGACACATCGGCCTCTAAATAAATCATAAACTTATTAACTTCTTGGATGTGGTCATTGAAATTCCTCATTCAGCAGAGTATCGAAAGCTAAATGTGCTCCTTTTAACTTGAATTGAGTCTCTGGGAACCTCCTCTGAGATTCTTTTTTGTGGAGATGGAGTCTCACTCTGTTGCCCAGGCTGGAGTGCAGTAGCGCGATCTTGGCTTACTGCAACCTCTGCCTCCTGGGTTCAAGCAATTCTCTTGCCTCAGCCTCCCGAGTAGCTGGGACTACAGGCGCACACTGCCACACCCAGCTAATTTTTTTATTTTAGTAGACACAGGGTTTCACCATGTTGCCCAGGCTGGTCTCGAACTCCTGAGCTCAGGCAATCCGCCTGCCTCTGCCTCTTAAAGTGCTAAGATTACAGGTGTGAGCCACCGCACCTGGCCTCCTCTGAGATTCTTAAGTGCCCATTTGCTTGACGTTTTTGCATTAAAAAAAAAAAATTAAAATGCACAGGTTTATACGTACATGACTTACTCTATATAATAAATGTGTTCATAAAAAGTTCATTTGCTCATTTGTTCATTTATTTAGAAAATGTTGGCTGGTTGCTCTATTTGGTGCCAGGCTAGGGCACTATGGAAATGAACTCCTCAGGGTGTCTGTAAGTTTAATTTGAGAATTAGTCATATGCACAGGGAATTCCTGATGACAAGAGACTCCATGTAAATAAAAATTTTTTGGCCGCATGAGGTGGCTCATGTCTGGAATCCCAGCACTTTGGGAGGCCAAGGCAGGTGGATCACTTGAGGCCAGGAGTTCAAGACCAGCCTTGACAACATGGTGAAATCCCATCTCTACTAAAAATGCAAAAATTAGCCGGGTGTGGTGGTGCATGCCTGTAGTCCCAGCTACTCGGGAGGCTGAGGCAAGAGAATCACTTGAATCAGGGAGGTGGAGGCTGTAGTGGGCTGAAATCATGCCCCCGCACTCCAGCCTGGGCAACGCAGAAAGACTGTCTCAAAAAAAAATTTTTTTTTTCAATCAAATTATGCCTGAAATACTCTGAGAACTAAATAATACTTAAATACCCCAAAGAATGCACCTTTCTGGGTTTTATAAATCCAGGGTGTATTTTTTTTTTTTTTTGAGACGTAGTCTCGCTGTGTTGCCCAGGCTGGAGTGCAATGGCGCCATCTCGGTTCACTGCAAGCTCCGCCTCCCGGGTTCACGCCATTCTCCTGCCTCAGCCTCCCGAGTAGCTGGGACTACAGGCGCCCGCAACCACGCCGGGCTAATTTTTTGTATTTTTAGTAGAGACGGGGTTTCATCGCGTTAGCCAGGATGGTCTCCATCTCCTGACCTCGTGATCTGCCCACTTCGGCCTCCCAAAGTGCTGGGATTACAGGCGTGAGCCACCGCGCCCGGCCTCCAGGGTGTATTATTTTTAAATAAGACATACCTATATTTAGTAATTCCACATTACAAAGATCACACTTCTAACTTTTGCCCCAATTACCTTTTAAAGAGCAAACTATTTGTGGCACTTCTAACAGTGTTGACATGGAGTAAGGTACCTAAACTCAGAACGTTTTCCCGAGGATGCAACAACATAGAGACGAAGTTTTAGCCTAAGCCATGTCACCAATGAGCTATGTGGCCTTGGCAAATTCTTTTCTCTCTCACTTCAGCTTTCCCATTTATAATCTATGCAGTCGGACCAGATGCTCTGTAATGCTCTTTCCAGTTCTGAATTTTTACTAGTCTATGATTTTTAAAAAATATAAGCCATAGAGATTCAAATATCTTAAGAAAGCTAGCATTTTAGAAGGTCAGAATTGGAATTCAAAATGCCTTTGAAAGAAAGGAGAACTGGTCATGAAATGAAGGGCATTCCAAAAGTATGAGTGCAAAAAAGAGCTAACCCAGGGAGATTCCTTAACAATCACACCATTTGCTCTAGCTGATCGGGAAGATTACATTTTAATCACTACTGCTTTCTACTTGCCTCCACTGGCAGGAGAAAACAGCAAATAAAATATGGTGCTTAATAAGCAAAATGCCTACTTGGGAAAGATTCTTAGTGTCATTTTATTGGAGTATCATTTACTTATTTATATCTTTTATTGTTCTAGAATATTAGTCTGAAAGCAGCTTGAGATTCCCCTGTAGAACAGAGAAAAAATTTGTCTCAATGATATAAAGTGATGCTTTTAAAAAATAAAGTAACGATCTCTTGTAAGCAGAATCGGTGCCAAGTTTTCCAAAAGATATATTTGGTAATAAAAATTTTTAAAGGTGTGGGGGAGGAGAGAGCCAAGCACAGTGGCTCATGCTTATAATCCCAGTGACTTGGGAGGCTGAAGTAGGAGGGCTGCTTGCGGCCAGGAGTTCGAGACCAGCCTGGGCAACACAGTGAGACCCTGTCTCTAAAAAGATTAAAAAACTGGCTGGGCGTAGTGGTCTCAGCCTACAGTCTGTGACTCAGGAGGTTGAAACAGGAGGACTACGTAAGCCCAGGAGTTTGAGGCTGCAGTGAGCTATGATCATGCCACTGCATCCTAGCCCAGGCAACAGAGTGAGACCTTGTCTCAAAAAAAAAAAAAAAAAAAAAAGAAATGGCAGAGAGATGTTGGAAGGAAGTAGTGTCATGTTTACACCCAGACCTAATGGGTCATGTGTCCTGTTGATAGGCATGCTCCAGGCCTAGCAGTTTGCCAGAAACACTCCTCCTGGACCTAGGTGACATCTGGCATTCACTGGGATCTTTGTCCTCAGAAGATATAGACCAATTCTCTTCTGGCTGTTGGGCTGTCCAGTTCTTAGTTACATTCGTCCTATTTGGACCAATAGTGCCTGCAGCTGAACTGCCAGACCTGGTATTAGCACAGGAGATTTGTTTCTTGGAATATTTTGGAGAGGATAGTGGTTGATGAAACTTCCTGCTTAGGAGCAGATGGGTGAGAAGATATCAGTGAAAGCTTAGATTAAGAAGCAGGCATTTGAATGAGCCCTAAAGACAGCAGTGAACAATCATCCTCCTCAGTATTTTACTGCATTGAGCTATTCTTTATAATTTTCACACTGTAAAGGAGACATCTGTGTTCTTGGAGATATATCTTAAAATAAAAACCAACAAGAGTACAAAACAAACCAACTTTTAAAAGATCAACCTGACTGGGAAGAAAAGTTTCCTATAAAAATGGAAATGCATTAGAAAACCATTGTAACTTGTATTCAGATAGCGCCTTATGCATATGAAGCCATCATTTATGAGATCTCAGAACTCCAAAGACTTTACGAACAATCATGACCCTTGTAAGGTCCAGAGGAAGCAGAAGGGAAAGCCAATGCCATCTTTTGCAAAGAAGGAACACACGGAGGCAGCAATATTTAGATTAGTTGCTCAAGTTCAAACAACCTAGTTGATTTAAAAGTTAGAAGCAAAATATTCCAGGATCTAAACTTACATCCTCCTATCTTAGATGTCTGGGGCAATCTGGTGGCGCCTGACCCACTAGGGCTTAGACTCTGAAAACAGGCCTCTTTTTTCTTTTTTTTTTTTTTTTGAGATGGAGTCTCACTCTGTCACCAAGGCTGGAGTGCAATGGCTTGCTCGGCTCACTGCAACCTCCGCCTCCTGGATTCAAGCGATTTTCCTGCCTCAGCCTCCTGAGTGAGTAGCTAGGATTACAGGTGTGCGCCACCAAGCCCGGCTAATTTTTGTATTTTTAGTAGAGATGGGATTTCACTGTGTTAGCCAGGCTGGTCTCGAACTCCTGGCCTCAGGTGATCCACCCACCTCGGCCTCCCAAAGTGCTAGGATTACAGGCGTGAGCCACAACAGCCAGCAGAAAACAGGCCTTTCATTTACCTGTGGCAGCAGACGGCACTGCACTAGAGCATTCCTGCCCAAGGAAGTGAAATGGGCGGCAGAATTTCTTTGGTATTGTTAAGAGCCCAGCTTAATTTCATTAGATGTTTTTTTAAAGCAAAAGACACAGTATATAATGCCAAGACAATGACAGGGGCTGGGAGAACACAGCGGATAAATGCAATTTTGTCTGAGAAGAAAAGGGGTCAGGGTCAGGGAAGCAGGAAAGGGACAGACAGCAGCTCCAAAGAGGCCAAGAAGTGAGAAGAAAGGGAAGGGGAGCAGGAAGTGAGGAAAGGACAGTGGTGTGGGAGGGAGTGAGAAAGAAACTGATGGAAAGGAAAATATAGGAGATGAGAAAGAGACAGGAAGACAGGGGTGTGTGTTGGGAAGGAGGGATCAGACTAGTTTTACCTCCTCATTTTCTTGACCACCTGTTTACATACATATTCAGGAGGTTGCTAATGCCTGTGTGCTTCCCTGTAGATCTTGTTTATCCCATGGGAGGAACTTACTGGATCCCTCTGCAAGTGGGCCCTTTTGTATGAGAGAAGTTTGGAAGAAAAGTTTAAAGGGTCCTCCAGGTCCTGCATTTTGCTTCAGTCCTCCCGCCAACCAATCTGAAAGATCCCTCTCTGTAGGGCTTCCTTCTGAAGATCCTGGGGCTGAAGCCTGATTTTTAGAGAATCAGGTAGATCCTTGGCCCTGATGGAATGTTCACCACTAAATGAGCTCACAGATAAATGGTTATAGCAAGTAGAATGGAAGATCACAGGCATCAGTTGAAAGCCTGCAGATGCAATCAGAATAAAATCAGGTGGTGAGTACCATCCAATTACTTTTCCTATCAACTCCCCACAGTACTTCATGAAATCCTTTTTTATTTTTGGTACTTGGTAGAAAATGAATAAACAGTACTGATGATGACAAAGCAAGCTGATAAGGCTCTAGAATGGAGTGCTCTGATCTCTTTCCAGTAAGTGACCTCAGTAGTGATTTGTCCCTCAGGACAGTGGGCATCAAATGCTTTTTGATTTGTTACCTACCCATCCCAAATGTCAATTAAAAGAAAAAACAAACCCCACAATTTCATGTTGTTAATAGGCACACATGTCAAGTAAAGGAAAATCAAACACTCACAAGTTGATAGAGATTTTGTGGAAATAAAGTAAACACATAATACTTCCCAGGACAGAAACACTGATGCAGTCACCCTGCACAGTAAAAACTCCAGTAACCAGGGGGAGCTAGGCAGCCTGTGCTCACTGAGGAATCTCTGGGTTATCAGCCCACACTCTGAGAAGCGGGACATTAGGAGTGCTGGTAGTACTGAAGTTTTAAAAAATGACAAGAAGGCAGCTGATATGGTTTGGCTCTGTGCCCCCACTCAAATCTCATCTTGTAGCTCCCATAATCCCCATGTGTTGTGGGAGGGAACTGGTGGGAGATAATTGAATCATGGGGACAAGTCTTTCCCATGCTGTTCTCATGATAGTGAATAAGTCTCACGAGATCTGATGGTTTTAAAAAAGGGGAGTTTAAAGGCTGGGCATGGTGGCTCACGCCTGTAATCCCAACACTTTGGGAGGCTGAGGTGGGCAGATCACCTGCGGTTGAGAGTTGGAGACCAGCCTGACCAACATGGAGAAACCCCGTCTCTACTAAAAAATACAAAAATTAGCTGAGCATGGTGATGCATGCCTGTAATCCTAGCTACTCAAGAGGCTGAGGCAGGAGAACTGCTTGAACCCAGGAGGCGGAGGTTGCAGTGAGCTGAGATCGTGCCATTGCACTCCAGCCTGGGCAACAAGAGCGAAACTCCGTCTCCAAAAAAAAAAAAAAAAAAAAAAAAAGGGTAGTTTCCCTGCACAAGCTATCCTCTCTTGTCTGCCGCCACGTGAGACGTGCTTTTCACTTCCACCATGACTGTGAGGCCTCCCCAGTTACGTGGAACTGTAAGTCCAATAAACTTCTTTCTTTTGCAAATTGCCCAGTCTCAGATATGTCTTTATCAGCAGCGTGAAAACAGACTAACACAGCGGCCAAACACCTCTGTGGGGCTGACTCTGGATTCCTGCAGCTACAAGAGACAGACTCAGAGTGGGTGGGGTGGGGTCCCCCCAAGTCCCCCAACCAGGGCAAAGTGTTTTCAAAAATGAAATATGGTACTCAGAATCACCCTAGGAAATAAGTCTACCTGCAGGCTCTGCAGGGGTAGGAACTGTGTTTTGTTTGCTGTACACCCCCATCTCTAGCACAGAGCAAGACACTCAGTAGGCACGAAATAAACATTAATATGGAATTCCAGAAGAGAATTTAAAAGGTGGGTGCATCGTAGCTCCCCATCTTTCACCTTCCTTCACATAAACTTTTTCTTCTCTCCAATAACTATATGAAATATTAGAAAACACTTTAGTATGGAGAATAAAAGCAGAAAGGGAAACAAACTAATTTGAAAAATGCAAAGCTATAATTTTTTTTTTTTTGAGACAGAGTCTCACTCTGTTGCCCAGGCTGGGTCTGCCTCCTGGGTTCAAGCGATTCTCCTGCCTCAGCCTCCTGAGTAGCTGGACTACAGGTGCGCACCACCATGCCTGGCTAAATTTTGTATTTTTAGTAGAGACGGGGTTTCACCACATTGGTCAGGCTGGTCTTGAACTCCTGACCTTGTGATCTGCCCACCTTGGCCTCCCAAAGTGCTGGGATTACAGGCGTGAGCCATGGCGCCCAGCCAAAGCTATAATTTTTCATGAAGGTTTTCAAAAGTTTGCAAATGATTATTAAAGATTTAATGATTATTTTTAAGGGATACTTACAAAATGCCAGTCTACACATGTTGCTCACACACCATCCTTACTCCTTTTTTCTTTTTTTAAAATTAAAACAAAATTTTGTAGAGATGGGTTCTTGCTATGTTGTCCAGGCTGGTCTCAAACTCCTGGCCTCAAGTGATCCTCCCACTTCAGCCTCCCAAAGTGTTAGGATTACAGGCATGAGCTACTGCACCAGCCATCCTTATCTCCTTATCCCCTCTGTTTTCCGGTGATTCTGAACTTACTGTGAAATCCCAATACACTTTATACTGCACAGGACACTGTGCTATACAAAGTAAACTTTGTAAGTATTATAAATGTAAACTTTACAAGTATTATCTTTTCTGCTGAGGGATAATGTATACTAATGAACTTCTGAAGTTACTAATTACAAGAATAATATGTGGTAAATTCATTATTTTTCCTGCTTTTATTATATTCTCAAAGCTTTTTAAATACAAATTCTATCTCAATTAAGACATGGTAAAAGAAAATTTGCCCGACTTTTACATTTACGCTTAAATCTCACAAGTGATGATTTTCACCTGTATTCAGAAATGCCTGACTTTAATGATGGTCTTAGATAGTCACTGCTTAAAGAATCCTCATGTAAATGAAAAAGTGCCCTCAGAAGTACAGAACATAACTCCTTCCTGTTTGTCTAATCTCCATGGCAAATATGCAAAAGATGAGACTCTGGTATGTGAGTGATACTAAAATATTAACCTCTTGTTCCTAAGTCAGTCCAGTATCTTATGGAAAAATGTTTTGTCGAGACAAATTAAAAAATATTCTAAGTTATTTGAAAATGCTCTGGTCTTCTAATGCAAATCCTAAACTAGAAGTAATGAAATGAAGTTAATAATAACGACACTTAACGTTCTGGCCTGTTTATCACCATTTAGAGGCAATGACCTGATATTAACCGTCAATCAACCATTTATATAAACTAAGACTCAAAATAAATTCCATCACTGGAATTATTTCATCTGCCAATAACATACTTGATATCCTGTTTCATGTACTCGGACTGTGGGTATTAAAATGTTAAACAAATTAAGCAGTGATTACCACCTCTCTCTCTAAAGATATATTCAGTTGTACTAATATAATTCAGTTGGACAAGAATAAAGAGAAAGACGGGAGGAGGTAAGAAATTAGCATATTTGAAATGTAAAAAATAATCATGGAGAGGGACTGTGGCTGCTCTAGGTAAAAGTCTATATATTCGGAGCCAATTGCTGCCATTTGTTGCTCTTAATTTAAAAATCTGTAAGAAAGCGTCAAAATCAATTCGGTTCAGTCTTAATGAGACAGCTCTAGCGAGAGCCTATTCACTGTACCTGTTCTAATTAGCATGAATATGTCCTCAATGTCAAATCTCACAATACACTTAACTAAATTAATGTTAATCCCGTAACACAGGACTATATTTGAGTTAGTAGCTCTAAAATAGATTTTGCATATTAGCATTTTGATAATGAATAGCAAATGAATTCAGGGCTGGAAAAGATCTGGTTCATGATCATTTCTGAGAAAAGGGAAACTGAGGCTCAGGGTGACTGGGTGGCTTGCTCAGGGCCACAGCTGAGAAGCACCTGGTAAGCACAGTGACCAGCTTCCACACACACATGTGCTGGCTATTTTCTTTCTGCCATCTCCCCAGAGAGAACTGGAGCCTGCATAACCATGTAAAACTAAATGGAAGTCAGACGATAGCCCCCTAAATTATTGATGACTAACAGTATTTGTCAAGACTCTACAACAGAAGACCTCAGGTACCCCCACAGAGGTTATTAAGTATAATCCTTGCTTTTTAATTGCCACTTAAGCTGAAATTACTACCTCTTCAAGATTTATACGAAGACAATTTAGAGATTTAGTTTGAGGTGGATGTCGACACATGCTAATTGACCTTAATTCACACATATTTCTGAAGTGATGTGAAAGATAAGGGATGAGGAAATTTGACACATTAGAACTCCCTAAAACCCCCAAAATTAAAAATAACTGCTAAAAAGACGGTGTCAGCTGACCCCACATTTTAGCTTTAAAATGTTTACTATGTCCCAAACAAGAGGCTGGAAAATTATTAGCTTTCAATTTATGCCTCCAAACTCCTCCTCCAGCTTGCCTGGAGATACTGAGATAGTAAGAAGAGTCCTCACTTTGAACTGGCATGACATTAAAATATCTCAGCGTTGGGCTGGCATCTCCCTGTTTTAATTTCCTAAAGGCTGGAAGTTCAGAGAGCTGAGCTCCTGGCTCCTGCACACACCTGCTGCCCAAAGTCGCTAAGCCTTCTCATGCTGTAAAAAGGAGGCAGCAGAACCCCACTGGTGGGGTGCCCACACCTGTTCATTGTGGAACCTTTTCTTTTCAGAGGAAAGCTTACATTTTAGCTGCAGATACAAACCAGAAGGCAAAGCTGCTGGGGGAGTGGGAGTGAAGGACAGGGACAGGCCAAGTCCTCCCTGGAGATGGGGGGAACCTCAGGGCCCTGAAGGGTGGAGCGCTGGCCTGGATCATCACAGAGGGGCTTTGGCTGTGACAGCCTGCGAGTCTGCTAATCACAATAATGCCAGGTGGCATTTAGGGGTGCCCACTGTGTGTTAGGCACCATTCTCAACCCTTGACATCACTATCTCATTTAATCTTTACAGTGGACTTGTGACACTTCACTAAAAACACCACTATGGGCATATGCCAATATTCTTAAACGCTCTTTTGCAAAAGCTCAAAATCTCTCAGTTCAACCCATTTTCCAGGTAGCAGTCATCAAAGACTTAAAAAAAATATTCCCTAAGAAACTGCCTCTTTTATAAATGGAGAAAAGAACACTTACTTCACAGGGCTGTCTGGGGATTTAATGAGGGTATGAGGTGTCTCCTACAGGGCTACGGGCACAGTAAGAAAACAATAAATTTTTCCTTAAAGATCTATCAAGATTGTGCCCCAGGAGCTACAAAATTCTAAAGGCTGGATTTATAGTTATTAAACTTCTATACTCGATTCCTGTGGACTCACAGTCCACATTAAAAGAAGAGAAAAGCAGAAAGGTCAGCACAAAAATATAGGCTGTATGATTTCATTTACATGAACCTCTAGAAAAGGTACAGCTACAACTAATCTCCAGTGGCAGGAAGCAGAGCAGTGGCTGCCTGCCGGCTGGGACATGGGAGGGGAGCTGCTGGGGAAGGAGCAGGAGGAAACTTTCTAACCTGACGAAAACGGTCTATACCTTAATTGGGGCAGTGTTATTTGTCAAAATTCACTAAACTGTACACTTAAAAACAGATGCACTTTGTTGTATATGAACCATACCTCAATAAAGGTGACTGGAAAAAAAAAGTAGTTCTAAGGAAAAAGAAGCAAGCACAAAATTTCACAACTGGATGCTTAGCCAAATTCCTCTTGCACGTTCTTCCAGGGACTGACAGACTACACTCATGTTGTGAGTTGAACTGTGTCCTCCAAACACTCATATGTTGAAGTTCTAACCCAGTACCTCAAAATGTGACCTCACTTGGAAATAGGGTTGCTGCAGAAGTAATCAGTTACAAGGAGGTCATACAAGAATAGGGTGGGCCCCAAGCCAGTGATTGGCATCCTTATAGAAAGGGGAAACTTGGATACAGACAAACGCACGGGGAACATGCCACGTGAGCTTCAAGGCAGAGATCGATCGGTTGATGTGTCTACAAGCCAAGGAACACCAAAGATTGCCAGCAACCCACGAGCAGCTAGGAAGAATCATGAAACAGATTCCTCCGCACAGCCCTCAGATGGAACCAACCACGCCGACGACCTTGATCTCAGACTTCCGGCCTTCAGAACTGTGAGACAATCCATTTCTGTTGTGTAAACCACTCAGTTTGTAGTACTTTGTTATGGTGGTCCTAGGAAAATAATATAATCTGGTACACGTGTTTTACTCCAGCTACATAGGATTAGACACTTCAACCAACTGTAACTTTCTCAGGTTTAATCAAATCTTGACGGTACCTCTTTGTGGACCATGCCCATTACCATCCTCTTCTGAACAGCGAATCTGCTTGGAGCTCATGAACTAATAATAAAAAGTTAGTATTTTCTGAGCACTGACTATGTGCCAGGCTCTGTGTCAAGTGCTGTGTGCGAGTCAGCTTATTTACCCTCTTCAATGACCATGAAACAGGAATAAATATCATTTTCTGATATAGAAACTGAGGCTTACAGAGGGTTCAGTAATTTGGTCAAGTCACAAAGCTAGTAACTAGCTGAGACCTAAACTAGATTTTAAACATCTCCCACAGTGCCTTGTATACTGCTCCATGAATCTGGAAGTATTACTGTTAGCTGACAGCCATGGGGTAACTTTTGGAGTTTGTGAATTAGAGTTAAAATTATTTTAAATAGAGATATATTTTTTTAAAGTTACTCAAAAATTACATTTTTTTTTCCATGGTGATGTTGTAGATTTGCGTTTCCCAAAGTGTTATGAGAAACCGTGGCGCTAGATATTACCAAGTGGAGGCAGGGGACGATTAACGATCAAGTAGATTTGGGAAACACTGAGTTAAACAGGCTTCTTTATATAGGGCTTCCAAGAGGACGGCACTGTTTGCCAAGCTTCCCTGACCCTGGAACTCTATTTCTTTAGATACCTATTGAAGGGTCGGTGTTCCCTCTACTTTGGGGGAAACTCTGTTGCAGATAGTGACTTACTTTCTGCATGAAATTGTCGTGGGATTTGGCTTATTTTGAGGCTCAATTTCTACATTTATAAAACGTAGATAATAGTCCTCCCCCGGCCACCCAAAAGAGTTATTGTAGGGATCAAATAAGATATATGTGAGAAGCACATTAAAATCTGAAAAAAGCTGAGTGTGGTGGCTCAAGCCTGTAATTCCAGCTACTCAGGAGGCTGAGGCAGAAGGATCACTTGAGCCCAGGTGTTCAAGGCCAGCTGGGACAACACAGCGAGATCCTCTCTCAAACAAATAAATAATAAAATTAAAAAATTTAAAACAAAAAAATAAAATCCAAACCATCATAACACCTAAGGTAAGCCTTGTGTGGTTTTCTGAGAATCTTACTATCTAACACAGTTTTTGAGTCTGGAAAAATAGTGGTGGGGAGCCTCCCATAATCTATTGTTGATTCCTCTTTCCTAAATTAAGAAAAGCTTCAAGCAGCTTGGGAAATGCAATTTGTGAAACAACAATTAATGTTTAGGAGATCAAACTCTGGCTGGTGCCGGAATGATGACCTGGATTCTGGGGTCTGAGCACACTCACTGCTGGCCAACGGGGCTTCAAGCAGAGAACAGACTCGAATCTGCAGTCTCAGAACGGCTCAGCAGTCATTGAGCAGGATTTGGAGACTGCAGCAGTCACACTGGAGACAATGTAGGGGACAAGAGGGAATGAATTCATAAACTTCTCAATTATTATCTTGGTATCTTCTAATGCAAATACCTTGAGCCCATCATTGAAAAGATGCATCCTACCCATAACAACTGGATTAGGATCTAGACCTCACCAGGCACACATTGCCTGCTTTCCAGCAGGGGTAGGGGGATGCCTGTTGCTAGGAACAGCTCCCAGGACCACATCCACCCTTACTTATGGGCCAAGGTGAAGGCGCCAAGGAGCATGCAAGACAGCGCTCACAGGCTCCATCACTATCCAGCTTTAGTGAGACAGAGAAAGAGACAAGACTCCCAAAGCTTCCCCTAATACAGACAAAATGAGAAAATTCAAGGTCTGTTTTATTTCGAAACACTCTGTCTTTACAGATAGAATTAGCTCACTTTAACTGTATGTATTATTTATACTTTTTCCTGTAGGAATGATCTGCATTATTTACATGAGCCCCCAAAGTCACTCAGGCTCAGGAATCAGTATCCCAATGATATTATTCATTCTGTATTGTTCTTTTTTCAATATTGTTCAATTTTTCCCTAACCTTTAAGGAGCTGCCATACACCCAAACATTTAAGAAAGCTCTACCTTTCAAAACCCATATGTGGTATGTACATATATGTTTGAATGTGCATATGATATCTCTGGAAGAATCCACAAGAAAATGTTAACAGTGGCTGTCTCTAAAGAGGAAAATGGGGGATTGGCAGTCAGAAATAGGAGGCAGAGTCATTTTTCATGGTATATTTTTAAATTTTAACATGTACATGTGTTAAATTTTAAGACATTTTTTAATTTAAAAAAAAATCTAAAGGCACAAACCGCATATGCTCTTCTGGAGTCATTTGTTAGAGGCACGACTTTTAGTTCTCCTTTTACAAAATGCCTTGATCTCACTGTTTATATGTACTGCCTGGATGAACTCCACCCAGAAAGGACCTCTGGAAAGAATGCTGAATATCAAAAAAGTTCATTTCCCTAAAAAAAACTCTCTCATAGAAAACCCAGCCAATACTAACTGCCAATCCCCAACACCTTCCTTTGATGAGGGCAGGGCAGAATGATCCAAACAGCAACTTTAAAAATCTTGGTTTCTTTTGCACGTGCAACTCTCTTTTTCTATCAGTATGGACTTTCCAGAAGGCCTTAGGGGTTAGCAGGA
Source organism: Homo sapiens (assembly GCF_000001405.40). Lineage (NCBI taxonomy): Eukaryota > Metazoa > Chordata > Mammalia > Primates > Hominidae > Homo > Homo sapiens. Next base: position 26,525,211 of record NC_000018.10, read on the forward strand.
AGCTCCATTGTGCTAAGAGGGTGCAGACACACTCTGGTGAGGTAGGGCCACTAGTGTCCCCACAGATCAAATCTAGTTTAGAGATACTAAAGTAACCACATGACAAACTGCAACAATGCATGTGCTCTGATCTGCTGGCGGAACAAATCTGCTTCATTTCCAGGGCTGAATTCAGGGATGTGATTACCTTTTGTGAGCCAATATTCAATAATTCCCCACAGCCTCCAGTGAGGTCCAACTAACTGCTCCACCTCACCCCCTTCTCTGCAGCCAAGTCAAACTGAACTAACTTGGTGTTTCCCAAAGATTTTCCAAAACCTTTGCGTGAGCTGATCCCTCTGCCCAGGATGCTCTCCTATGGTCAGCCTCTTCCTGCCTTGGCAATTTCTTTCCCAAAGCCCACATCTAAGCAGCCCTACTCCCCTGATAACCAACTGTCATGTCCCCTTGTTTTCATTTTCTGTAGATACATTTACATTTACTACTATATAATATTTCCTCCCTCCCTGCCTGGCTTCCTTCCTTCCTTGAGACAGGGTGTTGCTCTGTCACCCAGGCTGGAGTGCAGTGACATGATCATAGCTCACTGTAAACTTGAACTTGTGGGCTCATATGATCCTCCCGCTTCAGCCTCTCAAAGTGATAGGATCACAGACATGAGCCACTGTGCTCAGCATATTTTCTTAATGTTACCTATTTCCCCTTTCTGTCCATCTCATTCCCCCTAGGATATAAGCTCTTGAGAGGGCAGGGCGCTTGTCATCTTGTGGCCGGCTATCATTTCCAGAGCCTACACAGCCCCTGTAGTAGGTGTTTAGTGAAGAGTAGTTCAGAGAGAGACATACAAATTATTCAGACAGTTTACCAGATCCTATGTTTCTGGAGGCAGGTGGCCAGTCTTTAAGAGCATTTTCTTCTGGGTTGAAAAAAAAAATCCAGGGTGGCACAAAATTGTGAGTTAAATGTGAGAAAAGAGACCAGTGAAGAAGCAGCCCTCTCCGAGGAAAGCCGGTGTGTTGGTTATGCATTTCTGGAGATTTGGGGAGCAGCAGGAGGAGGGAAACCATGCTGCCCATGCACAATGAACCTCCCTGGGCCTCAAGGAATTCATGAAATTCAAGAAATCTGCGGGATTCCTTCCAGCTCTTGGAGGCTGTGATCTAGACCCGGATTCGCACATAGAGGACCTCGTGCCCCTGCAGAGCTGCAGGATTATTTGGGGTGGCACGCGATGACCATTTTACGGCTTCTAAATAGTCCTACATGTGTTTGAACAGGTATTAGAAAATATAACTAGCACATCAAACCTGGGATTTCGTGGTGACTGTCACTTGAGATGAGGCTGGAATAGCCAAGAGAAAGATGCTAGGGAAATAGAAATATGGCAAAATCAGAAAGAGCAAAAGTCAAGCCCAAGGCACACGGAAAGGGGTTCCTCTGCTCCGCTGCCTCCTTCAGCACATCCAGAGGGATGCTGGAGACCCAGGAGGGGCTCAGTCAACACTTGAAAATGCTGAGCCAATCCCACTTGAGAAAAGATAAAGAAAAGAAAAAGACTAGGAAATGGAGAACATGTGTGGATTAAAAGCAGCTTATCTCTGAGGGAGCCTTTCCCTGAAGAACTGGTATTTTCAGTCCCATTTATCTTACATTTTGGGTTTTTTTTTTTTTTTTGTCTCCAACAACTTTCAAACCACAAAATATACAATGACCAGTTTCCCTAGGATTAAAGCAACCTATTTTCTGTAAAATGTAGTGATGCGTAAACAGTGGAGCTGTGAGCACTAATGCTTTAACCCCTTAATTCCCAAACTACCTGTTTTTAACTTCCCTGCCCTCTGCCTGGGACATTATCATCAGCAACTTAAAAAGCCAAAGCTTCTCCTCCTTGGCTCTTTAGGGACAGAAATTTACTCTCCAGTGCCAGGAAGGGCCATACACATCCTCACGGACTGGCCCTCTGCAAGGTGGGAGGTCAGGGTCAAGGACAGGTCTGCCTGCCAGAGGAGGGAAAAAAGCTTCTGCTGAAATGGGAACTACAGAGAGCTTTAAAAGGGGAGGGAGAGCAACTAACAGAAGAATAAAGCTAGCATTTGATGCAGAAGACAATTGAATGACTTACTGCTTTAGTGTCCTAATTCCATGTCAGTGACTGAATTTTTCTTTTGTGTACTCAAACCAAAACAAAGCTATTATTAAGGTTGTGTCAAGATCTTCAAACAGGTGAGGCTGAAAAACACATTTTTATGTTTATGTGAAAGAGGGCTACTGCAAAAAAAAAAGGGGGGGGGGCGTGGGAGGGATGACGAGGTGGAACATAGAGGACTTTTAGGGCAGTAAAACTATTCTATACGATACCATAATGGCAGAGACATGTCACTATACGTTTGTCCAAATCCATAAAATGTACAACACTAAGATGAACCCTTCTGTAAAGTATGGACCTTGAGTGATAACAGTGTGTCAATGTTTCAGCAATTGCAGCAAATGTACCACGCTGTTTCTAGATGTCAATCTTGTGGTAAATTGTGCCTTTTTGGGGGCAGGAGGTTTATGGGAACTCTACATAATTTTTGTTCAATTTTGCTGTGAACCTAAAACTGCTCTGACAAATGTTATTAAGGAAAAATAAATAAGAGAAAAAAAATAATTGTTTCAAATCCAGTAATTTTTTTTCCAGAAAAAGCCAGCAAATAGTAGCCTAGCTCTTCCCTGATGAGCATCTAGTCTACTCAGGCCCAACTCAGCCTGAAATCTAGAAACTCTCTCTGCATACAGGCACTGCACTTAAAATCAATTAAAGTAATGCTAACAAGAGCCTATTTTAATCCCAGAAACACCAGACCCAGCATGTTGCACAGAATGGAACTCATTGGTTCTCTCTGTGGTCTGAGAAATATTTCTAGACGGTGCTCTTATTTTATTAGCTTTTCTTTCAGTACTATAGGCCCCTACCTTGAACTTGATCCTCAGCTTTTGTCTCCTACTCAAAGTAAAAAGGATGCTGGAGTTCATCTGGTTGAATGAGGAACAGCCTTTAATGGGGAGCCAGGATCCTTTCTGTGGGAGTACAGTGGGCCCCATGTGAGGAGGATGGTCCCAGGATGGTGGGGGGAAGGTGAGACCACAGCAACAGCTGAACGTGGGTCAATCTTTTCCTTCTGAGTTTAAAGTCTATAAAAAGTTAATAAAACAATCTAAAGCCAATCACTCCACCTGTCCTCAGGATCCTGCCATGCCTATACTCCGCCATCTCTCTTGCTCTTTCTAAACAGGTTCAGGTCCTCTCTCTTTTTAAAAACGTACGGGATCCACCTATCATCTCCTCTAGAGCCCTGCCTTCCTCCAGCTGCTGCTCTGCTGCCTGCCTCCTTGACAGTCAAACTGGAGCCATGTTTCTGTTCCTCCTTCTTCACCTCTCAGGCTCCCTCAATTCTCGCCAATATGGCTTCTGCCCCATGCCCCACAAAACTGTTCTTGCAGAGATGACTAATGGCCTCCCTATAGAGAAGCTGCAGGACACACACCCAGGCCTCATCTCACTTGAAATCTCAGCTGCATTGAACAAAATGGACGACTCCCTTTGCCCCTGAAACTAAGGCCCACAGTTCCCCTCCTCCTCCCCGGCCACTTGTAGTTCTATGCCGGCAACACTTTTTTTGCTTTGCCTCCACAGATTCCAGTTTCTTGAGGCCCTCTTCTCTTCTGTCACTGTAATTTCTTTCTAAGCAAAACAATCTGCCCCAATAGCTTCAATTATCATCTGTAAACTGATGAAATTCCAAATTTAGTCCTCCAGCCCACACCTTTGCCAAACCTGTGTATCTACCTGCTTATCCAACATTTCCACCTAGTCACACCATAAGCCCCTCAAGCCCAATGCTTCTAAAGCAGACCCATCACAGCCTCTTGTACTCCCCTGCAGTGGCCTCTGTTTCCACACACAGCACTAGCATGTCAATATCTACTTCTGTTCACCCACTACTGCCATCCTAGTCCTCAGACACAATGACCTCTCCCCTTGCTCTGATCCCTCTGCAATCCATGGTCCGCATCTCCCCCTCCACTCAAAACCCTTCCATGACTGCCCTGCCTATAAGATGAGGCTTGAAACCTTTAAATGGCCTTGGCACTTGCACCTTGAACTCTTCAGCTTTCTCTCCCGCCACTTCCCTATCCTCTCTAGGCTACAAGCCCGTGAACTTTCTTTTCTAGAATATTCTGGAATGTTCCATGTTCCTTCCTGTATCAGGGCCTTTGCTCATGTACATTTCTGTCTACCACATCTCTTAGTCCAAAATCCTTCTCTCTGTTGCTCTCTCTGCACCCCCAGAAGTTAAAACAGAGTAAATCCCAAAGGAAAAGAAGAACCAAGAGAAACTAACCGTTGAAGAAAAGTGCCAAGAAAGAAAAACAGGTAAGTTCATCTCCTTTTATTAACTGTACTTTGTCCTCTCAGACCACATTCTTTACATTTAAAATAAAATGTAACCCAAGGAGGTTGTGCCTAACAGAATACAAATTTCCAAATGATATTAAATAACTTTGAGAATACTGATTTTAATTTCTGCAGTTGTGAATGATCAAAAGGACAAATGGGATCCATGACCAAATCCCATAAAAGTAAAAAGTAAAACAGGATTAGTGACAATAGTCACTAATATTTCCTAACAGAGCATGTGCTATGTCCTAATAGTAACAGAATTAAACTCAGAAAGTGAGAAGAGGTGATAAACATAAACAATGTCAACAAAACCCTAAGGTGGACGGCTAGACCTACAGACAAGGATCCAGGCCTGTCTCTGGCCCTTCTCTTCTGTAGAAAGGGTGCTTACTTACGAATCAGAGTCTCCCAAGGGAATGGAAATGGAAGACTAGACAGATTCATGCCCTGGGTTGACATTTATTCCCTTAATATTTCAAAGCAGTATGTCTAGAGTTCTTTTTACTCTTTTCTCTACACCCAAATTTTAACATGGACCCCCTCAAGTTGGAGTTCTTTCCCTAAGAACTTCAATTTTGCCCTGTCAACCCTACACTTTGAATAAATATATATTGGGTGATTCTGAACCTCTATAATACAGTTTATCTTTGTTGTATTTCCAAGGAGTTAGAGGTTGAGCCAGGGAAAGACAGAAGAGATATGAGGGTTACAGGGAAAGGAAAAAAGGAAAGAAAAGATGAGTAGGCTTGAGGCAGAGAGGAAAAGGACATCCATATAGACCCGAAACACGGAAGAGGCTGAAAGTCTAGATGTGGTGAACTTTGGGGCAAGTCCATCTTGGTCCTATCCCTCCCTCATCCACAGAGGGCACAACCTACCCAAACAGACCCACACCTCACTAGGACAGCAGTATTACCATCACAACCACAGTTAATTTGGCTGATGATTTATTTTGGGTGTATGTGATTCCTACTATGTGCTAAGAAATCAGCAAAGGAGAACAAATTAAAATTGGAACATACGTGGTAGAGCACTTGACTTAACCTTCAGGGCACTGTCTTAATCGTCTGACCCTGCAGAGAACAGCACAGTGCCAGGCACACAGTAGGTATGTAACAACTATTTAAGGGACGATGTGGGTTTTTTTCTTTATGTGCTATTGGAAGAGCTTTTTATTTCTAACCTTCACAGCTAAGGAATTTGTTTTCATCTTTTCAAACAAGGGTAAAATACTTAGATCCTTTCTGTTCAAGGCAAAGAGGGCAAAGATGATCAAGTAACCTTAAAATGTTACTATAACATATTTTTATTCATTTCGGCAAGTACTTTCAGTACTTAGTACGCACCAACCACTGTGGCAGGCATGGGGAATAGGGCAGTGAGCAACACAGGCCATGTCCCTGCCTTTGAGGAATACACTTTATTTATTTAAACAGTAGAAGGAATAAAAATCATGAAAATATTAATTCTCACTCTTACAAATATATAACCATTATTTTTTTGAAGAACTACTCTGATTATGGCAAATAAAATGAATGAAATAAAATAAAATGAAACAGTGAGCATGGTGGCTCACACCTGTAATCCTAGCACTTGGGAGGCTGAAGCAGGAGGATCCCTTGAGCCCAGTAGTTTGAGACCAGCCTGGGCAACATAGGGAGACCATGTCTCTATTAAAGAAAAATAAATTAAATAAAATAACCCAAAATCAATTAGAAAATTTCAACCACAGGTTGAAATACTTTAAGTCAAATACATACAGATTTCATTAAGTCAAATATTGTAAAAAAGAAGTATATGTGTATATACCCTTAAAACATATAAATCCTAACCAAAAATGACAACATTGTAAGGTATACCAAAGTATGTTTAACTTTAAAAAGCCTGACCCAGTATCAAAATTCAAAACGGGAGCTATAAAAACAGAATTTCCCTCAGTGTACTTAAACTTTGATCTAATTTAGAAGCATTTGATTTGCAGACATTTTTTGCCAGGGTAGAATCATAGGTTCTTAGGGTGGAAAGAGATTCTAAATGTCACCTGACCAGGTATTCCTGGATCCTAGTTGCCCTATTCAGAAGGGCTCTTCCTAAATTTGTTTGGTGAGGTCACCTCATTGACACCAAGTGGGAGGATCAGGATACGGTTTAGCTGTGAACAGCGGCCTCCCAAGCTGATCTCATTCTCCAAAGCTAATCCCACGATTCTTTAGCATTACAAATATGGATGAAGCATTTCACAAACAAGTGCTTGCCTTTGTTAACAGTTTCTTTTGATTCCATCAGTAATACCTTAGCTGCTTTCTTTTATAAGAATGGGGGAGAAAGGCCTGATTTCTTGACAGACCTATCTGGAGAGTGGTAGTTGGAAGGAAAGTGTGTATCCCAGAGAACAAAGATCTCAGCCCTTGAGCAATTCATTCAGATTTTGAGTGGTATGCTGGGATGAGGATGGGCTGAATAAGGCAGGATGTAATCACACCATAAAGGCTACACATAACCTAACAAGTGAGAAGAGGCGGCTTTGTCAAGAAGGAAAGAGATTCTGAGTCTATGAGTCAGGATCAATTCCTTTTTTATTCTTTTTCTTTTTCTTTTCTTTCCTTCTTTTTTTTTTTTTTTTTTTTTTTTTTGAGACAGGGCCTTGCTCTGTTGCCCAGGCTGGAATGCAGTGGCACAATCATAGCTCACTGCAGCCTTGAACTCCTGGGCTTAAGAGATCCTCCTGCCTCCAGGGTAGCTGGGAGTACAGACATGCACTCCCACACCCAGCTACATTTTTAAATTTTTGTAGAGATGGGGTCTCATTATGTTGCCCAGGCTGGTCTCAAACTCGTGGCCTCAAGCAATCTTCTAGCCTCGGCTTCCCAAAGTGCCGGGGTTACAGGCGTGAGTCATGGCTCCCTGCTGATCACTTCCTGCCTCTAGGCCAGAATCTGCTACTCACCTTCTCTGGGCCGCCATCTCCTCACCTGTGATGTCTGCCCTACCTAACAACAGGTTGAGGTGGTCAGAGAAGTCTGGCTCTGGCTTTACGCAGTGCCTTATTGTGATTATGTTGGCATGAGTGGTCAGTGTGGCCTGCTTCTGTGGGGGTGGGACCCAACTGATGGGGAAAAAGATGACACATTAAGAGGAGGAATCCTGGGGACTAGAGTAGCTGCTCAGTTACTTCCATCTATATTAATCATGGTTTTATTAGTTTTCCTGTCTTTCCCACTTGACTGTCAAGTCCATGGGAAACAAGACCTTCACTGCCTTGTTCTTTATTGCGTCCTCAGTGATAAGCGAAGTTGGTGCTCAATAAATGTTTGTTAAATGAATAGAATAAGTGAAAGACCTGGGATCCAGTCCTAGGTTTGCCATTGACCACCTCCTTCCTGGAGCAGGTCACTTAACCTCTGTAGCCTATGAGATTGCTGTGAGGATCACATGGAATAGAGGACCTTGAGTACTTACATAACATGTGATACACAGATGTTAGTTATTGGGTTGATTGTGGGAACAAATTCTTCAGGAATGAGATATGTAGTAGCCCTCTTACCAAGCAATGCATTGAAGGGTAATAATCTAACTGCGATTCACACTTTATGATGCAGATAATGTTTGCTGACTTTATTTCTAAACAAGCTAGTATAAACTAAATTACAACTAAAATGTGAATTATTTGATGGTTTTTGTCAACTGAGCAAGTATTTTATTTCAGTCAAGTAGGAAAAGGGGGCTAAGAGAATGACTTAATTTGTCTCAAATGAGCACTTTATTACAAAGAGTGTTACTGTTCTATGTAATACATTGCCAGAAAGTTTCATATTCTTTATTGTATTTGGATGAGATCTTTTCTAGCTAAGTGGCCATAAGAATTTTTCTTTGTTTCCTCTGTAGCGCAGGCTGTAGTGCAGTGGCACGATCTTGGCTCACTGCAACCTCCACCTCCCAGGCTCAAGCAATCCTCCCACTGCAGCCTCCGAGTAGCTGGGACTACAGGCATGTGCCACCATGCTGGGCTAATGTTCGTATTTTTTGTAAAGATGGGGTTTCACCATATTGCCCAGGCTGGTTTCGAACTCTTTGAGATCAAGTGATCTGCCTGCCTCAGCCTCCCAAAGTGCTGGAATTACAGGTATGAGCCACCACTCCTGGCCTGTGAGAATATTTTTAAAGCTATTATTTAAAAAAAAAAAAAAAAAAAAAGCAAGCCATGGAATTTGCGATTTATCATCTGGTTGTATGTGTTAGATTTTAATAATAAAAGTATAAGAGGTTCTAGTTCCATATTCTAGATGACTAAGATATTTCTTTATTGAAACACATTTGGAATATGGTTTACTGGTATCGTAACATTCTAATGAAAATTATAAATAAAAAGTGACTGATCTCCATAAGTACACTGCTTATAATTAGGAAAAATCAATTTGTATATTTTTTTATGAGATGGATAATCTTACTGAAACCTGAAGATTTATATTGCTCACACTTGTAATTCATTTCAATTTTTTTATTTACAGTCTACTTAAAAATATACATAGAAAATAAAATCTACTTAGAGTTTGTTCAAAATTAATCCTTTAAATATTTTACATAAAGCATATTTAAATTTTTCTCTGTGGCATAAAGGAGAGAACAGAAGTTTGTGTTTCATTTTATTTTTATATTTTAGTGAGTCACATAGTACCTATACCTATAATTTAATATCCATCTTTCTCTAAACTTTAGTTTTTATTATTTGTCTCTTGATTATCATTATTTTATCCTTGCCAAAGATGTGAGTTCTCCAACTGGTTTCTTTGTACATCTCCATACTTCTGCCTGTGTTTATAAATATTTTGTAATTTTTTTGGACCCTTTGTCTTATCTTTCAAAGAGAATACTGAAGATCATCTGTAAATTGTATATAATCTCTCTCATTTTCCTCTAACCTGTCAATAATCTCTAACCAATAGAATATATATGTATATTTTATACATATGTATTTTAAAGCTATCATTTATTCAGCACTTACTATGGGCTTTTAATACAAGTGTATTTGTATTATCCCTATTAAGAAATGTAGTAACCTGCCTAAGATCATTCAGGTCAATGATTCATGTAACTTTAACTTGGTCTATCCCTTGGTAATTCTACCAGAACCCATAGAGATATGAGTTTTGCTCCAAACTGATGTACCTCTTTCTTTATGACCAGAGGGTCCTTAACCACTTACTTCTCCTATACTTTTTTCTACTGTCTTTTCCTCATTTTCCCTTTTACTCTCATCACCAAAGTATTCTTTATCTCTTGTGTTATCTGTCATCACCAGCAAAAGACCTACATGTCTGTGATTTTCACTTCTGAAGGATGTTCTTGTAGTAAGAAGTCAGGTGACTCCAAGACAGCAGAATCTTTTCACTCACCTGTTCTGGCTGGGCAAGAGCTCCCTGCCAAGGGCATCATGGAGGGAAAGGCCTGGGGTTGGGGGGTGGGGGTGGAGCTGCCATCCTGTGCCAAGAGGTAAACCCTTCCCCCATAAAGTACCTTGGTATTACTAAACATTTTCTATTTGTCAGGCACTTTATAGTCATTTTTATTGGTTCTTTTTACTAGTTATAACTGCATCAGAACTGCATTCCTTTTCTCTTTTAATTAAGTGCTCTGAATGAAGTGGCAAAGACTGAGGGCCTTGGGGAGCAAGTCTTCAACTGCCAAACAGTCAGTGAACAGATAAAGAACCACAGAAACAGAGGACTGGTCCCAGCGAGCGTCAGACCCCCAGCAAGGAGCCAGTCTGCACTGACCCACTGAAGAAATGGCTCCCGGGGGCTTGACTTTGTATTTTAAAAAAAGTCCGCAAGTCAACCTAAGACTGTAGCTTTCAGCCACTGATGTCTCGGGTGTACACTGACATTTGGAAGACTGGGCTGTTCATTTCACCCGACCCATCATGTTCCCCTTTCTTTCACTGAGGCTCCAAAAACACAAAATCACACTAAGATTCATTCTGTTTTCAAAAGACACATCCATCAATATACTTGTGTTTTGGTGTCCTTTTTCTCCTCTCTTTAACACCTAACTATACCATGTTTATAACTTTATCTATAAGGTACAGCTTTAAAAGTACCAGTGTAGAAGTGGCCTGGAGCTGGAACCAGAACTTTAACTTTGCTTCTTGGTAGGTAGGTGAATGTGAGGGTCAGTTTTCCTCATCTGTAGAATGGGTATGATGAAAGTTCCTATCCTTCCCCTTCAGCTGTGCATAGATTCACAGGACTTATCAAACAGTCAGGGTTTATTCATCTGGTTACTTATTTGCCTCCCCCACAAGACTGAGTGATTCCTCCAAAAAAAAAAAAAAAAGAAGATTTTTTTTCCTGTGTCCCCTCAGTCTGTCTAGCCCAGTACCTGACACTAGGAACTGCCCTACTAAGCCCTTGGAATGAAATCACATACAGGAAAGCCCTTTGCTTTCCTGTGAAAAACTATCTACAAGTACCTTAGTGATTACTCACAGTGTGGCCCCACAGACCTGAGAGGTGAATGAAACCACGCTGGGCTCCAAAGCCATACATTTAGTGA